>NC_000010.11:28135000-28760000 GCF_000001405.40 Homo sapiens
AAACTAAAAATAAATAAAAATAAAGGATAATGAAACCATAGTTTTCAAAGATGCTGGGTATCAAGCAACAAAGGACAGAGATCACTGAGAGACAGGAAACAATGTGAGCCTATGACTGCCCCAGCATTGCAGCCTAGAGTTTCCAGGCTGTGATGGGGAAAAAGAAACACAGGCAAAACTCAGTCGTCTCCTTGAGTTGGGAAAACAGAGCTGGGAATCCAGAGACGTCAACTGACTAGATTCTCAGGTAAGCCTATAGAAGAGGAAAGGGTGGCAGATACAGAATTTGGGAGATCTGTAGGAGGTCTCCCTTGAGTCCTGAGCAAAGTCCTTAGCCATGGCATGCATATAAGAAAACTACCAGAAAGAATTAGAGCAGTGGCTCTTAACTGAGGGCAATTGTACTCCCTTGGAGCCATTGGCAATATCTGGAGACAATTTTTGATTGTCTTAATTTAAAGGATGTTACTGCCATCTACTGTATTGAGGCCAGGGATGCTCCTAAACATTTGGTCATATACAGGGCAGTCCCCTAAACTCCAGAAATAATTATCCAGCCCATAAATGTCAATAATTCTAAGGTTGAGAAACTGCATTACAAGGAATAATCCCTGAAGTTTGCATAGGGCAGAAATAGTTCTTGTTCTCATCAGTTAGCAGGAAAATCCTCATAATTCATAGGCACTGAGAAGAGTTATGGGATGGGTATTGTCTCAATAGTGGAAAAAATAAGCCCAAGATTTAATGCTATGATCTCACCTAAAAAAAAGCTAAAAATAAGCCTCTGAAAGATCAAAATGTTTCCAAGTAATTTAACTGTATAACAAAATAAAGCTCAAGAATACTATCTATAGCAGGGGTCTTCAACCCCAGGCCACAGACCAGTACCCGCTTATGACCTGTTAGGAACCAGGCCACACAGTAGGAGGTGAGTAGTAGAGACTGAGCAAAGCTTCATCTATATTTATAGCTGTCCCCCATTGCTTGCATTACCACCTGAGCTCTGCCTCCTGTCAGATCAGCAGCAGCATTAGATTCTCATAGGAGCGTGAACCCTATTGTGAACTGAGTATGCGAGGATCTAGGTTGCATGCTTCTTATGAGAATCTAATGCTTGATGATCTGTCGCCGTCTCCCATCACCACTACATGGGATCATCTAGTTGCAGGAAAATAAGCTCAAGGTTCCCACTGATCCTACATTATGGTGATTATGTAATAATAATAGAAATAAAGTACACAACAAATGTAATACACTTGAATCACACTGAAATCACTCCCCAAACCCCCATCTGTGGAAAAACTTGTCTTCCATGAAGCCGATCACTGGTGCCAAAATGGTTGGAGAAGGTTGATCCAAAGAAACACAAAAATACCCAGCATCCAACAAGATAAAACTCACAGTAACTGGTAGTTAATCAAGATAAAACTCACAATGACTCAAAATTACTAGGTATGCAAAGAAAGCAGAAAATACTGCTCATAATGAAGAAAAAAATGAAACAATGAAACCAAATACTGAAATTACACAGATGATAAACTGGATAAAACCAAACCCTAAAATTACACAGATAGCAGACAAGAAAATTAAAAGTTATTATTTAACTGTATTTCAAATGCTCTAAAAAGTTAAAGGAAACACTGAACATGAGAAATAGAATATATAAAAATTACTCAAATCAAACTTCTAGATATGGAAAGTATGAAATAAGAAAAAAGTACACTGAATGAGATTAATATAGATACTGCAGAAGGAAAAGTAATACTGTAGAATAAGCAACATGAGCTGTCCACAATGAAACACAGGGAGAAAATATACTGAGAAATTATGAATAGGACTGAATAGGACTTAGTGATCTGGGCAACTACTTTAAATGGCCTAATATACATGTTAACTGGCATCTCCAAAGAAAGGGGGCAGTTGCTGGAAACTATTTAAAGAAATATGGCAGAAAATAGTCCAAATATGATGAAAAAAGTATAAACCCACATGTTCAAGAAGCTCAATGTACCCAAGCACAAAGAAAACATAAAACACCACCAAAATGCTTAAAACCAGGAAGAAAATATTGAAATCATCCAAAAGATTTAAAAAACACATTATATATAAAACAATAAGGATTAAAAACGACAGCACACTTCTCATCAGAAACAATGTGGGCCACAAAACAATGGAGCAACATCTTTAAAATACTCAAAGAAAAATACTGTTAACTTAGAATTCTATACCCAGCAAAAATATCTTTTAGAAATGAAGGGGTATTGAAAAGTTTTGAAAAATATACACAAGCTGAAAGAATTCACTGCCAGCAGACTTGCATTGCAAGAAATGTTACAGGAAGTCTTTCAGACAGGAGGAAAATGTTGGCAGATGGAAATGTGGGTCCATACAGAGGAATAAAGAACACTGGGAATATCTACTATCTGTGTATCTATGGCATATCTTGCACATAGTAAAACAGAGATAGCTGAATAAAATGTTTTTAAATGAAGCAATTATGATAATTGACAGGCAATATTAAGAACATCAGCTAAATATTTTTTCTACTTAGCTTTGTTCCATGTCTGCATTCCAAAATAATTTCATAGGCATTAAGTTTGTAATTTTTAATAACTTTGTTTTACAAATATTGTTGGATAGCAACATTTTTAATTTTGGACAACTAAAATTTTGCATTCCATTATCCTGTTTTAACTGAGGTGATTTTATTCTTTAATATACAGACTTGCCTTTAAAAAGGCAATACTTAAATGGAAATTGTGTTTCCATATGCCAGAGCCACCAATCACAACTGATGGGTTTACCTGTTGCTCAGAAGAATCTGCAGGAAATTGAACACTAGGCCTTGTAACTCATCAGACTCACAAGCACTCACTGCACTGGAACCCCTGGAGTCAACTTTATGTTCTAAGTATCTGTCAGGTTCACAGAATTAAGTGTCTAGCTTATAAGGATGAGCAACATTGATTTATCCCTCCAGAAGGAGCTTAACTTTTTCCTTCAGCTTGCTTTAATGAAGCTTCATTCATCTTGCATGCTCAGGCAGTGAGTAATTTCTCTTAAGTGAATGTTTGGAAGCTAAAAATTACAACAAATCTTCTTATTTTATTGCCTTTTAAAAAATCTACCAAATTTTCCATGACTGCCTAAATTATAATGCCATATTCTAGAGATGATGTCACTTCACTGTTTTATCAAAAGTGAGCCCCCGGAATGATGACTCATACAGTTTAATTTGCCTTTAATGTGGCAATTTGATGGTTAGAAGTGGTTTTGATTTATTAATGACTATCTCTGCTTCCCCTAGAAACAAAGTCTCTATATAGAACAATATCCCTCCATCAATGCCCCTAAATGCCACCAACATTATTGATTTTGCCTATTTCATCACTGCAGGAAGTATTCACATTCAATTAATCTAGTTAGGCCTTTGGCTACTTACTTTTACATTTTCAGACATCTATTGTTTCTTTTATACTGCATTTATTTTCCTGAACTGGATTTTGTAGACATTATTGACTAATAAGAATAATCTATTTTTCAATATGGCAATTGACTGATCAATTCATTCTGGGTATAATCTTTCAATTTTTGACAGTTCTCCAGTGACACTATTGTTACAGAATGACAAGTCATTTCCTAACTATCAAAGACTTGAGGGCAACAGGTTATACAAGAAAAGTGTTGGCATTCTTCTGAACACAGCAAGAGATTCCTAAAGAGTAAAATGAACAAAATCACAATCTTATACTATTATGAATTAAAGACTATGAAAGAAAAGTTTGAATGTCATATAAATGTACAGAATTATCTTATATGTAGAGACAAAGAAGGCTATAATGGAATAAAAATTCCACCAAACATTTAATAATTTACATTGAATTCCGTTTACTGGGAATCCCAATGTTGCAATCACAGTGCTATGTGCTAGAAACAAAGATAAGAAGACCATCCTGTGTATCATGAAGTGTGGCAGACTGCCACTGTTACTGCCTGAGACCCTCATTACAGCAGTTACCACTGTTACTGCCTGAGACCCTCATTATGAGACTGAATGAAGGGACGAACATAGAAATGATAACAAAAAACAAAAGAAACTATTTTAAGGAAAGGGCCAGGGGAAGAAGAGAGCTCCCCGCTTCTAGTGAGCAAAGGCAGCCCCTGAGCTCCTACCACCCTTTGTATTTATTGGGTAGAAAGAGCATGGAGGAGGTAATGATTGGTCAGCTGCTTAACTGATCACAGGTTCACATCATTGCTAACAGGCTTCAATTATGCCTAATCACCAGAAACACTTGAGCTTGGGGCATGAATGCCCTCAGCATTCCTTCTGGGCAGCGGACATAGTTGTCAGCTTGCCCACATCCTGCATTTATGAGAAGTTTGCTGTTTACTCATATAACCTCCAGTGGTATACTGAGCTGATCATGACCCTCACACTTTCGGCC
The DNA here is from genome assembly GCF_000001405.40 of Homo sapiens. Lineage (NCBI taxonomy): Eukaryota > Metazoa > Chordata > Mammalia > Primates > Hominidae > Homo > Homo sapiens. The sequence continues at coordinate 28,139,449 of NC_000010.11, forward strand.
TCCAACAAATAAGAAAGATATACTTTTGTTCTTTATTAGGTACAGAACACAGAAAATCCCTGAAACACACATACATACACACAAACACACACACACAAACATCTGTTAAAGGTCCAGTTTCGTTTCTGGATACAAGTTTTTGAGCTTTAATTTTCTTAATCTTTAAAAGAGTTAATATTAGTACCTACTTAATAGGGCTTCACAATGATTAAAGAGATAATACATGAAAGTGCACGGCAAAAAGGCTGCTCCATAGTAAAGACTTCGTATTGTTGGCTTATTAGCTATTACAATTAATTTAATGATTATCTTATTTCAGGAACAGTCACATTGTATATTTAACCTTGTCTATAAACTTGTAAAGGACCATATATAAATTTTTTAAAAATCCTTTCCATATAGCTATTCTTTTCCTTCATATATTTGCAAAAGTTGGCCAAACTAGCAAGCAAACATTTTAAACAAATTTTATATTAAAAAGGTTAACAGGTTGTATATTGTGATAAAAATGGGTCAAACTAGAAATTAACATCTGTAAATATAAAAAATGAAACCCAAACAACCTCACAAATTTAAATAAGTCAGGATATTGAAGTTATCAAAATGTATTATAGACAATCAAGAAGTTAATATCAATGCCAATATGACATACACAATGTCCATGGAAGGTGACCAAATTTAAGAGAAAGCCGCATACTCTTAAATGTGTTTGTAATTAAACAAGCGTGACAGCTAAGGAGCCCACTATCTAATCAAAGATAGATATAAAGAAAAAAATCAGACCAGATGCGATGGCTACCGCCTATAATCCTAACACTTTGGTAGGCTGGGGCAGGCGGATCACCAGACGTCAGAAGTTCGACACCAGCCTGGCCAAAATGGTGAAACCCCAATCTCTACTAAAAACACAAAAATTAGCCAGGCGGGTGGCATGTGCCTGTAATCCCAGCTACTTGGGAGGCTGAGGCAGGAGAATTGCTTGAACCCGAGAGGCTGAGGTTGCAGGGAGCTGAGATCGCGCCACTGTACGTCAGCCTGGGCGACAGAGTGAGACTTAGTTTCAAAAAAAAAGAAAAAAAAATAGAATTGATAATAATGAGCCAGTTCTTTTGAGAGATTAGATAATTACTCATTTCTGGTATGCAGAGCAAGAAACTAGAGAAAAATATGTATATTAATAGCACTGAGAAATGGGACAGAACTTTGGATACAAATCAACAGGATAAATTGAACACCATTCCAACATGCTTGAAATCTTAATAAAATGTTAAGTTTCCTAGGAAAAAATAAATAATGAAGTAATTCTGGAAGAGCTTGAAAGCTGGATTAAATCAATAACTACAGAAGAAATTAAAAGCACTATCAAAAAACTTTCCCCAGAGATGGCACTGGAACCAAATGAAGGGTTGTATTAAAGTTTTCTGTGTTATTTACAGAATTCCAACACATAGTAAAATGTAACATTTCTTTTTCAAAGGTCTCACAACCCAAATGTAAAACCTAACCAGAAAGTATAAAAAGATGACAGCACAACTTTGGTCTCAGGATGATTTTTTTTAAATACTAAAGTAAAATATTACAAAATTAGACATAAAAATCTTCTTTTATCAAAAAGAAGTTTTAATCCCAAGAATTTAATGTTTTATCACATAAATATCTGCAGTTATTTATGCTAACAACTAAAAAAGTTTCTATGATCACTTTGATAAGTACCATAAAGTCACTTGACAAAATTTAACATAATTCTGATTTATTTTTTTTAAATGAGACAACAAAACTTTGTAAAATATTCTATCAGAAACCAGCCACAAACATCATACTTATTAATAACAGGAAGCACAGAAGTATCCCCATAAAAGTACAGAAAAACAAAAGCATATCCTGTTTTTACTACAAGTTTTGAGCATTTTTTCCTGCAAGTCATATCAAGGCAATAAGGTAACGGGGGAAATTATCTATAATTACTAAACAGGAAAAGATTTTTAAAAAATCTTGTCAATAACATTGAAAATTAAATGAGATACTTCGGTAAGGTGGTATAAAATAAGTATTATGGAAATTAACATGTTTACTGTATAGAAACAACATACTTGTTAGAAAATACTCAGTAAATAGTATACCATGGGGGAAAATTAATTTATACATATGTGTAGATGTGTGTATACATATAAATATATGCATGCCGGCACACACGCGTACACATCAGGCCTGGGAATAGACTTAGCAGGAAATAGTCCAGGGTTATATAAGGAACAATTTGATCTAAATAAATAAATTGCCACTGTCTCTGGAAAATTTAATTGCATCCCAATGGTTTTTTTTTATGACATAAAAGAGAATTCCAAATTTCTTCTGGGAAAATACATTTGCAAGAATAATGATAGGAATTTGGCCTTAGAAGGTATCATGCTACAATTACTAAAACAATAAGATAACCAAATTAACAGCAATCAAACCAAGAGTTCAAAACAGATTCAGATATATAATAAAGATAAATCAAATTGTGAGAAAATTACCATCCACTTGAATAAAAAAAAACTAGAACCACATCTTATACCATACACCAAATTTTCATACAGAGTGATAATTTCAAACTTCAAAAAATCACATTTTTAAAAAGCCAAAAGAAAATAGGAAAGACAATTTTCGTAAACTCATCATGAAGAATACAAGTCCTTTCCAAGCTAACTCAGTGCCCAGAAGTCATAAAGAAAAAGAATGCCAAATTCTACTATATAAAAGTACATATTTCTACCCAGTCTTAGAAAATGCATGTAAGATTAAAGAAAAATAACTAAGGAGAAATCTATAATAATGATTTTATATTCTTATGTCACTCACAAGTCATTAGGAAAAACACAAAATTTTTACTAATCATTATTTAATCACACAGTACTCAATGAAAGCCTGCTATACACCTGCAATTTTTATTCCCTATTCTCATGTGGCTTATATTCTAGTGGTACTCAACTAGCAAAGCTAAAAAAGAATATTAGTTGGGGCTGTGCATGGTGGCTCACCTCTGTAATCCTAGCACTTTGGGAGGACTAGGTGAGTGGATCACTTGAGGCCAGGAGTTCAAGACCAGCCTGGCCAACATGTCAAAACCCCGAATTGTCAAAAAACACAAGAATTAGCCAGGTGTGGTGGCGTGCACCTGTAGTCCCAGCTAGTTAGGAGGCTGAGGCAGGAGAATCGCTTAAACTTGGGAGGTGGAGGTTACAGTAAGCTGAGATTGTGCCACTGCACGCCAACCTGGGTGACAGAGCGAGACTCTGTCTCAAAAAAAGAGAAAGAATATTAGTCGAAAAGAGCTTATGCAATTAATTGCATATAAATTGCAACAGCATAGGGAAACAGGCCTTCTCATGCACTATACTGCAGGTGCTCGAGAAGGTCTGTCTTAACAACAAGCTGGAAACAATGATCAAAACTGTAAAATGTACAAACATTATGTATGCCCCAATAATTTACTGTCCTAATTAAAGTATATTTTGACAAAATATTCCATAAAATCCTCTAATATACAAAAGATGTGCATCATAGTGTTATTTAAATAGCAGAAAAGCAGAAATAACAAAGGTTCGTCTGTAAGTTAAAATAGGTAATTTTGTTGACACAAAGAGAAGGCTACAAAATGCCAAAAATATTAAAAGAAAAAAAAATCACATTAAGTAGTGCATTCTATGATCCCACAGAATATACTGGGAAAAAACATTTAATATTTATATATACAGAAAGGGTTGAAAGGTAATGCAGCCAGCCAAGAGCAGTTATCCCTAGAGGTATATGAACATGCAATTCACAGAAGAAATAAAAACATATAAGCATAGGAAAAGATATGCATCCGCACTAATAAAGCAATGACGATAGGGGCTTCTACTTTCTTTATAATTTGAATGAAAAATACAATTACGTATTATCAAAAAAGAATATTTCTGTTTCCTTTTAAGTCTTTATCAAGTCACTCTGCAAAAAGTAAAAGTGAACATAATAAATTATCACATCTTATTAAGGACAGATATCATAAATCATGTATATTAATAAATGTTCCTTCTAATCTCACTTATGGATTTTAAAATATTCTTTCCTTTATGGGTGCATGTTTGTGTCTGTATGTGTGTATTCCTATCTTTGTGGATCAAATGCTTTTCTATTCCATGATAACATAACTTACAAATTTTCTTCTAATACATATTTTTTCAATTAAAAATATTCTTATGGTTCAACTTTTTACACTTAAATTTTTAATCTATTTGAAGTTCACTCTAGTGGTGACTTTTCTCATTTTTTCCCAAACTATTTGTTATTCCAAGACCACGTATTACAATTGTCCCTCAAGCTGCCCATCCCCCGTGCTTCCTTCCACCCATCCCACACTCTTTCATTAGGACCTCAATCGTGTGCTGTGTGTGTGTGTGTGTGTGTGTGTGTGTGTGTGTGTGTGTGTGTGTGAGACTGAGTTTCACTCTTTCACCCAGGCTAGAGTGAAGCGGCGTGATCTTAGCTCACTGAAACCTCCATCTCCCAGGTTCAAGTGATTCTCCTGCCTCAGCCTCCCAGGTAGCTGGGATTACAGGCACCTGCCACCGCCACCATACCCGGGATTTTTGTATCTTTAGTAGAGATGGGGTTTCACCATGTTGGCCAGGCTGGTCTCGAACTCCTGACCTCCGGTGATCAGCCCACCTCGGCCTCCCAAAGTGCTAGTGCTCTATGTGAATTATTCCTATAGGCTCCCACTGGCCTTCCTCCATTCAGTATTGCATTTCTCCCATTCTACACCACCCAATGCCTCAAAAGCTTGGTCTGTAGACTACATAGGGAGTGACATGTCACTTCCTGCTTCAGATCCTTTCAATGGCTTTCCACTTTTTTATAAGCTCACGATTTCAGGTGTGGCCATATAATTTATCACCCAAATAGGGAAACAAATGAAAGTGGGAGAAAGGCTATTACTAATAATGCTGGAACTGCAGGCATGAAGCCGACTATCCTGGGCAAACCCTACTCAAAAGGTCGACTCCCCAGCTCCAAACTCTCACCCCTTCTTCCTTCGCAAGCCACTGTTCGCCCGTTCTGAGGCTGCTTTTGCATTTTTACATCTTCAAACTTAAAGTTTTCCTTTATGGGACTTCACATGCTCTTCCCTGTACCTAAATCATTTCTTTTTCACATCCCACCCCCAACCCATCTCCCACTCCTTTGTCCCCTTGCTGATTCCCTCAAACTGCAACGTAAGGTCTCAACTTATATGCCACTTCCTCTGTAAAGTTTTCTTCAATATTCTCCCCCTGCCCAAGTTTGGGTTTAGCGCCATTCCTATGTATCCCATATCATTTCCATACGCTCCCTCTTTTAAATCAGTATTTCTCCTATCACCTTCACTAGTGTACGTATATCCTCTATAATCTGCATCCATAGGGCCTGGCACACACTAGGCATTAGAAGAAAAAAAATCTAAGAATAAATGAATGAATGAAGATCCGTTGCTGGTGACATTTATAAACTGCCAAAGAAAGTTATAAAAATTTTCAGAAAGAATTGGCACACCTCCTGGGTTCACACAATTCTCCTGCCTCAGCCTCCCGAGTAGCTGGGATTACAGGCACACACCACCACACCTGGCTAATTTTTTGTATTTTTAGTAGAGACGGGGTTTCACTAAGTTGGCCAGGCTGGTCTCGAACTTCTGACCTCGTGATCCGCCCGTCACGGCCTCCCAAAGTGCTGGGATTACAGGCTTGAGCCACCGTGCCTGGCCGTATCTGTGTCTTTTTAAAGTTCTATTACTTTGAAGATATATTTCAACTTCCTTTTCAGTCCAATGAATTAAGTATTTAAAATGAAATAGGAAATCTTTAAAAAGTAAGTAACTTCCCTAATCCACTAGAAATTAAATATTCAAATTAACACACTAGAGTTACATTTTTCATATTTTAACTGTCAATTCAACTAACAACCTACATACCTTGCTTCTGTTTAAAAGGAAAACAATCACAAAAAGATTTTAGTTTACTCCCAGGACAAAAATAGATTAACTGATTATATCCTGAAATAGTCTAAAATTTATTTGGGGGCTTAACTTGTTAAAGTAATATGGAAATGAGGTCAAAGCAATGGTAGATAATAAGAATGACTTCAAGAAAAGCAATGTTAAATGTTAGATCAAAAAAGGAAAAAAGATACTTTATTCCCAAGACTAGCTAACTACAAACTGACATTGCCAAACAAAACATCATGTATCCTGGAATATTACCTATTTTCTACACATATGAATATACGTCTTTCATGCTAACTTTACACAATTCTTTAGTCACACTGCTAGATAAAATGAAAAATAACCAAATTATCCACCTAAAATATTTTCCACATAATAAAATTTAACTAATTATTATAAAATTTTATCAAATGGCCCTTCTTAATAACGTCTAAAGTCATACCTCCCTCTTGAGCCAAATACCAGTTCTCATCCAGTATAATATTGCATAATTAGCTATTCCATTTGAAACACTCTTGAACCAAATACCATAATCGGGGATTTTTTTTGTCTGAAACATGCTGCTTTCATTTCTAATACCCTTGAACCAAAACAATAATTTCAAAAAGGAGTTTAACAAGATATTCATAGCTAACCTCACCCTCCCCTGGGTGATACTAACTTCTCAGGTGCAGTCTAAGACCAAATGAAGAAATCTTCAGAACGTTCTGTGGCTAAAAATCTCCTTAACGTTTTTACACACTTTGTATTTAACATCAAGGAACTTTTCTGCTCTAATCTGATCCTTGTTCTTTCAGAACAAAAATTTAATAAACTTCCTAAACCACTACAAATCAATTACCCTCACATCATTAATCATAGCCTGTTTAGCTTTTACAGCAATACATTCATGTACTTACATTTACTTATAGGGATTAGGGTTTATAGTCCACGCATGTTTTTTTTTTGTTTTTTTGTTTTTTTTTTTTTTGAGACGGAGTCTCGCTCTGTCGCCCAGGCTGGAGTGCAGTGGCACGATCTCAGCTCACTGCAAGCTCCGCCTCCCAGGTTCATGCCATTCTCCTGCCTCAGCCTCCCGAGTAGCTGGGACTACAGGCGCCCGCCACATGTTTTTAACCTCATCTTTTATTTAATACCATCTCTCTTTTTATAAAAATAAATTTAAAACCAAGTTTTAAATTCTGAAAGCTATTTCTCAAAAAAAGTAGAAACTAGTTTTTACATCTAGGAAGAAATTTTCATTCAACACTCTACATATGCTCACCAGTAATCATCACAAGCTAAATGATCATTTTAATTATGTAATTATGTAACCTATATGTAATTCTGACTCACAGAACAATATCTGACACATAATTGCCCCAGCGTCAAGTCCAAAATGTATACAGTGCAGGATTTAGTGCAGTAATGACTTCAGAATAATGTAGGAAAATTCTGAAATGCCTGCTGTAAACTGATCACATTTGGAGGAAAAATAAGTGATAAACTTAGGAGGCAATGGAAAGGGAGAATTGAAATCTGTCTGCCAATATTTTATGGGTATTTTACACTGGAAAAGTGCTCTTCTCTGTAAAATGGAATGACATTTTGAAACATAAATTAGTAAAGGGACAGGAAATGGGGAGGTGAAAGGGGAAAGAAAGAGGAATGCTGAAATGACCCTATAGAAAAATAGGTATGTTTGTCAAACATATTGGAATCCCATTAACTACCCAAGTAAAATGGACCTAAACAAAATTACTAGTAGGTTCTGTATAGTGTACTCTTAACTTTACTTAAAACAAAAATGACCTTGAAGCTACATTTGACAGAACTTAAATTCTGAGCTTCCCAATAAGAGTATTTTGCAGTTTCTCATCACATTATAATCAAAAGCTCGCCTCTTTCTCATTAATAGGATTTAGGCTATTAAAATACTGTGCCCTATTCAAAATACATTTACTTGAGAATTGATGCTCGAAACAAAATTCATCTGAAGGCTCAGAAAGTGGCCCTGTTTGAAGGTATTTATTACCGGCGTAACATGTCCTCACCTTCACATTGGGTTTTGACAGTAGTTTCAACAGCTCTCTGATCTCACTGTTTAATGGCTTGTTCTGAAGCTCTTCGGCCAGCTGCAACGGAGATTACATTGACTTAAAGAACATTTAGTAAGAGCATTGTGGGATTGGGTGTGTGACAACTGAGAATCTAACTTGCTCAAGGCTATTACTTTCCAATGTTTAAGGAGAGGTCAGCATAAAAGAAAACAGATCATCAATCATTGCTCTTCTTTTTAGACCTTCGGTAGTCCAGATCCGAGCCCAGGCTCTCAGCTGAGTACAAATCAAGTAATCGTATCAGCCAGATCACCTTCTGATTTATTGCAAGGAGGGCAAACCCCAGCACTTCGTCCATGTGAATGGTCTTTTGCACCTAGACAAAGGACCACTTGTAAGAAGAACTGGATAAAGCTTTGACACTGTAACCTCCCCCAACCCCCACAAAAACAGAGCTTCTGAATGAGGTGGTGAAATCCACAGGGTTTCCAAAAACCCATGGGGATTCCAAAAACCCACAGTAGCTGTGCTGTTTAGAGCTAGGGTAAAAATAATTAGAATGCCCCTAATAGAGCAAATGGCCTGAAACTTTTATTATGTTTACCTATACAGATGAAGAAATCTGTTAAATACCAACCAATCATAGTACCAATTGTAAAATGAGCTATAATGGGTTGACAGCTAGCTACCCTGGTACCAAAAATGCTGACTGTACTCTACTATAATAACCAAGAATTCCCATTTTGGGTTCTACATAAAGAAGGTGTTACAACTTCAAACCTGCCCCATATCTTCCATTAAGAGATATTCCTATCAAAATTCCCATTCAATTTTAGGCTATAGGAAAGATCTCATAATTTTCTTTAAAAAAGCAAGACTCAAACAGGAAAAAAGATTAGAATTATGAAATACGTGGCATATGTATAGATGCATTTTTATTTAAAAACCCGTCTTAAAACCTTGCATGAAATTTCCATTTGCCCCTACTTTTTCTAACAAGCTAAAAATAATTGCTCTTATCTCTGGAAAAGGAATTTTCTCTAAAAGAAGGGCATAATATAAATTGTACACAAAAAATAAAATCATAGAAAATTATACAGTCATTAATTACCTTTCAAACACTGCTTTACTTTTTTGAGGTAATATTTCTACAGCATTTTTAACTTACAAAAAGACATAAAGGTCATTTGCACACTTTAGTCACTTAAAACATAATATATTTTAACATTTAAATATACTGCTCTGACAAATTATAAGATACTATGGTTTATCATATTTATATAGCAGTCTCTAACTTTTTATAAAGGAATATTTTTGCAATATGATTGGGCCACAACAACATTGGTTTATAAACAAATGTTTCCCAAAACTCTGAATAGTAAATGTTTTAAAACTGATTTTTTAAGGCTTTCGTGCCTTACTTGAGCAACTGTATCTACAACTTTATTTGCCTTCATTTAAAAAATTTTGCTTCAATAATGCAGAAGTAAGCTTCCTCATTAAATATATACTGAAACATACTTGTAATCTTTGTAGATAAAAACAAAAAGAAAAATGGGAACTAAACAAATAGCACGCAACTTGCAAATTTATTACATATGTGTTTTTTCTAAATTAGAATGCAAAGTAGTTCAAATAAAATCAACTTCTCAAGATGGCCAATTTTTTAATTATATTATGGCCTGGATATTTTACCACACTGAATTATATAGCTTGTCTTAAAAAATAAAGGAAAGAAATATTAAAAGCAACAAATAAGCTACGGGTTATCACTAAAACCAGCCTTCGCACTAAACATATTTCTCTTCCAGCTTCATGTCCTTTATAGTTTATCCAGGTGTGTTCTCAATTCATCCGAGTCCGAAAGTTAACAGTAAGAATCAGCAAGTTAGTTACCTTCCCCCAAGTTCAAAATAAAATTATAGCTACAGGAAATTAACTACTCCATCAATGCCAACTGCTTCTAAAATTTATTTTTTGGTTATGAAGGTAATTTGGAAAAGTCTAATATCCATAAATCATTACTATGTTTTATAATCCATTATAAAAACAATCCTGTCTTTTTATGTATTTCATATTATTTCATATGCCTCGTTCGTATCCTAGTATCTGTCATTTTTTAGTACTGTCAGCAATAGAGCTATCTCATTTGTCTTTATTTCTCCAAAGCATTCCTCTTGTCTGTGACTTTCTCAGAACACCAACAGCTGACAGCTTCTCTCTCTCCAGAGTTTAAAGCCTAAAATGTCTATTACGAAGTTACGAAAGCAGAACAAGAGAGTAGCTACATGCAAAATTTTTAGAACAGAAAAGTGAATGGAAATCAACATAATATTAACATAAGCTCAGTGATGACAGGACTTTTGGAAACATTTGTAACCTCTTCTGCTTTTCACTCATAGGATCACACGCATCTGTCTGCACTAGGACAGGTTCTGCCTGGGCCAGGTCTGCAGCAGACACATCCCAGTGAGCTCGGAGAGTCACACTTACATCATCGGCCAAGGCCGCCGCACCATGGAGAATGGGCACCGGACTCTGCTTCTCATAGTAGTGTAGTTTTTCATGAATCTGGAAGAAAATCAAATGCATATAAGTTCACCTGCTAGCAAACAATCTCAGATAGCTGCACATTTTTATACTTGAAAAGAGAATCTGAATCCTTGAATATCCTAAAGTTATATGTTTATGACATATTACACACATGTAATATGTTTGTACATGCTAATATAAACCCATAGGTGACACGTATGTGTGCCTAATTCATCTATTACTATGGCCCAGTGTTTACAACATGGAGTCAAATGGAAAAAACAGTCTTAATCAAACAGAACCCACTTGAAAACTAAGTCTTTGTCTTTCCCCTCAATAAGCATGTTAAGTTTTGTGATGTCTATTATATCTAAAATCTATTGCTGCAATATTTCAAGTATCAGTTGCAGCTTATATTCCTGCTAAAAATGTAAATTATGATTAAAGCAAAGCAATAAACTGTCAGCCACATTTTGGCAGGTTGGTATGGAATCACTGTCAAGAGGGAAGGAGCTGGCACTATTTGTGCCTGGGTGCCACATCCAGGAACATCTGCTCAAGCACACTGTTCCTTTTATTATACTTATTCATTCTTTTTTTTTGAAATTGCCAACTTTCCCCCTCAACTTCAAATTTCTAAGAAACGAAGGGATTTTTCATAACTAGTGGCATTTCTTATAATTATTTAGCATAAATGAGATCATTTTTCATATTGTAAAATAATTATAATAATAAATTTTAAAAAATTTAGCCCTTCATTTCCCATTATTGTGACCCAAGAAACACAAAGGCAAGAATCTACATAAATCCCATGTAAGACACACTGAGTTCCTTGAAAAATCTAGCAGAAAGTTGAGAAACAAAAGACGTGTTGACAAACACATAACTGTCAGCACTTAAGTTTCATCTATTTCAGCTCTTGTGTAGGTGTCCTTTCATATTTTATACTTGAAAACTCACTTTAGTCTCTTTTTATTTATAGTTGAAGAAAAATGTCCCCCACCATATACAAAAAACAGTTGCACCTCACAATTTCCTGTCTTTAACAGGTATCAAGTAATACACTCTTTAATTATACTCAAAGCTAACCAAACTCCATTGTAAAAGTCTGGAAGATAAATTTTATTCTGATTAGCCAGATGCTATTGCTAAGAGAGGATTCTATTACCTTTTTGGCAACCCAGTACACAATGTAAAGCTTCAGGGAAAGAATTTTGACACTTATGATATTACCAGAATGATCAGAGCCACATTTTTACTTAACATCTTGGAAATTTTAAAGATGTATCATAACAAGGTAATAAACTTTAAAGACTGTAAGCTATAAAAAGAGTTAGATTTGATTTGAGAAACTATGAACATTTAATTTAAAACAAAAACCAATCATACTGAGCTAAATTCACTTTGTTTAAATAATTATCGAGAATTAAGACATCTCAACATATAGTATCACAGAATACTTAACTTACCCTATCACAAAACTCATCTAACCTGACTGCAGTTACTTGTTTAAATGTCTGCTTCCCTGCTATAATAAACATAGAGACTTATTAAGAACTTACCAGGTGCCTGTACTACCCACCTAATAGGTCAGTAATACTAGTAACATAGTCTTTAATGAGTTTAAAATTTGAATTCCTCAATTCTCACAAGAAAATAAAGAGGTAGACAGCGGGACCATCTCATTTTACAGATAAATAGGAGTTAAACAAGTTGCTATGTTCTTGCAGACAGTAAGAGGCAGAGCTGAGATTTCAAGCTCAAGCCATCTGGCTCAGTGCTGGAGCTCCTAATCACCCACTTTTCCTCTCAGACTGACATCTCATCTGTGTTCTTCACTGCGATCCTTGGCTGCCTAATGAATATGGCCAGTTTGTAGGGCATAGAAAGGAAGGCTGGAAAGATATATAACAAATCGCAGTGACTGCTTCCACTGACTAGAGGATCATCAGTGGTTCCTCTCCATCCCTTATATTTTCTTTCTCATTGGTGGTTCCTCTTCATCCCTTGTGTTTTCTTTCTGATGGCTTCCAATTTTCCCAGGTTAATTTCTATGAATACTCTAATTATAACATAAAATTATGTGCCTCAAATAAACACATTATTTCTCCACTTCATTTGCTTCTTCTGAGCGTCTTTCACAAATAGTCAGTTTCTCTTCCATCATCTTCTCCAGATCCTGACCCAATTGATAGAGTATCCCACCCCTAGCCTGCCCACTCCTGGATTTTGTGCCATATCAAACATTTTTTAAATGTTCTAGAATTTCAAAGTTCTGGTAACCCTGTGTTGCGTATGTGTTTTACTTTACCGCATCATTTTAAAAATTAAGTTGGTAGGGGAGTAAAAATTTACTCTAAATAATTTTGAGCTGTTCACTGTTTCCAAAAATATTGACAGAAATTCTGCTTTTTATTACTATTTATGATAACCAAAAGAAAAAAATGATTTTTCAATTCTAATAAACAGGCAACACATATAGACTTCACCCCAAGGCTATCCAACAGAACTGCCTGTGATGGTGAAAATGTTTTATAGCCGTTTGCCCAATATGGTTAGCCACTGGCCACGTGTGGCTTTTGAGCACTTGAGCTGTGGCTTGACTTGAGGAACTGAATTCTTCATTTTATTTAATTTTATTTACTTTACATTTAAATACCCACATGGAGCCAGTAGCCTTCTTCTTGGAGAACATGACATAACTTTATGCAGTCTATAATTTCTCTTTATATCCCAGAAAAATTTACTCTGATACAGGGTGACAAATTTCCCTAAGTGGGAACATTTGGGGATCTAGTAGACAAATATATAACCAAAGATGTGGCTTCATCATCAATGAGCAATCTAGCATCAATTATTAAGTATCAGGTGTAGCCAAACCTGCAAAACCTCATTTATTTTAACTACACATTTCCCTTTGCAGATTCAAGACATAATAAAAGTACACTTCAGACCGAGTGTGGTGGCTCATGCCTATAATCCCAGCACTTTAGGAGGCCAAGGTGGGCAGATCACTTGAGGTCAGGAGTACAAGACCAGCCTGGCCAACATGGTGAAACCTCATCTCTACTAAAAATATGAAAATCACCCGGCCATGATGGCGCATACCTATAGTCCTAGCTACTCGGGAGGCTGAGGCAGAAGAATGGCTTGAACCCGGAAGGCGGAGGTTGCAGTGAGCCGAGATCTCACCACTGCACTCCAGCCTGGGCTACAGAGCGAGACTCCATCTCAAAAAAGAAAACAAAAAAAAAGTATACTTCATTTTTCTCCCCTGAGCAACTGGAAGAGGAGGAAGCAGAGAAGGAGATGAGGGAGGAAAGGAGTTAGGAGTAAAGAAGTCTGGAGAAAAGGGGAAATCTGGTTAAATTAATTTTATATAACAGTTATTCAAAAACAAGATCCTAAAAGTCAGGACACGCTAAAATATATTAAATGCACTATTAAGAAAAAAGGACATTTCAAAATCTATATACATTATGCTCTATGTATATGTCCATAAGGGTTTTTTTCCTATAATTACATTTGTAATCAGAAAACATCAGTAAAAATAAAAATAATTTTAATATGTAAGCAGTTCTCATAAGGAAGCCATAGTTACCTTCATTTACATACTTCCTAAAAATAAATGTTTAATTTTAGTGAGGAAATCTGTTTTACTTACACATACAATAGAACTTTTAAAAATAAAGCTTCAATAATTAAACTATGAATAAAGTACCCCCCAATGCAGTCATGTGTTTTATACCTGTCAATGATGTACAGACTCCACCATGGTCATCTGCATTACATTACATTAAGTAAACTAAAGCTGTAATCCTTTTATTGGCTTCTATTATGAGTACAAAAAAGTACTGAAAATTACTGCCCAGTAGTTTGACTCTTCAGCATGTTAATTAATGGTACCAGATCTAGAATTAGCACATGCATGCATACACCTATCTACCTCCATATTTTAAATACTGGGGGTGGGGAGAAGATTCTGGGTACTAAAAAAAGAAAATCCATGGGACACGATCCTTTCAGAAACATGTATTTATTTCTGATGCATGACCTTGAAATATCACTGGCCACTTTGCTAACTTTACAATGTAGGACTTGGTGGATAAAACTCTCAAATCCTAAGCCATGGACCAACAAGTCCATGGATGGTTACAAACTCTTAAAGCAGACTTTCTTTTGTTCCTACCTAATCCCAGGAAGAGCCAGACCAGCTTCTTTGTCATCTCCCTAGTAGTTTAAAGTTTTCTCATCTTCCCACTCACTAACAAAGTAGCCCTAGAAAAGTAGCTATTCTGTGTGTGTATATCATAAAGCCTAAAAACTTGGAGGCTGTACCTTTGCTCAAGCTACACAGTCAGAAGTAAAAATGTAAAGAAATAAAGCCTTCCCATAGGAATCGCTGGGAGCAACTGGTACTTTGCCTTCAATTCCAGCCAGGGTGTTTGCAACATCTCTACACAGATGCATAATTCTTATAAGGAACATGTCTATAAAGTCTACAAAATACAAAGCACCAAAAACCGTTTTTAGGCTTAAATTAAATGATTAAAAAGCAACAAACCATCAACATTTTCATTTTGGTTGAAAATGTAGTGATACTATTTGAAACCACTTCTCAGAACATTTTCTACAGATCAAATTCCTTTAGTTCCCAGAATAATGTTCTAGAGAAAGTAGCCAGGGCATTAAACATTTCTTTGGAAAATCTGAGTTAGTTGGGGTGGGGGGTGGTGGGGAAACTTGAATTCTCCAATCCAGAGATATATAATCTGTCCCATTTTGAAACAACCCCAAATTTCTACATACATTTATTTTTCACTCCCCACATATTACAATTATGAGAGCTGCCATTCTTCAAAAATCTGTATTTCAGTAATTGTTTTTTTTTTCCAGTAATTGTTGATGAAGTGGGAACTGTTAAATTTTTGATCAGATAGCTGTTACTGCAGATGATGTCATGGAACTCAGACAGGTTTCAACATACAAGTAGCAATCAATTACCTTGTATACTTGTTTGCAGTTTACATTTTAACAAACATTAAAACTGTAATTACAGCTTAAAACTAGTTTTGTAACAAAAGATGGAATGAACCGTCTTAAAACGTGGCGAGTCTGGGATCTATGGCTAGGAGAGTTCATGTGTGACTCAGTTGATTCATGAACTCCTGAAAACTATATACAATTTGTTTGCATGCATTTTCTAGGAAAATACCCAAATACAGATGGGTGATTTATGCTAAAGGACTTAAGACTTTATTCAGTAAATAAATAAATAGCCATTAAAGGCCAAGTGCGGTGGCTCACACCGGTAAGCCCAGCACTTTGGGAGGCCAAGGCAGGCAGATTGCTTGAGCCCAGGAGTTCAACACCAGCCTGGGTAACATGGTGAAACCCCAACTCTACAAAAAATACAGAAATTGGCCAGGCATGGTAGTGTACACCTGTAGTCCCAGCTACTCGGGAGGCTGAAGTGGGCAGACTGATTGATTGATTGAGCCCAGGAAGTGGAGGTTGCAGTGAGCTCAGATTGTGCCACCACACTCCAGCCTGGGCAACAGAGCCAGACCCTGTCTCCAAAAAAAAAAAGAAAGAAAAAGAAAAAGGCATTAAAGAATAGGAGACCCTTGGGCCAATTTGTGCTTCACTCCATTTTCCTTGGACAGATTTGGGGAGGAAGGGAGGTAGCAGGTAAGACGAGGAACAGAAAACCTGTTAGGAGGATATTGTGCTAGTGGTCAGAAACTTAAAAAAAAAAAACAAAACAAAACAAACAAACTGGTCACTGCTCAGTGCAGATGACTTTGGGGTTCCTCAGGTTTCCCTTTCTTTGCAAACACAATGGACTTAAGCAGTTCCATCTCCTCTCAGCAGCCACCACACTGCCTCTATCCCCAAATCTGTTGTGAAATCAGATGTACTCTTCCAGCTATTGTTTTCCTTGCTGCCTCCAAGATAAACATATAGGCCCATTGTACGTTAGAGATTTAACTGTTATCTCCATAGAGAAAAGGAAAAGCACTAAAAAAAATGAAGAATTTATAGTATTTTCACAGTTTTAAAAGATGAAGTATCAACATAATTTACTGAGAGTCTTGAAGTCAAATACATGAGTTTAAATCCCAATTCCGCCCCTTACTTATGCTTAAGCAACTTATTTAACTTTCTATGCCTTAGTTTTCTCATATTTAAAACAGGATAATAATCGTATCTATTAACTAGGGTTACTGTGAGAATGAAAGTCACCATTAAAAGAGTTTCACGCAAGTTCTGGAAAATAGAAAACACCTAATAAACAGTATTTATTTCCAATTCCCCTGCTCGCTTCCACTGGTGTTCCTAGTAAGAGGAGATTCTCGTCTCCCTTTGACTACACCATGTCGTGTATACATATGATACAATCAAGACCTAAAGATCAACATCAAAGATTAATCGGTATCACCTATATTCAAGAAGAGAATTTCTGAGGTCACGCAACCAAATGCCATCTCTATTGACATTTCTTCAAAAACAGTCCAAGTAAAAAGAGAAGAGGACCTGAACAAAGGGCTAATGGAAGCCTGGATGGACACAGGAAAGGCAGACAGTAACTGTGACCACCAGATACGGACACAGGAAAGGCAGACACTAACTGTGATCACTGCAAGTGGCAAATGATGGAAAGGGTGCAAGACCAAGCTGAGAGTATCATAAGGAGGTTTCCTGGAGGAATGAGGGGTGTGATGAAAAACCTAGATCTACATGTTTATTAACAGGTTCAAAAAGAATCTGTCTGGACGCACCCACAGCTCTAGCTGCCCTGTTCCCAAAGAAGAAAGTTCTATCTTTGGTGAGAAGACAGAATGAAACCCTCACACAAGAAAAAGTGTAACAGTGAGGTGGAAAGATTCTTAGAAAAAGAGTAATCGGCCAGGTGTGGTGGCTCACACCTGTAATCCCAGCACTTTGGGAGGCCGAGGCAAGAGGATCACCTGAGGTCAGGAGTTCGAGACCAGCCTGGTCAACATGGTGAAACCCTGTCTCTACCAAAAATACTAAAATTAGCCAGGTGTGGTGCAGCGTGCCTGTAATCCCAGCTACTCGGGAGGCTGAGACAGGAGAATCGCTTGAACCCGAGAGGCAGAGGTTGCAGTGAGCCGAGATCATGCCATTGCACTTCAGCCTGGGCAGCAGGGCGAGACTTGGTCTCAGAAAGGAAAGGAAAGAAAAGGAAAAGGAAAAGAAAAAGAGTAACCGTCAGAGTCACTTCAAAGACGATACAGGGCTAGCTATCACTGTTGTCAGCTCTCATCTGTCTATCATTTGGGAATCCAAAGACCCTCTGCCCACAAGCCCAAATTCTGTTGAAATTAATAAGGAAGCTCACATAATTTTGAGATGAGCTAGGATCTGGTTAGGGAATGTGGAGTGTATTCCAATGTGACTGTATGGAAAATGACTATTAGACAGGAATCAGACTTTATTCACAATGGAAATACCCAGCAACCATAAACTGGTTGTCACTTCCTTATTTAAGCCCTTTGGTGGCTTGCCATTGCTCTTGAGATGAAGGGCATGCCTGCCAATGCACTTGAAACTCAAGCCTGTTCTGGGGCTCTGCATGCCCTGGACCCTGCAGACTTCCATCTCAAGCCATTCTCCATCAGGTTCCACCCACAGGGACCTTATGTTAGACCCTCAAGCACCCAGAGTCTCTCCTACCTCAAGGCATCCTCTCTGCCTGCAATGTTCCTGAGTCTTGGGGGTACCCACATTCATCTCTGAGTCTTAGCTAAAATGTCACTTACACACAGCTTTTCCCAACAGTCTTACCCAATCAAAACCAGTTCTCCTTCATTATTAGGTCTGATGGCTTCCTATTCTTTTTGTTCACTATCCTTATCAGACTTTGTATTTATAGATTTATCATATTTATCTGTTTACACCCCCATCGGTAAGGAAATTCATAGATCAGGGACAATGTCCCTAGAGTTCACCACCAGATCCCTTGCTCATAACCCAATGCCTCACATAAAATAGATGTTAAAACGTTATTATTAGTTAGTGATAAGTGGACATATAAATCCTCTAATCCTGCACAGTTGGTAACACCCTGGGATCACCGTGGAAGAGGATGATAAATGCAATGATTTTCTTCTTGCCCCAAAACTGATGACTAGTCCCCAAAGCTGAGGAAAAAGAAGTGTTAAGTCTCATGTTCTAAGAAAAACTCCAAACAGCTGAAACATACACTTCTCTAGACTCAAAGAGATGGGTGAAATGTAACCATCAACTATCTTCTATCTGCCACTTCCCAGAATGTGTGTGTGTGAAATTTATATATGAAATATAAATTTCATATATACATACATACATAGGACTACAGAGTGGAAATTGTCTTACGGAAATAGGAAAAGAGGGGACAGCCGGCAGGGGGGCCCACAGCCTAGTGAAGAGTAGAATAATGGAGGTAAGTCTCTGAGACAATCCCTCATAGAGAACAGGGGTACAGAGAAGACGACAGAGGACAAACTCTAGCTCCTATGCAGGCAGCAGACTAGCTGATTTTCCTTTCGTGTTTCTCTAATCAAGGTGACAAGGGAAATGAGGCAGGATGGCAGAACAGAGAGAGGGAACAGTAGAGGCCGACAGTTGCTTGGCCTACAAATGATGCATGAGTTACCTACAGGTCACATGGACCCCACTGAAAGTAGTTGGGCTGGAGCCACCCTGCAGATAATCCAGCCTACAGCACTACAGGAGGTTTTGGGTTACACAAGCCATGCACTGTAAGAGAAATGCAACATTTGAGCACTTCCACAAAGAGTAAGAATGCTGGTCAGTGCTGGCCTGAGAAGAGGCAATAATGTGGCCAACTTCTGTCTCCCTGTCCCAACACAACAGAAGAACTGGATCTCCTTTCAAAAGCAAACCGATCCATCTTGCAAAGGGTATTGGGGGAGTAGGGGTAAAAGGAGAACACACTATCCCCCATCCCCAAGCCAACTCCCCTACCCCTGGCTGACACTAGGGACAGGAGGAGGTGAGACTCAGATCAGAGATGACCACAAAGGAATACTAAATTGAGCTTTTAATAATTGAAAATGTCCTGGAAGCTACAGACTGCCAGAAATTTTGTTAAAAGAGATAGAAAAGTTAGCTTTGATGTAACATATTTTGATGCAGTGATTGGAGAAAATTAAAACTCCCTCTTTGAGCACTGTTTGATTTGTTGTCTAGAACAGTATAGCCCAATAGTTCTCAACTTTTTTGGTCTCAGAACTCGTCTTAGTTTCTTAAAATTCACTGAGTATCTTAAAGAGTTCTATGTGCTTATATCTACTGATAATTTGTAATACTGAAAATAAAACTAAGAATTTTTAAAAATTTATTCACTTAAAATAACAATAAATGTGTTAAAATGACATCTTACCAAAAATCAGTATATTTTCCAAAATAAAAGTTTTTGAAGAGTGGCATTGTTTGACAAATTTGTAAATATCTTTCATTTCTGGCTACAAAGGAAACAGCTGAATTCTCCTATCAGCTCCTGCATCCTATCTACTGGGACACGCTGCTTTGGTTGAAGTTCATGAAGCAAATCATGCCTCCCACAGACTTGCAGTTGGAAGAGAGAGGAATATGTTCAGAGCCTCTTTAGCTAAGTGTAGATACTCACTGATACTACACCAAAACTCTGCAGCTGATACTTTCTTAGAGGTGAGATGCAATGTGGACCCTGCAGCTGCATCACTGGGCTTTCCATATGCCTTTACATTACAATCCTTGTTTTCTCTTGCATTCTACATGGCGCTTACCCATGCATAGTTTCATGATATTATGCATTGATCATTTGGAAAATACTGCTTCACTAAGTTATGCAGATTTTCCAAACATTTACACATTTCATGGTACAACAACAAAAAGCCACACATTAATATCACCACCAATCTCATCAAAAAAAGTTTTTAAGTACTAGAAAGCTGGCAATCTCAGAGTGGCAGAGACAAGTTTTTCAAAATTCTAATACTTGCTCAAAAGCTTGAATTTTATTCATTGGCAACAATACAGTTTGTTGTTGGTTTTTTAATGACAGGCAAACTTTGATCATTAGAAAAAAAAAAAAAAAGTCTTCCAAACACCACAATCTGCATAGACACAGTTTCTAATGGTTTCCTATGAGAAAAAGAAACTAGTTTAGTTCACAATCTCACAATCCTACAGCTACTTGTCCTCTGCTAACCAGAACTCTGGTTTGCAGCCAAGTGCTTTCTGAGTATTCCCCTCTTCCTTCTAGATTAAAAAGACTTGACAGTAAAGAGATGTGTACCATGGTTAAGATTTAATGCAGCCAACTATTCTTGATTGTGAGTGTGCCATGGTGAAGAACATGACAACTCACTAACTAGTACCACTTGGTGCCATGGCCTTGGTTTGTGTGACAGCATGAGCAGTTTTACCCATCAGTATTTTTAACCATCAGTACAGATGCCAACTCAGTGAAAAAAGCAAACAACATCATAATATTATCAGGAAAATAGTTTAGACCTTGAAGAGCCTCCCCACAAAATAGTCTCAGGGATCCCCAGGGGTCCACAAGCCACACCTTGAGAACCACGACTACCTACTATCTCTGAATACATGAATCTAACAAATAAAAGGAAATCTAACATTTCTTTGTGGCTGCAGAACTCATGGTGAACTATATGACTTTGGTATAGGAATATTAATACTTTTTCCCTTACAAACACGGTCTTCTGAATCTGGCAATTTACCTGAAACCACTGGTCCAGGCTTGTGATGTGTGTGACTCTCAGAACCAGGTGTTACTTTTCTAAAAAACCATGATTTTGAG
The DNA here is from genome assembly GCF_000001405.40 of Homo sapiens. Taxonomy (NCBI): domain Eukaryota; kingdom Metazoa; phylum Chordata; class Mammalia; order Primates; family Hominidae; genus Homo; species Homo sapiens. The sequence goes on from NC_000010.11 coordinate 28,160,855, forward strand.
GTCTGAAAAGTAGCTTTGGGGAAAAAACTAGTATATTTTTAAAGAGTTCACTTAAAAAGAGACACAGAACAGGTTTTAGCATTTCATGAAACTGAAGTTTGCTCAATCCCTTAATGTTTCATTATTCACATTTTTTCCAAAGTTCTGCCTTTCATGCTTTTCATGCTGGCTGATTGCTGCCACCGTTAGCGCATTTAAACCTCAGCGATTTATAACATGGTCCCAGACTAAGAAGCTCTGGCATTGGCCCAGTGCTGCTATTATCATCTTCTTTTATTTATGGCACTATTTCAAAATCGTCCTTTCACACACTAACATACATTTTTCATTTACTTTCATGCACATTTATGTTCTAAAATGCTACTCTATATTGCTGCTTTGTATAATAACATAAAATGTAATTTGCTTACACTGCTACCATCACAGCTGGGATATTTTAATGCACTCAAATATATACTGTAGCATGTCCAAAAAACAGCGTTCCCCACCCCCTCCCACCCCCCGCAGGTTTTATATAATACACTGCTTCCATTCCCTTCTTATTCCTGGCAGAGTTATCTAAAATGTTTTTCTTCCTATGAAAAACATTTTTTGCTATGAATTCTTTTTTCAATAGAACATGAAAGCTGCTATTATACAAGAAGCTTTGCAGGCATGAATAATCAAATATACCCCTTGGTCAGTAAGAAACAAAAACTTGTAATCATTTTGCATGTAAGAATACGGTCCCTAGGTGGAGAGAGGAAATTCAGACCGAAGCTAAACATTTCATTCCTATTCCTAAACAACATTTCCTACCACCTCAAAGCTAAACATCCTCGATTTCTGAAGTCTAAGTGAAAATATTCGCAATTTATTTTTAACATAAAATAAAACCTTTATTTTCTAAGAAAATTATTTCCCCAACTTTTCACTCAATAGAAAATTCTAATTCAAATAGATTCTAAGTCCTTAGAATCATATGGCTATACGTTAAAACTTATTTACAGAAAGGAAATTGTAAAAATTGTTATGCCTTTCTTCTAGCTTTTAAACAATCTCTTGGTTCATTCCAACAGATAGGTAAAATCTGATTACTTTCAAACGGCAGATGGTTAATACATTCTTATTGATATAGTTTACACACCCAGAAAATCCAAGTCACAATTCAGAAAGCAATTGAATTCAAATCTGTCAAATTCTACTACTCTGAAATCCGGCTGAAGTTTCCTCTCAGATCAGCTATAACAAAGCACTGCTTAATAATAAAACCTAAATGAAGCTTTGGACTTCAGGGATACAAAGACAACTCTCTGAAGAAGCAAAGGAAACACTGTTTTCCATCAAATTAATATTTTACATGTGGAAATATCAACAATTCCACTAAAGGTGGGAAGAATTACCTTGAAAACACAGAACAAGGCCTTGCAGTTTCAGATGGTGAACTGAGCCCACGAATTGATCACACACCCTACTCAGAATCCCACTGAAATAACCAAATAATATACAGTACAAATTTTTTTTAATGCATGGTAATAGCAGAGAAAAATGCCACCCACAGGTCAGGAGACTCTGAAATATTTCTAAAAAAATACAAAGATAAAAATACTATGAAAAGTCTATCTGAATCATCGTATTCTTCTATACTTACCGGGAAAGAGAGACCTGCTTAGGAAAGAAAGTGGACAAGTATGGCCACCAAAGGACCAAAGAACTCCAAGTTCAGAGAAGCAGAGGTTCAGAAAAACAGTGGGGAGCAGGTTATTAATTCGTTGTTCAATAGTCATCTACTAGGTGTGCAGCAGGCGGCCTCTAAAATGGCTCCCAAAGATTCTCCTTCTCAGGACTTACTTCCTGGTGTCATCTTTTCTCCTTGTTGGGGGGTTGAACCTACTGACTTGATTCTAATGAATTGAAATATTCAGACAAAAGTGATGGGAGGTCCCTCCTGAGATCAGGTTATAAAACACCGTGACTTTTGTCTTGCAGGTACATGCCTAAGCCCCCTCCATATTCTTTCTCTCACTCTCTCTCTCTCTTTCTCTCTCTCTCTCTCATATCTCTGCTTCCATTTTTGAATCTCCTTCCTATGACCCTCCTACTTCCCCGTTACACAGAGCTTGTGATTACATTGGTTGGACCCAACTGAATAGTCCAGGATAATCTTCCTATCTCAAGGTCCTTAACGTCATTACATCTGCAAAGTCCCTTTTGTCATGTAAGGTGACACAGTCATAGGGTCCAGGGAGAAAGACGTCTTGAGGGTAGTGAAGGGGTGGAGGAAGGCATGAATCCACCCAGCACACAGCACCTCCAATCCTCCCTGTGATCTGGTCTCTCTTTCCTGTCTGAACACATCCCTTCCTCTCCCTCCATTCATGACACTCTGGCCACCTTGCACTTCACAGTGTCTTGAATCTAGATCCAGAGCCTTTCCCAACTTAGGGACTTTGTACTTGCTGTTCCTTCTGTCTCCAGATCTTTAAGGCTGACTCCTTGACATTAGATCTCAATTAAAATGTCACCTCTTCAGAGAGGTCTCTGTGATCCCATCTTACTATCTTACCTATTCACCCTTACTATTGCTTTCACAGCACAGTACCATAGAAGTTGTCTTGCTCACTTTTTATTTATTTAACATAAGTTCTCTCAGAAAAGAGGGCTGCCCTGGTTTATCATGTTCACACCTATACACCCAGGGACCAGGATAGGCAAGAAACTTAGTACATACTCAAATATTTTCAAATAAATAAATCAGGTTAAAAAAATAGTACTTGGAATTTGACTGCCTGTAGTGGGAGAAAGAAGTGTCTGGAATGAGTACTATATTTTGGCCAGGCACAATGGCTCACCCCTGTAATCCCAGCACTTTGGGTGACCGAGGCGGGTGGATCACCTGAGGTCAGGAGTTTGAGACCAGCCTGGCCAACATGGTGAAACCCCGTCTCTACTAAAAATACAAAAATTAGCCGGGCGTGATGGCAGGAGAATCGCTTGAACCCAGGAGGCGGAGATCGCAGTGAGCCGAGGCCGCGCCACTGCACTCCAGCCTGGGTGATAAAACTCCAGAGCTCCATCTCAAAAAAAAAAAAAAAGAATGAGTATTATATTTCTATAAAAACCAGAGGAACGATGCTGCCATTTACCGAAACACAGAAGTCTGAAGAAGTAGAGATCAAATGTAGAGGAGATACACTGAGCATAAAGGCTTGTGAGACACCCACGTGGAGAAGTGGGACAGGCAGATGATGATATAGGCCTGGCTTTAAAAAGAAAGATCGAGACCGAAGACAAAGATTGGGAGAGTCAGGGGATGTAAATGGTAACTGAAATGAACTGAAGAGAAAGAAATCACCCAGGGAGAACCGACTGTCTGCAGTTTGAGAAGGGAAGCAGGGTGGAGGAGAGGCCCAGGAGACCTCCTGAGAGGGGAGGGAGAGGGATAGGAGACCCCGCAGATGCTGGCATCTCAGAGTTCTGGGAAAGCGCTTTTTAATGGTGAGCTCACCATGAGGTAAAATGAAGGTGTTCCAGAACTGAAATAGCACCTCTTCACACTGTATAGCTAACTATCCACTATTAGGCTTTTCTTGGTGAGAACTACTTGGTAGCTAAGTGGAGGGCTGCAACAGGGGACTCCAAACACAGGTAGGTAGAGAAGGCAGGTAGTCACCCGATAGAAGCTTCCATTAAAAAAGTGTGGGTAAGCGCTCACTTATGAATAATGTGTACACATGGACAGTGTGGAATAATAGACCAAGAGTGTCCAACCTGTGGCCCATGGGCCACGTGCAGCCCAACACAAATTTGTAAACTTTCTTCAAACATTATGAGATTTTTTTTTTTCAGCTCATCAGCTATCATTAGTGTTAGTGTTTTTTATGTGGGGCCCAAGATAATTCTTCTTCTTCCAATGTGGCCCAGGGAACCCAAAAGATTGGACATCTTTGTAAGAGACATTGGAGACTCAGAAGTGGGGCAGGGCTGAGGGATGAAGAATAAGAAATTACTTAATGGGTAAAATGTATGTTGCTGTTTGGGTGATGGTTACACTAAAAGCCCAGACTTCACCACTATACATATATCCATGTAATAAAACTACATTTGTATCCCCTAAACCTAAATCAAAACAGAAACATGGGGGAATTATGAGTTAATGAATGGCTTAACACAATAATGGCATTTTGAATGCCCCTGGCCAATATGGTGATTCTCTTCGCCTCACTAATACCTATGGCTCCAAATGAACACAGAGATCCCACCGTTCCCAGCTGCAGCAACAATAATAGAGCATGTGGTGTCTGGGTAATGGCCCCCAAAGATGTCTGCATCCAAATCGCCCGAGCCTGTGACTATGTTACCTCACATGGTAAAGGGACTTTGCAGATGACTCTTTAAAATAAAGATATTGATTGGGCACTGTGGCTCACTCCTATACTCCCAGAGCTTGGGAAGTCAAGGCAAGAGGATCAGTTGAGGCCAGTTTGATATCAGCCTGGGTAACAGAGTGAGAATCCTATCCCTATAAAGAAATTTTTAAAAGTTAGCCAGGCATAGTGGTGCCCACCTATAATCCCAAATTCTCAGGAGTCTTAGGTGGGAGGATTGCTTAAGCCCAGGAATTCAAGGCTGCAGTGAGCCATGACTGCACCACTGCCCTCCGACCTGGGCTATAGAGTGAGACCTTGTCTCTAAGAAAAGGAAAAAAAAAAAAAAAAGAAAGAAGCCTCATTCTCTGCTGTATGGACCAGATGACTTTAGCCTCAAATATTTTAAAGGCAGCCATGATAAGTTCATCACATCAAACCTGAAAAAACATGGGCATGACATCTTCCAAAAATCATTTTGATAAGCACTGACTCCTGTCAGGCCAATTAGAATAAAAGTAAAATTTAGAATTTAGTGTCCTGGCCAGGCGTGGTGGCTCACGCCTGAAATCCCAGCACTTTGGGAGGTTAAGGCAGGCAGATCACCTGAGTTCAGGAGTTCGAGACCAGCCTGGCCAACATGGTGAAACCCCGTCTCTACTAAAAATGCAAAAATTAGCTGGGCGTGGTGGCGCATGCCTGTAGTCTCAGCTACTTGGGAGGCTGAGGCCGAAGAATCGCTTGAACTCCAGAGGCAGAGGTTGCAGTGAGCCAAGATCGCGCCACTGCACTCCAGCCTGGGCAATAGAGCAAGACTCATCTCAAAAAAAAAAAAAAAAAAAGAATTTAGTGTCCCACATGGTCCTGAAGGTGCTTATCTTCCAGGCAAACCAACAAATGAAATTTAAATCCTGATGTACCTTAACTACATAACATCCTTAATAAAACTGTATAATCTAGTCAGAGCTTTTTTTCTACTCTTTTATTCTTTATCTTATATCATTCAGTACATAAAAGAGCATGTAAGCATTTTGCATATTAATAAGTTATAATTTACTAGGAACATCTAGGAACCTACCAACAAACCATCCACTAGAATAGTACAAATATTTTACATCTAACCCTGTGTGCCCCTTTCCCCTCCAAACTCCTCCATCCTCCAAGAAATAACCATTACCCAGATTATTTTTTACCTTTTAATTTTTTTTTTTTTTTTTTTTTTTTGGGACAGAGTTCTGGTCTTGTTGCTCAGGCTGGAGTGCAGTGGTGCAATCTCGGCTCACCGCAACCTCCACCTCCCAGGTTCAAGTGATTCTCCTGCCTCAGCCTGCCAAGTAGCTGGGATTACAGGCATGCACCATCACACCCGGCTAATTTTGTATTTTTAGTAGAGATGGGGTTTCTCCATGTTGGTCAGGCTGGTCTCGAACTCCCGACCTCAGGTGATCCGCCCATCTCGGCCTCCCAAAGTGCTGGGATTACAGGCGTGAGCCACCACACCCAGCCTTATCTTTTAATTTTTAAAAAAAATCTGGTCTTACAACTCTTGTGTGAATGTTTCAACAATATATTGTTCTGTTTTGCTTGTTTTTGAGCTTCATAAAAATGGTATCGAGCTGTAAGAACTTTTCCAACACTTGCTTTTTTCCCCCTTCAACATTACGGTTTTGGAGATCACTCATTTTGTTCCATATTCTATAGATCATTTATTTTTCACTGCTACATAATACTTTGTTCTGCAGAAAAGCCACAAATTATTTACCTATTTTGCTATCAATAGATATCCCAATTGATATAGCTTTTCTGCTATTATGAACTCTGCTAGTGGGGCCGGGCATGGTAGCTCATGCCTGTAATCCCAGCACTTTAGGAGGCCAAGGAGGGCGGATTACTTGAGCTCAGGAGTTCGAGACCAGCCTGGCCAACATGGCAAAACCCCATCTCTACTAAAAATACAAAAATTAGCCAGGCGTGGTGGCATGCACCTGTAATCCCAGCTACTCGGGAGGCTGAGGCACAAGAATCACTTGAACCCAGGAGGTGGAGGTTGCAGTGAGCCGAGACGGCACCACTGCACTCCAGCCTGGGCAACAGAGTGAGGCTCTGCCTCAAAAAAACAAACAAACAAACAAACAAACAAACAAAACACTCAAAAGAACTCTGCTACTGAAACAGAAAGCCAAACTGCATGTTCTCACTTATAAGTGGGAACTAACCACTGGGTACACGGGGACATAAAGATGGGAGCAACAGACACCGGGCCTGCATAAGCGGGAAGGAAAGCAAGGGAACAGCGTTTGAGAAGGCCTATTGGATACTATGTTCACCATTTGGGTGACCGGCTCAACAGAAGTCCAAGCCTCAACATCACACACCATATCCATGTAACAAACCTACACGCGTACCTACTGATCTAAAATTTAAAAAATAAATAAGTACTTGGCTGATAAAAAATATTCTTGTAAAAGTTTGCTGGTATATATATATGGAAATGGTTTCCTCAGATAAATTCTCATGAGAAGAATTGCTGGGTCACAGGATATAAATATTTTTACGTTAACATCAAATGTTTTCTAAAATGGTGTTATCTATTTGCACCCCACCAGAATAACATAAAAGTTGTTCCACATACTCACCAATACTTGAGATTTACAGATCTCTTATATTTTGCCAATCTAGAGGACCTAAGTGAATAGCTAGCTCACTGTGGCACTAATTTGCAACTCATGCTTACTGGTTAGGTTATATTTTCTAGGCCAGGCATGGCAGCTCACGCCTATAATCCCAGCACTTTGGGAGGCCAAGGTGGGCAGATCACTTGAGGTTGTAAGTTTGAGACCAGCCTGGGCAACATGGTGAAACCCCGTTTCTGCTAAAAATACAAAATTTAGTCGGGCATGGTGGCGCATGCTTGTAGTCCTAGCTACTCCGGAGGCTGAGGCTCAAATCGCTTGAACTCAGTAGGCGGAGGCTGCAGTGAACCTAGATCACACCACTGCACTCCAGCCTGGGCAACAGAGTGAGACTCTGTCTAAAAAAAGATTATATTTTCTATATCTACTGGCCCCTACATGTTTCTGATGTTTTCTACCCGTTTTCTCTTAAATTGTTTTTTTCACTCTTTTGTAGATGTGCTTTCTATTTTCAGGAAGCTAAACCTTTGTCAATTATATGTATTACAATTATCTTCTCTCAAATTACGGCTAGTTTTTTCACTTATTTATGGGACACCTTGATGAACTGAAGTTCTTAGCTTTAATGTGGTAAAATTTTCACACCAATTTTTATGGTAAGTCGAAAGATATTCTTTTACCTCACCTTCTTTTTTTTTGTTTTGAAACAGAGTCTCGCTCTGTCGCCCAGGCTGGAGTGCAGTGGTGTGATCTCAGCTCACTGCAAGCTTCGCCTCCCGGGTTCACACCATTCTCCTGCCTCCACCTCCGGAGTAGCTGGGACTACAGGTGCCTGCCACCATGCTCCGTTAATTTTTTGTATTTTTAGTAAACACGGGGTTTCACCATGTTAGCCAGAATGGTCTCGATCTCCTGACTTTGTGATCTGCCCACCTCGGCCTCCCAAAGTGCTGGGATTACAGGTGTGAGCCACAGTGCCCAGCCTCTTTTATCTCATCATCTAAGAGTTTTCAGGTTCTGCTTTTCAAATTTATATTCATAACCCATCTAAAATTGATTTTGGTTTATGATGTGAGGTAGGGATCCAAATCCATCCTTTTTTATATGTATAAACTATTTATTTTAGCTTCCTTCTTTTTCTACAGTACTGTCCCAGTTCCATAGACTTACAAGTCTGTAACAAGGAGTTCTTTTGTTCCTTTGTTCCACCTGTCTACTCCCATGCCAATACCATGCCATCTTCACTATTGAGACTCTATGATAAAACTTGATATCTAGTGGGAAGAGCACCCCCTATGCCATCAGGTGTGGGTTGGCTTGTGGTGACACTTTGCTGGTATCTATAATCCAAAGCTCTAAAACACATTAAACCACTAGCCAGGCATAGTGGTCCGAGCCTATAATCCTCACTACTTGGTAGGCTGAGGTGAAGGGATTGCTTGAACCCAGGAATTCAGGACCAGCCTGAGCAACACAACAAGACCCTGTCTCTTAAAAAAAAAAATTAATTAGCCAGGAAAGGTCCCCAGCTAATTAAAACAAAGGTTGATATGGGAGGATATCTTGAACCCAGGAGTGAGGCTGATGTCGGAGGTTCTCTTGAGCACAGGAGTTCAAGGCTGCACTGAGCTATGATTGTACCATTGTATTCCAGCCTGGGCAACAAAGCAAGACCCCATCTCTTTAAAAAAAATAATTAATACACGTTAGATAATTGCCATCTTTACAATACTGAGTCTCCCTATTTGTGAACAAGTATCACTCTCCACTTGTGCCTCAGTAAAGTGTCATAATTTCCTGCATGTAAGCCTTGAACATTTTTTGTTAAATTTTTACCTAGCTAACTCATGGTTTCTGCTGCTATTGTAAGTAGGGTTTTTTTGTTTGTTTATTTCATTTCCTGTTGGTTGCTGGGGTTAGAAACACAGCTGACTTTCATATACAGACCTTGCAGTCAGCCACCCAGCACTGACCACTCTATTAACTAGTATGTAGATTCCCGTTGGGTTTTCCATACAGAGATAATCCTATCACCTGTGAATGACAGTTTTGTTTCTTTCTTTCTAATCCTTATCCCCACTCTCCCTTATCTTGCAACGGTGACTAGGATCTCTATTCCAAGATTTTTTTAAGTGGCGATAGAAAGCACTTTTTATTTGTTTCTTATTTTTAAAGGAATGCTTTTCATTTTTCCCCATTAAGCATAATAATTACTATAGATTTCAGTAGATATCCATAAGTTTCCTCCTTTTCCTCCCATCCTATTATCTAAGAGTATTTTTCTTCTTTTAATTAAAAAATGAGGGTGCTCAAAATATTCTAGTTCTGCCTTTATGTATATACATATATATGTTTCTATTTATGTATATGTTCTGTTTATGTATATGTTCTGTTTTGGGTATATTGTGATTCCTGAGTCTGTGGTGTCATGGGTCTTCTCCAGTTCTAGAAAGCATGTAGTCATTATCCCACAAATATCACCTTTCCTCTATTTTCTCTTTTTTTTAATTTTTTTATATAAAGATGGGGTCTTGCTATGTTGCCCAGGCTGTTCCTGAACTCCTGGGCTCAAGTAATTGTTCCACCTCAGCCTCCCAAAGTGCTAAGATTACAGGGGTGAACCACTGCATCCAACTTCCTCTATTTTCTTTATCATCGCTGCCTGGATCCCCAGTTGAGCACACATTAGACTCTCTCATTCTAACTTTCTTACCACTGGGAATTTCTTTTGTATTCTCTATCACTCCTTATTATTACATAATTATAATATTTATAATATATAATTATACATGTATTATTATTATATGTCTACTTTCTTGTTCTTCAGATAATTTTTGAGGTCACTAATTCTTTTCAGCTGTATCTAATTTGCAATTGAAGCCATTTGATCCACTGAGTTTTTTATTTCCACAATTAGATTTTTAGAAGTTCCATTCACCACTGAATCTGTCGGTTTCTTCCCAATGCCCATTCAATGTTCATTCATAGCTCATCTCTGCAACAGCAACTCATATGTCTTCATTCATTTCTTCCCTTTTAGCCTCAGACTTAGGTTACAATTATAGAAAAGTATCCTCTCACATGACGAGATAACAGTGATAGAATAACCATATCAGTATATCATATAATAGTTACATAAAATCCTACACGCTCTGAGGAATAGCTTTATACAACTTTAGCATTCCACAAATTGTTCCAAAAGGTAAGTTTAATTATAAAAATTCTCAAAATGTCACACTACATCCAAAAACACAAATTAATAAGTGTCTATTAGGTGTCGAGTAATGTGCCCTGTCAGCATCGAGGGTACAGAAAGGACAGACACACCTTCAGTCCATATCTTCTTAAAGTTTATAGTATACTTTGTGGAGGCGTTGACATTAAACAACTAATTACATTGTTTTAACTTGCTTTTTAGCCAATTTTCTCAAAAAAGAAAACAAACATGTTCTGTGAGCAAAAGAAAATGAAAATTAATGAAAACCAGAAGAGGGAAAGTAAAGAAAATTTTTCTCTCTGCCACCTTTACTTCCTTTTTATTTTTAACCTCAGAATTCTATGCTGTGGGAAAAGTCTATTTTCCTTACAGTTTTCTATTTTAATAGCTGCCGGTTAGTCTTGGTTGCCAATATGGGAGGGAGGCCATACCATGGGGTCAACAGCATTTCAAATGAGCCCAGAGATTTTAAAAAGTGAAAATATGCTAAACTCACTGGAAAGAGAAACTATAATTTCGCTGAGTCTTCTCTACACATTTACTGAACCTCTTTCACGGGTATGTTGATAAAAGTTTATGCTTGCAACCAAACTTTTTAAGTGTACCGTATTTGAAACTTGGCAGGCAGTTCTAGTATATTGCAGAATCCTCAGATAAACAAATCAAGGGTAACAAAAGCACACCCTCTGTGTAAATGTGGATTATGGTATCAAACGCCTGCACTTCTCTAGTTTTGTTCATTCTTTGTATAGTCTTTCTACACAGCAGACTTTCTGTAGTTTTGTTATGTCTTTACTTTTTGCTCGTGCCATGTTCCAAAGAGAAGAGGGGAGGATGGATGGGCTCTTGGTTTCATGCAGTTATTCAAAAGCCGAGCTTCTTTCCATCTAAGCAGCTCCACTATCCCCCAGGTCCTCATAGTCTTTCCCTGGATACACTGAATAATGTTGCCAAAGCAGCAGTCATCACTATCCCAGCAGCACAAGAGCCTGTGCTAACGTCTTTGCAAATCTCACAAACTGCCAGGTCTAGGATGATGCAATGTACTTTCATTGGCCTACGGAGAAGGACGATGTCATGAACTTTGGCAACACATTTTCATGAAGTTGCAAGATACCAAATCTAATTGTCCTATTAATTTCAAGAGGATATTTTACTAAAATGCCAGGTAGGACCTCAACATACTACAGATTTTTAAAATTCAGCACAAACAAATACATTGTTAAGTAAAATACGTGATTTAGAAATAGGTACTGTTGGAATGGTACGAAAAAATCTTAAAAACAGTCAGACACTATTCAATCCTCTCCCACTGCTGATTTATGTAGGAAGGTTAAACAGCTCCACGTGGCACACGCCGAAGTCTTATTTCATTCTAGACACTTGGTCTACCCTAAACATACATGTATTGTATTTCTACTCCCGAAGGCAGTTACTGTGGAAATATCAAGACTCTACTACACCGACTCAGACTGTGGGTGTAAGAAATATTTGACAATGAGCGGCAGCAGAAAGTTGATTTTCCAGCTAGGACAAAATAATGTTTTTCATCAAGTTCCAAAGAAGAAAGATAAATCTAATAAAGCATGAAAGAACTCGATATCCAAAAAAAGACTTTCTGAGCTATAGAAATTACACCGAGCTATAGAAATTACACCAATTACACTAATGATTGCTTCTCGTGTATCTAATTACACATTTGCCAAAAAGTGAGTCAGACAAGCAATAAATTAGTCTTATTCTCAATGTTTTTCTTTCAGTCACTACCAGCTTTAATATTATTTATTGAAATGGTTATTTTGTTGAATGAGTGAAAGAATATGATATTTTCTCATTATTACTAATAATTACAACATAAACAGTGAGTGCTTACTATGGCCGGACTGTTCCAGGTGCTTCATGTGGACTGACCCCTTTAATCTATTCAACCATCCTATGAATACCAAGACTTTCACCCTATAGATATCACAAGTTTGGTGGACACAAAATAAAATGTTTGATCGACTTTTAAATAAAATATAAGCCGGGGGAGGAACAACAGTGGCAAAACATGCTTTCCAAAAGTAGTGGTTCCCCAGACAGGAAGGGAACTTCTGAAAGGAGAACCAGGGTGAGCAGGGCAGGAATACTAAAGCACAGGGGAGAGAAGGCTCAGACTCAATAGGTGAGTAGCGATGAAAAAAAAAAAAAAGACAAAAAGAATTTGAAGGAAAAGAGACAAGCAGATCCATTATTACAGATCTACCATTACTACGGATTATCCATTATCACGGATCTACCCACTCAACAATGTACTTAGAGGTCCCAGACTGAACAATAAGGCAAACATAAATAGATGGATAAAGAATTGTCATGGAAGAAATAAAATTGGCATTATTAACAAACAAAAGAATCTACAGATAAAGGAATAAATGTTCTAAGTGCACAATACTGCAGTAACATGAGGCATTTCTATGTATCAGCTCTGCTTTGCCTTCCACTGTAAGTGGAAGCGTCCTGAGACCCTCATCAAGAGCAGATGTTGGCACCATGCTTCTTGTACAGTCTGCAGAACTGTGAGCCAAATAAATTTTTCTTTATAAATTACCCATCCTCAACTATTCCTTTGTAGCAACACAAAACAAAGATAACCCGCAACCCCATTCTTAAGTAGCAAATATTTAAAAATCATTTTCTCAACACCTAGGAAAAACACTAGTGAAAGATATGCAAGATCTATAAGAGAAAATTAGAAAGTGTTACTGGGAGAAACTGAAAACCTAACTAAATAGAAAGAGTCACCACACTTGTGAATTATAAGACTCAGTATTGTAAAGATATTCATTCTCACCAAATTAAACTATGAATTCAATGCAATAATCATCAAAATGCCAACAGATTTTTCTGCAAATAAGACACTGTGGTACTGACATAGCGACAGAACAACAGAAAAGAGCAGACGGTCCAGAAACAGTCCCATACGAAACATATGAAGAAGTACTCAACCTCATTAGTCATCTGGGGATCCAAATTTAAAACCAATGAGATACCACTACAGCCCCCAAAGTGGCTTCAAAAACAAAAAGCAAAGACAAGCCCCACCATACCAAGGGCTAGCAAGAATGTGTGTGTGGAACAGCAACGACTGTCATACACTGATCGTGGCAATACAAACCGCAACAATACCCAATTACCCAGTGCTATGGTTTGGATATGGGGAGCCTTTTGGCCCCACTAAGTCTCATGTTGAAATGTTGGAGGTGGGGCCTGTTGGGAGGTGTGTGGGTCATGCGGACAGATCCCTCGTGAATGGTTGGTGCCATTCTCTAGAGAGTGAGTTCTCACTCTTAGCTCCCATGAAAGCTGGTTAATGAAAGGAGCCTGACACCTCTCCTCTCTCTTTCTTGCTCCTTCTCTCACCATAGGACACGCATATGCCAGCTCCGCTTTGCCTTCCACTGAAAGTGGAAGCGTCCTGAGACCCTCATCAAGAGCAGATGTTGGCACCATGCTTCTTGTACGGTCTGCAGAACTGTGAGCCAAACAAATTTTTCTTTATAAATTACTCACCCTCGACTATTCCTTTGTAGCAACACAAAACAAAGATACCCCGCAACTCCATTCTTACATCATACCTTAAGAAAATACATATACAAAGAGTTGAATGAAAATCCTATTTCCCAACATTTCCATTCCTTAGTATATACCCAACAGAAACACATACACATTCAGGCAAAGACCTGTACAGGACTGCTAACAGCAGTGGCATTACCAAAGTGGTCAAAAATCAGAAATGGTAAAAATGTCCATCGACAGTTGAATAGATAAATTGTTCTATGCTTACAGAATAGAATACTGTTTGGTAACAAAAATGAATTAATCTAGTAACAACATAAATGAATCATATAATTTGAGCAAGAGAAGAAAGACACAAACAAAATACATCCTGCATGGTTCCATTTAAAGAAACTTCCAAGAACATGGCTGAGCATGGTGGCTCATGCCATCCCAGCACTTTGGGAGGCCGAGGTGGGCGGATCACTTGAGGTCAGGAGTTTGAGACCAGCCTGGTTTACATGGCAAAACCCCATCTCTACTAAAAATCCATAAATCAGTTGGGCGTGGTGATGCGCACCTATAGTCCCAGCTACCTGGGAGTCTGAGGCATGAGAATCACTTGAACCCAGGGGGCAGAGGGTGCAGTGAGCTGAGATTGCATCATTGCACTCCAGCCTGGGTAACAGAGTGAGATGTCGTCTCAAAAAAAAAAAGGAAAAAAAGAAACTTCCAAGAACAGGCAAACCACCCATAAACTTTAAAGTGAGCCGAGTGATTTACTTAGGAAGTAGAGTTTGAAGTAAAGGAGCAAGAAGATGGGGGAGAGGAGGGTACATTTTGGGGTTCTGCAGGAATTTTTTTAAAATGCCATGAAATAAAAGTATGTGAACATACATGATTAAAAGAACATACTGAATATCTGGGAAAACTGATACTAAACAGTCAACACTGAGAAATATTTTTTAAGAATCAGAAATTTTAAAAAACATTCTTTAAACATCAAGACAAAAACACTTATAAAGGAAAGAAAGTTATATTGACACCATACTTACGAACACTTTATACCAGAAGCTGAAGAAGTATGATACTTAAGATATTCAAAACAAGAAGCTATGAACCAAGGATTTTAACTTTAGACAAACTGATCTTCAACTATTAATGTAAAGACCACAAGAAAAACTTGTAAGAGCTCAGGGAAAATTGCTCCCTGAGCCCTCTCCATGGGAGAGCAACTAGGGGATGAATTTCTGAAATAATCAGAGAAGCTTTTGGATAAGAAATGATAGTTACCATCAATATACTGTATTTAACTAAAGTTAAACAATGGGGCAGAGTAAAAAGTAGAATGCAGCTTTTTTAGAATCTAGCAATGCAGGTCAAATACAACTACCAAAAATTAGGAAGAGAAGGGAAATAATATATGTAAAGTAAATAAGTTCATTGATTACCTTTAATTGGGAGTTTTAAAAAAGTATATAGTAGTTTAAATTAGAAGTTGGGAAGAGCAGGGTAAAGGAATTCCTATTGGTCACTGTTAGGAACCAATACAGTATTTAACAAGAGATTCTAGAATTGAGAATCACTTGAACCCAGGGGGCAGAGGGTGCAGTGAGCTGAGATTGCATCACTGCAATTCTCAATTCTAGAAATCTACCTTAAAATATACAGGGGCAGGAAATGTGTAAAATAAGCCTGAGAGACCCTGTCAGGCCAAAAAGCAAAGAAGCAATCAAAGCCCAGTGCAGTTGGGTCAAAAACAAAACAAAACAAAACAAAACAAAACAAAACACAGGAGTCAACTTGAAGGCACTCCCAATGGCCAAAGCTGGGGTCATTTTAGCATCAAAAAGAATAATAATTGCACTGGCTGGGCATGGTGGCTCACGCCTGTATCCCCAGCACTTTGGGAGGCTGAGGTGGGTGGATCACAAGGCCAGGAGTTTGAGACCAGCCTGACCAACATGGTGAAACCCATCTCTATTAAAAATAAAAATAAAAAATTAGCCAGGTGTCATGGCACATGCCTGTAATCCCAGCTACTAGGGAGGCTGAGGCAGGAGAATTGCTGGAACTCAGGAGGCAAAGGTTGCAGTGAGCTGAGATTGTGCAACTGCACTCCAGCCTGAGCAACAGAGCAAGACTCTGTCTAAAAAAAAAGAAACCATCATTCTGAGCAAACTTTCGCAAGGATAGAAAACCAAACACCACATGTTCTCACTCATAGGTGGGAATTGAACAATGAGAACACTTGGACACAGGACGGGGAACATCACACAGCGGAGCCTGTCGTGGGGTGGGGGGGTGGGGGAGGGATAGCATTAGGAGATATATCTAATGTAAATGATGAGTTAATGGGTGCAGCACACCAACATGGCACATGTATACATACGTAACAAACCTGCACATTGTGCACATGTACCCTAGAACTTAAAGTATAATTTAAAAAAAAAAAAGAAAGAAAAGAAAAAAACAAGAATAATTGCAGTGGACTAAAACTCATCAAATATACAAAAATCTTTGTATTCATACCGATAGTAAAAAGAGTTCTGGCCGGGCGCAGTGGCTCACGCCTGTAATCCCAGCACTTTGGGAGGCCAAGCAGGCAGATCATGAGGTCATGAGTTCGAGACCAGCCTGGCCAACATAGTGAAACCCCAACTCTACTAAAAATGCAAAAAAAAAAAAAAAAAAAAAAAATTAGCCAGGCATGGTGGCGCGGCTGAGGCAGGAGAATCACTTGAAACAAGGAGGCAGAGGTTGTGGTGAGCCAAGATCACGCCACTGCACTCCAGCCTGGGCAACGCAGTGAGACTCCATTTCAAAAAAAAAAAAAAGAGTTCTTACTGATTCACTTTTGGAGGGTGCAAGGGCACCAAAACAACATTGTGAAAATTCGTAGATTAATTGTTCCTATATAAGCTGTATTTCAAAATAACCTAAGAATTGATAAGGAAAAATTGTTCTGTACAATGATAAGAAAATGATTAAATAAACCATAGCATAAGCGGTTGATGGATTACAATAATGCCACTAAAAATTATGATTACAAAGTTTAGTGATTAAAGATACGGATCTCTTCTCTATCCTAAGTTGCACTAAGATGATTTTTCAAATTAAAAATAACAGAAATGAGACAGAAGACTAGAGAGTTCAAAAATTTTTAGAAAAAGGAAGCCACCGCATAGAACCAGACAAAGTGGGGAATTGTTTAAAAGAGACAATTTGACCCAGGGAACACTGTCATGCTGGCGGATCAGGGATGCCAGGCATGCAGGTGCTGAAACCCTAAATACTGTGAGGGGCTCCTTTCCCTTGGCTGATCCAGAATGTCAAGCAGCCAGCCACCTAAGGCCCAGGCAGCAGATTCCAGGTCTCTCTGATGAAAAAACTGAAGAGCCATGGAGAAAAATGGCTCTTTATTCTGGGATTTGCAATCTCTCCTCCTGTAACCAACAGTAGCTGATTTTTCATCCTTTCCCTCTGAAGCAGAGTTTTTAAGTTCTGGCACTACTGACATTTTAGGCTGAATAGTTCTTTGTTGTGAGGGGCTTTCCTGTCTATCGCAGGATGTTCAGCAGCATCCCTGAGCTGTTCTCCTAGATGCCAGCAGTACCCCCTCCTCAAGTCATCACCATCAAAGATGCCTCCAGATGTTGCCAAATGACCAGGAAAGGCGAGAAGGAATCCAACTCAGTCGAAAACCACTGTTCTACAGAGATTCCACCTGTCACCAGGCCCTGCTCCAACACATAGATCTTCCAATCAGCTCTTTTAACAACTCACTATTAAACACAGGCAGACAACCAAGAATAAGCAGACATTTGAGGAAAGCCCCCACAGGATAAACACCAAGCAGGCAAAACAGGAAAAAAAAAGTCCCAGAGTAAAGAAAAATTGTGAACAAAATGAGGAGAATTGAAAATGAAACCGAAACCATTCTACTGAATACTCATCAACAAGCAGAGTAGCATGATAGTAAAAATGTAGAACTTGAGTCAGACCACCTGGGTTCAAGACCAGCTCTACCACCTAACTGGCTGTGTAATCAAAGTGGTACCTCATTCTTCTAATCTTTACAATGGGGTAAAGATTAATATCTATCTAAAGGGTTGCTGGAAGAGAGAAACAAGGTACTTAGAACTTTGAAAAGTTCATGGAACACAGAATCAACAAAAAGGGGGCTTTTGTTTTGTTTAATTATCCTCAGAAAGATTCTATAGTGTATCCATGGAATGAGACTAAGATGTTACAAAAAAGAAACAGAGACATTCTTCTCAAATGTACTGGAATTAAAATAGCAGCAGCGAATTTTTAAGATTTTAAAGAGAAATGTAGTAAAAGTTGAAGAAATCTCTTTAAAAGCAAAGGTAAAATCCAGAAAGGCCAATATTCACCTAAAAGAACTTCTAGAAAGATGGAAGAGGAGAAGAGCTGAGGGAAGGAAATTATCAAGAAATTAAAGCTGAAGAACAGATGTCTCCAGGACTGAAAAGGTCCATTGGATCCAACCATTACAACGACTGGGGTGCAGATAAAGAACTCCTTGCAACCCCACACTAACCTCATCACTGTGAAATTTCTCCTCCAACACACTCACACTGGTTAATTCTTCAGCAACTTTCAGATCTTATTTAACTAGATCAGTGATCAGTTCTTCAATAAAACTTCCCAGAATCTTGGAAAATACCCCCTTCTCTGCCCCTTATACACTCAAAGCACCAAAAACCTGTCCCTATCTCAGTAATAATTACACACTTACTCAAGTGATTACTTGAGTGTTGATTCCAAGAGTCATATGGTTTAAGACCACCGTGTCTGTTTTTCACCATTGCATCCCCATCATCTAACACAATCTATAATAACTATTTAAATACATTTTATATAAATGAGCCATATAATAAAATTACTGATTTCTTGGAAATATCATACATTAATAATAATAAATACCTCTACTACAGAGTTTCACAACTCATTACATGAAATAAAAAAATTTCACAAGTTTTTCGTACTGCTTTGGCCTGAATTTGCTTCTTTTATCTTTAACCCATCAGTGACAGAACTAAATTCTTTAAGCTAGGTCTCAGATGTCCCGAAGGAATGAGCACCACCTAGTGGAGGCACATAATATTAAAAAGTGGCTTGAAACACTACCTAAATTTACTAGGCACACAATAGTGGCTAGCCAAATATTTATTCAAATTAAAAGACAAAGATACATGCCAACTTTGTCAAGTAATGAAAATCAAATTTTTACCATCTGTATAATTTATAACATTCCAATTTAAACAAATGAAATTCACAAATAAAATGTATTTTTAAAGTTGGCAGTTAACATCCTTTCATTTAGCTTTTAACTGAACACAGAAATGAAAACAATGAGGAAGAAAGCAATTCTAGATGCTATGCTTCCAAAGTGAGAAAGAAAATAAAGGTACAATTAAAACACTAATTGCATATGAAAATACACCATTTGATACACTCAAGCCTTTCAAAAAAAATAGGAAAGTTTTTTATCAGAAGGGAGGGGGTGTATTATACTTTGATATTGATAGCCCTCGCTTGCTAAGCAAAAATAATTGTGAAATGTAGTAATGAAACAGGGGACTCTAAGAACAATGTAGATACATTTGTCTTCTAGTTTTATTAGTGATGAAAGGAAACACAAATCAAAAGTATCCAGGATAGCACACTCCTGGGTTAATATATTAATATTAAACTGGAATAATCAAGTAAAACAGGGACATCTTACAAGACATATCACCCTTTCTCAAGCCTTGCCACAGTGGTTGCAGAGGGGAGATGCATGTCTATCAAAGAAGAAAATGTAAAAATTACCAAGTTTTGACAAGAAAATGAATATGAACTTTCTACAGCGCAACTGTTAGATCAATAGCAACTACCTAAAAGTAATTAGCCTCATGCAATGTTAATAACTATTTATTTTAATTTCTACATCACTAAGCCATATTTGAAAAATATATTTGAAATGTAATATAGTGAAAATACTTGTTAAAATTAAGTTATAAATAATATTGTGGTAATAAGCAATGCCTAAACCTTAGCAGCATATAACAACGAAAGTTTATATTCCCCCAGACACTCTCTGTCTACTGCATTTCCTCTGTGAACTCTGCTCCACAAGCCCACGTGCTCAGACCCAGGTGGGGAGAACTCCCACCACCTGGAACATCAGCAGTCAGCAATGGGGGCTGGAGGGTAGGAAGAAGAGACAGAGTGCACTGACTGCTAAAGGCTTCTGCCCAGCGGTGACACACTTCACTCCCACTCACATTCTATTGACTAAACAAGTCATGTGGCCATAACTAACATCAAGAGGTGGAGAAGTGCAATCTTACATGTACCTGTAAACAGCACTACTGCAGGATATACGGATGGATGGATGGATGAATGGATGGACCCATGGGTGGGTAGATAAATATAAAATAATTTTTTGATTCAGAATGGATCACCTGCAACTAATTTTACATATACAGAAGCTTATTAATTTTACTTTTAGGTTCTTTATAATAAATTAGATTTACATTAATGTCTTATAGAATTATAATAAAGTATTTTAAATAACATTTTGAAACATTTAAAAATACTCAATTTTAAAATGTTAAAGATTTAAAGTATTTTACGTGAAAATGGAAAGAATGATAAAACCAATCTAATTCAGTAATTTCCTTTGATAGTCTATTATTGTTAAACCGTGATCATCATAGAACATTCCTAATTCCTATTTTATTGACATGCAGAAATATCAACAATAAACTTCATTTTAAACCAGGTGGATAAAAATATCTTTCTTTATTAACTATCATCTGTCTGTAATAAAGATGATGCAACTTATGCCACAACTTGAGCTGACTGAAAAATCAAACTACATTCATCAATTATTTGTGAATAACCATAATACTTCAATAAATGAATCCAATGAGATGTGAGCATCTATTATCGTGCCCCACGATGGGCACTCAAGTATTTGTGAAATGAATGGAAAACAAACTGGGCAAGACAGAGCCTGGAAGGGCAAGTTATTCAGTTTCCTTTAATCAGGCAATCTCCCTTGAACACCTACTACGCTTTGAGGTAACGCAGAATAAACAAACAAAAAAAACACTATACACAGATTCTGCCTGAAAAGAACTTTACTCAATGAACAACTATACCCATAATTAGACTAGGTGCTAAAAATACATTCTATAGATGCTTACAACCAAATGAGAATATTAGATCAGTTCAAACAGTCCCAGAGGACCCCGCTAGAGCCAGCACATAAAAATAAACCAGACCTCAGACTTGGCCAGGAGCTACATAAACCTCCGACTCATACATGCTTTCAGTAAGACCCAGTGAGCTAATAAGGATTTTGTGTTAAATGGTGAGTCTGTGAAGATGCCTTTGCTTCTGCATTTAAGACAGAGAGAAGACTTTCTGCATGGATGTATGTTTTAACACTTATGATAAATTATCGGAAAGAGTGGAGTGAGCCCAGACCAGGAGATAATTTACAATACATATAAACAAAGATCCAGCATCAGAATGTACAAAATAATTCCTACGAATCAACTAGAAAAAGACAAATAACCAAAGCAAAAAAAATAGCAAAGGATATAAAAAGGAAACTGGAATGACTCAAACATATGTTCAACCCCTAATATTCAAATAAATATAAACTAAAACAAGGAGATATTATGGTATTTCAAATTGATCCTGTTGGTAAGTATTTTAATTAATGGTCTGGATTGGAAGTTGGCAAAAATTAAAGTCTAACAATTCAAAATGCTGAAATAAATGTGAAGTAATTGGAACTCCTGGATTATAATATGATACAATCCGTTAGAAAAGTAATTTGGCAATATCTACTAAAGTGTAAGATGTATATATTTATGGTCCAGCAACTCCATTCTTAGGTACGTTACTTACAGAAGGGACTGCATGTGTGTACAAGGGGAATCCACACAAAAGTTATCTCCTATACTGTTCCCAATAGTGACATGGAGATAAAGATGATTTCCAGACATATGACTCTTGTACTCACAAGCCAACTTTCAATACAAATATTCATCAACATGAGAATAGATGATTTGTTATCTAGTCACATAATGCCATAGATAGCAATGTAAACAAATGAATTAGACCTATTTATATCACCATAAATACAATAAATTTCATTAACAAAATGTTAAGCAAAAGAGCAAATTGAGCCGGGTGCAGTGGCTCACGCCTGTAATCCCACCACTTTGGGAGGCCAAGGCGGGTGGATCACCTGAGGTCAGGAGTTCGAGACCATCCTGACCAACATGGAGAAACCCCATCTCTACTAAAAATACAAAAATCAGCCGGGCGTGATGGCGCATGCCTATAATCCCAGCTATTCAGGAGGCTGAGGCAAGAGAATCGCTTGAACCTGGGAGGTGGAGGTTACGGTGAGCCAAGATCACGCCATTGCATTCCAGCCTGGGCAACAAGAGCGAAACGCCATCTCAAACAAACAAACAAAAAAAGAGCAAGTTGAGGAAAGAGGAATGTGTCATGTAAATATGATTCTATTTATAAGAGTTTTAAAACAGACGAAATAATATCTCACATTGTGAATACAAACTCAAGATGAAGGTTATCACTGGCAGGAAAAGGAAAAGAATGGGAACAGGAGGGATGTTCAGACTTCAACTGGATCTACAATATTTTCTCTCTTAAGCTGTGTGTTGGAACACATGGATGTTCAGTATATTGTTCTCATTTTTAATGCCCAAAATATTTCATAACATTTTAAGGGAAAGAAAAGTTAGAAAACACACTTAGCCAACTCAAGAACTTTTTAAAGATTTCTAATCACAGACTATTAATTTTCACTGTAATTTTAAAAGAGTGAGAGCAAAGAAATAAAAAAGCCAGAAGAAAAGTTTATTAAGAGGCCAGGTGTGGTGGCTCATGGCTGTAATCCCAACACTTTGGGAAGCTGAGGCAGGAGGGCTGCTGAGCCCAGGAGTTCAGGAGCAGCTTGGGCAACATAGCAAGACCTCATCTCAGCAAAAAATAAAGAATTAGCTGGGCACAGTATTGTGCACTTGTAGTCCTAGCTACTTGGAAAGCTGAGAAGGGAGGATCATTGAGCCCAAAAGGTTGAGGCTGCAGTGGCCTATAATCAATCGCTCCACAGCACTCCAGGCTGGATAACAGAGCAAGAATCTATCTCAAAAAAAAACAAGTTTGTTAAGACAAGAAACTATCATCCTGAAAAAGCAGCAATGTAGCCAAAGGGATACTGAAAATGGTGCAAATCCTGGCGTATAGCATGGAACACAGCTAACAGAAAGAAAGAAATTGAGGATGAGGATGATGATAATGATGGTGACTTAATATGTTCCAGACAATATTTAAAGCACATTTCATCTATCAATTCTTTTGATCCTTATAACAACCACACAAAGTAGGTACTATTATTATCGTCATTTTACACTAATATATAAGGAAAGTGAGGCACTGTGAAGTAAAATAAGAAGATATTTATATATAAAGACAATATATTAAGATATATATCTTACATATAAAGATATATTATCTTAGTATATATTAAGATCTATGTCTTTATATATCAAAATATATATATCTTTATATGTTAAATATACCTTTATCTTAACATATTATTATAAAATACATATTAGATATATTCCATCATGTTAAGATATATATCTTACATATAAAAATATATTTATACATTAAAATATATATCTTTACATATTAAATGTATCTTTATCTTAATATATTATTATGATATATATCACAAGATATTATTAATATATTACAATATTAATATATTAAGATACTATCTTGATCAGGCATGGTGGCTCATGCCTGTAATTCCAGCACTTTGAGAGGCCGAGGTGGGCAGATCACTTGAGGTCAGGAGTTTGAGACCAGGCTGGCCAACATGGTGAAACTCTGTCTCTACTAAAAATACAGAAATTATCTGGGCGTTGTAGGGGCATCTGTAATCCCAGCTACTCGGTAGGCTGACACGTAAGAATCACTTGAACCTGGGAGGCAGAGGTTGCAGTAAGCAGAGATCATGCCACTGCACTCCAGCCTGGGTGATAGAGTGAGACTCTGTCTCCAAAATGAAAAGATATTATCCTAATATATAGTAATATAATTAATATATATCATTAATATATTATTTATATATAGATATTATCTTAATATATATTAATATTACATATTAATATATTAAGGTAAACATATCTATTTATTTTAACTTAATATATTATGATTTTTATGATTTTTTATAATGTAATATAAAATAAGTTCTTTCAAATTATTATAAGTTATTATATTGTTATATATCATAATGTAATAATATAATATATTTATCTTAATATATTATTTATTAATTGATATATTAATATGTAATTATTATATCATATATAGTATTTATAATCATAAATATATCATTGGCCAGGTACAGTGGTTTATGCCTGTAATCCCAGCACTTTGGGAGGCTGAGGCAGGTGGATCACTTAAGGTCAGGAGTTCGAGACCAGCCTATATTATATATTTTTTAATAATGTAATTATTATGATGAAAATAAGTTATAAATTATTATGTTGTTATATGATATAATATAGTATAATATGATATATTAAGATAAATATAATTGTATATTGTTACATTATTATGATAATAATATAAGTTATTATCTTATTCTTGGCACAGCCAGAACCTGAGTCCAAGCAATGTGGCTCACAATGCCAGCTCTGAATTCTGACTACAGTTGCCTCTTTGCAAAAGGGTGGGACATGAGTTTCTGGAAGCACAGAAAAGTACTCAATATACCTGACTGTCCATAACTGAGACAACACAAAAGGGTGAATAGACAGACTCAATGAGAAGCAAATGATCACTAGACTCAAAAGAAAACAGGATGCAGACAGCAAAAGGTCCCAATTTGATGTGAAGGAATCATGGAAGTCGTTGTCCTCTCTCTAGAAATTACCTGTCTCCTTCAGCCATACATTATTACACTCACACATCCAATCATTTAATGATTATTAACCAAAGGCCTAAAGTTCCAAACTACACTTCAGTGAATATTATCCAGTCCCTCCACTCCAAATCAAGCAGAGTTTACACAAAAAGTGTGCTCGTAATTCTTATTTTTTTCTTAGATCTTCAAACACATGCTCTAGAAATATAATTAAATGTGGTGGTGAATAGGCCTCCAAGCCAGCCCACAAAAACATGTTTAAATCTATCATGTGAAATTCCATGCTGACACTAAGTTTTCCTTATGCAGAATGTGTATTCCTGTATACCTTTTTACACAACCACAAGAAGTGTGAACTAGCCTCCACACAGCCTTGACACAGCAGATCCCACAGCACTCCCTTGTTCAATTTGAGTTATTCGTCCTGTCATTTCCAAAGCTCTGATAGTCACTTTCATGCTGACTTCCATCAGAAGCATACAGTATTGGCCGGGAGTGGTGACTCACGCCTATAATCTCAGCACTCTGGGAGGCTAAGGCAGGTGGATCACTTAGGCCAAAAGTTCGAGACCAGCCTGGCCAAAATGGTGAAGCCCTGTCTCTACTAAAAATACAAAAATTAGCTGGCCATGGTGGCAGGCGCCTGTAGTCCCAGCTACTCAGGAGGCTGAGGCAGGAGAATCGCTTGAACCCAGGAGGTGGAGGTTGCAGTGGGCTGAGATCGCACCACTGCACTCCAGCCTGGGTGACAGAGCAAGACTCCATCTCAGAAAAAAAAAAAAGAGAAAGAAAGAGAGAGAGAGAGAAAACAGCCTATTTTGAAATTATTATAATTCAGTTCTATACTTTAAAAATAATTTACTTTAAATAAAATAAAACAAGGATAGCCTCCAAGGAAGTTGTAGATGGCAAGAACTGTGACGTTTTAAAATCATTTTACTATAGATGAAAACAAACATTGGAGGTTTATTTGCTGCCAATGGTTCTACAATTTGCTGTGGGAAATGGACTTTGAGAACCAACTGGGAATGTCAGGACCACACTGCACTGCCCAACACCTTTGTGGCAATAGGACGTGAAGTGCCACCTGTCATGGCATTAAAGCCAGATATCCAAAAATAGCACAATCCAGAAATGCGGGTGATAAAGGGAGATGACCCAAGGTCCCAGAATTGTAAATATACATTTCACTGAGCCAGTCAATTCACTTAGTAGAGCAATTTGGTTAAGACCTACTGCAGTGGGAAACGCTCATCTCTGTAGCCCAGAGACTCCACTGTTAGGTATAATACCTAGAGAAGCTAGATGTTTCCCTACTGGAATTCCTATCCTCTGGAATTAGAGAACAGCAGGAATTGCCCAAAAAGGGAAATAAGTGTTACAAATTTCCTGATTCCATACATTCTAATGAATGAACTGTTCTTAAGTCAGAGATTTCTAGGTAAGAAACTCCCCACATTCATTCTGGTAGAGCATATAGACTTCCTATTACGAAATTATGAATAAATATAAGACGGTTGTTCTGAAACTAAGTATATTTGAATCACCATGTAAATCTCACAATAACTTGACTGTTACATTACATAAATGTAGACCACGCGGGAGGGCACAGTCGCACTAAATATTCACAAATATGGCTCCCAATTTCTCATCCTTACTCTCAAGGAAATCTCTGAAAAGGGCAACATATGGCCACCATTTTTAGAGTATGAATTACAAAGGCAACAATTTACTCAGGGTCTCAGGAATTCTTCAGCAGACTTTACATGTTTCTGTGCCTGAAAAAATGTAAACTATAACGTAAGAAATAACTTCATCTGGCTTTTCCAACAGAGCTGGCCTGACAATTACCTTTGATTGGCCAAGGAGCGTTACCAGCTGCTGCTACCCAAGTCTCCGCTCTGTCAGACCAGGTGGCCATGGATCATTCGCAATGTCTGGCTGTCTTTTTGTTTTTCCTCCCACCCAAAGCAAATGATATGTCAGAGGCAAGTAACGTAACCTCCCCAATGGGTTTACTCTCTAAACTTAATACCACCTCTCCCTTCCCCAAACAGCACTGTTTCTAAAAGGGCCTATTCCATGAGTATCTTATAAAATATTAATAGTTCTTCAGCCTTGAATCTGATTCACTAATATGTAAATATCTCCTTTTGCCCGCAAGTATGATGCTTTTTGTTGCTTCTAGATTAAAAGGTGAGGAACTTAAAAGTGCTTGAACCAAAAAGAGTTTATAAAACCATTCCTCAATAAAATTATCCCTCTTTTTAAAATACCTTGACTGGATCGATTATCCTGGAAATAACTACTTTCTATGCAAATCTCATAGTGCTAATTTTAGTAAGAAAATCTGAGTTATTGAAAGATGAAGATCAAGAATTACCTTCAAACTGGTTTTTCACTTTCTGAAATTTCCAGGTTGGAGAAATAAAACTTCAAAAGTATATTCTTGTTCACAGGTTGCTCTATGAGCCTCTGTTCAGGATTTATTTAGACTCAAGATTAAGAAGATTTTTCCCTTTGAGAATTCAACCTAAATTCATGAGCATTAATTTCACTTTACGAATTCATATTAATATGGAGATTCAAAATAAACTCCCACCAAGTGTCATCTCTCATACTTCACTTCTCCTAGGTGACTAATATGCCCGCGACTTCATAGGTTTCATTAAAAACAAGACTTCAGGGCATTTTTAAGAAGATAAATTGTATATTTTGAATTAAAAATTACTCTTGATATTAAATAGTGGGCATTCCTTTTAAATTATAGCTAATAAAACTAGGAATTTATCTTACCTGAAAAAAGTGTTCATCTTTATTAAGGTAAAGGGGTAGGCAATTAAGAGGTTATCATGGCACTTCCAAGTCGCATGATATGTACTCCTGTGCTTATAATAGGCTAATAGACAAAGGACTTTTCCATTTGTAGGGGAAAAGAAAAAAGATTAATCATAACATTATCATGAGATCATCTACTGAGGAATATGGAGGCCTCTGATAAGGCTTCCATGTCTTTGAGTGAAAAGGACCAAAATAGTAAGCAAAGTTTACCTTAGTTGAATTTGTAAAGTTTTCAAGTTCAGAAGTAAAGCCCATTGAAGACTACTGCTAGAGAGCAAACATCTTGAAAGAAGCTTGAGGGAAAAAATACTTTACCTCTAGAGGACAAGGATAAGAATTACTTCAGGCTTCTCATCAGAAACCACGCAAGCAAAAAGAGAGTGGACTGAAATATTTTAAGTGTTGACGGAAAAAAAAAATGCCAGTCTGGACTTCCGTATCTAATGGAATTACACTTCAAAAGTGAAGGAGAAATAAAAACTTTTTCAGACAAACAAAAACTCAAGGAATTTGCAACCAGTAGACCTGCCTTGCAAGAAGTGTTAAAAAGGAAGTTTGTCAGAGAGAAAGAAAATCATGTAGGTCAGACCCTCGGATCTACACAAAAAAAAGGAAGGACATCAGAGAAAAAATAAATAAATATAAAGCAAAATATTTTATTTGTTTTATTCTTAATTGATCTAATAGATAACTGTTCAGAGTAATAATATTAGCAAAGTACTGGGGGATTACATTAGCATAGAGATAAGTAAAATGAATGACAGAAATGTTATAAGAGATAGGAAAAAGGGAATTGAGAATACTCTGTTATAAGGTACCTGTACTACCTGTGAAATGACAGTGTTATCTGAAAATAGACCTAGGTCAGGCATGGTGGCTTATGCCTGTAATCCCAGCACTTTGGGAGGCTAAGGCGGGAGGATCACTTGAGCCCAGGAGTTTGAGACCAGCCTAAGCAACACAGCAAAACCCTGTCTCTACAAAAAAATACAAAAAAAAAGTTAGCTGGGCATGGTGGCGCACGCCTGTACTTCCAGCTACTTGGGAGGTTGAGAAGTGGGAGAAATACTTCAGCCTGGGAAATCAGGGCTGCAATGAGCCAAGATAACACCACTGCACACCAGCCAGGGAGACAGAGCAAGACCCTGTCTCAAAAAAAAAAAAAAAAAAAAAAAAAAAAACCTGTATTTGTTGTAAATGTGTGTTGCTAACTGTAGGGCAAGCACACATAGAAAAAAAAAATTAAGTATAATTGATTTGATAAAAGAAGAGAGTAAATGGAATAATATAAAATGGTCAACTAAAAGCAGAGAAGGAAGGAAAAGACAGGATAATTAAAATCTTAGAAACTAACAAGTGCAGTGAACAGAAATCAGTTGTAAATATGGTAAATATTAACCAACTATATCAACAGACACTTCAAATGTGAATGATCTAAATATACCAATTAAAAAACAGAGACTGTCAGAATGGATAAAAAGAAAGACCCAACTCCCAACTATATGTTGTCTATAAAAAACTCACATTGAACATAAAGATACAGACACACGAAAAGAAAAAAGTAGAGAAAGATACACTAACATTAACCCAAAAAAGATGGAGTACATATGTCAATTCCCAACATGGCAAATTGGCAGAACTAGAAAAAATTATCAGAGATAAAGGTATTACATAATGAAAAGGGCATCAATTCCCCAAGAAGACATAACAATCCTAAATGTGTATGCACCTAAAAAGAAAGCATCAAAAGACATAAAGCAAAACTGATAAAACTACAGAGAAATGCATGAAGTCACTATTATACTTGGAACTTCAACACCCGCTATCAGTCAGTAATTGACAGATCCGGCAGGCAAAAAAAAAAATCTGTAAGGATATAGTTGAACTGAGCAGCACAATCTACCAACCAAATCTAACTGACATTTATGGAATACTTTATCCAATTATGGCAGTATACACATTCTTCTCAAGCTCACATAGACCATTCAGCAAGATAGACCACATCCTGGGCCATTAAACACAACTTAAATCTAAACGAACAAAAACCATACAGCATGTGCTTTCAGACCACATGGAATTAAACTAGAAATCAGTAACAGAAAGACAGCAGGAAAATCTCTAAATATTTGGAAATTGGACAACATTTTAAATAACACATGGGTCAAAGAAGAATTCTCAAGAATATTTTAAATTAAGTGGAAATGAAAATACAACTTACTAAAACTTGTGAGATGCTGCAAAAGCAGTGGTTAGAATTTATACCACTGAAAGAATACATTCAAAAGAAAGAAAAATCTAAAATTGATAATCTAACTTTCCAACCTTTGGAAACCAGAAAAAGAAGAGCAAGTAGAAGAAAAGAAATCAGACAATAAGAGCAAAAATTAATGAAACTGGAACAAAAAAAAACAGAGAAAAATCAACAAAATCAAAAGCAAGTTCTTTTAAATGATTAATAAAATTGATAAATCTATAGCCAGGGAAAAAAGAGATAAGATACAAATTACGAATATCAGAAATGAAAGAGGAGTCAACAGTACTGATGCCAAGGACAATAAAAGGACAATAAAGAATTGTGATGAACAATTCTATGCCCTCAAATTTGATAAGTTAGATGATATACACCATTCCTTGAAAGACAAGAGTGACAAAATCTCACAAAAGGAGAAACACAAATCTGAATAAGCCTATATTTATGAAATAAATTGAATCAATAACTAGTTAACTTACAAAACAGCAAGCACCAGGTCCAGATGGCTTCACTGGTGAATTCTACAAAACACTTAAGGGAGAAATTATACCAATTCTCTGCAATCTCTTCCAGAAAGAAAAGGAAAATAGCAAGCAGAGTATACTTCCTACCTCATTCTACGAGGCCAGCATTATCTTATTATCAAAACCAGATAAAGACATGACAAGGAAGGAGAATTACAGCCTAACCGTACTTACAAACAGAGATGCAAAAAAACTCAACAAAATATTAATAAGTTGAACCCAGCAATAGATCAAATTAATTATATACAGATTGAGCATCCCAAATCCAAAAACCTGAAATCCAAAATGCTCTGAAATCTGAAATGCTCCAAAATCTGATACTTTTTGAGTGCTGACAAGGACATGATGCTCAAAGAAATGCTCACTGGAGCACTTTGAGATTCTGGACTTTCAAATCAGGGATGCTTAACTAGTTAAAAATCTGCAAATGTCCCAAAATTCAAAACAATCTAAAATCTAAAACACTTCTTTCAGATCACAAGCCTTTTGGATAAGGAATCCTCAACCAATACCACGACCAAATAAGACTCATTCCAGGTCTGCAAAATCTAGTTAAACATTCATAAGTAAATTAATGTAATCTATCACATCAATATGCTAAACAAGAAAATCATATGATCATATCAACAGAAGCAAAAATATTTTTAAGGCTGGGTGCAGTGGTTCACGCCTATAATCCCAGCACTTTGGGAAGCCAAGGCAGGTGGATCACTTGAGATCAGGAGTTCAAGACCAGCCTGACCAACATGATGAAACCTTATCTCTACTAAAAATACAAAAATTAGCCAGGCGTAGTGACGCACACCTGTAATCCCAGCTACTTGAGAAGCTGAGGCACGAGAATCGCTTGAACCCCAGAGGCAGCCTGGGTGACAAAGTAAGACTCTGCCTTTAAAAAAAAAAAAATCAGTACCCATTCACAATAAAAACTCTGAGCAAACTGGAAATAGAAAGAACTTTCTCAACTTGATGAAGAACATGTATAAAATACCTACAGCTAAAATCATACTTAATTTTCCCTAAGATCAGTATAAAGAAAAGATGTCTGTTTTCACCACAGCTATTCAACACTATATGAGAATTCCTAGCTAATGCTATAAGACAAAAAAAGATATATACAGATTGAGAACAAATAAACAAAACTGTCTTTGTTTACAGATGAGAAAATCCCAAAGAATCAACAACAGCAAAAGACCTTGGCCACAAGCAAACGATTATAGCAAGGATGCAAGACAGAAGCTTAACATCCAAAAATCAATTGCTTTCCTGTATACCAGTGCTGAACAGCTGAAACTTGAAATTAAAAATATAATACCACTCCAAAGCCATAGCACCAAAAATAATAAAACATTTAGGTATAAATCTAACAAAATATAGTGTGCAGAGAATCTAAATAAGGAAAACACAAACTCTGGTAAAAGAAATCAAACAAGATCTCAATAAATTGAGGAATATTCCATGTTCATGGTCAGGAATACACAATATTACTAAGATGTCATCTCTTCACAAATGGAGCCATAGAATACACAGTCCCAATCAAAATCCCAGCAGATTATTTTGTGGATATGACAAACTGATTATAAAGTTTATATGACAAGGCAAAAGATTCAGAATAGTCAACACAGTATCAAAGAAGAACAAAGTCTGAGGGCTGACGCTACCCTACTTCAAAACTAACTATAAAGCTAAGGTAATCAAGGCAGCATGTGTTGATGAAAGTATAAACAAATAGATAATGGAACACAATTACCCAAAAATAGACCCACAGATATAGAAGCTAATCTTTGACAAAGGATCAAAGGCAATTCAATAGAAAAAGAATGGTCTTTTCAACAATTGATGCTAAAACAATTGGATATTCATATGCAGACATTTTAATCTAGACATAGAACTCAAGGTGGACAATAGAGCTAAATGTAAACGCAAAACTGTAAAACTTCTAGGAGATAACACAAGAATATCTAAGTGACCTTGAGTTTGACAATGAGTTTTTTTGGGTTTTTTTGTTTGGTTGGTTTTTTGTTTTTTTTTTTTTTTGAGACGGAGTCTCGCTCTGTCGCCCAGGCTGGAGTGCAGTGGCACGATCCCAGCTCACTGCAAGCTCTGCCTCTCGGGTTCAGACCATTCTCCTGCCTCAGCCTCCCGAGTAGCTGGGACTACAGGCGCCCGTCACCACTGCTGGCTAATTTTTTATGTTTTTAGTGGAGACGGGGTTTCACCATGTTAGCCAGATGGTCTCAATCTCCTGACCTCATGATCCGCCCGCCTCGGCCTCCCAAAGTGCCGGGATTACAGGCGTGAGTCACCATGACTGGCCTGACAATGAGTTTTTAGATATAATTCCAAAAGCACAATCCATGAAAGAAAAAATCTGTAAGTTAGACTTTAGTAAAATGTGGAACTTCTGCTTTGTGAGAGACACCACTAAGACAATGAAAAGACAAACTGGGAGAAAATATTTGCAAATACATATCTGATAAAAGACTTGCATCTAGAAAATACAAAGAATTGTTAAAGCTCAACAACAGGAATATAAAAATAAAAATAAGCAAAAAATCTGAATAGACACCTCAGCAAAGAAGATGTATAGATAAAAAATAAACGTGTGAAGATATGCTTAACCTACCATGTGCAAATTGACACAATAATGAGATACTACTATACACCAACTAGAATGGCTAAAATTAAAAAAAAAAAAAAAATGACCACACCAAACGCTGACAAGGCTATAGAGCTACAGGGACTCTCACTCATTGCTGGTAGGAATTCAACATGGTACAGTCACCTTAAAAGACAATATGGCAGCTTCTTTTTGTTTGTTTGTTTTTGAAATGTTTTTGAAACAGAGTCTCACTCTGTCACCCAGGCTGGAGTGCAGTGACACAATCTCAACTCACTGCAACCTCCGCCTCCTGGATTCAAGCGATTCTTCTGCCTCAGCTTCTCAAGTAGCTGGGACTACAGGCGCGTGCCACCACACCTGGCTAGTTTTTTGTATTTCTAGTAGAGATAGGGTTTCACCATGTTGGCCAGAATGGTCTCGAACTCCAGACCTGGTGATCCACCCGCCTCGGCCTCCCAAAGTGCTGGGATTACAGGCATGAGCCACCACACCTGGCCAGCAGTTTCTTAAAAAGCTAGTCTTACCACATGATCCAGTAACTGTGCTCCGTGATATTTATCCAAATGAGTTGCAAACTTACATCTACACAAAAACCTGCACACAAATGTTTATAGAAAGTTTACCTGTAACTGCTCAAAACTGGAAGCAATGAACATGCCCTTCAAAAGGTTAATGGAGAAACAAACTATGGTGCTTATCTACAACTAAATCCTATTCAGCAATACAAAGTAAAGAAATGGGCTATGTTGCCATGAGAAGACTTGATGGAGCCCTAAATGCATATTACTAGGTAAAAGAAGCCAATCTGAAAAGGCTACATACTGTATTATTCCAACAATATGACCTTCTGGAAAAGGCAAAACTATTCAGACAGTAAAACTATCAGTGATTGCTGAGCTGGGGAGGGAGGACAGGTAAAGCATGGGAGATTTGGAAACGTAAAACTATTCTTCATGACAATGTAATAATAGATGCAAGACATAATGCATTTGTCAAAACCTGGAAGTATACAACACAAAGAATAAACCTTAATGTAGATAATGGAGTTCAATTAATAATAATGTATCAACCAACATTGGTTCGTTAATTGACAAATGTACCATGCCAATGCAAGAGGTAAATAATAAGAGAAACTGGGAAGGGGAGAAGGGGGATATGGGAGCTATCTGTACCATCTGCTCAATTTTTCTGTAAATCCAAAACAGTTCTACAAAGTAAAGTTTATTAATTAAAAAGAATCCAATGGGAGAAATGATGGGCAAAGGATCCAATTGGACATTTCTCCAAAGAAGACATACAAATAGCCAATAAGCACATGAAAAGATGGTTAACATTATTTAGACATCTAGAAAATGCAAATCAAAATCACAATGAGGTACCACTTCATACCCACCAGGACAGTAAGAATCAAAAAGTCAGATAAAAACAAATGTTGGTGAAGATACAGACAAATCAGAACCCTTATACACTGCTGGTGGGAATATAAAATGGTTCAGCCACTTAGAAAAATAGTCTAACAGGTCTTCATAAAAACTTAGAGCTACCATTTAACCTAGCAATTCCTCTCCTAGATACATACCCAGGAGAAGTGAAAATATACATCTATGCAATAACTTATACACAAATGTTCTTAGTAGCATCACCATAACAGCCAATAGGCAGAAACAACCCAAATGTCCATCCATGGATGAAAGGATGAACGAAGTGTGATATAGCCATACAATGTTATTCAGTCATAAAAAGGAATTAAGTACTGATACATGCTATAATTTGGGTGAGCCTTGAAAACATTAAGCTAAGTGACAGAAGTCAGTTACAAAAAAGCCACAGATGATGCCATTTATATGAAATTTCCAGGATAGGCAAATACATAGAGACAGAAAGTAGACTGGCAGTTGTTTAGGGATGGGATGGGAGAGAGAATGCAAGGATTGAAGAATGATGGCTAGGGGTGAAGGATTTATTTTTGAGGTGATAAAAAGGTTCTAAAACTGATTGTGGGGATAGGAAAAGAACAAAATAAACAAAATAAATAAAATTGATTTTGGCAATGGTTGCACAATCCTGTGAATATACTAAAAACCACTGAATTGTATGTTTTAAGTGGGTGATTTGACAGTAGGTGAATTATATAGCTCAACAAATCTGTTCCCAAAAGAATGTTACCTTCTAAACGTTGATGACTCCCAAATAAGAGCTGTCAGATTTCAGTAATGAAAATACAAATATTGCATGGTTCACACTTATAACAAAGACCATTCATTGCATATCTGAAATTCAACTGTAAGAGGATGTCCTGCATTTTATCTGGCACCCCTACTCCCAAATCTATTCTGTCCAATCCAGAACATAATTATCCTCAGTTCAATATTCACATATCCAGGCCAGATGCGGTGGCTCATGCCTGTAATCCCAGCACTTTGGGAGGCCAAGGCAGGTGGATCACCCAAGGTCAGGAGTTCAAGACCACCCTGGCCAACATGGTGGAACCCATCTCCACTAAAAGTATAAAAATTAGCTGGGCGTGGGGGCAGGTGCCTGTAATTGCAGCTACACGGGAGGCTGAGGCAGGAGACTCCCTTGAACCCAGGAGGCAGAGGTTGCAGTGAGCCGAGATCACACTACTGCACTCCAGCCTGGGTGACACAGCGAGACTCCATCTCGAAAAAAAAAAAAAAAAGATTCACACATCCAATAAGTAGCTCTATTTGATTATGCCCCAGATATCAAACATAACCAAAACTAAAATTACCTCTCATCTCCTCTGAGGAGATGGTCAAAATATATAAGAACTGGTACCTGGTATTGGTATCTTAGGGCTTATACAGGTCTCCTGGTATCCTCTTCCAACCCGCAATGGCCTGGCATAAACAATAGTTGGTGGCTTACAACAGGAGAGTTTCATATTTCAATGAAGAGCCCACAGGCAGATGAGAGCACACTGAACATCAGCCTCCCTCTCTCAAACTAAAATCAGTGGCTCTTCCAACACTTTGCCACCATCATCTCTGACCTGGGAATCTCATGTCCCATCCAGTCTTCACTGTTTACCTCTAAAAGAAAAACCTGATATCTTCACTGTTCTTGAAACCTTTCCATGCAATGGTT
This sequence comes from Homo sapiens, assembly GCF_000001405.40. Lineage (NCBI taxonomy): Eukaryota > Metazoa > Chordata > Mammalia > Primates > Hominidae > Homo > Homo sapiens. The sequence continues at coordinate 28,196,925 of NC_000010.11, forward strand.
CCCACTCTCTTAGAAGAAAGCCCATTTACCTTCTGTCGTTTACAAAGCTATTCAAGAACAGGTCACTGTTCATCTCTCCTGCCACCCTTGGCTGCCCACAGCCTTCCTGGTGTCACAGATCAGCCAAAACAATCTGTTGACCTCAATCCTAAAGGTGGATTGTTCGCTCTTGCCTCCAGGTGTTCGCATCCATTATTCCTTCTGCCTGACCTCCCATGCCCTCATCCATCCCATAAACTCTAACCTGAGCAACTTCCTTTTTTTTTTTTTTTTTTTGAGATGGAATCTTGCTCTGTCGCCCAGGCTGGAGTACAGTGGCACGATCTCAGCTCACTGCAACCTCTGCCTCCCAGGTTCAAGCAATTCTCATGCCTCAGCCTCCCAAGCAGCTGGGATTACAAGAATGTGCCACCATGCCTGGCTAATTTTTGTATTTTTAGTAGAGACAGGGTTTCACCATTTTGACCAGGCTGGTCTCGAACTGTTGACCTCAAGTGATCCACCTGCCTCAGCCTCCCAAAGTGCTGGGATTACAGGCATGAGCCACCACACCCAGCCTAACCTGAGCAACTCCTATACCGAATGCAGGTTCCAACTTAAGATACCAAATCCTCCATGAACCGCCCCCTCTGAGGCTAGTGTTGAGTGAGGTACCTTGTGTCTCTCCTAAAAAGCTCCAAATGAGGCCTATCTTAGAATACTGTAATCATCCATCCCTTCATTTATAAACTCTCTGGGAGACTGGAGCCCCCACAGGCAAGGGATTGTGCCCACCAAGTTGAACATCTTGGCCCTAGTGGTCCATATAGTAACTGGCATAGAGTATGTACCCAACAAATAGTATCAATCAGTCCATCAAAACTCAAAGTTAAATAGATGCTTGAGGTGATGGATACCCCATTTACCCTGATGTGATTATTATATTGCATGCTGGTATCAAAATATATTGTATACTCCATAAAAATATATACCTACTATGTAACCCCCAAAATTAAAAAATATGCAAAGCTAAAACAATGTAACCAGATGTTACAGGGGTCTGAGTATTTATCATTACTTGTATAAGGCTGAAATCACAGAAACACACACAATAATTCAATCATATGAGGAAAATTATCTGGAAAATATCAATTTGGGTTTGTTGAAATACTTCAAAATACCAAAAAGAATAAAATTCAGATTGCTACATTTTTTCCTCCTGTTCCCAAATATACACACAATTACTTTAAAGGGTAGGGGTAAACATAACACAACCATTTAAAAGGTACTAACAATTCCATATTCTTATCCTAGAAATCTAACATAGTTGTGAGTTAAAAACAAAGATTTCTGGAGAAAACAGAACTACAGCCTTATTTAAAAGAAATATAGGCCAGGCGCAGTGGCTCACACCTGTAGTCCTAACACTTTGAGAGTCCGAGGCAGGTGGATCCCTTAGGTCAGGATTCAAGACCAGCCTGGCCAACATGGTGAAACCCTGTCTCTACCAAAAATACAAAAATTAGCCGGGACTGGTGACAGACGGCTGCAGTCCCAGCTACTTAGGAGGCTGAGGCATGAGAATCACTTGAACCTAGGAGGCAGAGGTTGCAGTGGGCCAAGATTGCACCATTACACTCCAGCCTGGGCAACAGAGCAAAACTCTGTCTCAGAGAATTTAAAAAAAAAAAAAAGAAAGAAAGAAATATAGTATTTAAGCAAGTTTTTGTGCCATATCTTGTTCTAAAATGAACTTAAACCAGATTACAAAAACACACAGAAACATAACTAAAAAAAATAAAATGTAAAATAAGTAAAGAGATCTCAATAGGAAAAAAGAATCCACAAGAATAGAAACTACATCTAGAAATGAGGTTGGGATACAAAATATATGGTCCTGGATATTTGCAAGAGATGGGTCCTGGATGCAGCTCTACCCTTGCTGATGGTCTATGCCATTCCCTAGTTCATGTGAATTCTGATATCCTTCTATTTCCACCCTCATAAACAATGTATTTCCATCCCACAGATATGTGTATTTGTCAGTTTTCACATACCTGAGACTGGGTAATTTATAAAGAAAAAGAGATTTAATGGACTCACAGTTCCATGCGGCTGGGGAAGCATCACACTCATGGCAGAGGCGAAAGGCACATCTTACATCGTGGTAAGCAAGAGAGGATGAGAGCCAAGCATAAGGGGTTTCCCTTTAAAAAACCATCAGCTCTTATGAGACTTATTCACTACCATGAGAAGAGTATGAGGGAAACCACCCCCCACGATTCGATTATCTCCCGCGGGGTCCTTCCCACAACACATATGAATTAAGGGAGCTACAATTCAAGATGAGATTTGGATGGGGACACAGCTAAACCATATCAATATGAGACTTCTCAGGCATTCTCTCAGTATCATCTTCCCTCTGATACTTCTAAAGTCTCATGCTCACCGTTTTTATTATTCTTCGTTTCTATTTAGGCGTTTTTCTTTTAAAAAGCATCCTCAGCTAACACCCTAGAGGATCACCATATTTCCTTTTTAGTGACAAGCTCCCAGCCTACATATACTTGCACTGTAGCCAGATACCCCAAGGTGGCTGAATCTGTCACAGAGACTGTATTACTCAAACTTCCTCTTTATAAGTATATTTTTTCCTAGTCCAAAGAGGTCTATGTATTTAAAATTGTGTTGTGATTTACAACCTGCCCCCAAACTTTTTTTTTAAGAGACAGAGTCTCTGTCATCCAGACTGGAGCATAGTAGTGTGATCTCAGCTCACTGCAGCCTTGACCTCCCGGGCTCATGCAATCCTCCCACATCAGACTCTTGAGTGGCTAGGACTGCAGGCATACACTACTATGCCTGGCTAATTTTTAATTTTTTTTTGAGAGAGAGGGTCTTGCTGTGCTGCCCAGACTGGTCTTGAACTCCTGGCCTCGGATTACAGGTGTGAACCACTGCACTCAGCCCATTTAAACACACACACACACACACACACACACGATCACACGATAACAACTATGAAAATTCTGTACTAGAATAAAATCAAGTTTTGTGTTCACTCAGTTCTAAACCACATTCTAACAGCTTCGACTGCAGGCAGAAGAGCATAAAACCAAAGCGATTTTGATTCACTCTACCACAAATCTTTTCATACAAATTCCTTCAGCTCTACCAAGATTTACGTACAAAAGCTGAAGGCTTCTATCCTCCAAGCTTAAATAGACACGCTTGGAATACAGTTAAGCGGTTTGTTCCAGCTGTTTAAAGCTCCAGTCCCAGGAACCTGCCTCCTGAAAGTATTGCAGACTTTACATACTTGAAAACGAATAGAATGGGTCAGTCAAAGGACACACTTGAGGTCTGTGTCTGATAAAAGTTGGGGGTGGGAGGAACTATTAAGACATTGAGAATGTACTAGAGGTACGTAATAAAACTAATTTTGAAAATACATTTTACAGCAATTACTGGAAAACATTTAGAATAGTACATGTGTTATTGTGCTATCTAAATACTAGCAACATGAGTTTATTCGCTCCACTGTTTTTATGAAATCAGATATCAATACCCTCCGCTATGCTTTCTAACCACTTAGTATTGACATATACTTTGAAAAACAGCCTCAGCTTAAAACTCAAGCCAGTGTAACTAAGAATTTGTTTTATGCATTAGTTTCATTCTTTTAATAGAAATAACAACCATCTCTGTAGTTCCTTTTTGGTCTTTAGCGTGCTACGATAATTAACTTTTTCCTCAATACTTAATAATGCCTACTTAAATTTGTCTAACCCCATTATATAACTACCAAAAAACTCAGATCTTCGCTATTTTATTTGAAACTCACAAACAACCCTGTAAACAGATATTATAACTTTAATTTTATAGGTAAGGAAACTGAGATAGTAGCTATTTGTAAATACATACAAATGAATATGCATCCATTGTTTGGAGGCATGCTTATTTAATGATTAAAGGATGATGATGACACCTCAAATATATTTTATTCCTGCTATCAAAAGGTCAACTCAATCTAAATAAACCCATAGCTATCCAACTTCCACACAGTCAACTTAAAAATATTTTTATGATTGTATTACCAAGTCATAAACGTCATCAGTTATAATCCCAAGACCATGCCTAATAAATCCCCAGAGGGCAACTATTATTTAGAGCACAAGGATGCCTTGGAAATTACACTGTTATGAAAAAATAAAGAAATGAACAAATAAACATGGTCTTTAAATGTACTGCTAGGGAAATGCCACATATCAACACTTCCATTTCTTAAGAATTGTCACTGCTGCAAGTACACAAATTTCAGTAAATTTGACAAAAGAAATATAGGAATTCTGTTCTGAAAAGCAATTGCAACTCAGAAATTGCTCATTTTCTAATACTCTATATCAATTAAAAGCCTCTTATCATGACAGGCAGCCATAACAAAGTTAGCTGAATTTAAAAATATAGGTCCAGTTATCATTGAGGCACTGGTTTCTACCTCCTCATAAACTCCAGAAAGACTCTAAATTTCTTTCAGCTTGAGTTAGATGAGAGAAAATGCAATTCATATTTCCAGAAGCACAAGTGGCATATTTTCCAGTAAGCTTCTTGTTCTCATTTTACTATTTTAGGAGTTCTGATCACTCCCAATGTTGCTGTATGGCCAGACCCGATTTCTGCTGGCTGATCATTTTCATGGCATGATGCTTTACTAAAACTGTCTCCAAAAACTGTTTTTACTCACATTCGGCTTCAGTGTATTTATATACAAAATACCACTTCAATGGAGTTCTGCCAATAAAAGGAACAGCTTACTAGAATTTCAGTTGACTTTGTTAAAGGAAATTATTTTAAATTAATGTGGCTACTGAACTGCTGCCATCCTTGACCTCAGAAAATAGATTCCTTCTAATTTTTGCTGTGAACATTTATTTAAGTTAAATTCCAGCTCATGAATGTTGACCGTAAAAGAGTCTAAACCTTCCTGCTACTATTTCATATTCTTTCTCTAAACAAGGGGGTGACCACATGGTTGCTACATTAGTATACAGAGCCAGCTCACCACCATTAAGTGAAATCATCTATGTATTTTTGGTAGAATCTTTAACAACTTCCACGCCCGTCGGTGAATGGAACAAGGCTGTTTTGTTTTCAGAGAGCAACAATTTGATCTCTGGTTTACTTGGTGGTGCCCCAAATATTTTTCCATATGCTTTTCGCAAAGAGAATCTGACATCAGCATGGTTTACCTTTACCAATGAATGCAGGCTTTTTTCACCAAACATATCCCAGAGGAAGGTCAGGTCTTCCTGGCTATCCACATGTGGCTGCAGCTGGGCTGGCAGAGCAGCCAACAGCTCATACAGACCTATAAAATGAAAATAAAACACAAAGTGTAATCTTAGAGTGATCTCATTAATTTCGCCTAAGGTGTGTGTAAATGACAGCTGGAACATGCCAATTTTACTGGATTTGTATTCCGGGCCATCAAGCTAAACACTTCTCCAAAGAACCAAAGGGGAATTTTCTGGCTTTTAAATTCCAAAGCAGTGGTATGTATTAACAGACTCATTTTTACCTCTCACAGTTGTCAACATTCTACAGCCCTCCAAGTTTACATAATCCGAGACAGAAAATGTGTACAGGTTTTCAGAAAAAGAAGAAAACGCATACATTCCTTTCCTTAATCATTATTACATTTCCCTCAATCTGAGCCAAAGAGTGAAATGAGTTATGAATAGGAAAAACTTCCTTAGAAGAACAGAGAATTGATAGGGTGGCCCATTAAAAGGGTTTTGTAGTGTCCAAATAGTTCCTAATAACATATAGTTTCAAAAATACTTGCATTATCTAACATCCAAAAGAAAGTCCTACAAAGTACGGGAAAAGAAATCATAAATGGTTCTACATTACTATAGTCAACTATCAAAAAAAAAAAAGCTACGTAGAACTTAGTTTAAAATTGGGGGATGTAAAGCTTATGTAATACCCTCTGAAAGAGTTAAAGTAACAGATGCGGGTTACTCGTGGCGTCCTCACTAGCCACTTCCTAGGGGCAGACAGTAGTGCAGTGTTCCACGGTAGCGTACTACATAAACCATCCATCTCCATCACAGCCCGTCACACTCCTGTCCAAGAAATGTTGCAACAGTGCCTGCCCGAGACTCTTTAGGGAGGTGACCTGGCAGGAGTCAATATCAACTCATAGCACATGTTTCATTTTCCAGTGGGATTACATGAGGTAAAAAGGACAAAATTCCTTTTATTTCTTGTCTGCTGTCTACAAAAACACCAAGACCTCCTGGGACCTACAACACATGGGACTGTTGTTATTTTTGGTCTGAATAAGTGCTGCTGTTCATCACAGGGACAGCTTTACAAGAGATTTAACTAGCAAAGAATAGTAAATTATGGGCTGATGATTCGTATATCTATTATCTTCCTGAAGCATACTAATTCTGCTTATCAGTGATAACTTACAACCAAAGGCATTAGGTACCATATTGAAAATTAAGATACATAACTTGGGAGATCTGATTAAATTGAAACATTTCTGGGGCCTTATTTGGCCAAAAAAAGCTAAAACAGTCTTTAAAAAAAAAAAAAAAAAAAACCTTCTCTCAATTACATTCTGAAGTATTCTTGGTATTTTACATCTATTCCCTTAAAATCCTGGCATTCTGCCTACACCAGCTCTTATTTACAGTTTAGTAAAATTATTTGTAAGGTATCTCAGCCTAACTCAATCTATAATAATACAGGTTTCATTATATATATGAAAGTAATCAACAATGGCCAAGATCAGTGGTTAAGGTCGGAAGTCAAAATGTGAAATTATGTAAAGAAAGGGTGAAATTTCATTATTTTATTATTGATTTGGGGAGTTGTAAAAATAATTACCTATTCCTTGGTAACATGACTTACAGTTTAATTAAGGAGACTAATTCAACTGTGACATAATTTACATGATAAAAGTTGTCAGGAGGATTAAATGACTCAATACCTTAGAACAGTCCCTGTCACATAAAAAGTACTCAATACATTTCACATGAAACTCAGTAAGTTTCAGCTATTGTCATAATTATTACTGTTATTAATCATATCGTTACAGAAAAAGCAAAAGTGTGGATCAAACACAGCTAGATTCAAACTCAAAGTCTACACTTAGAGCATTTCACGTAACTTAACTGAGCCTTATTTCCCTCATGTGTTTAAAAACAAATGGTAACCTACAGGTGTGGTAAAATCGCATAGCACGGCCAGGCATAATGGCTCACGCCCATAATCCCAGCACTTTGGGAGGCCGAGGTGGGCAGATCACTTAAGGTCAGAAGTTCAAGATCAGCCTGGCCAACATGGTGAAACCCCATCTCTACTAAAAATACAAAAATTAGCCCAGTGTGGTGGCACACACCTGTAATTTCAGCTACTCGGGAGGCTGAGGCAGGAGAATCACTTGAACCCCGGAGGTGGAGGTTGGAGTTAGCCAAGACCACACCATTGCACTCCAGCTTGGGCAACAGAGTGAAACTCCGTCTCAAAAAAAAAAAAAAAAAAATGCATAGCACTAAATACGCAAACACACGGAGACACACACAAATAAGTGCATATAAAATGTGAAATCTGAAAAGGTCAAAGGATTGTACCAATGGCAATTTCCTAATTGCAAGACTCTATTATAATTATGCAAGATGCTACCATCGGAAGAAAGTAGCTGAGGGGTACATGAGATCATAACATCAATCTACAATTATCTCAAAATAAAATGCTAACATAAAAAAAATTATGGCAAACACGGTTGTTGTAAGAATTCTATAGAGCAATTCATATGGCAGCATTTAGCCCTGTGGCTGGCACAGCGTAGGCAGTCCGTTGCTTAACATGTCTTCTTCTAGAATGAAAATGTCATTTCAATTCAATGGTTCAAAGTCAAACAATAGCTTAGCTGTATATTGCAATTGGATACAATACCATACTCAGAAATAAAACCACGCTAGTCTTTTACATATGGAAAGTGTTAACTTTACCCAAGTACTGCTTACATTTTGTGGGAATAAGCCATATTATATTTAAGTTTTTATAAAAAATAATTTTTCTGTTAGCAGAAGCTCATAAACCAGAGTTCTCTGGTTTTTACTAGTTTTATGTAATCCTAACTAATATCCCACCACAGTTTGGCACTCTAGTAACAAGAGCCGTACCTTCCCTTCAACTACCACATCTGGTAACCATGACCACAGCAAGAAAAGACAGCACAGTGCCAACCAGAAATTAAAGACATGATTAAAGGAGCCACCAGGCCAGAGCCGTGTGCAGTCTCCATGAAGGTAAATAATATAGACAACTACTTCCACTCAAATGAATTATAAGGGCCCTAGAAACCATCTCTGGCCATGCATAAAATGGGGCCTGTGTTTTAACATGTTTTTTAAAATACTCCTATACTCAGTTCCTAAAGTTCTAATGGTGAAGAGTTTTGTGAAATCCAAATGGTTTGGGTCATGGAGATTCAAGGGCAAATGATGAGAGTTTAGATAGCAGCAGATATTTTTTAAGAATTTACCTAAATCTACTTGGTCTTTGGGCAAGAACTGAGACAATGAGATACCCTATACTCTGTAGTCATTCAAACTCATTGATTCCAGTAAACAGTTATGGTAGCTATGAATGAAACACTCCTCAAGGCTCTAAAGATCTAAGAAAAATCAGTCACAGCTCCTGTCCTCAGGAGTTGGCAGTGCAGCAGACAAGCACAGACAGGTCTATTCGTAAGTCCAGGACAAGGTTAGAGTGCTGCGGCAATGGCAAGGGAAGTGGTCAATTCCTGCAAAGGACGAAGAAGACATCAGGAAAGTCTTCAGAAAAGAAGTAAACACTTGAGTTAGGTCTTTGCTGTGGTTTGAATGTGTCCCCTAAAAAGCATGTATCAGAAACTTAAACCCCAATGCAAGAGCGTTGGGAGGTGGAGGCCAGTGAGAGGTTATGGATAGATTAATGCCATTATTGTAGGAGTGGGCTCATTATCTTGGGAATGGGTTCATTATATGAAGGTGAGTCAGTCTTCTTCTCCCTCTCTTTGCCTTTCTGCCATGGATGACACAGCAAGAAGGCCCTCATCAGATTCTGGTTCCTCGATCTTGGACTTCCCAGCCTCCAGAACTGTGAGCCAATAAAATTCTGTTCATTACAAATTGCCTAGTCTGTGGTATTCTGTTATAGCAGTACAAAACTGACTAAGACCCTCTTTAAAGGCAAAGTTCCTAAGAATCAACATTTACTGAGTTCTCATATTCAGGGTACTATGCTTGTCACTGGAGATACAACTTATAGAATATATGACTATCTCTGCCCCCAGAGGTCTTATCATCTTAGATGACACAGAATATGCCCCAACATAAAGCAATCCTAAATATAAGGCTCTCTTATTTGCCCAAGAAAAGATCCAAAACACATTTTCTTTCAAATAAATACATGAACATTTAATGTGACAATGAAATACATACCTAATTAATTATTAACATCTGTTTATGTCTAATAATTCAAATATCTAATTGACTTTTACAGATGTTGATAAAATGCTCATGCCTGCTTCTAAAATTTACATTGCAGTTTAGTTAGGAACACATACCTTAAATTACCTATGAGGTAAAATATATTAATTTAGATATTAGGTTTGGGCCCCACTTGCATATTTCATGAAATTGTTTTATTTAAATTATTTACAATAACTTTGTAAATAATTTAAATTTCAGAGTTAAAATACATCATTTTCATTTCTAGATAAGCTATAAGCTGTTTGAGATGGAGCATATTTTTGATTATTCGTGAGATGCTGTCATGGGAAATCTACATAAAACTGATCGGTTTTTCATTTGTCCTGTAACTGTATAGTTTTTATCTCTACAACAGAACCACTAAGCTACTCTTTAAGTATCTTTAACGTTGGCAAATGTGAGGTCACAACCTTTCCCTAAGGAATAATAATTAAATCTGGCTTAAACTTCTTTGCAACGTTTTTTTTCTCCCATTGTCTTGATGAATAGTGTCCTTTTTTAAAAAACAATTCTGTCAGGTGGCCTCTAAAACCATACCCAAAAATTTTGAATTTAGGTTATATGAGAACAATGTGCCTTCTCCATTCAACAAATTTTTGAGTAAGTGAAATAACAGAAAGTTACCTATAAGAGATTTTGTAAGAACTTCAATATAAAGCAGCTCTCTCTTCTCTGAGAAAGAATTTTAAGGAGGAAAAAAAATCTCACCTTATATTTGGGTACATGGAATAGACACTGTCAAAGATGCAGGTGAAGCATTTCAATAAAATTATTTCATAAAATTCTCCAGTATATAAAAAGCAATATTTTTTAATTTGCATATTTTATAACTGAAAAAAAAAGAAAGCACCACAGCAAAACTAAAATATGTCAAGGGTCAGTTGATTGATACGTACAAGAACTGTAATAATTTAAAGATGAGACCAATCATTGAAGGTCAGAAAAGGTTATATTGGGGGCTGGGCACAGTGGCTCACTCCTCTCAGCACTTTGGGAGGCCAAGGCAGAAGGATTGCTTGAGTTACAGACCAACCTGGGCAACACAGTGAGACCCTGTCTATATAAAAAATTTAAGAAATTACCCGGGCATGGTGGTGCACACCTGTAGTCCCAGATACTCAGGAGGCTGAGGCAGGAGAATCACTTGAGCCCAGGAGGTAAAGGCTGCAGTGGTGTGGTGACTATAATCACATCACTTTACTCCAGCCTGGGCATCAGAGTGAGACCCCATCTCAAAAAGAAAAAAAAAAATGAAAAAAGAAAGAAAAAGAAAAGGCTATACTGGAACTTGCAGGACTTGAGCTAGGATCTGAAAAAGGAAAACAGAACCTGCAAGGGTACATTCTAGGTTGGAGAACACCCAAGGTGGAAAGGCAGTTATAATCACATAAATCTATAGATTTTTAAGTGCACTAAATTTCCGTAAAACTGAAGAAAACACTAGTGATTTATCAAACCCTAATTTCTGCCTTTTATGTTTGCATCAGTCATGGTCCAACCTGGAGACAGGAGCTCTGCAGTAATTTGAACAGAGAAGCTTAATATAAATAATTATTACCTATAACAGGGGCTTATCTGTAAAGTCAGAGAGAACTCTAAAGAATACCTAGGACTGAAGGAGATTTTTTCCTGTTATCCAAGGAGAAAACAACCTTGGAAGAGGACTCCCTCCCCAAGGCTAAGACTCAGAGCTCACAGGAGAACGTGTGTTTGCAGCTCACAAGATGGTTGGGTTCCTTGGGCCAAAGATTCTCCATTATCATTGAGCAGGCAAGAAACACCCACCTCCAGGATGCAAGTGGACAAGAAACTGTGCCTGGGACTAGCAAGCAGGAAACACTTCTCCAGTATACAGATGGTTTGAGGCTGGCAGGCAGGAAACCATTTTTAGTCCTGGCATAGCAGGACTAAAAAGCCAGAAATATCCTGGGGGTGTATATAACAGTGACAGGAACTGTCAAGCAAACACCCCCTCCAGTACATAGGCAGGGTGAGGCTAGGAAGTTGACCTCTGGGATGCCCACAAGACTCACTGGGAGTCTGCCCATGGGCGTGTCACTAAAACTCAAAGAGGATAACTACCACTGGATACTCCCACAAGTGCTGTTAGAAATCCTATGAAAGGAGAAAGAAAAAGCAAATAAGAAAACACAAGAATAAGGAAGAGATGCCTCCGCCTCCTCTTGCATTGTCCCATCCAGTGCCCTCATCTGACAAAACTTAACGTCAGGCCAGCAGCAAAAGAGAAATACTTAAAGGGCCTAGCTCTATCTTCATAGTGCAGACAATGAAGTATGAATTTGGAGCTAAGAGGCAATAAAATGATAACTGGCTCAATCTTCTATATGGAGATTTATGTATGTACATATGAGGCTGATATAGTTTAGGTATGTGTCCCCTCTAAGTCTCATGTTGAATTGTAATCCCAAATTGGGACCTGGTGGAAGGTGACTGGATCATGGGGGTGGATCCCTCATGGCTTGAAGCTGTCCTCAAGACAGTGAGTGAGTTGTAGTGAGACCTGTTTGTTTAAGTGTGGCACCTCCCCCCACTCACTTCCTTTGCCCCTACTTTCACCATCTGATACACCTGCTCCCCATTCACCTTCCACCACTATTGTAAGCTTCCTGAGGCCTCCTCAGAAGCAGATGCCAGCTCCATGCTCCTGTACAGCCTGCAGAGCCGTGAGCCAATTATACTTCTTTTCTTTATAAATTGCCCAGTCGCAAGTATTCCTCTAGGGCAATGCAAAGAACGACCCAACACAGAGGCCGAGGCAGGAATATCGCTTGAGGCCAGGAGCCTGGGACAAGCCTGGGCAACTTAGAAAGAACCATCACTACCAAAAAAAAATTTTATGTTAGCTGAGCATAGTGGTGTGCACCTCTATAGCACCAGCTACTTGGGAGGCTGAGGAGGGAGGATCCTTTGAGCCCAGGAGTTCAAGGCTGCAGTGAGCTATGATTGCACCACTGCACTCCAGCCTGAGTGACAGAATGAAATCCTATCTCCAAAAAAAAAAAAAAAACTATGTGTGTGTCTCTTTCTGGGGGAGAGGAATATTGTCTTTCTGCTTTGTTTTCGATGTTCTTTCTGTTGTTTGGCATTGGAGATACAATGAAAAATATTTAGTGATTAGTGAAAGTAAAGGTTTTTCTAATACAGATTTGAAAGGGAAATACTATTACATCAAAGGCTTGTATTGACAATGTTTGCCTGTCTTAACAATATGCTAAGCCTGACCCCAACAGCTCAGGTGGAGCACTAGGCCAAAGTTCTAAGTTCAACAAATGACAAATAAACAGTCTTGAGATGGTTAATTTTATGTGTTAATTTGACTGAGCTAAGAGATGTCCAGATAGGTGGTAAGACATTATTTCTGGGTATGTCTGCACGGATGTTTCCGAAAGAGATTATCCTTTGAATTGGTAGACTCAAGAAAGAAGATCTGCTCTCACCAACATGGGCAGCATCAGCCAATCTCACTGAGAGTCCAAATAGATCCAAAAGGCAGAGGAAGGGCAAATTCCCCCTCACTCTTATTGAGCTGGGACACCCATCTTCTCCTGCCCTCAGGTATCAGGCTTCCTGGTTCTTGGGCCTTTGTGCTTTGATACTTACTTATACTGCAGCCCTTTCCCTTCCACCCCATAATCTTGGCTCTCAGGCCTTCAGACTCAGACTGAGTTATGCCACCAGCTTTCCTGGTTCTCCACGTTGCAGATGGCAGATCACTGGACTTCTCGACCTCCATAATCACGTGAGTGAATTCCCATAATAAATCTCCTATAAACACACACACCTATATAAGTCAGTTGGTACAAAAGTAATCACAGTTTTTACTACAATGCCAAAAACTGCAATTACTTTTGCACCAACCTAATATATACCTGTCTCCATGTGTGTACGTATGTGTGTGGGGATGTATATTATAATATCTCCTATTGGTTTTGTTTATTTGGAGAACCCAAACACAGCTCTTTTCTATCAAAAGAGCACTCTCTTAATTTCAACTTTCTCATAAATGTATGAAACTTATAAGAGAAGGTCAAGATAGATTGTGGTTTTCTAACATTAAAATAACATAAAACCCCTAAACATGGAAAAATGATAGAAAGTACATAGTGGGCAAAAATTTTAGGGGCTAAGAAAGGCGCTTAAAATTAAAGGAACTAATTGCAAAGACACATAAAGATGTTTTGAGATTTTTAAACAGGTTACCAAAGCCTGCTCTGTGGAAAATAAATGTTGTAACCTATTCTCCCTTTCCAGAGGAATTTTATATGGCAAATTCTGGCTGTATGAAATTATAAAAAGTAATATACTAATGAGAATGCTTTCAGTACAATATAAATACCTCACTCTGTGAGCCGGTTCATTAAGCCATCTCATATGTAAGACCATAATCTTAATTTAACTACACTGACTTATTTATTTGATGGGATTTAAATGTGCTGTAGCGGGCTTCCCTCTATCCACACTATACTAGACGATAAGTACATGTGCCACTTACTTTTTGTTAAAGATAAAAACTATATGCTTTGAGATCACTGAGTTATTTAATTGGACTTAAATAATATGCCGTGATCATCTTCCTGAACCCATGCTACACTGCAGGAGAAACATATGTCACTGTCTCACTGTCTTTTCTTTTTTTTTTAGATGAGGTCTCACTCTGTCACCCAGGCTAGAGTGCAGTGGCACGGTCACAGCTCACTGCAACCTTGAACCCCTGGGCTCAAAGGACCGTCTCACCTCAGCCTCCCTAGTAGCTGGGACTACAGGAGTACACCACTGCACCTGGTATCATTGTCCTTACAGATAAAGGTATATGTGCTTTTCCCCTCTAACGACTTACAATCAGGGTATGTTCTTGGGGCTTTAGTAGCCCTGGGCAACACACTGAGATGGTATGTATTTTACACACACTTTTAGATACTCTGATGCTTTGAGCAACTTCAAGTTGTCTTGCAGTATATTTTTTGCCATATATATATATATATATAGAGAGAGAGAGAGAATTACTGTAAAACTAAAGTCATGTTTTCTATCAGAATATTATCTTTATATAAGATATATATAACTAACAGGCAGGTGAGTTGACCAAGGATTGGGGAAGATAGACAACCTGACCTATCTCATAAGGAAATGTATTCACATTGAGTAAACAATTCACCCAAAGTTATAATTCATTAATCAGAAGATAATTACAAGCTGTCATCATTTCGAATTAATAAGATTGCATTATCTTTTAAGAGTATATAAACCACCAGAGTACATCAGAATACTTTTAACTGAGGAAGATGACGGGCAAGGAGTCCCATATGACAGGAGCAGAGGGAGCAAGAAGAAGAGGGGATATAAGGAAGGATATGGGAGCCCAGATCACACAGGGCCTGAAAGGGCAAACACGAGAAGGAGCTTCACTTTTACTTTAGAGTGAAAGAGCCACTGCAGAGTTTTGTGTAAAGGGGTGATTAGATCTAACTTACATTACAAAAGCATCACTCAGCCAGGCGCAGTGGCTCGCCTATAATCCCAGCACTATGGGAGGCTGAGGCAGGAGGATCATGTGAGCCCAGGAGATCTAGGCTGTAGTGAGCCATGATTGCACCACTGCTCTCTGGCCTGGGCAACAGAATGAGACCCTGTCTCGTAAAAAAAAAAAAATAAATGAGTGAATGAATGCATCACTCTGGCTGCTGAATTGAGAACAGATCGCAGGAAGCCGAGGGCCGAGGCAGACAACTATATGGGAAGATCAAACACAGCAATCCAGGGCAGAAGGTGAGGGTGGCTTGGGCCCATGCAGTAGCCAGGGGAAGTTGTGAGAACTACACAAGTTCAGGTGGATTTTCAAGGAAGAACTTAATATGAATTTCTGTCTGACTGAATGAGGGACATGGGGGAAAAAAAATCAAACATAACTCCAACAGTTTTTGAAGTTGCCATCACCTATAATGGGGAAGTTCAGCCTTAGACATACTGAATTTGGAATGTCGATTGGATACCAGTGGAGATGCAGTGGGCAGTTGAATATGGGGTCAGCAGGTCACCAGACTGCTCTGGACTGAAAACTTAATCCCTGGGAATCACTGGCACATGATTTGTACTTAAAGCCATGAGGTAAAATGAGATCCCCAGGAGCATGAGTGTAGACACAGAAGAGAAGAGGAGGCAGGGGACTGCGCCCTGAAGTCTCCAAAGTTAGGCGATGCAGAAGAGAGGAGGGACCAGCAACCACTCCGAGTGCTGTAATCTCACGTCCTAGAAAGAGAGTGTCAAGGAAGAATGAACCATCCACTGTGTAAACGCCACTGATAAGCAAGTACAATGAGGACTGAGAACTAAGCGTTGGATTTAGCAATGCGCAGGGTACTGACTACCTTTGGCAGAGTGACAATGTAGAAGACTGAATGAGGAGCACTAAAAAATGGGAAGACAGAGGAGAGAGCAAATACAGACAACTCTTAGAAGGAGCTGGGTTTGATTTTTTCCTAGAGATAGGGTCTTGCTCTGCCACTCAGGCTGTAGTGCAGTGCCATGATCAGAGCTCAGTGCAGCCTTGACCTCCTAGGCTCAGGTAATCCTCCTGCCTCAGCCTCCCGAGTAGCTGAGAATATAGGCATGCTCCCCTAGATGTGACTAATTTTTAATTTTTTTTGTAGTGACAGGGTCTCGATGTTGCCCCAGGCTGGTCTCAAACGCCTAAACTCAAGCAATCCTCCCACCATAGCCTTCTGAAGACTTGGTTCAACAGAGAATTGATCCTTGTACGGGAAGTGGGGTAAAGAAGTTTTAGCTGGAGCTGTCATTCAGTAGTTGTGAAGGAACAGGGTCAAGCGCGCAGGTGGATTAAATCCAAGAGGGCAGCTCCTCTATGGTCCCACAGAGGAAGGCAGGCAGCAGATGCCCCACGTGGGGCAAATGTGGTTGAGGGAACATGTGATAATTCCCTGAAGATTGTTTCGCTATTTTCAGTAAACTAGGAAACAGGGTTTCATGCTGAGAGTGAGGACATGGAAGAAAATGTTTGCATTTAAAAGAGAAGGTTGGGCTGGCTGTGGTGGCTCATGCCTGCAATCCCAGCACTTTGTGAGGCCAAGGCGGGCAGATCAAGAGGTCAGGAGTTCAAGACCAGCCTGGCCAACATGGTGAAACCCTGTTGTAAAAATACAAAAAAAATTAGCCAGGTGTGGTGGCACATGCCTGTAACCCCAGCTACTCAGGAGGCTGAGGCAGGAGAATTGCTTGAACCTGGGAGGTGGAGGCTGCAGTGAGCCCAGATCATGCCATTGCACTCCAACCTGGGCAACAGAGTGAGACTCTGTCTCAAAAAAAAAAAAAAAAAAAGAGAGAGAGAGAGAGAGAGAAGGTTGGTCAGAGCCTCTGGGTTTCCCAGAGGGAATGAAGGATCCAGGGAAGTCATAAATTGGTATACATTGTTGGCAATATGAAAATTGAAAGCTTGCATTCTCTTTGATCTGAAATTCACCTTTATTCACTCATTCATTACAGCTCTAGGTGGCCGAGAGCCTTCTATAGTAGGATCCATATCTAACTGTTATCAATGTTTAATCTGGAAGAAAAACCAAAAGGAACAGGAGACAATTACTTTCATTTTTGCCATATATATTTCTACACTGCTTGAGCTTTTACAAGATAAACAGCAGTTTTATAAATTTCCAAATTGCATTTTTATGTAATAATCTGCTGTAAACCTTGTTTTCAGCAGTATAGTTTACAACTTCTCCTCAAATTCTTTTCCAGCCACAGTGAATTGTTATTTGCTGTACCCTGAAATTACAACTGTATCCAGGAAACTTTACACCAATTCACCAGATAATTAATTTCCTGATGACTGCTACTGCTGTCATGTTCCCATTCTTCAGGATCCCTGAAACTACCTGAAAGATGAAAGAAGCATGGTAACATGCTTACATCAAAGTTTCATTAACAGGTTTAACTTAACACACTTGCCAACATTTCAAGAGGCGTGTTTCGGAAGCTGGCAAGCTCCCAAGTCCCCTCCACACTTCAAAACTCCTCTTGAGCCTTTCTCATCCCTACCCCACAAACACCGAGTGCTTACTATCTATGTGCCAGGCACTATGAAGGGCTGGAGATGCCGTGACGATGAAACCGCCTTTGCAAAAGTATAACTGAGGAAAGTATGACAGTGAAAGAAATCAGACCTAACCGACTCCATCTTGTTTCTAACCTTTAAGCTGTCCTTGTTTGTTCTTGGGCATAGGCTGAACTAACTTTGGGAAGGGATTCAGTTCATGGTTTGACTCTGAAGCAAAACTGATAATAGCCCTTTCCCAGAAAGACCCCCTTCTTGCCTGGGGACCAGTCCACCTTGCAGTACTAACAAATTAGCTACAAGATTAGAAAGTACAGTGTAGGGGTCATGCAGCCTCTGGTTCCAAGAGTCTGAACCTCTCCACGTGGCTCCTGGGGGTAACATCACTATTGAAAAATCTAAGATCAGTGCTTGAGATATTTTGTAGACCCTGCACTCGATGGATCAGCTGACACCACCCAGACAGGTAATCTGGCTCAACCAGTTCTGCCATCTCACCCAGGAACAGAAAACAGCAAGAAAACCTCACTTCAACCCCCTATTATTCCATCTCCAGCCTGAACAATCAGCACTTCTCACTTCCCAAGCCCCTACCCAAATTTCTTTAAATTATCTTTAAAAACTCTGCTCCCCAGTGCTCAGGAGATTGATTTGAATAATAATAAAACTCCGGTCTCCTGAACAGCCAGCTCTGTGTGAATTACTCTTTCTCCATTGCAATTCCCCTGTCTTGATAAATCAGTTCTGTCTAGGCAGTGGGCAAGGGAACCCATTGGGCGGTTACAAAGAAGGGAGGAAAAAAAAAATAAAAGCAAACACAAGTTTTTTCCCCAGTGTAGGGTAGCAGCCAGATATCGATAATCATGAAAATAAATGCAAAGTGACAACTCTGAAAAGCCCTATACAAGAGGAGGTTGTTGCACCAGGAAAAGTATAAGAGAGAGAGATGTGAACAACTCAGGGACAGCGTTCTCGAGGAAGCGACAATTATGCTGGGATCTGAAGGAAGCACAGACATTAACTTGGAGGTGCTGAAGTGAGGAACAGAAAGAGAACCGCACTTACAAAGGCCCTGGGGTAGCATGCTTAGACTCTAGGCTCATGCTTAGACTCTAGAGCCATGCGACATAATTACAAATCCCAGCTCTGCAACTGGGCATATTGGTAAACATCTCTGTGTATCCATTGTTTATTGTGTAAAACAGGTATAGTCATGCTAACCTTACAGAATTGTTATAAGGGTTAAATGAGTTATTTGTAAAGCTTACAATGATGCCTTGCTTTGCTGAACAACTTATGTAAGCATCTTTTAAATAAAAATAATTCCAAATTAAATGCTAAAACTTATTAAGTATGTCCAAGCATTAAGGAGGCAGATGACAAAATGTAAGTTTATCCTGCTGGATGCATTAAGGGGAAAAGAAAGCTTTCACAATAGGCAATAAAGACAGGCAACAACAGACCCCATGTATTGGGTAGAGTGAACTGAGAGATGAGAACTTAAAAATGTGATCACACCTGCCGCACCCTCCCCCAATTGACCTTTGGCCAGGCACAGTGACTCACACCCAGTAAACCCAACACCCAACACTGGGAGGCTGAGGCAGGAGGATTGCTTAAATCCAGGAGTATGGGACCAGCCTGAGCAACATAGCAAGACCCCGTTTCTAAAAAAAAAAAGGAGGATTGCCTGAGCCCAGGATTTGAGGCTGCAGTGAGTCAAGGTGGTGCCACTGCACTCCAGGCTGGGCGACACAGTGACACCTTGTCTCAAAAAATTAAAATTTAAAAACAACTTTCAATATAAAGATAATGCAACATATATTTGCAAGAGACAACTATAATTTTGGTGATATCAATAGTATGTATCTATTAACAATATACTGACAATATTGGCTGATGTAAACTGTACACCAGTGCACATTCTATATCAAAATCCAAACTGAGACTCCAGGGAACCAATCATTTGTCATTAACACTAACCACACTGAAATAGTTGCAGAGTCATTTTAGACAATGTTTCAAGTGATACAGAAAAATAATATTAATCCCTTTATTGAGGTAATTAGAAATAATTTGCACTTTCCTCCAGACTACCAGTGTTAGACATAATAAACACACACACTGGAGATGACCAGCTATGGCATACAGATGTGGGCTTATTGAAACAATTATTACTCAGAACAGACCTGCTGACAACAAATGTGCATTCAAATTATTCGATCTGTCTGGATCTCTGGGTCCCTAACTCTTGAAGTGACAGCACAAAACAGTTCATTAGATATAGGGTCAATGTTGTTAGTATTAAGCATTGTTATCCTCATTTTTTTTTTTGGCAGAACGAAAACTTGGAAAATCCTGGTTACATTCAGAGATGGTGGCAAAAAGAGTCAGCAATATAATTCATCTAGAAGTATTTTTAATACTCAAAGTCTTGATTTTGAGCCTTTTAACATTAATTCTCCCAGCAATTTTTCTAAAATTTCTGGATGTAATTAAGATATTCAGAAAAAAAATGTAGAGAACTCATGCTTGCAGGTTCCTGTTTATAGTTTCAGTGCTTTAAAGTTTTTAATACACTTTTATCTTCCATTTCAAAGGCTATATTAATTATATAGGAAAAAGCTGACAGAATTTGCAACTCAACAAGGCTATCCTTTAGACAAGGATATAACATACTCAGAAGTCAGAAAAACTGAATTAGTCTGGGCCCAGTGGCTCATGCCTGTAATCCCAGAACTTTGGGAGGCCAAGGCAGGTGGATTGCTTGAGCCCAGGATCTTCAGACCAGCCTGGGCAACATGGTGAAACCCTATCTCTACTAAAAACACAAATATTAGCTGGGTGTACTGGTGTGTCTGTAATCCCAGCTACTCAGGAGGCTGAGGCACGAGAATCGCTTGAACCCGGGAGGCAGAGGTTGCAGTGAGCCGAGATCGCACCACTGCACTCCAGCCAGGGTGACAGAGTGAGACTCTGTCTCAAAAAAAAAAAAAAAGAAAAGAAAAGAAAAGAAAAGAAAAACTGCATCAGGGAAGAACTTTTAACAAAAAAAGTCACAAAAAAAGGCTTTACCATTTGCTAGGAACCATTTCACAAAACCCACCTTTATTATAGAAATTATCTTCTGAATTACTAAGATGAGGCAGGGGAAGGGAAAAGGAAGTAGTAAGAAAAAAGAAGCCAGGAAACATATTTTCTTCCTAAAAAGATGAGAATAAAGTCCTCATGCTTTGTAAAAGGGAAAATTACCAGGGTTGTCATGTTTGTCAAACAATAGAGAACCGTCTTTTCATCAGGAAAACTATAAAGCAAGCATACACCAGCTGGACTACATCAAAAGCAATCAAAGCAAGGCAAAAAATAAAACCTCCAACTTACCCAAATGCTTGTGGTTCAGAACGCCTAAAGAGAATTAGGCAAAGTATGTGAGCTCTGATTTACTAACACATATTGGGTTGATGATTCATAGCTCCTCATGGAGACTTTACGCCTAAATGAAAATAACGATGTGTAATGCAACTGAAAGTTACTGAGGAGCCTGATCAAAGTGATGAGTAGATAACAGTTGAAAGTAGCAGTGATAGCTAACTTCAGATCAGTAGGGAGGAGGCCAAAAGAGGCCGGTGGAGAATTGGCTATGGTTCAACTGAGGCAGTGTGATAAATAAAATCGGACGCTGGAAAGGAGTCGGGGGTAGGGCAGCGGTGGTAGAGAGGTGGTTGGGGGAGAACTAGAATACAGAGCAAAGGGATTTAGTCGTAGAGGAATTAATCTTCAGATTAAAGGATCAATATGACACTAAAACCATTTATGCACTTGGCAAGCTGTGATCCTGCACACTTGAGCAGCAAAATCGTGTGTGGAAGAAAGAAATGCAGCTTTATCAGCTCCATGTTTAGTCTCAGCAACAACAGGTGAGACAGACAGGTAAAAGATTGGCTAACTAATGTTAAACGGAGGCAGAAATATCTCCCTTAAAGTAAATAACTGACTTTCAAACATATGTTAGTCACAGGCCACGAAGACACTATAAGACCTAATAGGAGGCTTTCTAATCAAACCATCCAGGCCATATTCTAGGCAATGATACCTACTGCCATGCGATCACAGTCTCCAAACACAAGGAACCAAAAAAAGAAAATCAAGATTCAGGAAAGCCTAATTCAAAGTAAAAAATTACTAAATAAAATAGAAGTTTCTGTTGTCCAAAACAAAATTTAAAAACACCAGAATTTTTTTTAAAAAATAAAACAAACATGTAACTTACACCAACAGATACTTATTTTAAATACCCAGCACGACCTAGGGCCGATTAGAATCTCAATTCCTCATTTCAGAAATGTTTGAAACAAAACTAGAGAAACTAGAGAATTTCACACTTTCCTTCCCTCCACCTCCACAGCACTTTTTCAAGAAATACATCTATGCCACAATCAAGGCACAAGTATCTAGATCTATTGATCTAACTATATATCATAGATATTCTGAAAATACAAGGAAAATGATGACAAAGTACGGAGCATAGATCCACCTATACAAACTATAAAGAGAATTTCGTTTAGAACAACTTATTTCCTATTGCTTTCTCACAGAATTTGAACAAATATAACTTATTGCTTTTAAACCTAAAAACATAAATTCAATGCTAAAATGTGACACTAAATTTCAAAACAATGACATATCTAAAATGGGAAAAAATTTAAAAAATACAGAAGCACAAGAAGGAAAGACATTTTTCCAATTCCAGAAAACTGCTTCTGTAAAAATATAATATTCTGTACAAGACAGTAGTGGTTCCTAAGAGAATAAATGGCTCAGAATTTGATGAAAGTGTTCCCGCAGCGAACAATTCACTCTGCTTGCAGATTCCAGATGCTCAACATTCCTGACATCAGAACGGAAAAATTTACTGTTAGTCTAGAGAAATTTAATATCACCATTCTTGTCATATCCCTCATAGCTTCATTATTAGTACAAGTCTGGGGAAGCCATAAACCTATGTTAAATGATAAAAAAAGATGTTCTCTGGGTTCAATCATACTCATATAAGCAACCAAAATATCTAGAAGTCATATGGAAAAAGACTTGAGGGAAAAACAAATATGTATTTACGTGTTTTTTGTCTTAGTTCTCACATTTGCATTCTGTGCAGTATGGTCAGGCATCGGACCAAAACGTTTTACTATAACCTAGGGCTAATAAACACTAAAGAACATATATCGACGCCCAGAACAACACTATAAAATTTTATTATATTAATAAAATAGGATACACCAAGCTTTAAATTTTCCACTTTGTCAAAGGTAAAATAATCAGCACTGTTCGGTGCCATTCATAACAGGCTGCAATTTTTCCCATTTAAAGTATGTTTTATTTCCAAAACTACCTATAGTACACTAAAATACTAACACAACCCTGAGAGAGGCAATCTCTTTCTCACACTTTCCCTCAACTGCAAATAACTTATTAAAGCATTGGGCCAGCTGAGTTTGTAAATATGTAAAACAATCTAAATAATTATAGTATTGCAGCTTGCTTGATAACACTTTATACAATTATCTTAAAGTCCATAAATTCAGGGTGAGTTAACAGGGGAACATGCATACAACTTTACCTAACTTTCATTTGTACATGCCATCTCTAAGCTTTAAATAGGTTCCAATTTGTAATTAACTGTCAATAGTCTGTAGCTCTGCACAAAGTATTCTCTACTACCAAAATAAATACGATGGTAGTTTGATTTTTAGCAGTATTCACCCAAAAAATAAAGCCATAGAAAAATGAAAATTACTTCTAAAGCTCATAAATTATGGCCTATAACCATCCTTTCCAAAAATCGATTACATTTACGTTACATTAAAACAATTACAGGCTTTCCTACTTGAAGTAATTGGCTATAAAAGCTAAAATGCAGTATTGGCTTTATGATATTCATAGTAAGATAGGACTTATCTCAAGCATAACATGTAGTTTGACCAAACTGGACAGTAAATCTGGATTTTACATTACATTGCAAGGTAGCAATTCAAATCTTACCTCTCATCACATTACTGTAGCCAGCATTCATTGTATTAAGTGGTAAGCAATCAACAGATCAGTAGGTGCTAACCTTGATCAGGAAGTATTGGTCATGGCAAGAGAAACCATGGAAGCAGAAAGTGGCCTATTTGGTTGTAGAGATGATGTAGTAGAAAGAGAGGTAGGCTTTTCTCCTAGAGCTGTTATCATAGTCAACAGAGATAAAGAATGAGTATGTAGCATCTAATTAATGCTTCCCAGTTTTGCAACGGGACAAAAGCATAAAAAACATCAAGCACAAGGTTGGCCCTTAATAAGCAGTAGCTTCTATTGTCATCTTTATCATATCCTCTTAGAGGCTTGTTAGTGGAATTAAAAAGCATTTAAGTGAAAGGAAGGCTCTTAGCAGAGTTCAAGGGATAAAAGTATCTTAAATGGCTTTCTTTGCAAACATTCTCCAAGAACAACCTGTTACACAATAATGCAGCGGCTGAACTCCTAAGAAACCTCAAGCTAACAAAAAGACGAACCCTCATTTCAATAGGGAAAGACATGGTAGGTTAGAAAGTTTGCAACTAATAATAACTAAGGTCCTTCCACCGTGAATTTTAGAAAAATAAAGTAATCTAAGCTGTAAACGTTTTTTCTTTTTAGCTAAAAATAACAAACTGGTGGTTCACTACTGATAACTACCAAGTTAAATGCTTCCCAGCCTTTCAATCCACACTCAAGTATTCTCTAAACAGGTGACATTTTTTTTAGCAACAGAATTCATAACTATTGGGATTAAATCCTTCCCACCCAAAAGAACAAAGGAGCAGCCAGCAAAACTTCCTGACACATAATGAAATATCCAGAAGCAGACTGGTGATGCATAAAGAACTGAATACAAGATAAGAGTGGCACTTCAAATCAGTTATGTGGTGAGGAATTATTCTACCAAGAGCAGTAACTGCTGGTTCACCATTTCAGAAACAAGTGAAATCAAATAAACTAGATCCCCACGTAATGAGGCGAATCCCAATAATCTCATTACATCCAAATCATGTTATGAAAATTCAGTCTAAGAGACACTTGCTAGAGTAAAAATCCCTTCAAGATACGTACGGAGGTGATTTTTCTACAACCCCTAAATTTGTCAAGAAGAAACAAAGCAAAATATATATACCTTAGGTAGTCTGTGCCTTATCTTAAAACATGTTCACTGGAGCTCCCTGGGCAATATTTTTAAAATCTAGGTGATTCGAGTGCTGCACTATATCGGAAAGAGAAGTTTAACATTTAATGTGAGTGCTAGCAAATAAAATATTTTAAAGTTTTTATCAGTATTTTCAATAGTGCTATGCTAGCTATTTAATTTCATCTTAACAGAATGAAATCATCTTCTAGATATGATCTCCATTTTTATTGGAACTGCTTACTATCCATCCCTAAAGTTCTCTTCTAAGAGGAAAAGGTCATGTTGTTTGAAGGACAAAAAAGTTCATATTCACAAACAGAAAAGACTATTTTAATATTGAACAATTCTACATCAACAGGAATCTGAAATCTACCAAGACAATTCTTAATATATTTGGTCACTCAAGCCATCACAAACTCTTTTTAGGACTGAACCCTAAGATTTGTACTACGATTAAAAAAAAAAAAAAGTGGCCAGGCACAGTGGCTCAGGCTTGTAAATCTCAGCATTTTGGGAGGCTGATGCAGGAGGGCCACTTGAGCTCAGGAGTTTGAGACCAGCCTGGGTAATATGGTGAGACCCCATCTCTACGAAAATAAGAAATCAGCCAGGTGTAGTGGTATGTGCCTATAGTCCCAGCTGAGGCAGGAGGATCACCTGGGCCTGGGAGTTGAGGCTGCAGTGAGCCCTGATTGCGCCAATGCACTCCAGCCAGGGTGACAGAGTGAGACTCTGTCTCAAAAAATTAAAAATTAAAAAACAATAAAAAAATTTAAAAAGCAAAACTTTTTTGTGGCAATGAATATTACAATTTTTAAAACCTAGTGATGGCCGGGCAGTGGTTCACGCCTGTAATCCCAGCACTTCAAGAGGCCGAGGCAGGCGGTCACGAGGTCAGGAGATAGAGACCACCCTGGCTAACATGGTGAAACCCCGTCTCCACTAAAAATACAAAAAATTAGCCAGGCGTGGTGGCGGGCGCCTATAGTCCCAGCTACTTGGGAGGCTGAGGCAGGAGAATGGCATGAACCCAGGAGGCAGAGCTTGCAGTGAGCCAAGATCGCGCCACTGCACTCCAGCCTGGGTGACAGAGCAAGACTCCATCTCAAAAAAAAAAAAAACCTAGTGATTTGGCTAATTTTAGGTAGTATTACATACACATAAGCATA
Source organism: Homo sapiens (assembly GCF_000001405.40). Taxonomy (NCBI): domain Eukaryota; kingdom Metazoa; phylum Chordata; class Mammalia; order Primates; family Hominidae; genus Homo; species Homo sapiens. The sequence continues at coordinate 28,222,914 of NC_000010.11, forward strand.
CTGGGGATCTAGGCTATAAAAATAGCTTGGCCAAGATGGTGAAACCCTGTCTCTACTAAAAAATACAAAAATGAGCCAGGCGTGGTGGCAGGTGCCTGTAGTCCCAGCTACTCAGGAGGCTGAGGCAGGAGAATCGCTTGAACCCGGGAGGCAGAGGTTGCAGTGAGCCGGGATCGCACCACTGCACTCCAGCATGGGTGACAGAGCGAGCCTCTGTCTCAAAAAAAAAAAGCCTCCCAATATAACTATTCAAATGTATTAATATTTTATAAGACCACTGAAATATGCTCTCTTAAATTTAAGAGTCACTTGTTATAGCATTTTCTCCTGAGCAAGAAACTGCTAGGAAGCGAGGATGGGCATTTTCCACACTAATCACTGAGCTCGAATCTTCTGAGGAAACAGTGCAAGAGACCAGATTAATTCTTGTTTCTTAAGGTGTGGCCTGCCAAACAATGCGGGGTCCCAATAATCTTTCAAGTGGTCCACAAGCTGCTTCAGTCAGTAAGATTTTGTTCACCTATGCTCAAATTTGCAGCATGATTATAATTTTTGCAGAAATCTCATTCCATCATCGTTGCATAAGGCTATACAAGTACTGTAGAGATTATGTTTGTCAGAGTTCTTCTAACTAACTTCCACTGTCATTTGCTTATTGCCATTTGTGTTTGGAGAATTACTGTTTTACAAAATTACAATTATATTGAGCCATACATTCTACTGAGTAAAACAGATCAAAGACAGGATTAGTTTACAGTAGTAATCAAAAATAGTAATGCAAACATAGAGGCTCCCAATCTTCTGAGTATTTCTGATCTGAGTCTCAAGTGTTATAAGGCTACAAAGGAAAGTAAATATAAGGCTATTCACCTATAAACTGAAATGTATAATATTAGGCTTCATTCCAACATCTCTTCCCACCTAACACATGCTCACTCTATTAATGTCATTGGTCTTTATCTTGGATGCCATAAACGTCATTGCAAAAATACACAATTTTGGCCAGGTGCGGTGGCTCACACCTGCAATCCCAGCACTTTGGGAGGCCGAGGCAGAAGGATCACTTGAGGTCAGGAGTTCGAGACCAGCCTAGCCAACATGGTGAAACCCCATCTCTACTAAAAATACAAAAATTAGCGTACACGCCTATAATCCCAGCTACTCAGGAGGCTGAGGCACAAGAATCACTTGAACCCAGGAGGCAGAGGTTGCAGTGAGCCGAGATCATGCCACTGCACTCCAGCCTGGGCAATAGAGTGAAACTCCATCTCAAAAAGAAAAAATAAATAAATACACAATTTCACAGAGGTGAGAAAATTCAACTGTAAGCAATGCTGGAGATGAATTAGTTTCTGAAAATCTTACCCAGTTAACAACTAGAAGAAAAAACTAACGTGCTTAACAACATATTACACTTGAAAAGAGAACAATGTGAATATCAAAGTTAAAAAAAAAAAAACCTAGAGAAACTGAAGACTGCAAATTTTTTTGTTAAAATGCTCTTTTCATTGACTTTCTGGAAGTAAAACAAAGTGCTGTCACAAAATGTTGTGAGCAATATTAAGCCAACAAAGAAAAATTCAGCAGAATCCATTCTACATTCTATGAATTAGTACAAAGCTAAAATTATAACCTAATATGTCCTTCATTAAATTAAAAACATGATAATTTGCTTCCCTTTTCTGGATAAAGTTCTGATCATTTTTGCTACTATTTAACATGCTCTTTCCATCCCCCATTTAACGTAGATTAATTTTATATGGCCCTTTTCTTCCATCCATTACTATTAGATAACAAAAGCATCAATGGAGAAAGTTAACAGGATTCCAACCTTAAAACACAGCATGAATCTATCTGTGTTAGGAGAAGTTAAACTAAAAATGCATTTAGGTAACCAAAAAATAAACGACCAAAACATGACCATAAGAATTAGATTTTGTTTATCAAAAAAATAAAAATAAAAATTTTTTAATTCTAAATTTAAAAATTGTGAGAGCCACTCTCCCCTATCCCCAGTGCTCTGTCAGTTGAGAAATTCTGTCAAACAGTGGTATAAAGCCATCAAAGTTCTCTAGTAACTTTTAAATAAAGAATAGTGATTTATTCTGCAAATAAACACAAACTAGTGCTTCCCAGGATAAAAACTGGTAGTCACTAAATGCAGAGATGAAAAACTACATACAGTGCTGGGACAATGGAATTTCCACATACAGAAGAATGAAGTTCAACCCTTACCTCACACCACATACAAAAATTAGCTTAAAATGGATCAACAACCTAAATATTTGAACTAAGACCATAAAACTCTTATAAGAAAACATAGGAGTAAATTTTCATGACCTTGTATTTGATCATGGATTCTTAGATATGTCACCAAAAGCATCAACAACATAAGAAAAAATTGATAAACTGAACATCAAAATTAAAAACATTTGTCCATCAAAGGACATTATCAAAAAAAGTGAAAAGACAACCTACAAAACAGGAGAAAATATTTGCAGATCATAAATGTGGTAAGTGTTTAATATCCAAAACATATAGAGAACAGGGAAACTCAACAACAAAGACAATCCAATTAAAAAATGGACAAAAAACTTCAGTAAACATTTCTCTAAAGAAGACAAATGGCTAAAAAGTACATGTAAAACTGCACAGTGTCATTAGTCATTAGGGAAATGCAAATCAAAATCACAATGAAATCACTCCACACTTTCCTACAATGGCTATAATCAAAAACTATGGGAAATAACAAATGCTGATAAGGATGGGAAGAAATTGGAACCCTCACATATTGCTGGTAGAAATGTAAAATGTTGCGGCATCCATGGAAAATAGGTTGGTGGTTCCTTAAAAAGCTAAACACAGAATTATCATATGACCAGGAAACTACACTCACAGGGACATACTTATTTTTGTGACAATGAATATTATATTTTTTAAACCCAGTGACTTGGCTAATTTTAGGCAATATTATATTACACATAAGCATCTAAATCAAGGACTCAAAGAGATACCTGTACAGCAATGTTCACTGCAGCATTACGCACAATAGCTAAAATATGGAAACATCTCACATGTCCACCAACTGATAAATGGATACACAAAATGCAGTATATACATACAATGGAATATTATTCCACCATAAAAAGAAATTAATTTCTGATACATGCTACACCACAGATGAACCTTAAAAACATTATGCTAAGTAAAATAAGTCAGTGAAGAAAAAAGGCAAATACTCTATGATTCCACTTACATGAAATATCTAAAATAGACAAATTCTAGAGACAGAAAGTAGAATGGTGATTGACATGGGCTGGAGGGAGAGGGACAGGTAAAGTTAATTTTTTTTTTTTTGAGCCCCACTCTGTCACCCAGGCTGGAGTGCAGTGGTATAATCTCGGCTCACTGCAACCTCCACCTCCCGGGTTCAAGCTATTCTCATGCCTCAGCCTCCTGAGTAGCTGGAATTAGAGGGGCACACCACCATGCCTAGCTAATTTTTGTATTTTTGGTAGAGACAGGGTTTCACCATGTTGCCCAGGCTGGTCTCGAACTTCTGACCTCAGGTGATCCACCCACCTTGGCCTCCCAAAGTGCTGGATTACAGGAGTGACCCACCACACCCGGCCAGGTCAAGTTACTCTTAATGAGTACTGAGTTTCTGTATGGGGTGAAAAGAATGTTTAGGAAGCAGATAGTGGTGATGATCATAAAACATTTTGAATACAATTAATTACACTAAATTTTATACTTAAAAATGGTAAAAATGGCAAATTTTATATCACACATATTTTATCTCAATAAGAAAATCTTAAAAATGAAAAATAAACTACAAAGACATCATTAACGGTTACACTCCTTACAGCAAAAGCAGAACTCGCACTATTCCCATAAAGATTCTAAAATGAGCAATGAAATGAAACACAAATATTATGCACTGATAAAGATTACTGGTAAAATTCCTATATGAAAGGACTTTTTTAACAGTAAAGGCATGCAATGTAGTAAACTAATCACTATTATGTATGCTTGCTAGCAGGTATTTTACCTTACCATTAAAGGAAGCTACTGATATGACAAACATTGAGGCATACTCTCTGCACGCAGGAGAAACATTGTAAGAAAAGAATACTCAGTGATTTTCTTTAGTTTATCACTGAAAACCCCATAATACCTGAAGAGGACTTTTTCACTTAGTTCTAAATATTTTGTGAGTAGTGACAAGGACAAGAGTAAGTGTACTGATTCAGTGTTAAAGAATACAAGCTCTGTGTACAAGGAAGTACATTACTCCCAAAAAGAAGGTTTTCCCAAATGCCAGTTCACACACTGCTTCTTGTTCACAGAGAACAGCTTGAGGTCAACTACATGGATAACGATCTTTTTTTAAATTTAATTTTTATTTTCAGTTCCAGGATACATGTGCAGGACGTACAGGTTTGTTACATAGGTAAACGTGTGCCATGGTGGTTTGCTGCACCTATCAACCCATCACCTAGGTATTAAGCCCCACATGCATTAGCTACTTTTCCGGGTGCTCTCCCTTCCCCCACCCCCAACCCCCGACAGGCTCCAGTGTGTGATGTTCCCCTCCTTGTATCCATGTGATCTCATTGTTCAGCTCCCACTTACAAGAGAAAACATGCAGTGTTTGGCTTTCTGTTCCTGCATAAGTTTGCTGACAATAATGGTTTCCAGCTCCAACCATGTCCCTGCAAAGGACATGGTTGATCTTGTTCCTTTTTATGGTTGCACAGTATTCCATGGTGTATATGGACCACATTTTCTTTATCCAGTCTATCATTGATGGACATTTGAGTTGATTCCATGTCTTTGCTACTGTGAATAATGCTGTAATAAACACATGCATGCATGTATCTTTATAACAGAATGACTTATATTCCTTTGGGTATATACCCAGTAATGAGATTAGTGGATCAAATGGTATTTCTGGTTCCAGATCTTTGAGAAATCGCCACACTGTCTTCCACAATGGTTGAACTAATTTACACTCTCACCAACAGGATAAAAGCATTCTTATTTCTCTATAGCCTCACCAGCATCTGTTGTTTCTTGACTTTTTAATAATTGCCATCCTGACTGAACTACTTGCCCAACAATCTTAATTTGCTCTGCAAAGAAACCGAAAAGTATGAATATGATCAAATCAAATCAGCAAAGTATACTTTGGGTGGGGGAACTGTTGGAGGAAAAAAGCAACAAGTTCAAGACCTTGCTTTTCCACAAGGAAATATATGAATTACCAAGAAGAAAAAAATGTTAACATGAGATTTTTTTTTATACGAAAGATGAGAACAAAGTAATTTCATGACACTGACGATATCAGTAAAATCCACTTTTGTTTTTTAAACTGGATTCCTTGAGTGGTAAATCTCAGTGATATATTCATTACCTTCAGTAATTTGAATCTATCACTTTAAGGATAAAGGATCATGATTTTGGTACCAGAAGTGAGGTTAACGAGACTTCCCTAAGCAAACTGATCTATAGTGCAAACAACTTGAACATGGGCCAAACATTTTTAAAAGAACTAAGCAGCACTTCTTGGCCAGGCACAGTGGCTCACACCTGTAATCCCAGCACTTTGGGAGGCCAAGGTGGGCAAATCACCTGAGGTCAGGAGTTTGAGACTGGCCTGGCCAACATGGTGAAACCCTGTCTCTACTAAAAATACAAAAATTAGCCGGGTGTGGTGGCACATCTGTAATCCCAGCTACTCGGGAGGCTGAGGCAGAATCGCTTGAACCCAAGAAGCAGAGGTTGCAGTGAGCTGAGATCACACCACTGCACTCCAGCCTGGGTGACAGAGTGAGACTCCATCTCAAAAAAAACAGAAAAAAAGAAAAGAAAAAAAACTAAGCAGTTGCTTCTTATAAAAATCATCATCATCATTGAAATTAAAAACTCAGCCCCAGCATGTAAAGGAGAGCAATAAAGCTCAAAAAAGAATTAACCAAACAAGATAGGTGAGAATTACTCAAAGGGCTGATGGCTGATGGAAAGACCAAAAAAGACTGAACTATATAAGAGGGTTAAGAAAGATAAGGGATAGAAGAAATGTCTTAGGCATATTTAACTGGAACACTAGAATGATAGGAGAGAGGAAGAATGAAGTACAGGTAACATCTTAAAAGATTAACAGCTGAAATTTTTCCAGAATTCATGAAATACATGGATTTATATGCATTCAAAAAGCCAAATGAATTCTGGATAAGGCATAGAAAATGAAATTCCACCTAGACACAGAATAGTGAAAGTGCAGACATCTAAGAAAAAAAGAAAATAATAAAAACAGCCAGAGAAAGAAGCCAGATTACTTCCAAAGAGAGACTCTGACAACTGACTTTTAAATAGCCACTTTGAATATATAATTTCATTGCCTCTTGCTTTCAGCGCACTGAGGAAAAAATAATAACTGCTAACCTAGCGTTATGTGCTTGGTAAAAACTACTTCCAAGAATGAGCACAAATAAAAACATTTTCAGCAATAACAGAGACAGTTTGATAGCAGTAGACCTTCAAAACAGGAAATTCTAAAGATTTTTACTGTAAGCAGATGGAAAAACCATGGTGGATGAAAATGCTGAGTTGTGAGTTGGAGGTAAACAAAGAAAATGGTAATATGTGAGGAACTCTAAATGAATACTGATAGTATAAAACTGTGACAATGGGCCAGGCACGGTGGCTCATGCCTGTAATCCCAGCACTTTGGGAGGCCGAGGCAGGCGGATCATGAGGTCAGGAGATCGAGACCATCCTGGCTAACACAGTGAAACCCCGTCTCTACTAAAAATACAAAAAATTAGCCAGGCGTGGTGGCAGGCGCCTGTAGTCCCAGCTACTCAGGAGGCTGAGGCAGGAGAATGGCGTGAACCCGGGAGGCGGAGCTTGCAGTGAGCTGAGATCACGCCACTGCACTCCAGCCTAGGTGACAGAGCTAGACTCCGTCTCAAAAAAAAAAAACAAAAACAAAAAGAACTGTGACAATGATATCTTCAAGGTCTGGGGTTTTTTATTTTAAAAAGAGAATGAAAATACATGACACAGTAGCATGTAAGTTGGGAACATATGAAGTAGAAGTCCTGTAAGGTCCTTAGCTTGTCCATGGTGACAATGAAGGTAGAGATTAATGTTGAATTTTTAAAATAAAGGATTCAAGTAGTAATTTTGAAGGAAACTACCAAAACAACAGAAAGAGAATGTATAACATCAAGACATAGGGGAAAAATGAAAATGATAGAAATATTCTAATCAGTCCAAAGAAAATATAAGTAATAGAAAGAAAGAATAGGACAAAGAGAAAGCATAAAATGGGATGGTAGATTTTAAATTTTAAAAGTCAGTCATTACGTTAACTGTATTGAAAATACTCTAGTTAAAAGCAAAGATTTGTACAACCCCAAAAAGCTTCAATTACAAGCAATTCACAAGAGCTCCATCAATACATTAGGAACACAGAAGAGCTGAAAGTAAAAGGACAGAAAAAGATAAACTACTCAGTGCTAACAGAAAAAAAAAGTATATACTTCAATATAAAATTTATTTAAAAGGCTTAATATACCAACAAAATAACATATTTAAATATACAAAAGAAGGCCAGGCGCAGTGGCTCACGCCTGTAATCCCAGCACTTTGGGAAGCCGAGGCAGGCAGATCACTTGAGGTCAGAAGTTCAAGACCAGCCTGGCCAACATGATGAAACCCCATCTCTACAAAAAAAATACAAAAAATTAGCTGGCATGATGGTGCATGCCTGTAGTCCCATCTACTCCAGAGGCTGAGGCAGGAGAATTGCTTGAACCCGGGAGGCGGAGGTTGCAGTGAGCCAAGATCATGCCACTGCATTCCAGCCTGGGAGACAGAGCGAGAATCCATCTCAAATAAATAAATAAATAAACTAAACAAAAACTGATAGAACTACAAGATAAATCCATAATCGCTGAGGGAGATTTTTAAAAATACTTCTCTTGGTAACTGAAGGAATAAGCAGCAGCAACAAAAAATCAATTAGAATACAGAATATTTGAATGACTTAATCAATAAGTTTGGCCTAATAGACACATATAGAAAACTACAGTCAATAATTACAGAATATACCTATGGTTAAACATATTCAGAATACTTATTGAAATTAACCATATGTCTAAGCCATAAAATAAACAAATTTCAAAGGGCTAAAATGGTGCAAATTCAGCTTTCTGACCACAAAGCAATTAAGGTAAAAAATCAGTAACAAAAAAAAAAAAATGAAAAAAACTCTTATGTGAATATTTTTTTAATTCTAAATAATCAATTACAAAAATTCTAAAGCAAACACTTAATAAAATTAGAAAATATTTTTAAATTATAGCACAAATAGAGCCAACAAAACTTAGCGAGAAATAGTCCTAAATGTGAACATTAGGAAAAGGGAAAGATTAAATATTTATAAACAAAGTATTTCTAGAAATTAGAAAAAGAACAGTAAAAATTAATGAAATAAAAACAAATGTACAATAGAGAAAATAAAGCCATAAGTTTTATATCTAAAAAGACTAATAGAATTGACAAAACTCTCACAAAATTAAGAGGAGAGAGGAAGAGAGTGCGAAAATTACCAACATCAGGACCAAAAAAAAAAAAGCATCAATGTAGAAACTACAGGTACGAAGTAATAATAATACAAATAATTCTTTCCCAACAAATTTGAAAACTCTGATAAAATGGACAGTCTTGGAAAACTGTAAATCACCAAAATTGACTCAAGAAGAAACAGAAAGCTAGAATATTCTTTTAACCTTTAAAATAAATGAATTAGTTACCAAAAATCTTATCAAAAAGAAAATTCCCAGGCACAGGTGACCTAACAGGTAAGTTCTACTCAAGTAAAAGTTAATATCAATCTTTCACAGACTCTTCCACAGAAGAGGAAAGGCTCCTCCCAATACACTACACGAGACCAGCATGACTTTTTGAAATTCGGTAAAGAATGAAAAAGTGAAATTACAACTGAACTCACTCATCAACATAGATCTCAAAATTCTAAACAAAATACGAGCAAACCAAATCCAGAAATATATAAAAAGGATAGTAAATTATGACCAAATTGGGTTTATCCCTAGAATGCAAGTTGGTTTAACATTCAAAAATCAGTGTAAGGCCAGGCACAATAGCTCACACCTGTAACCCCAGCACTTTGGGAGGCCAGTGGTGGGACGATCACTTGAGCCCAGAAGTTTGAGACCAGCCTGGGCAACACAGGAAGACTCACAGAAGTCTCTACAAAAAATAAAAAATTAGCCAGGCATGGTGGCATGCGCCTAAAGTCCTAGCTACTTGAGACACTGAGGCAGGAGGATCCTAGGAGTTTGAGGCTGCAATGAGCTACAACTGCACCACTGTACTCCATCCTGGGTGACAGAGTGAGATCCTGTCTCTTAAAACACACACACACACACACACACACACACACACAAATTGATTGGTAACGTAAGATGGATTGGATTGCTTTTCTCTTCTTTTAAAGAAAATAGTACACATGAAGAGGCAAGCAAAGAGTAGACAGCCAAAAATATAGAAGAAAAAGCTTTATGGAGGTGTGCTAGGGAGTTAATTTTTTTAAAATAATACTTTTCCCCTGGATTCTATAATACGTGTTATATGTAGCCACTTTCGAAAATTTACAATATGTTTTCATTCTAAATAAATATTCACTTTCAAACTAAAAACTGCTTATGGTGTAATTCCATTTATAAAGTTCAACCAGCAAAATTAAACCACATTGCCTATGAATGCTTATACAAATCATAAACTATGTCTTATGTGTAGTCTGACGTAGGAGTCATTAAGGGGGTTGGGAAGATTGTGACTGAGAAGAGATACACAGGCTGCCTTCAAGGTGTTGGAATTTTTGACCTAGGTGGATGATGGTCACATGGATATGACCAGGTCACATGGATGCTGGCTTATAACCACTTTTAAAACTCTACTTATAAAGGTTTTTTATGTGCATTTCTGTACCTATATTATATTTCACATTATATGATGCTTGTAAAAATCATAATGAAATTATAAAACTAAAACTAATATAGGTATTATGCAGGAAAGGAATGATTCCATAAGATTAAAAACTATAAAGATAGTATGGCACTATCCCGGGAATAAAAATAAAATCAACTCTCTAGCTAATAAAAGTTGTTTCCCATGGGTTAACAATTCTGATACTGCTATATTGGTACACGTACACTGGGACTGAACAATTAAGTAAATCGATGGTGGATGGTAGTAGCAGGTTTTCCACTGTTGGAGGGGGAAGAGGCTACAATGATCCGTTTGCTAAGGATTAGAGTTGAAAACATCAATGAGAACTCATATTTAGTTTAGTATAGTTACAGATGATTACACATTGAAATGTTCATATACGTTTATGTGTGTTTACGCATGGGTTAACTTACACACATACACTTCTTTGCTTTGTCAGCTGAAAGAGGCTTAAAGAAACAACACTCCGGCCGGGCGCGGTGGCTCACGCCTGTAATCCCAGCACTTTGGGAGGCCGAGGCAGGCGGAATCACAAGGCCAGGAGACCGAGACCATCCTGGCTAACACAATGAAACCCCGTCTCTATTAAAAAAAAACAAAAATACAAAAAATTAGCCGGGCGTGGTGGCGGGCGCCTGTAGTCCCAGCTACTCAGGAGGCTGAGGCAGTAGAATGGTGTGAACCTGGGAGGCGGAACTTGCAATGAGCCTAGACAGCGCCACTGCATTCCAGCCTGGGCGACAGAGCGAGACTCCGTCTCAAAAAAAAAAAAAAAAAAGAGAGAAACAACACTCCAAGGCTGAGTGCGGTGCCTCATGCCTATAATCCCAGCACTTTGGGAGGCTGAGGCAGGAGCATCACTTGAGCTCAGGAGTTTGAGACCAGCCTGGGCAACACAGGGTACCCCATCTCTACCAAGAAGAAAAGAATTGAAAAGAAAAAGAAAGGAAAGGAGAGGCAGAGGGAAAGAAGAGAGAAGACAGAAGAGGGAAGAGAGAAGAGAGAGGAAGGAGGAGAGAAAAGAGAAAAGAAACGAAATGAAACAAAACAAAACGAAAAAGAAACAACACTCCAGCAGCGATAAGCAAACCTATTGCCCAGATCTTGATTTCTAAGCCCATCCCAACAAAAGGAACTAGAGCCCCTTAGAGAAATGTCTACTTCTAGGACTGGGGCAGGAAATACACAAGATGAGCCAAGAATATTTGTAGTATCAAAAGTAAGGAAGTGCTAAAAACCAATGAGCCCACATTGATGGGGGTTATCAAGGAAGCCAACTCAAAGAGCTCCCAAGGGCCAAAGCTGGAACAATTTGAGCAACAAAATAAAGTAGTCATGGCTTATAACCCAAAGTACAAAATAAGTATCCATGACTCCATACTGATCTGAATGACTGAATAAATTAATAAATGGGAGAGAAAAGACAAAGAATTCCAAATAATTTAGATAGCTCCTTTACCCTAAAGGAGGAGAAACGACACATGCTACTGTAAGTGTGGGCTGCACAAAGAGACTTTTTCCAAAGATTACAGTATGGAAAGGATGAAAAAAAGAGTAATCTTACAGTGGGGAAACCTGACACACAGTACTTTAGGCAGGTCACCAACATTAATGTCAACAGTTATAAATCGAGTTGACAGAATATACCCTCAGTGTGATATGATGACAATGGCCCTTCACCGCTCTGATCTTACCCCACAAACACATAACCCCAATCTTTTCACAAGAAAAATATCAGACAAATTCCAGGAGAGGGGAATCCTTACAATATACCTAACCAGAACTCCTCAAAACTCTCAAGATTGTCAAAATCAAGGAAAGTCTTTTGGATTTTGTTGTTTTTTGTTTTGTTTTGTTGTTTTGTTTTTTTTGAGACAGGGTCTCACTCCATCGCCCAGGCTGAAGTGCAGTGGTGTGATCACTGCTCACTGCAGCCTACACCTCCCAGGCTCAGGTGATCCTCCCACCTCAGCCTTCCAGGTAGCTGGAACTATAGGCACATGCCACTATGGCCCTAATTTTTTGTATTTTTAGTAGAGATGTGGTTTCACCACGTTGCCCAGACTGGTCTCAAACTTCTGGACTCAAGAGATCCACCCACCTCAGCCTCCCGAAGTGCTGGGATTAAGGTGTCAGCCACTGTGCCTGATTTCTAAAGTCTTAGAAATCATTATGGCCAAGAGAAGCTTAATGAGAGACGACAACTAAATGTAATATGGTATTACGAATGAGATCCTGGAACAAAAAAAAAATGACATTAACGGAAAATGAAGGAAATCTGAATAAAGTACAGATTTTAGTTAATAATAATCATGTATCAATATCATTTCTCCAAATGAAATGAATTTACCATACTAATGTAAGATGCTAATAACAGGGGAAACTAAGGCAAGGCATATTGAAACTCTCTGTACTGTCTTCGTAATTTTTCTATAATTCTAAAATTGCTCTAAAAATAATCTATAAAAAATTAAATATAATCAACAGATCATACAGCCAAGAAAGAGAACTCAGAAAATATATGTAATGCTGGATTATGATAGAGGGGATATTAAAAATATACATGGAAAGGACAGACTATTGAATAAGTGATCTAGGGACTTGGTGGACTACATGAAAAAATAAAATCAGGTGAGATTAGACTACTGCCATGCTCCACATACAGATTACAGTTGGATTACAATTTCAAATGTGTAAAAACAAATCTTTAAGATAACTATTAAAAATCTTAGAGAATATCTTCATAATCTTGGGATATGAAAGGCCTTCTTAAGCAGAAGAAAGGTAGCATGCACCATACAGAAAAGATTGATTTGACTACAAAAAAGTTTTCAACTATTATAGAAGAAATGTTATTATTTAAGGAATAAGAAGGACAAATGACTGACCAGAAGAAATGATGTTCAACCTATAATGGCTCAAAGGATGAATACACAAAATGTAAATAAATTCTGCAAGTAAATTAGAAAATGACGAACCAGTACAAAAATGGGGAAGAGATATGAAGAGATGAATCACAGAGGAATGACCATTAAACAAATGGAAATACGCTAGCTATCACTAGTAACGCACATTTCACACTTAAGATTTTATGTTTTTCCCAACAGATCGGTAAAAATTACAAGGATTGACAATATTTAATATTGCCAAGAATGTAGGGGAAAGCATCTTTAATACACTGACTGTAGATCATTCGGTGGTTTAACCACTCTGGAGGACAATTTGACATCATTAAATGTGTACATCTTCCCTTCCAAAATATTTACAAAAGGAGCAAAACCAGGCTTTTGTTAACAGCAATATGGTTCACTAAACAGCAATATGATGGAAAAGTATACATTAGTTTAAAAGAATGAGATAAATACACAGATGTATAGAGAGATATAGATAAACGTGCGTAAACACACCAACACTTTTCTATATTTAACACGGAAATATCTCTCCAAGAATATAGCTTGGTGTAGAAAAAAAGCTGAAGAATAATAAATAGGGCATAACAAAATCTGTGATTAAAAACAAAAGGAAAAGAGACTCAAAAACAATGTATTAATGACATATATATGCAAGTATTGAATGCACAGGAAACTCTTACAGGCTACTTATCAAACGGAGAAAAAAAATGAGATCGGGGGAAAGCGGCATGTTTTTATGTATTACTTGTATAATTAGTTTTTTTTTTCTTCGTGAAATAAGCAAGAAGGGAAAGAAGAAGTGGTAAAAGTTTTACACAGAACGTATTTTCCCAAATGAGCAATCCATGCATCTAGGCTGCTGTGAGTCGGGTGCCTTGCTCCTGTGGCACAAGGGTCTGACTTCAACTCTGTTCCCCTGGAACTAATGGGACGACGTCAGCGACACTGCTAAGCAACGCTGCTTATGGGAAAAATGACCCGACTGGCCAGTTGCAAACATCTGATGCATACGCCGTACTTTGCGGCTTCTGTAAATGCAGAGACTCTTGTCTTCTGTGCTTTGCTCAAACCTTGTGGGGACATAAGGTCAGAAAACATCATAAAGCAAGGTGTCACTCAGATCAGCACTTTAGATTTGCACTGCAGCGAGCTGGCTGTGTGTGGAAAAGCTCCTTTTAAATTCTTAATAGCCTATGCTATTTTTCATGACTGACACCTAAACTGCCTTATAAACTATAAATACTCCATTTTAATCCTCCTTCAAGTTATATGTAAGCAACGATATTTTGCATTAAATTAAACTAAGGCATTTTGGGTGAACAGCAAGGTTTAAAACATATTCATTACACGACTGTAGTAAATTTATGGTTCACATAAATTTTATCCATAATTTCCCAAAGCACTATGGAAAGTTAAATCATTCATTTTTATAAAGTAGAACACAATGTGGGACTATATAAAACCTAAAAAGAAGAAAAAAAATTTCCAAAGGGTCTGGCTTCCAAGTTAAGGTCTTGAGAAAGAAAAGCTTTACATAATCTAACAATCAAAACTTCTTCCTGACAAAAACGAATCCTCAATGTAAATCACAGCGGAAAAAAAAAATCATTCTTGATGGATAAAGATGAGACAAAACTTGCCAAAATATAACTATGGATATGCTTGAAATAGCAAAGAATTATATTTGCAAATAGTGCAAATGAAAATGCCAGTGTAACATAATACAAGATAAAACTGAATTTCTGTTTCGGTGTTTTTGAGATTATAGCACCAGTCATTGTAATTGTCCAATCTGAGACAGCCACCTCAGCTGGTTTGAGAGCTATATCAACCAAATTCAGGATGGCCCATATAAAACAGAGAACATTCCTTTTCGTCACACTATGTTACCACTTCTTTCAAGGGGCTTTAAAAATGCATGACATAAGGCCCCCAACCCCATTTACATTTTGTTTTAGTAGTTCTTAGAGGCATCCAGGATTTTACACTTTGAAAAAGTGCTGATTCTGGTCCAGAACAGGACCTCAAAGAGGCATCTACCACCACACTTCTACTTCCTGAATCAGATCAGAAGGGGAGGATTTTATGTACACATGTGTGTGTGTTAGTTTTTTTTTCCTTTCTTATAAATACCTATTCTAGGTATCTCAAAGTCTTATAACTGATAATAACATAAAATATGTTTGTTTGTTAGTTTTAATTGAATCCCTTAATGGTATGTATCAATTTCAGGATAGTTTTACCTCTGGTGACAGACAGAAAACAGAGAATTGGGGTAAGGATAATGTTTTATTTCTTAAAGAAAAAAAAAAGAGAAAAATATGAATCAAGTGTGGCAAACAGTTCCTAGCTGTTATACATGAATGAAGGATAATATGGGTATCACAGTATTTGCCATACTTTTCTATAAGTTTCAAATACTTAATTTTTTAAATTAAATGCACAGAATTATTCTAAAAGCAAGACAGTATGAGAATATCTGCACATGCCATCACTACCCAGAGAAAGAGGCAATGAGTCCATGTCCTCCAGTAACTTTTACCTAGGAGGGCATCCCTGAGTTGATCTTATGTCCCTAGTGTTGGTGACAGAAAAACAAGCATGATCTGCCTGCATTTGCTTAAAGCATGCTGTATTTCACTGTGAACAAGATTTAAGCAAAGATGGAATGAGAACTGCCCCTCTTGGGGTCACATACCAGTGTCACTCCCAGATCCCGTTGACAAAGCTGGCATGATGCAAGGTGTAGGAACAGGTCAGCCCACCGCTCTCCGGACACCCTGCCTTCGGACAGCCACAGGGAATTCCAATTCAACAGCCTGCAGCCACGTTGTCTACCAAGATCTGTATATTTTGTAAGCCGTTTCTAGAAAGGAAAGAAACATTTATATTTTTTAAAAAGGGACCATCACCAAATCACAACATTCTGTAACTAATTCAAAATTCTCATCCCAATCACTATTGGAGAGATCGCAACTCTTCAGAATTTTTTCTACAGACCACATGCAAGTACAAACTGTGAGAGTTTCTGATCTTGACAAGCAACTTCGAATTGAAAACATGAATGTTCTGCATGCGTGTGTTGAGGATTCCTTAAAGATTTTTACATTTGGGTTGAGGAACACTGATTGGATACGTGGATAATTTTAAGAAGCTTCTGTAAGTCAATGTCATTCTCAACTTCCTTCCCTGTGTTACTATAATTCTCAGCTACATTTCTAAATGTAGAACAGAGACTATATAAATTGTCAGCAACTTATAATTTTTATTTTTTTATTTTTATTTTTTTTTTTGATACGGAGTCTCACTCTGTCACCCAGGCTGGAGTGCAATGGTGCGATCTGGGCTCACTGCAACCTCCGCCTCCTATGTTCAAGCAATTCTTCCTGCCCCAGGCTCCTGAGGAGCTGGGACTACAGGGGCCCGCCACCAAGCCTGGCTAATTTTTTTTTTTTTAATAGAGACGGGGGTTTCACCATGTTGGCCAGGCTGGTCTTGAACTCCTGACCTCAGGTCATATGCCCGCCTTGGCCTCTCAAAGTGCTGGGATTACAGGTGTGAGTAACCGGACCCAGCCTAATTGTATTTTTTTAAATAGCTCATCCTAATATGACAAATGCATGGTTCTCTAACTGATGTCTGCAACTAACCTTGAAGGAATATTTACTAGAATGGAAGCAAGATGTTATTATAGATTTACAGAAGTGTTAGTAATCCAAAGTAAATCTAACAATCCAAGCTAGCATACATAAGTAAATTCTTTTAGTAAAAACTAACCTTTGCTTTATCTGGAAAAATATTAACTTTTTTTTCAATAACTATCTTAACTAATGTTTATCCTCAAATAAGCAGTAAAGGCAGTATAGCATAGTAGCTAAGAACAAGGGATCTAGAGTTTGACCTAATCTTTAATGCTGCTAGTTCTGTGATCTTCAACAAGGTATTTCATCTTCTTAAGCCTTAACTTCCTTATATGCAAATAGAGACAATAGTAAATTAGAACTATTTGGTAATTAAATATACTCAGACATATAATGCAGTGTCTGACACATGGTAAATAAACAAGAAACAATGGTTGTTAGGGTTTTTTTTTAATTCAGGTAATGAGATTATACAATGAAAACACAAAAGAAAGTAGCAAGATTAAAATTTACATTGGCCTAACACCTAGAGGGAGGCCATCTGGTTTAAATTTGGATCACCCCTGGCTAATAACAGAGAAAGTACTCCATTTACATTTTTGTAGAAATCAGAAGAACCATACACTGTGTTTTAAGTTCATTTTTAATGCACTTTCCTCAATTCTCTATAAAGCAAATTCAGTAATTTAGAAGCATATTTTTAACATATATTAACAACAACAAAAAAACATTGGAAACACTGGAAAGACTGGTTCACATCAATTCTGAAAGCCTTTAAGTTGCTGATTCAAATTGCAGAATAAAGAGAAATGAACTTGCCAAATTTTACTTTAAAAAATCCAAACTGTAAGATTCTATTAAAGCCTTCTAAATTTGCTTTTTAATTGTTAAAGTGAAAATTCGTATTAAAAACTTCACCATCAAATGGATTATTTTAGACCAGACTATCTGCTGTAATACCTTGAATTTTCCTTTATGTTATTGCAAAGGCTGACATAGTTAAAACATGCATACAAATCCATATAGAAAAGAGTGCTAATTTAAAATATAAGAATTGTTATTTGAAATGCCAAATGAAAATATAGCTGACTAAGCTAAAAATTAAAAATGTGAGGCAAGATTTCACTAATGCACACGTATGGAGCTGTTTTTTCTAACAATTTTGAAAGCAACTTTGCTTTGCCTTCATAAATTATTCTAAAAAATCAGTGTGATGAATTCAACTACAGGAAAATGTTCCTTATATAAAGCAAGGCTAGAAATGAAGTAATTCAAAGTCAAAAAAAGACTGTATAATTTAAAGAACACAGTCAATTAGTAGACTTTTGTTTTGCTAATATTAAAAAATGAAAATCAATTAAAATTTCTAAAATGTCTGCAGACACATTTGTACCATTAGGCCAATATATATGCATGTATGTTTGTGAGTAGGTATTTATTATATGTGTGTGTATATATATGTAATTTAAGTTTCTTTATGTCATGAGAAAAGCCTAAATTTATATGGTATAGATTGCACATATGCTATACCATGTACACCATGCAACCTATCACTTTCTTCACAGCTTAAAGAACTTACAATGTTTCATGCTTGTAAACCATACACACCATATAATAAGACAACATATGCTTATATCAATTAGAATTTCATACAATTTGAAACATTCACATTCCATTAATACTAAAGACCTTACATTCCAAATCAAAATATCCTTTTGAGCTGATATTGCTGCTGTTCATCTATGCCATATACAAAAAGCCCTCATATTTCTTGTTTTTTATTTCATAATGAACACTCAAGGTTAAATTTTTCCAAAGCTGTATCATTTACTACAAAACAATTATCTTTTAAGTATATATACTACAAAGTAATCACCTTCTCAGACCATATACAAGCATATGAATTTAAAAAATGGTTTGACAGAATCCTAACCAGTAATACTTTGTATTTTGTGGAATGAAGCAAAGTTGCTAGGTTTAACTTTCAAACTGAGTTAAACTTTTGTAGTAATGATGTTATTTTCTTTGGCAAAATTCATTGAAAATGCTTTGGAATTTGTCGGAACGCAGCCATAATTATTACTGACTGTTGTATGGAATCGATTTACTACAACACAAAAATACCAGCTGTAAAGTATGTCCTAAGAGGGATTACCGAATATTCTTAAATTGAAGTTCAATCCATCTTTCCATAAAAAAGAGAAAGACCCGAAAGCCAGGAACATAACAGCAGTATCAAGTGCACCTGAAGCATTTACAATACCCAATAGAACGATTACAACCCTCCTTTAAAAGGGCTTATTTTTGAAATTTCATTATTCCAGTTGTACCTTGCTTCTATATATCACACTGTATCAGGTTCCTCTGGCACTGATCATGTGGAAACAGTGAACTATGTGAAGGTCTATGAGCTTACAACGTTCAATTTCTACCCACTCTGGGTAACTCTTAATGCTCCCGTGGCACTCATGACATCTAGTGGTCAACCACAGAAGTGCAAGTGTTTAAAACTTGTTTTCAGTAAATAATTAATTCCATAGTCTGCAACATTTTTTATTAATGTGAACATATACACACACACACAGTTAATATATATCAACAAGAAACCAAGTACTTTTCAAATACATTTCCTCTAAATTTGGGTAAGTGTTCAAGAATATGAAAACTTGTAATTAACTGTCATCATAAACTACTTTAATAATTATGTTAGCAATCTATCATTTCAGAAGAATAAGTGTGCTCAGAAATCCAACTGTAGATTATTTCACCAGATACACATACTCAAAAGTTACATTTTCAAAACCTAATAGAGCAATAAAATAACACAAACAAGAGTAAACTTTTTAAAAAAAAATCTATCACAGATTTTTGTAAAAGCTCAATCTGAAAGACTCATTAGTTCTATTAGCCAGTGCAAGAAGCAGACTTATATCTGTTAACATATTTGGACCCTCATAAATTATAATTGTAAGAATAAAAGGAGGCAACATATACTAAGTGGCAGACATCTGCTTATATAAAATGGTACTTGTACCTTTTATACCAGCCATTCTCAAAGCATGGTCCACAGACCCCTAGTGGTCTCCAGGACCCTTCCAGAGGGGTCCATGAAGTCAAACTATTTTCATAAAATTACTAAAGAAAGTACTGAGATGTTATTTGTCTTTTGCACTGTACCAGCATTTGCACCAATGGTGAAAAGCAATGGTCACAGTTGGTAAAACCACTGGCACCTGAGCATGAGTCAGGATAATGGCACCAAATTGAAACTATTCAACATTGTGTTCTTCACTGCCAAGGATGCTCATTCAGAGTAGGAGGAGGAAAAGGAAGAAAAGCAGGAAGAGGAGGAGGGGAGAGGGAAGGTTCATTATAGAATATCCTTAATGAAGCAGTAAAAATTAATATTAATTGACTCTTGAGTACCCTTCTTTTTAACATCCTGTGTGAATAAGGGGAAGCACACATAAAGTAACTGCTGCTATAAACAAAGGAAATACTGTCTCAAAAGAACACTTGTGCAATGATTTGAGTTGTGAGTTATACTGGCTGCTTTGATCATGGAACTTTTTTTTTTTTAACTTAAAAGAACAACTGAAGACAAACTATGGTTATTCAAGCTTCGGTATTTGGCAAACATTTTCTTGAAGATAAATAGAGTCCATACTTTCAAGGGAAACCAAAAACAGTATATGTTGCTAATGATAAAAATGAGCTTCCAAGCAAAAATCAGAATTTTAAAAACTTGCATCCACTAGAGGCTCATTTTGCTATGTTAACTGAAATACACGCATGGTGGAACCAAGTCCCCACTTTGCACTGGTTCTATCAGCTTCTCAATGCCCAAAGCCTTTGCTGAGAAGACCCACGGTGGTATTAACAAATGTGATTTTTTTTTTTTTTGGCATTTTGTATCAACATTGGGAAGATCTGCATGATTCGGTGAACCAATATTTTCCCATTTTCTACTAACACATTAGAAAATCATGCATGAACGACATCCATTAAAAGCTCAAGATTGATCAATGGATTTAAAGTTCCAATACAATAATTTTATTTCTATACTTTCAGATTTTACACTGAAACTTATCTTTAAGAAACTGCCATATATCTTTGGTGTAACAGCAAATATCCACAGTTAACTGAATAGGCTATTAAAATACTCCTCCCTTTTCCAACTACAGATCTCTGTAAGTTCAGTTTTTCTTCATATCCTTCAACCGGAACATACAGCAACAAAATGAAAGTAGACACAGATACAAAAATATAAAGGTCTCCTGTTGAGCCAGGAATTAAAGAAATTTGCAATTCACTCATGTTTTTGTTTTGAGGGTAAAATTATTTTTCATAAAAATGTTATTTGTGTTAACATGAAGCAAATTTAATAGTTATTTTTAAATTAATTAAACCAATATAACCCACATAATCAAAACTCTTTAGAGCCTTCAATAATTTTTAAGAGTATAGATCTGAGGCCCAAAAATGTTGAGAATTGCTTCTCTAATGCCAAGGTTTGGCAAACATTCTCTGTAAAGGGCCAGACAGTAAACATTTTAGGCTTTGTGGTCCGTATGGTCTCAACCTAAACAATAGGTACATGAGTATGACTGTGTTCCCATAAAACTTGATTTCCAGAAATGAATGAGGGCCAAGTTTGCTGACCACTATTCTATATCCTTACATCCTATCTGCTAGTGACTTAAGGATCTAGAAGTAGCATGCTTTCTAGTAACATTTTTACTGGTCATTATTTATACATTCAAAAAGAAAGTTAAAAAAATCTATTTTGTTTTGTTGTGCAAAACTGTGAAAATTTTTAAAGATTCAGTTCTTAATCATAAACAAAATTGCATTTCAATTTTGGCTATCTCAAGTATCTCAGACTCGTCACTATACATAAAGAATTTAAAAACAGACTTACAACTGGCCAAGTATTAGGATGTTGTATGTAAGAAAAGATGATTTATACAACCAAAAACAAAAATTCCTAGTTTTCAAGAAAAAAAGATTATGAAGGATCAAAATGTCTCACATTTTACAAATCCAATGGGGTTCAATGATTAATATAAAACCAACATATGTCCTTTCCACACATGGAAAGGGAAATGCTGAAGCAACAGAAAAGAAGAATCCCACTAAAAGAATCCTATAAACCTTTAAAGACTTCAGAAAGGAAACAAGAGAACATGCTGCTTTATAATCCCCAGGCGAAGAGACCCAGGCTTCAAGGCTGCTAGGAAAGTCTGCCGGGAACCCTGGTCCATTTGCCAGGAAGGAGTATTAACCACAAGACCCTTAGGGACTCATCTAGTGCGGGCTCGGGAAGGCACACAACCGCCCCTTCTCTGCAAGCATAGGTGTAATGAATGAACTAGCACTTGCAGGCAATGAACTCATTCCAGACTACCCAAACCATCTACAACAATGAGTGCACCATGACCCCATTTTCCTTTTTTACTCTCCTTAAGCAAAAATGGCAGCATTTATAGTGTTGGCACATCCTCCACACTTCTCCTCTGGGGTACTTCTCTGATGATGACTGCCTTTCCATTGCATTTATATTCTACCACTTACTGCTAAAAAGTCTTGGCTAAATCTTCAAGATTACACCACTGACCATCAATGACCCACTATTTTTGCTCTGTATCTCTTTCCTCTAATTGTTGGGGGCAGAGAAGAGTGATACAACTTCTTGATTACGTTTTCCTTGACTAATTCTCAATTTCAGATTCATCTCAGCATTCCACTGGCATTCCCTTAAGTCCTCTCTACCGCAGAAACCAGTCCTTTTTTGTAATTAACGTACATCAATATAATTCTACATTTTTTTGTTCAATCAATGTCCCCCACTAGATTCCTTGAGAATGGAACCCATATCATCATATGTCCCTAAAAACTGAATAATGATCCGCTGTCTTTCCCTTCCAAGTCAGAGTCACCTCATCATTTTACCTATAGGGAGATAGCACAGCCTAACAATGAGAGCACAGATTTTGAAATCAGACAGACCTAAGATCACACCCAAGCCCCGCCTTACTGACTCCATGATCCTGGCCAAGCTACTTAATGAAATGAGATTAAATGAAATAACAAAAGTAAAACATCTAACCCATATATAGCAGCCAATCAACAGATGGCCGCTTTTATCACATTTTTTTTTTCAAGACAGAGTTCCGCTCTTGTTGCCCAGGCTGGAGTACAGTGGTGCGATCTCGGCTCACAGCAACCTGTCAGGAAAGGGATGCATGAACAAAATAACAACAGAATCAGAGAAACAGAACTATTAAAAGTTTCTATTTCTAGAAACTCTGGAGCTTACAAATACAATAATGGAATTGAAAAATTCACAAGAGGGGCTCAACAGCAGACTTGATCAAGCAGAAAAAAAAAATCAGTGAACTTGAGTATAGATCATATGACACTATAAAGTCAGAAGAGCAAAAGCGAAAAAACAATGAAGAAAAGGGAAGAACCTAATGGGACACCATCAAGCAGATGAATATACGCACTATGGGAGTCTGAGAAGAACAGAGAAAGGGACATGGCTGAAAATTTCCCAAATGTGAGGGGAGAAATGGACACAAAAATTCAAGAAGCTTAAGAAACTGAATTGGATAAAGCCAAAGATACTCATGCTAAGACATATTATAATTAAATTGTCAAAAGTCACAGAGAGAATCTTGAAAGCAGCAAGAGAAAAATGACTCATCATGTACAAGGAAGCATCCACAGAGGATCAGTGAATTTCTCAGCAGAAATTTTGCAGGTTGAAGTAAGATGATACAATCAAAGTGGTGAAAAAAAAAATCTGCCAATCAAGAAGACTACATCTGACAAAACTGTCCCACAAAATGAAAAATAAATTAATCCCTTCCCAAATAAACAAAAGCTGAGGGAGTTTGTTGCCACTATGCCTGTATTACACATACTAAAGGGAGTCTTTCAAGTCTAAATGAAAGAACGCTAGACGGCAACATGAAACCACATGAAAATATAAAGCTCTTTGGTAAAGCTGAATATATGAACAAATATAAGATACAGTAATATTGTAATGATGCATAAATCACTTTTAATTCTTTTATAAATTTTCAGGCTGGGCAATCATAGCAGAAGGTGAAAGGGAAGCAAGGCATGTCTTATGTGGTGGCAGGCGAGACAAACAGAGGATAGGGGAAACTGCCAAACGCTTTTAAAGCATCAGATCTGGTAAGAACTCACTATCACAAAAAGAGCATGGTGGAAACCACCACTATGATCCAATTACCTCCTACTAGATCCCTCCCTTGACACATGGAGATTACAATTTGGATTACAATTCAAGATGAGATTTGGGTACGGACACAGAATTGAATCATATCATACATCTTCTCCTTCCCAAGTTGTCTAATGTTTCCCATAATGACAAGTCCATCAGCTCAAGTCCCTGACATAGAGCACAGTACCCCACCAACATGTGATGGATATACAGCAGCAGCAAGAAATAAATGTGTTGTTGGAGTTATTTGCTACTGAAATACAACATAGCCCATTATGACTGATATACTGCTCATTTACAAATATCAATAGTATGATTTTAAAATAAAATAAATCATTCACTCTAAGTATTTACATTGTTATTTCCTAAGTACTAATTAATATTAAGTGGTTCAACACAATAGTTCCAAAAATTTGTGGGCTACTAGAAACATCTGTAATAAATCTGGACATTCACAAAGATGATTTCATGTGTTTACTGACAACAGACTCATGTAAATTGTCTAGTTTTGTCAGTTTCCTAGGCCCTATATCAGAGCTATCAAAAAATACACTTTCTAAAAATTGATTCGTTTGTAAATAATTATGTCATAATACTAAAGTTAACTGTATGCATTTTCAAATTAAGGACAGCACTAAAAAGTTAAACTAAATGTAACACACAATGGTTGCAATCATGTATATTTATGTATGTATGTTTTGAAGCTATCTTAAACAGACAGTGATAAAAGGAAATATATAATCCAAAGCATTCATTATATATAACACAAACAACTTTATATTAAGTTAGGTTTTTCTCCATGGTGGTCTATCTTTATACTCCTAAAGGAAATCCTCACTTATCTGTGTATGAGCTTATACCCATGTTTCCATTCTTCTAGCATATTCATCTATTTTATTTCCAATGCTAAGAACAAACCAAGATAAGCCCTTCAAACAATTCAAAATCCTAATGTTATATTGTAGAGAACAGTGCATCCTTTATGAACTAGAAGAGAATCTATTCTGTATTAGCCCTTTATGTATTAAACGGTAGAGACTCTTACATTTGAAGTCAGCTATACCCAAGAGAAACTTTAAGAGCACTGCATTGTTCATACACCTTTTAATGTCACTTTCTTCAATAACCTCAATTTTTATACTTCATGAATATTAGCTGCTGGAATCTATTGAGTATACTTTGTAAATTTTTAATTTGTATGTCATAGCTCTGAATAGGAGTATTTTCATTTCTACAGTGAAACAAATGAACAGAAAAGGGGAAAAGTTAACATTTCCAAAGAGTTATGTAAAGACGGAGCAAAAATTAAGTTGCTAAGGAAAGTAACATGCCAGTCATTGTCCAAAAACCACGGGAAATGGTTACAGAAAAGAGCATTTCACAGAGCTGTGCACAGCCTGCTAGTGGACTGCTAGCCAAACTCTCTTAGACTAACACACCCTGGAATGAATCTATCTGATTAGGAGAACTTACTTTATGACCAATTTAGTGTCAAGAAATCTGAGGGCTAGAAGGGGAACCTGGCTGGGAAAAACAGGGCCTGCTAAGACCACATGGAAGCCAGCTGTCAGCCACTTCCTATTCATACACTCCCGGGAGGAGACATGCCCTCACAAGAAACGGAAAATGATGTAAACGCCAAGCAGGAGGCTTTGTGCACTCCGACGCGGCTCAAGTGGTTCAGGTTTCCCGGGTGTTTCCCCAGGTGGCATCTTCTCAGCTTCCTTGGCCTCCCTTTCTAAAATCTCCCTCACACCTTCCTAATTCCACTTAATGATCTTTGCCTGTGCCCATCCCAACTTCATGAGCTATGCGTATTTCACTCTTCTTGTCTAGAGTCTGTCTTTTACTAGAATACAGTCAATGCGATGCAGGGCATAATGATGTTTCTGTCAATCACACACCACATATATGGCAGTGGTCTCATATTCTTACTCTTCCCTTTCTATGTTTAGGTATGTTTAGATACACAAATACTTACCACTGTGTTCCAATTGCCAGAAATATCCAGTGCAGTCACCTACTGTACAGGTTTCTGGCCTAGAAGCAACAGGCTGCACCATGCAGCCTAGGTGTGTAGTGGGCTCTGCCATTTGGGTTTGCCTAAGTGCACTCTAGGATGCTCCCACAAGGACCAAGTCGCCTAACAACAAATTTCTCAGAACGTCTCCCTGTCGTTAAGCAACGTATGACTTACAGAAACTATGAGAGGGCAGGGAGTTTGGTCTGCATTATTCACTGCTGAATTCCTGGTGTCTTAGAATAGTGCCTGCCATAATAATATGTGGCTCCAAACATTAATTGAATAATGAATGAAAAAATGAATGAGTGACTACTGGAATTCCTACCAATTTTAGCTATGATAATATTATATATTTTATATATATTATTTATTTTGTGTTTCTGCCTGTCCTCTTCTTAGTTCTCCTGTCCAAAGGAAAAAGACTGCTAATCTCATTGATCACAACCTAAAAATATTTACTAGACCAAAAGTATAGTAGGAAAACTGTCAACAAATTAGATATTAAAAGGTCACTATCTGGCCGGGCACAGTGGCTCATGCCTGTAATCCCAGCACTTTGGGAGGCCAAGGTGGGGGGATCACATGAGGTCAGGAGTTCAAGACCAGCCTGACCAACATGGCGAAACCCCATCTCTACTAAAAATACAAAAATTAGCCGGGCATGGTGGCACACGCTTGTAGTCCCAGCTATTCGAGAGGCTGAGGCAGGAGAATTGCTTGAACCTGGGAGGCAGAGGGTGTAGTGAGCTGAGATCCACTGCAATACAGCCTGGGCAACAGAGAGAGACTTTGTACACCGCCAAAAAAGGTCATATGTGCCCAGTCCCCTTGACATCTCGTGCTCCCTTTTCCCCGAGTAAGCAGACTCTGCTAGTGCCAGTCAGCTTGCCGGCTGCCCACTCTCACCATTTCACTGGGTTTGGGTCACACTTGTGCTGGCTGCGTGCCTTTCTCACACAAACTTCTGCTGACCTGGGCTTCTGATATGATAAGAGAGCCTGCACCTTCCCCTGGTGGGAGGAGCCTAGCCCACTCCTCTCTGGAATGGCTCCACTTCTCTTCTCGCATGGAGAAGTCTAGCATGGGCCATTGTTTTAGCCAAGAATGATGTCCTCTTCAACTTTTGTGCACATTTGAAATTTTTGTTGATGAAAAAAGTGTCCTTTTCAACATTTTGATTTAAAATGTAATAGCATTTACTATATATCCATCTCTTGAAAGTCTCAAAAAAAAAAAAAACTGTAGAAAGAAACTATTATATAACCACAAATTACTAACAGTAAAAGCAAGCCTTTGTGGTTCTCCTATTGGATGTAACAGAACCCATTATCTATACCACCAAATTCTAACTTTCCTGATTTTATTTCCCTAAACATCTCTCTCCTAACATCCTTTGTTTTGGAGAGATGCTCAATAGAGTATTTAGGGGTGTCAAGTAATGGTGTCTGTAATTTATGCAAAAATACTTCAGCAGAGAGGCGGAGGAGAGGGAGAGAGAACATATGGCCAAATGTCATCTGTTGCTGGATCTAAGATGGACATATGGGTATTCATTGTACTATTCTTTCTACTTTTCTATATATCTTGAAATTTTTATGCTAAAACTTTTTTAGGGGAAAAAAAGAACTTCCACATCTCCCAGCCTCTTATATCCCAGAATTATGTGCCTTCTGAGAACCCTAATAAGCCCATCGGCAAACACAGTAATCCTCAAATTGGTCTGTTCCCACCTCCAACCCATCCTACACAGGCTGCCAGCATCATCTTTCAAAGATCCTTACGTGATCACTTGACTACTCTAAATAAACGAGCTGATGATTCAACCGCACTTTCATGATAAAGTTTAAATTCCTTAAATTGAGACATGCTCTTGGTCCTTTCTTATTGCTTTCTTTGCAAAAATCACACCAACACCCTCTCTCAAGTTTTCTATAAAACTACAACCCTGAACACACTGTGTTATTTCATGCTTCTTTGAATTTGATCACTCTAGTTCCTCTGCCTGCTTCAAAATATAGGTTTAATTACATGTATGTTACCACACTGCCTAATGAGGAGCCTGTGAGCAAAAAGGATCATAATAGTAAGTATAGGTGTCAACAAAGTCTAATCTATAAAGTCATACAGTCTTTTTCAAACCTGCATATGACTATTCAGCAATTCCTTTCAAATTCAGTAGAGGGTGCCATGATTTAATTTTTAAAAGGAAAATGGAATTCATGTTAACAAAGGCAACTTTCACAAGCTTTAGCTGATGTGTTAAAGCTATAAAAAATATATTTCTAATAAGTAAGGAATGTGAAACTAAAAATAAACACCCAACATTGTCTTAATCTGAACAAATAACATATTTTTGATTTAAGAAAGAACCATATAAGAATACATCAAAATTCTGGTTGGGCACAGCGGCTCAAGCCTGTAACACCAGCACTTCGGGAGGCCGAGGTGGGCAGATCACTTGAGGTCAGGAGTTTGAGACCAGCCTGGCCAACATGGTGAAACCCCATCTCTACTAAAAATACAAAAATTAGCCAGGTGTGGTACATGCCTGTAGTCCCAGCTACTCGGGAGGCTGAGGCAGGATAATTGCTTGAACCCGGGAGGCGGAGGTTACAGTGAGCCGAGATCGCACCATTGCATTCCAGCCTAAGTGACAGAACAAGGCCCTGTCTCAAAAAAAAATTAAAAAAATAAAATAAAATAAAAATTCTAATTGTGATTATACCCTCTGAACCAACAATAGCTTGTAGGAATACACCCTAAGAAATAATCATACAAGTATGCAACAATGAGCCAATCAATCTACTGTAAAATATAACAGAAAAGTGTTCAAGTTTTTAAAGAAAGTATCTTCATTGCAGAGTTACTACTTCACTTCACTCACAATATCAACACAGAACTGATGCAGGCACAGGTATTCCGACTTCAATACACCAACACAGGAGGCCTCTATTCCCTGGCACCTCTTTATTCACTTTTGCCATTTAGCCAGGCAGGATAGCACACACCTGTAGTCCCAGATACTTGGGAGGCTGAGGTGGGAGGATTACTTGACCCCAGGAATTCAAGACCAGCCTGAGCAACACAGTAATGACCCCCATCTCTAATATATGTATACTTAACAACAACAAAAAAAAACTTTTTCCATTTGTTTCACTTTGGGTCTTCTAATCTATACTTTCCTACGCTAATTCCTGGTCCATTTTTAGTTTTTCTTTTGCAGTTTCAGAAAGGTGCTAACAATCAGCAGTGACTACACTTGAGACAAGACAACAGACCTCAAATTATCGGTTACTGCCAAAATCAATCTTTTCATTTTGTGACTTAGCTTATACATTGCTTAGTTATCAAATGCTTATCAAACTCCTGTGATTAGCAAAGTACTATGTCAGGGGTATAACAAAAAATATCAAACTATAAACATAGTAGATTTCATTATCTTAAGATCAATTTCACTTCCAAAATTCAGAATCTATGAGTCTAGATTGTATTCTGCCGTTTTACTCATTAACTTCAAGGATTTGGGTAAACGGCGACATGTCACACACTCAGAGTATTCCATAGTAGGGCATTCCCCCACAGGGGAATCACTGCTACAATCACTGCTCAATTTCTTCCTTACCTGAAAGGAAGCCAAGATGGTACTGAACAAGAATGGAACCACCACAGTACATAGGCATTTATTTAGCTTTCTGTGAAGCATTAAAAAATCAGATATTGCTCAAGCCTGGGTTGTAATATGAGGAAACTGGCATTAACCCTCATGCATTCAGTCTCTCCATCTAGGTCCCCCGTTTTCTAGATACTCTCACTGTTTTCTTCAATATGTGAAAAGGCAAGAAGTACACCTGTATCTAACATCATACAGAGGCGTTAAAAGGCAACCAGATGAGATTTTTTTTTCCATCTTGGCAAAATCAACTCTTCATAGCGGACATTCAACAGGCTCTTAGAACTGTTTGAAATTTGAACCTATTTAAGTAACATCAACCAGCAAATATTTCTCCTGATAATAAAAGCTTCCATTTCTGACATCCACGTGTGGCAGAAATTCCCACTCCTTAACAGCTGCAAGTTTATTCTCTGTGTCCTAGAAAGGGTCTTTTCTCATCTGCATTTCTTTTTTTTTGGGAGGGGGGGGCGGAGTCCCACTGTGTCACCCAGGCTGGCATGCAGTGGCACTATCTTGGCTCACTGCAACTTCTGCCTCCCTGGTTCAAGCGATTCTCCTTCCTCAGCCTCCCGAGCAGCTGGGACTATGAGCACGCACCACCATGCCCAACTAATTTTTGTATTTTTAGTAGAGATGGGTTTTCACCATGTTGGACAGGCTGGTCTCGAACTCCTGACCTCGTGATCTACCCTCCTCGGCTTCCCAAAGTGCTGGGATTACAGGCGTGAGCCACGATACCCGGCCTCATCTGCATTTCTTTAAAGATCAGAATGGTTTTTGATTCTTGGTAAAAGATGAGCTGGCAAGTGGGAAATTACTGAAATGCCAAGTAGAGTTGCCGGCCAAATATGAGCTGGGGAGTTTAAGACTAACGAGGATTTAGAGCTTTAAAGGTTGCTGAGTAAGCTCAAGTAGTGAGCCCGACAAATGTAAAACAGAAAAGGAGCCTACAAAAGATGGACTGACTTCTCTGCAGCCGGAGAACCAGGGCCACACTCCAGGTTTGGATTAATCAGAAAGAGGAAAAATAACAAATCTGTGCTAACACTATTTCAACATCAAGGAAACCTACAAGCATCAGGATGTAGAAACAGTGTTTACTAATATATTTCCTTATAGTTGATAGGTCCTATGTAGATTCGTGAAAAATCATCTTCCTTAATTTCTGCACATTACACAAGGACAACCAAGTAATTGTTCCTACTTGACTGCTCAAGACATCATTTCTCAATTATTAAAAAGACATACTTTTGGCCAGGCACGGTGGCTCATGCCTGTAATCCCAGCATTTTCGGAGGCCAAGGCGGGTGGATCACTTGAGCTCAGGAGTTCAAGACCAGCCTGGTCAACATGGCAAAACCTCGTCTCTACTAAAGATACAAAAATTAGCCGGGTATGGTCGGGGGCACCTGCAGTCCCAGCTACTAGGGAGGCTGAGGCAGGAGAATCACTTGAACCTGGGAGACACAGGTTGCAGTGAGCTGAGATTTCACCACTGCACTCCAGCCTGGGATACAGAGAGAGAGTCTGTCTCACAAAAAAGAAAAAAAAAAAAAAAAAAAAAAAAAAAGACATACTTTTGCTATATCCATTCTTATGGGAATTACATTCAATTGCACTATAATCTCCTTGAATTAACAAAATGGGACAATGTTTCAAAAGATTCTTTTTACTCTCCTCTAAACCATTTGAGAATATTTCTAAAGCCATTAATTTCACAAACTAGCCAAGATTACTGAGAAAAATCATAGCTGTACAAGTTCTGAAAATCTTGCTGAATATAACTATCTTGTGGTCCAAGGGCTGTATTTCTTTGCCTGAATCCCTGAATTATAAATGGCTATAAAAAGAAAACAGGAAAGAAAAGGGCCCAACAAAATAAAAGGTTCCCAAGTGAAAAGTAATGATGTTATATTGTAACAAACATTTTGGTGACTGGGATTACCTGAAACCTCTGGGCTCCTGCTCTGAAGTACTAATTTGCCAAAAGCATGGCAAATCCAACTCTTAAAACAGTACTGACTCATCCTGAGTTCACAGCTTGATCTTATCTATTTTAATATCAAGGAATCCAAGATTTGCTATGCCTCATATCATAAATGAAAAGGAAATACTGAAGATAATTACTTAAAACCTATCCAACAGAATTATCTTCGGTGTAAGTTTTAAGTATAATGCAGATAACCACAATATAGATTTATCTCAAAATGAAAACCTGGGCAGATGATATTTAACTGAGTAATTATGTTATCTGCACTCTAGATAGGAAGGGCTGAGAGGAAAAACAGGGAGAAACTTGCCATCTTACTCACCCGCAGTGGAGTGCTGGCTGTAAATCAAGTCGGCCTGCCCAAACACACACAGGACTTAATGACGACCTCAGTGAGAGCAGTTGAGTTTATGCAGTAAGGAAATCTGCACAAAATTAAAGGGAAAACTACTGAGGCCCCACATGGACATAATCGCTACAGACCGTGGATGTGAAAATGATGACATAATGGTGGGGAGTAGGATTCCAGTAGGAAGCTAATAATAAAAATACATTTGTTATAAAATGGAAACTAGAAGTTACTGAATTTCTAGCATTTTCCCCTGTTGTTCTCTAAATGTATGCACTCACTCTAACATAGTGCAAACATACTTTGAAAAAACAAATGTAAAGAAAAGGGATAGGAACTCATCTTTTCTGTCACCCAGGCTGGAGTGTAATGGTGCTATCTCAGCTCACTGCAACCTCTGCCTCCCAGGTTCAAGTGATTCTCCTGCCTCAGCCTCCCGAGTAGCTGAGATTACAGGTGCCCGCCACCACGCCTGACTAGTTTTTGTATTTTTAGTAGAGACGGGGTTTCACCATGTTGGCTAGGCTGGTGTCAAACTCCTGACCTCAAATGATCCACCCTCAGCCTACCCAAAGTGCTGAGATAACAGGCGTGAGCCACCGCCTGGCCCACCTTTTTCTTTTTTTTTTTTTCTGCAACGGAGTCTCACTGTCACCCAGGTTGGAGTGCAGTGGCGTGATCTTGGCTCACTGCAACCTCCGCCTCCTAGGTTCAAGCGATTCTTCTGCCTCAGCCTCCCAAGTAGCTGGGAATACAGGCACGTGCCACCATGCTCAGCTAATTTTTAGTAGAGTCAGGGTTTCAACATGTTAGCCAGGATGGTCTCAATCTCCTGACCTCTTTATCCACCTGCCTCAGCCTCCCAAAGTGCTGGGATTACAGGCATGAGCCACTGTGCCCAGCCCATCTTTTTCTTAATTCTACATATTTGTTACTGAAATATAGTTTCCTAGTCAATTTTAACAAACAAAATTCCAATCACAGAGTGCAATGAAATACCTATGAGGATCCAGGAGCACTCTCAGGTTTATGGACTAACTATGAATATGTCAAGTACTCATTAGTGGTATCCTAAAAAGTTTGTAGAGAGGCACTGGGAGGTGAAGAGGAGAGGGAAGAGACCATAGTATGAGTGTTTTACTTCCTTTATACTTAGTGAAATATACTTCATACAAATCATCCTTTGGAACTCATGGAATACCCTGAAAATTCTACTATCTGGAAAGACATACATGGTTAATTTTCTTTGCTCTGACAATCAAAACTGTGCCTACCTGAGGTCAACAGTATACTAGGAGTGTGAAAAGGGAAATTTTGGAATATGGAACAACTTTGGAGAGGGAATTTCTAGATAGGGAGGATATGAAGACAGCAGCGGCTCAAATGGCAGAGAGAAAAGTTACCAAGGTCAAACACCACTACCCAGACACTTTCTATATAAAAGACCTATGCAGATGCTGTAGCTAAACCATTAGGACTACTGCCCTGCAACTCCACATTGCCATACATTTTCAGTTGCTTTCAGGGAAAAAAAAAAAAAAAAAGCCTATTAATTCTAATATTAATATGAATTCCAATAACAGATTAAATGCACCCCCAGAAAAATACTCCAGCCAAGATTCTACTTCTAAGAATTTCACTGCAGACATAATTCACACAGGTAAACAAATATATATATGTGCAAAAAAACTGACTAAGCATCATTAGACAGGAAAAAAAAGTAATGACCTAAAATGTTCATCAATCAGGCAATGGTTTTAAAAAATAATAATAATGAAAAGTGGCACAGGGAGGAGGATGGGATATAAAATTGGACTCGTTTTTAGGCTATAATCTTTCTACCTTTCTTATTTCACAATGAGTATTTATTCAAGTCTTACGTATATAACTAAGAACAGAAAAATCATACATTCTATTAATTTTTTAAAATTCAAATGGCAATCATGGCCCACAGTTCCACTGTAAGTCTCAAAGCCTATTTAATCTATCATTGTACGCCATCCATTTATATGAGAATCTGTGTGTCTTTCTCCTCCATTAGACTATAAATTCCTTAAGAACCAAGACAAATAATAAGTCATCTTCCCCCATGCCCAGTACAGAGATGCTCATTCAATGTATGCCGAGTGAGTAAATGAAGAGACAAATTCCTATTTGATCTAAGCCTCTGCAGGTAACCACAGTTGGCTACAGTCATGATTACAAGTGCTCTGAGTTATGTCAGCCTGACCCACAGAAAGGAGAAAGATAGTTCTCAGAAACAGCATAAGTTTCAACATATTCCACAATCCCTGAGAAGGTTCTAGGCTACCTACATCAAACCTATCCCTTTCCAAGATCACCCACAGATTAAAACCAATGACAGCAGTTGAGATGTCACAGTATTAAAAAGCAACAAGCGCAATTCAGCGTTTCATGTCATGACACGAACTGGAAATAATATCATTTATCTGGTGCCTGGGAGGGAAGGTCTGAGCTTGGTGAAACCAATCAAGTATGTCTTCCTTATATTCTTTAATTATGATAAGGAAACTGAAAACCAACATATTAAGGAAGATATTAAACACAGAATTTATATAAAACTCCCAAAGAAAACCTTCTCAGATATCTTCATAGAAAATAAAGCTTGTTCATGTCCTTTGTAGGGACATGGATGAAATTGGAAATCATCATTCTCAGTAAACTATCGCAAGAACAAAAAACCAAACACCGCATATTCTCACTCATAGGTGGGAATTGAACAATGAGATCACATGGACACAGGAAGGGGAATATCACACTCTGGGGACTGTGGTGGGGTGGGGGGAGGGGGGAGGGATAGCATTGGGAGATATACCTAATGCTAGATGACGAGTTAGTGGGTGCAGCGCACCAGCATGGCACATGTATACACATGTAACTAACCTGCACAAAGTGCACATGTACCCTAAAACTTAAAGTATAATAAAAAAAAAAAAAAAGAAAAGAAAGCTTGTTTCCATGAACGTAACTCTTTTTTATAACAGGTTCTATGTCTGTAATAGCTACATGCAATTCCTGATCAATACAATGTGATATCTCCACATTTCTGACAAACCCCCATGAACATTAAATTTTGTTTAATGGGGGGCTCTGTTTTGGCTTCTCAATGAGAAAAGGGCAGACATTCTGCGGGGAGTAAATATAATCATTTCTAGGTAAGGTATTACAGTCCTGTGCTGACACCTTACAGTACACAAATAACATAAACATACACATCTGCAGAACTTGACAATATTGAGTATTTATGCAGCTATTATTTCACACTTAACCCACACCTTCTAAGGTAGGTTACACCTCCATTCCATCCTTCCCATCCCAGATTCTATAAGAAGGGGACAGACACAAGTCTAGAACCCGATGTTCCTTCCACTTCGTCACACTCCTGTCACCTTTTCAAGTAGAGTCAAGGTGAGACCACCAAGAAGACAAGAAAGGTTAAAAAAAAAAAAAGGCATTGCTGCTATTAATACCAAAAGTCTACAGTTTGCCTATATATACTACTATCTAGTAAATTTCCTATTATACTTAGGACTGATAAGATATAAATAACATATTAAATATTATATATATATATATATATATATAAATTTTTTTTTGAGACAGAGTCTCACTCTGTCACCCAGGCTAGAGTGCAGTGGCATGATCTCAGCTCACTGAAACCTCAGCCTCCCAGATTCAAGCAATTCCCCTGCCTCAGCCTCCCAAGTAGCTGGGATTACAGGCATGCCCCACCACACCTGGCTAATTTTTGTATTTTTAGTAGAAACAGGGTTTCACCATGTTCACCAGGCTGGTCTTCAACTCCTGACCTCAAATGATCTGCCCACTTCAGCCTCCCAAAGTACTGGGATTACAGACTTGAGCCACCGCGCCTGGCCTAAATATATATTTAAATAAAATATATTACATTTTACTCCTATTAGTTTTACTAAATGGCAATTACAGGTATCCAAAGAACATTTACTGAGCAACCACCAGGCACTATGCTAGAATCAGAGATATCACAGTGTATCTCCTGTCTCTACTCCTGTGGAGTGGGAGAGAGAGCTCTCCACACAGTGGAAAAACAGAAATCCCTATTTCTGTGAAAACACCAAGTTATTACTGCACTAAACAGCTGCTAAAGGGAAAAAAGAAAGAGCCTTTGTGTAACATGTCTCAGAACTTTTACTCAGAGAATGAGAAGGCTCAGGACTCAAACTTACAGGTGAAACTGCACCTCTAATGTAGACAGCCCACCACCATTCATCCTCCACCAGGTTTTTTTTTAACTCTAAAATATATTAATGAATTTAAACAGAAACAGCTGTTTATCAGTCACCTAAATTAGTAGTTCTCACACTTTTGATCATTCATATGCCAGCCTCACAATTTTTACATTACATACAAAACTACTTTTTTACTTAACAATTTTCTTACACAGAG
Source organism: Homo sapiens (assembly GCF_000001405.40). NCBI lineage: Eukaryota > Metazoa > Chordata > Mammalia > Primates > Hominidae > Homo > Homo sapiens. The sequence goes on from NC_000010.11 coordinate 28,259,247, forward strand.
TTATTTTATTTAAATACCTATTTTAGACTCCTTTTAAATACCTACAGTGAGGCCAGGTGCAGTGGCTCACACCAGTAATCTCACCACTTTGGGAGGTCTAGGCCAGCGGATTGCTTGAGCTCAAGAGTTCGAGACCAGCCTGGGCAACATGGTGAAACCCTGTCTCTGATAAAAATACAAAAAATTAGCCAGGCGTCATGGTGCACGCCTGTAGTCCCAGCTACTTGTGAGGCTGAGGAGGGAGAATCACTTGAGCCCAGGAGGTGGGACTGAACCACTGCAGTGAGCCGAGATTGCACCACTGCACTCCAGCCTGGGTGACAGAGAGAGACTCCATCAAAAAGAAAAAGAAAAAGATGAGGGGAGGGGGAGGGGAGAGAAGAGAAGGATGCAGGGAGGCAGGAGATGAGTTAGTTATGTTTTCTAATATGCATGAAAATAAAAGCATATGGGCAGGTGCAGTGGCTCATGCCTGGAATCCCAGTACTTTGGGAGGCTGAGGTGGGAGAATCGCTTGAGCCCAGGAGTTCTAGGCCAGAGCGTGGGCAACATGACAAAATCCCATCTCTACAAAAAAATACAAAAAATTAGCCAGGCACGGTGGTGTGCCCCTGTAATGCCAACTGCTCAGGAGGCTGAGGTGGGAGGATCACCTGAGTCCAGGAAGTCAAGGCTGCAGTGAGCCATGATTGTGCCACTGCACTCCAGCCTGGGTGACAGAGCAAGAGTCTGTCACTCTGTCCCCCATAACAAGAAAAGCATAGTGCTTAAAACAAAAACTCTTCATTAGAATACTTCAGAAATAACCCTGCATGTCCATACTTAGGAAACATTGATATTTAACAAAACAAACAAAAACACAGAAAACACTATATTAGCAGCTATTTATAAATACTGTTACAATAATTTTATGGCATTATCATCATCGACATATTTGAGTCCATCCCTCTTTCTACTTGTTAATTAATACATGCTTAATTATCTAAAAAGTATTCAATCATTTCCAGTGGCAATTCATCCATTCCAGTCTCCCTGGCTCTCTATAAATGATCTATGTATTATATTATGTATTAGTCTATATGTATGCATTAGTTAATGATCTGAAGCAGTTATACAAAGCTTCCTTATACCTACAGACTATAAATGGTTCTTTCCTTCAATCACTTGTCAAGATAAAGAAATCTAAAACATATGAAAATACCAGAGACTATATTTAACTATGTTCTAACCAAATAGTATGTTTCTGGCCAGGCATGGTGGCTCATGCCTGTAATCCCAACACTTTAGGAGGCCAAGGTGGGCGGATCACCTGAGGTCAGGAATGAGACCAGCCTGACCAACAGGGCAAAACCCTGTCTCTACTAAAAATACAAAAATTAGCCAGACATGGTGGCACATGCCTGTAGTGCCACCTACTCAAGAGGCTGAGACAGGAGAATCGCTCGAACCTAGGAGGCGGAGGTTGCAGTGAGCCAAGATTGTGCTGCTGCACTCCAGCTTGGGTAACAGAGAGACTCCATCTCAAAAAAAAAAAAAAAAAAAAAAAAATTTTTTTTAAATAGCATGTTTCTTCTGGCACAATTTAAAGTGAAAGTGAAAAGGCTCTGTTTTCTACATGATGCATTTCAACTCAGTGTGAGTTGATTTATTTTATGCCCAATTGATGTTAGAGAAAGAATTCAAATGGTTTTTCCAAGTATGTAAGGTGCCTACAAAATTACACTATAAAATTTATTCTTTAATAGCCTAGTTCTTTACCAAAGCAATTAGTTTTCATAAGTCACTCCAGCAAATCACAAAGCCAGATGGGTCCCCAATTCAATCAATTATCTTTAATCTTTCAACTAAGAAAAATTGCTCTTTATATACTTTGTCTCTGTAGTTCTCTTTCCAGAATTAACCATTTTGGCAGTGATGTATGCTTGTTAGCAAAAGTAGATCCTACACACAGGTGAGAAAACACAGAATTAACTGTGAACACTTTCCTTCCTAGCAAGGTGAGCAGAACACTGAACCATGACTTAACGAAAGACTGCCCAAGTCATTCACTGGGGTGGAACCCTATGGTGTTTATCACAAACATACTTCCCACCAACACGGTGGCTTTGCGCTCCACTGGCCAGTGCTTTTTATATTGAAATGAGTCAAAGACCAGATCCAGCGCAGTCACCATAGTTCCACTAAGATTTAAGCGAGGCAAACCATTGTCCCTGCCATTCTATCCTAAATGTGGTCATAAGTGGGACAGCAGAGAAAGCCACAGTACTTATCCAAGGTTGCAACACCTCCACTCTTCTGCTGACCTCCAAATACATACCTAGGCAGCACAGCCTTCTCCATCAGGTGACCCCAGAGTACACAGAGTGTGGATATCAGACACACCCCAATGACAATGACGTAGAACACCCTCCAATGTAGTACAAGAAACTGATCATACAATATACTCACAAATACATTTCTCTATCCTGAGAGAGAGACCGGTTTATCTCACTTTCTATCTCTCCATTTATAATTTTTGGCCAGGTGCCAATGGCTCATGTCTGTAACCTCAACACTTTGGGAGGCCGAGGCAGGAGGATTGCTTGAGCCCAGGAGCTCGAGACCAGCTTGGGCAACATAACAAGACCCCATTATGGCTCACACCTGTAATCCCAGCACTTTGGGAGGCCGAGGTGGGTGGATTGCTTGAGGTCAAGAGTTCAAGACCAGCCTGGCCAACATGGTGAAACCCCATCTCTACTAAAAATACAAAAAATTAGCCGGGCATGGTGGCGCACACCTGTAGTCCCAGCTACTCAGGAGGCTGAGGCAGGAGAATCGCTTGAACTTGGGACCAGAGGTTGCAGTGAGCTGAGAATGCACCACTGCACTCCAGCCTGGGCGACAGAGCAAGACTCTGTCTCAAAAAAAAGAAAAAGGAAATAAATAAATAAATAAATTATATATATATATATATATATACATATATATATATATATACATATATATATATATATACATATATATATATATGTATATATATATATATATATTTTTTTTTTTTTCTTCACCATGTTGGCCAGGATGGTCTCGCTCTCCTGACCTTGTGATCCACCGGCCTCGGCCTCCCAAAGTGCTGGGATTACAGGTGTGAGCCACCATGCCCAGCCAATAATATAATTTTTGACTGAACTAGTAATTTATAATGAAACTAACAGTATATCCCAAAGAGGCACAATGCATTAAGCCAGTAACTGCAAGTCCTTTTAAAAAGTTGTCACAAATATTTTAGGTTACTACACAGGTGTCATAAATAATACTCTAGTATAAATGGCCTTTGGCCCTTTGGAAGCCACAGACATTTTTTAATCTGATGAAAACTATGGATCCTTTCTTTCCTAAGAAACATTCGCTAGTTACACAAAAAGCTGCACCTATTCTAAACAGGTTGTACATTCATTAGACTCTAAAGTCCAATCATGTACACAGCTCAGGAACTCTTACTTGAGTGGCTTGAGGAGACTAATACAATGCTAAATCTCACATTTAGCCGGACGCAGTGGCTCACGCCTGTAATCCCAGCACTTTGGGAGGCCGAGGTGGGCAGATCATTTGAGGTCAGGAGTTAGGCATGAGCCTGACCAACATGGTGAAACCCCATCGCTACTAAAAATAAAAAAATTAGCCAGGAGAGGTGGCATGTGCCTATAATCCCAGCTACTCAGGAGGCTGAAGCACGAGAATCGCTTGAACCCAGGAGGCGGAGGCTGCAGTGAGCTGAGTTCGCACCACCGCACTCCAGCCTGGGCAACAGAGCGAGACTCCGTTTCAAAAAAATAAAATAAAATAAAAATAAATCTCACATTTAAAAAGAAACATAATGAGTCTACCTGCACTCAGGTGTCTAAGTACCTGACCACATATAAATCAGAGGCAATAATAAAATATTTTAAAGAAAACCCAAATTTCTCTGGTGGTAGTGTATTCAAATTGCTTTCATCTAAATACGCTGAGTGAAAGGGCCACTACCATCTGGTAGCAGCCAATCTTGAATTTAAGAAATGAGGAATGTGACCTGATGGGCCTGGGGAGGGTAAAGTCACAAGGTTTGAAGCTGTGTTTGCATAGTTCTGCAAATAAATATTCAGAACACGGAAACTGTTCATGTCAAATAAAGGAGGTGGGGTATTACAGAAGGGATAAAGCCCCAAAAGTGTCCCCCGACCTTGATCCACCACTGCCAGTTGGCTCTTAAAAGTTCTACAGAGCTACATTTTTCCCGTCAATGTAGATTGTGATGAAAAATTAAATTGGCTCATGAGCCATATACAGAAGACTTCTAAAATCAACACTGAAGTGTTTCCCTTTCTCAGGATTTGGCTGTGAAGCGTGACCAACCAAGCCAGGAGGAAGGGGAGGGATCTTGGAGCTGGCCCACGATCTGCAAAGAGGAAAGGATGGCAGGGGAGGGGCAGAGAGGAGCGGCATATCTCAGCTCAGAAGCAGACGGAGGAGCTGCAGCTGAAGGCGCCAGGTGAAACATCCGACACATGTGGGAACCTTAGTGGTGATGCAGGCAACAGCAGGTACCAGAATTTCCAAGACACAGGAATAGTATCCAAATCTCACAGATGGAAGATAGCAATGGGAAGTCTGGCAGCTTGGGAGTCAGGTAGGGAAAGCGTTCTAGCTCCATACCCAATTCCAGAGGCAGAGCTTCAATCCCCAGAAAAAAGAAAGTTTGAGAGATAGGCACAGTTTCAGGAACCAAATAAAAAGCCCCATTCTAGGCCAGGTACAGTGGCTCATGCCTGCAATCCCAGCACTTTGGGAGGCCGAGGCAGGATGAACGCTTGAGGCCAAGAGTTGGAGACCAGCCTGGACAACATAGGGAGACCCTGTCTCTACAAAAAAATTTTGAAAATTAACCAGGCAGGATGGCACTCACCTGCAGTCCCAGCTACTTGGGAGGCTGAGGTGGGAGGATGGCAGGAGTTCAAGGTTACAGTGAGCTACGATTGCACCACTGCACTACAGACTGGGTGACATAGTAAGACCCTGTCTCTTTTTTTTAAGTCTCATTTTAGCTAAAAATTGGGGCAAAGAGCAGCAACAGGGACAAAGAGGAGCATCAGAGCCAGGAATGACTGGCAAAAAAATAAGGAAAAATGCAAGAAATCTAGTGCCCAGCCCTGAGACCACAGATCCTCAGGATGGGGCGCTGGTGGACCAGAAACCCCACCACGTGAGAAGGCTGCACTTTAAATTAGACCGTCCTGGTGTCTGCCTTGGTCACAAAATTAGAGTGGAGATAAGCAACACAGACACCAGCCCTGGCCTCAGGGAGCTTTTTTTTTTTTTTTAAATAAAATATAATCTCAAACGATCAAAGAAAAAGACAGAAAGTCTGACTGAAGAGCCCAAGCATTAATTTCCACCATCTCTCAACAGCTTGAGCAAACATATGGAAGTGGGAAGCACAGAGCATGTGAAGGAAACTGTTTATTACAGTTGGGATAAAATAAAAGGTAAGTGTTGGAATGAAAGAATGATTTCCAATGCTGGCCTAAGGATTTTATGGTGGCGGTGGGTAAAAAGGACATGTTCAGAATGGTGTCTTGGAAGATTAATTCACCAGTACCATCTTAGAAGCCAAGGAAGAGAGACTTTCAGGAAGAAGGCACAGTCCTCATCTCCAAATGCTGTTGATATTGAGAAATATAAAAATACTAATTAGAAGGCATCCTCTCTACCAGTTTCATTAGTGGAGATTATAGGGTAGACAGACAGGACAAGGGCAGAATCAATTCAAGAGATAGAACAGTACTCAGGATGCACCTCCCATTGAGGAAGTTATGTATAAAAAGAGACAAGAGATAGGTCCCTGAGTTCCCATCAGAGGTATTGCTTTTACTGTTGTTGCTGCTGATATTTTTAAAAACAGGTAGACCTGAGTCAACAGGTTAAAGATGCAAAAACGAGAAGGGGTAATTGATAAAGAATGTTTAAAAGAACAGAATTATGAGCTCAGCTCATATCAAAATGCATTTACGCTGGGCATGGTGACTCAAGCTTGTAATCCCAACACTTTGGGAGGCCAAGGCGGGGGGACTGCTTGAGCTCAGGAGTTCGAGACCAGCCTGGGGAACTTGGCGAAACCCCATCTCCACAAAAAATGCAAAACTTAGCCAGGCATGGTGGTACATACCTGTAGTCCCAGCTGCTTGGGAGGCTGAGGTGGGAGGATTGCTTGAGTCCAGGGGGTCAAGAATGCAGTGAGCCAAGATCATGCCACTGCACTCCAGCTTGGGCAACAGCATAAGATCCTGTCTCCCCACCCCACCCCCAAAAAATGCCTTTACATCTTAAAAAAATTCCACTTTGAAACTCTTTTTCCAACAAATGGTTTCTCAGTGTAAAATGTCTATAAATTATTCAGTGTTGATAATGTGTCTGTTCCATTGTTCAATAACCAAGAAATACATATCATAGCTTTTTTAACTTTATCGAGTTAATAAATGTTGGCACAAACTGTGCTTTCTTTTAATGAAATCCAATAAGCAGAGTAAGTGCAGAGGAAAGGGAAAGAATGGGTTTTAGGATTATCCAGACCTGGGTTTAAATTATATTTTTAAGAGCAAAAAAACTACATTATTGCTTGAATACTTAGGTAAGCATAAGTACTTACATGCTAAGGGATTTACAAGACTCTCTCATCTGACCTTCACAAGGGCCTTCTGTTCTGTTTTGTTTTGTTTTGGAGACAGGGTCTCACTCTGTCACCCAGGCTGGAGTACTCAGGAGGCTCACTGCAACCTCCGCCTCCCGAGTTCAAGCGATTCTCCTGCCTCAGCCTCCCTAGTAGCTGGGATTACAGGCGCCCACCACCGTGCCCAGCTAATTTTTGTATTTTTAGTAGAGACGGGTTTTCACCATGTTGGTCAGGCTGGTCTCGAACTCCTGACCTCAAGTGATCCACCCTCCTCAGCCTCCCAAAGTGGTGGAATTACAAACTTGAGCTACTGTGCCCAGCCCACAAGGGCCTTTTCAGTTTAGAGGTTCAACAATTTACCCAAGTCAATAAAGAAGTAGAGCAGGGATCTGAACTTGAGCCTGATTCTAAAGAGAAATGCTTTCACGGTCCTCAAATTGTAACATCAAGCTCTGCCACCTCCCACAACTTCTGCGCTTCAGGTCCTCATAACATATAGTTTTGCCATGAAGAATTAGAAAAAGTTAACATATGAGGCAGAAGGATCTCTTGAACTCAGGAGTTGGAGGCTGCAGTGAGCTATGATCATGCCACTGTACTCCAGCCTGGGTGACAGAGTGAGACCCTGACTTTAAAAAAAGAAAAAAGAAAAAAAAGTGAATGCATGGATAACACAACAGAGAGAAGTTCCTCAATAGATGCTGGTTTCCTTATCTCCTTCCTGTTTCATTTTTGTAATCACTTTCTTAAAACCTTGCTCTTTCTAAGCTATGGTGCTGTCTCTTCTATGTCCCTCTGACACCATATGTGTACCCCAATCAGCATTGTCCCCATGTTATAATTGTTAGCTTGTCTGTTTCTCAATAGTCAGTAAACTCTTCAAGAACCACAGCCTTTGAGCATCATTAACTTTATGTCTCTAGTTTCCAGTGCATCTGGCATGCAGTAAGTGCTCAATAAGTGTTTCTTGTTCCAACTAATTCTGGTTAATATTTAATCCAAGTGTGCTATCTGCTTAGGTTGCCTCTAAAACCTTAGTCACTAGGCCCATCAACATTGTCACAGATGTCAAAGAGCTAAGGTATGCCGTGTGCCATCTGTTCTGCCATATGCGTTAGTTCGGGGGCCTAAAAACTACAGCAAGTTGGCCCACCATCTGTTCCTATAAATAAAGTTTTATTGAAACACAGCCAAGTTCATTCACTTATATATTGTCTACAGCTGCTTTTATGTTACAATGGCAAAGTGGAATATTTGAAGCAGAGACCACTGGACCTGCAAAGCTTAGTACATTGCATCTGGCCTTTACAAAAAAAATATTTGCTAACCTCTGCATTAGTTGGATCCATTCAGTAAGTTAACAAATATTAGAATATTTACTATGAGGCAATTGCTGCCTTTAGATGCTGGGTATAGTGTGGTGAACAAAACAGGCACATCCCTGACCTTCACAGAGCTTATAATCTAGCAAGCAAAAAAGACAACACACTCAGGTAGTCAAATAAATAAACAAAGAAGCAATAAATACCACAGGTTGAGCATCTCTAATACAAAAATCTGAAATCCAAAATGCTCCAGAATCCAAAATTATCAACATGATGCTCAAAGGAAATGGTCACTAGAGCATTACAGATTTTGGATTTTCAGATTAGGGATGCTTGAGCAACTGGTATAATGCAAATATTCCAAAAGAAAAATAAAATAAAATCCAGAACACTTCTGGTCCCAAGCATGTCAGATAAGGGATACCCAACCTGTATAAAATGTGATCAACATGGTAAAAGAAAAGTAGATAATACTATTTGAAAGAATAACGAGCCAGGCACGATGGCTCACACCTGTAATTCCAGCACTTTGGGAGGCTGTGGCAGGTAGATCACTTGAGGTCAGCAGTTTGAGACCAGCCTGGGCAACACGGTGAAACTCCAACTCTACCAAAAACACAAAAATTAGCCGGGCGTGCTGGTGCATGCCTGTAATCCCAGCTATTCGGGAGGCTAAGGTGGGAGGATAGCTGGGACGTGGGAAGTCGAGGCTGCAGTGAGCAGTGAAGTACCACTGTACTCCACCCAGGCTGGTGAAGTACACCCACCCTGCCTCAAAAAACAAAAACAAACAAACAAACAAACAAAAATTACATTAAAATAAAATTAAATAAATGAAGAATAACAAATGTGAGTAGAGAGGAGGCATACTCTATATTGGGTAGAAGGTGAAGTTTCTCTAAGCAGGTGCAATTAAGCTCAGCCCTGAATCACTGTGGGGCAGGGAACCGCCATGTGAGAGACAAGGGCATCCGGCAGAAGGTACAAGAAGAATTCAGGCTGGGAAGAAGGAAAGAGCCCAATATGTTCTAAAGAAGATGTGGCTGGAACAAAATGAGCCAGAGAAATTTTGATAAAGAAGGAACTGTAGGCAAAGGTTACATCATAGAGTACGTTGTAAGCCACTTTAAATCTGAATTTTAATTTTTACATTTTTAAAAACCATTTTTATTATAAAGACAATTAGGGGCCAGGCGCGGTGGCTCATGCCTGTAATCCCAGCACTTTGGGAGGCCAAGGCACACGGATGACTTGAGGTAAGGAGTTCGAGACCAGCCTGGTCAACATGGTGAAACCCCGTCTCTACTAAAAATACAAAAGTTACCCGGGTGTGGTGGTGCACACCTGTAATCCCAGCTACTCAGGAAGCTGAGGCAGAAGAATCATTTGAACATGAGAGGCAGAGAAGATTGCAGTGAGCCGAGAATGCACCACTGCACTCCAGCCTCGATGACGGAGTGAGACTCTGTCTCAAAAAAAAAAAAAAAGGCAATTGTAGAAAATGGGGCTAATCAGGCGTGGTGGCAGGCACCTGTAGTACCAGCTACTCGGGAGGCTGAGGCAGGAGAATGGCATGAACCCAGGAGGCAGAGCTTGCAGTGAGCCAAGATTGCGCCACTGCACTCCAGCCTGGGCAACAGACCGAGACTCCGTCTCAAAAAAAAACAAAGAAAAAGAAAATGGGGCTAATATTATAGACTCATGAAACTACTCTTCCTTCAGGAATATTCATGAATATATACAGCAAATCCACCTGTAATTACATACACCTTTTACTCAAAAGTAAGGACTTTCTTTCCCATAACTATTTCTACTTCCTTAAACATTTTGATTACTTATGACTGAAGCCATGGATTCAGTGTGATATAAATACTTTACGTCTCTAAAACCCTGCTCATCTGATTGATGCAGGACCTTTGGGAGAGGCAGGTGAGGAACATGCCCTGCTATCCTAACCCCATTGCTCCAGCAAAGAATAGAAAAGGAGAACAAATTAGCTCATTCAATGCCATAGCCTCAATGCCCAGATAGTGATGACAACAGTGAATGCTCAACAAACTGAGGTCGATTTTAACTCAATTCTCTTCTAATCTAGTCCAACCTTGCATAAGCATAAATTGGGTAGTGATTATGCCCCCAAACTCTTCAGCTATTACCACAAAAGAAGCCAATCCATCATCATTCTAAAGTAAATCTCCACCAACATTAAATCTTCAATTGGCTGGAGAACTTCACCTTCACAGTTTGAATATTTGTTTTTATCTTTTTTTTTTTTTTTTTAAGAGATGAGATCTTGCTCTGTCACCCAGGCTGGAGTGCAGTGGCATGATCAAAGCTCACTGCAGCCTCCAACTCCTGGCCTCAAGTGATCCTCCCAGCTCAGTCTCCCAAGTAGCTGGGACTAGAGGCACGCACCACCACACCCAGCTAATTTTTTTAAATTTTTTTAGAGATGGGGTTTCACAATGTTGTCTAGGCTGGTCTCTAATTCCTGGCCTCAAGCGATCCTCTTGCCTCAGCCTCCCAAGTACAATGTTTGAATATTTTAAACATAAAATTAATAAGTAGTACTTCAAAGTACATAAGATTAGATCATTTTCCTTCAAACTTTGATGAACAGACAGTGCTTAAGATCGGGGTATTCTGCAAAGACAGGATATCAGGACAGAAAGAGACCTGAGTTGGAGTTAGGGAATGTGGAGTCTAGACCTGGTTTTACTGGTTCTCTTAAAAACAGCAACATGGCCGCAGCCAGTCCCAGAATCCCCTAGGCCTCTGGGTATCCCCAAACCACAGGATTCCCAAGACCGCATTACGGCTTCACATGCAATGACTTGTAGGCTGGTAAATGCCACGAGACTAAGATGGCGCGTTAAAAGAGTGACAAGCTTGAAGGATGATGAGGTGTTTGACACAGTCCTTACGGAACGGGAAGATTTTCACAGGCATAAAGCTAAGGTCAAGGCAAATCTCAGCAGAGAGAATTGCTGACTATGCTTTCATTCAGCAAAACATCACAGTGGTTCTCCTCTAATGCCTAATACATTGACATGGTTATAATCACAATACACAGCAGCCCAGCAGTTCAGAAGCTTTAAATCATGTTTAAAACTATTGTTTTAATTGAAGGGGAGTAGGAGGAAGCCAGGGCAGTGGCACCCACCTGTAGTCCCAGTTTCTTGGCAGACAGAGGCAGGAGGATCACTTGAGCGCAGGAATTCCAGACCAGCCTGGGCAACATAACAAGACTATCTCTTTAAAAAAAAAAAAGGGGGGGGGGGAGGAGGGGAGCTGGGGAGGGGGCGCAATCTACATCTATTGCTGGGTGGGGAAAGGCACGTGTGCCTACTTCAGTTCTATCTGCAGCGCCTGTTCAACATCAACGCCCTCTATCCTCGTTTTCTTAAACATGCAGTAGGAAATGGAAGCAAAATATTTATCATTAAAAATGCATGAAAATGTTAAACTGTCTTTGGGGAACTTATTAAATCAGAGTTCATCAGAAACCTCTGGCTGTAATGCCTAGGCTGCTGTTTTTGAAGAGTCTTGAAGCCTGAGAGCTCTTTCTGAAGACCACGGTTCTTTGAAATAGCGCATGTTGCCTTTCCTCCAGGGACATTAAATGATGATGGGATCTCTCAGTGGGACTGCCCCAGCCATTTGTTTTTTGGACTTTTTAGTACAATAGTAAGCTAAATAATTAGCTGGTGATGTACACTGATCTAGACCCATAATAATTACAGGCAGAACTGTTGTACCTTGTCATGACCAGCAACTGGTGTGTTTTAATTTTTTTAAGAATTATATCAATCAAAATGGTTTGTGTGCATAATTCGAAACAATACAAGAGGTCCCAAATATGGTTTCTAGGCAAAAGGAAGTTAGGCAAAATTTGCAATGTATCTTTCCATCTTTGCAGATGTGCTGCCTATCTTTTTGGAAGGAGCAGAGAAACCAAAGGAATATTTCATTTAAAGTCAGACAACAGTCACATCTCTGAAAAACATTTGTTTTACTTGAGAAGAAAAAACATTAAGTGCTGGGACAACAGGATTTATAATACTATCACAGGATTTTTGGAGTATTAGCCATTGCAACACCCACTAATATCACACCAGCTAAAAATTCAGCAAAAGCTTGTTGGTATGCCAATCAAATATGACATAAAGACACTGTTCTCTTGCTAATCTGGCTTGATGCAGGAGCATAATTTGAAATACCTTGTCTAATGTATGAACTGCAGATCCTTCAGGCACTCCTCCCTAAATATTGCTTCTTTCAAGCAAGATTTCCATAAATTTTGAAAGGTAGGGAGCCCTGTTTGTACTCCCTGGGAAATGTCTGGAGAGTACCTATTTGAAATTCATAGATATATAGACAGATGCAGCTGCCTTAACATGCAGTCTAAGGGCAATTAAAATTCTTCTGTGAGGCCTGGGGCAGTGGCTCACGCCTGTAATCCCAGCACTTTGGGAGGCTGAAGCAGGTGGATCACGAGGTCAGGAGATCAAGACCATCTTGGCTAACATAGTGAAACCCTGTCTCTACTAAAAATACAAAAAATTAACCAAGCGTGGTGGCACGTGCCTGGAGTCTCAGCTACTCGGGAGGCTGAGGCAGGAGAATCACTTGAACCTGGGAGGCAGAGGTTGCAGTGAGCCGAGACCATGCCACTGCACTCCAGCCCGGGTGACAGAGCGAGACTCTGTCTCAAAAAACAAACAAAAAAAAGATTCTGGGGCACTTACAAGGATGCATGTTTGAATAAAAAGCCAGCTCACTGCAGCTTCTGAAAAGCTGAAGAAGACAAGGTTCAATATTCTCCTCTGAAAATGAGGCAGACTAATGAATGATCAAGACCCAACATTCTAGTCCATATAGTTTGACCATGAGCACCTAAGCCTGAAAAATACCTGAAGTAAGACTATTCACCCATCTTCAGCCAAACTAAAATGCACTTTTAGATTCGTGACTTAGATCAAAGTTTCTTCCTGTTACATAAAACCAGGGAAAATTATTTGTAAAATATATACCAAAATGTGCTATTTACACAGGTGTGTCCAATTTGTGAAAATTCATCAAGCTCTACACTTAAATGTGCACTTTTTGGCACATATTTTACTTTTAATAGTTTTACTTATATCTGTACATATATTGTGTGTGCATATATAGTTATAGACATAAGTATATAAAATAATAAATAGAGGTAATTCATTAAGGTATTGATAGACCCTCAAATAATGAAAAGAAGTGCTTTTCATTGGGGCTTTTCATTTAATGGCTAGAAACATCTCTAGAAAGTAATTTCATTCCAGTAGCAATTGCTAATGAATAATCAACAGATATAGTTAATGACTCAGTCAACTAAACGTCACCTTTTCATTAACTGAGTTTTCATAAAGATTTGCTCGGATCTTAATTTTATATACACTGTTGATTTTTAAAAAAATGTATATAAACTCTTAGTTTAAAAAAAAAGAAATGGAACAGGAGGGGAAAAGTATATGTGGATACTGATGCCTGGAGATGTTGGAGTCATTTTTTAAATTTAATACACTTACTTATTAAGTCTTACTCACCTGTTACTACTTCCTATGAAGAATAATGATTTTATTATAGACCAAGTAAAACAACCCAAAATGGTTTGTTTTTTTTGTTTGTTTGTTTGTTTTTGAGATGGAGTCTCACTTTGTCAGCCAGGCTGTAGTGTAGTGGCGCGATCTCAGCTCAATGCAACTTCCACTCCTGGGTTCAAGCGATTCTCCTGCCTCAGCCTCCCCAGTAGCTGGGATTACAGGCACACACCACCACACTGGGCTAATTTTTTGTATTTTTAGTAGAGATGGGGTTTCACCATGTTGGCCAGGCTGGTCTCGAACTCCTAACCTCAAGTGATCCACCCACCTCGGCCTCCCAAAGTTCTGGGATTACAGGCGTGAGCCACCACACCCAGCCCCAAAATGTTATTTTAAACCATAAACAGTATTAGCCAGTATTAACAGTTCAAAAGCAATCTGGAATCATCTAAAAGAGACTACAAGTCAATCTGCCCTAAATTAACCAGGAAGTCTTTTCCATATCTTATGGTACAATTACAAAAGAATTCTATCTAGAAAAAGAACACAGCCTACAAAAGATTAAAGGCATTCAGATCAAGGTGTTTTGTCAAGATTTCCTAGGTGTCCTCTTTATTGGTGCCGTTACAAGGTAAGTGGAGACAGACATAAGCAATTGCTCGGCGTAGCCTCTCCTACAGAAGAGTTACCTCAATGAACTGAGAACATTCTACCCACTCTCACATTCCAGCTTACTCACCCACATCTACCTTCATGTTTAAGAGCAGCATTCAGAGACTATAAAAGCAAGGAATTTAAGTCTTCTGCTACTTTAAGGCAAATTGCATCAAGAGGACTATCACAAAATGCAAACACGATGAAAGAATTTCCTCTTCTTTGCAGAACGCAATTATTCTGCATTAACAATGTCAAGTTCTGCATTCACTAGACCTCCCAGATTTTTATTCTTATCCCTGTATAAATAATCAAAGCTGCATGTATCTCAGAATGTTGATTAGAAAATACTACAAGGCAGGCATGGTGGTGCACACTTGTAGCCCCAGCTACTCAGGAGGCTGAGTTGAAAGGATTGCTTGAGCCCAGGAGTTCGAGTCCAGCCTGGGTAACACAGATACCATCTCTAAAACAAAACAAACAAAGGCTGGGCACGGTGGCTTATGCCTATAATCCCAGCACTTTGAGAGGCCAAGGCAAGCAGATTGCTTGAGTCCAGGGGTTCAAGACCATCATGATACCCCATCTCTGTAAAATAAAATTTTTTTCTTTTTTTTTTTTTTTTTTTGAGATGGAGTCTCACTCTGTCACCCAGGCTGGAGTGCAGTGGCGCAGTCTCGGCTCACTGCAAGCTCTGCCTCCCAGGTTCATGCCATTCTCCTGCCTCAGCCTCCCGAGTAGCTGGGACTATAGGAGCCAGCCACCACGCCCGGCTAATTTTTTGTATTTTTAGTAGAGACGGGGTTTCACCGGAGCCAGGATGGTCTCAAGCTCCTGACCTCGTGATCCGCCCACCTCGGCCTCCCAAAGTGCTGGGATTACAGGCATAAGCCACCGCGCCCGGCCAAAATTTTTTTAAAATATTACATTTATAGTTATCAAAGCTCCCTAAACTCTGCCCATATTCTTCAACAATCAAAAGAATTTCACACAACATTAACATCACAGAAACAAAATAAATAATATAGTTTCACAAAATTTACCAATTTTCTGATAGCCCTCTAATAAATTAGAAGATTCTTTGGCTCCCAGAACCAACAAAACAAATGAAAAAGATTTATAGGGCAATCATATCCATCCACCCAGTGTTTACACAGTGCCTACACTACACAGACTAAAGTATAGCACAGCTCAAACCCTGGACTACATAGGAGGCTGCCTGGATGACTTCCTCTCTACTTCCTGCTACAGAAAGGTTAAAAAATCTAAATGCCTCTGAAAATAAACTCTTCATCACCATCCCTTCCTCTGGCTTTTTTTTATATGCCATCAATTTCACAAATAATGAGCAAAAATAAGCTACTCTCATTATATGACTTTCTAGTCACATTTAATTTGCTTTAGTTCAATTTTATCCTTAGATTCTAAGGTCTCAAGATGGAAACTAGACAGTATTCACCTTTGTATCTGCCCAGAGCTTAACACAGTACATTCAAATACTATAATCAGAATTCAATACATCTTGATGAAATCGGCTTAAATGTCCATAGTCCAGATTTAGTAAAAGGCATTGTTGAACCTGAAAATGCTGCCACTAAAGAACAAGAAATTTGGCTGCAATTATCACCTTTAAGCTGACATCTCCAGTTCTCTGTCCCTAAGCTAGACCCAACATATAACCATGTGTCATCTTCACTTAATGTGTAGGCATCTCAAACACAACATGTTTGAAAATGAACATGTCTTTCCACTACCTCCCCAAGACGTGCTCTTCTGCCGGATACCCTCTTCTACATGAACGGCATGACCATTCACCTAGATGCCCAAGGCAGAAATCTTAGATGTGCTGTTGAGTCCTATCTCTCCCTTACCTCTTACATCCAATAATCACTGTGTCCTGTCACCTTCCTAATATTTCTTTTTTTTTTTTTTCATACAGAGTCTCGCTCTGTCACCCAGGCTGGAGTGCAATGGCGCAATCTCCGTTCACTGCAACCTCCGCCTCCTGGGCTCAAGCAATTCTCCTGCCTCAGCCTCCCGAGTAGCTGGGATTACAGGCACGCACCACCACGCCTGGCTAATTTTTATATTTTTAGTAAAGAAGACATTTCACAGTGTTGGCCAGGCTGGTCTCAAACTCCTGACCTCAAGGGATCCACCTGCCTCGGCCTCCCAAAATGCTGGGAGTACAGGCTTGAGCCACCATGCCCAACCCCTTCCTAATATTTCTTGAATCAGTCTTCTTCCCTACATCTGCATTACCACCAACATGCCAGTCCAAGCCACTATTCTCAAACACCTGAACAACCTCCCAACCAATCTCACGACAGAGCCATTATGATAGGTCTCCAACTCACTGGTTACACAGCAATTTTAAAGAGCAATCTTTAAGTTAAAAAATTGTGGATATGTGTGTATCTGTGCAGAAACCTTATGTATCTCATAATCATTATACCTCTTGGAGAACCTAGCACATAGTAGGTCTGCAATAAAGATGAATACTCACCCATCCTCTTGACCAAAAAGGCCATCACATACTTTTTTTTTTTTTTTTTTGAGATGGAGTCTTGCTCTGTTGTCCAGGCTGGAGTGCAGTGGCATGATCTCAGCTCACTGCAAACTCCACCTCCCGGGTTCAAGCGATTCTCCTGCCTCAGCCTCCCAAGTAGCTGGGATTACAGGCGCCCACCACCACACCCAGCTAATTTTTGTATTTTTAGTAGAGACGGGGTTTCACCATATTGGCCAGACTGGTCTCGAACTCCTGACCTCAGGTGATCCACCCGCCTCGGCCTCCCAGAGTGCTGGGATTACAGGCATGAGCCACCGTGCCTGGCCTTGTCACATGCTTTTTACAACAAGTATAAACATTACCAAGTAGCAAGCTATTATGAAGACATTAATAAATTTTAGCATTGGTTAGGCTACCAAAGTAATCTAATATAGTCCAGCCCAGATGGGATTTACAGCTGAGATGAGAAATAGCTTCTATATACAAGGTAGCAAACAAACAAGATGAAATTACATAAAGACAAACAGAACACTATATCACTGTAAGAGTCTTTGAGTCGGATTACTAAAGGATCAATAGAATGTAAACAAAACAGAAGACACTACAGATGAAAAACTAGGGAGGCATCACACATGGGTGCGTTTGTTTTCAGGAGCGCAAGTCATGCACACGTAGGTTTGATATGAAGGGAGAAGAATCAAAGGACAAAGTCACTGATCTGATCACAGAACA
This sequence comes from Homo sapiens, assembly GCF_000001405.40. Lineage (NCBI taxonomy): Eukaryota > Metazoa > Chordata > Mammalia > Primates > Hominidae > Homo > Homo sapiens. The sequence goes on from NC_000010.11 coordinate 28,276,737, forward strand.
GGTTTATGTTTGGAAAAGTTTAAAGCTGAATATTTTGAGAACAGCACAATGTGAAGAACAATGGGATCTGGGTAAAGGGATTAAGACTTGATAGGATTAGGAATAATAGCCCTATCGTTTGACTGTGCCAGCTATAGGACTTGACACATATTCTCTGATTTAAAACCTTCTACAGGCCAGGTGTGGTGGCTCTTGCCTATAATCCCAGCACTTTGGGAAGCCAAAGCAGGAAGATCACTTGAGCCCAGGAGTTTGAGACCAGCTTGGACAACATAGTGAGATGCTGCCTCTACAAAAAAAAAAATTCATTAGCCTGGTTTGGTGACACACGTCTGTGCTCCCAGCTACTCAGGAGGCTGAGGATAGCTTGAGCCTGGGAGGTCAAGGCTGCAGTAAGCCGTGACAGTGTCACTGTACTTCTACCTGGGAGACACAGCAAGATCCTGTCTCCAAATCAATCAATCAATCAATCCTACTACAACCCTATCATCTAAATACCATTACTACTGTCTCAGTTTACTTATGAGGGAACTGAGTCCAATCTTTTGGCTTTCCTGGGCCACAGTAGAAGAATAATTGTCTTCAGCCACACATAAAGTACACTAATACTAATGATAGCTGACGAGCAAAAAAAAAAAAATTAATTAAAAAAATAAATTTTTTAAAAAATTAAAATCACAAAAACGATCTCCTAATGTTTTAAGAAAGTTTAGGAATTTGTGTTGGGCCACATTCAAAGCCGTCCTGGGCTGCATGCGGCCCATGGGCCGCAGGTTGGATAGGCTTGATTTATAACATATTTAAGGTCATACAGTTGGCAGAACTGGGGTTTCAATATAGCAACCTCAGAGCCTTTACAAGTCCACAAAGAAGTCCTCTGCAAACATGATGTTATGCAAGGAAAGCTTTAAAACCTAATAACAGGGTACGGGGTAAACCGAAGGCTGCATATATACTTAGCAAAGCAGCAGCTGTAGTAATCTAGGTCAGAAGTGAGCATAATTAGACTAGAATGATAGTGATGAGATTAGAATACAAGAGATTATCGCACAAGAGAATGTCAAAGGGGAAAAGAGCAGGTCTGAAAGTGAAAAATTAAAGAGGTATTGGGATTCGAAGGTAAGTCCACGGTTCCAAATCTTAGATACAAAAAGAATAATGGTACCCTAAACAGAAAAGGAATCCATGAAAAAGTGGACGTATTTTTCCATTTTTGATCTTTTGAGTGACATGAAGAGCTATCCACGTGAAATTGTCCAACAGGCTGCCAGGGCAATGAGACCAAAGCTTGGTTAGAAGAACAGGGCCAGATTAATATTATAAATAACAATTTTATATCCATGCATATTTCTTAAACCAAAGAGAATATTGTTTTAATATAGAAAACTAACACTGTTACCAAAAAAAGAAAAATAAAGCTTTTAATAGCATAACACTTTCCCACACAATAACAAGTTCCCAAAGTGGCCCTAGCAACAGCACTCCTATGTATGTTAGTACAAGTCAAAAACTCCCTGCCACCTACTCAAGTCCTTTGCAAACGATTCCATACCCACTGCATTATCTTCGCAGCATCTTTTTGGAACACAAAATATTGAGACAGCCTGCTAAATTGCATATGGAAGTTTCCACCAAACATCAGACTTTCGACTTACTGGTGGTATCCATTTTTAAATTCCTAATCAATTTAAGGCATACAAACAAAGATTTTTAGGAAATGTTAGAGGTACTGATGGATTTACATGAGCAACCAGGTACTTACAGAAAACACCTGAAGACACCACAAAAAACTAAAATGTCATCTGGTCTCTATATCATCATGGCTAGATATTATCAAAATGATAGATTTTTAAAAGCAAGTAACAGAATGAAACACACAGTGTATCATTTATGTTAATGAACATGTAACACTGTATAGGTCCTTAAGGAAATATTCATATATAGTAAAAGTAAATTTAGAAAAAGATAAAAGGATATATACAAATTCATATTAACTACTTCTGAGAAGAGAGGGAAATAAAACTGGAAAGGGGAACAAAGTATATTTCAAACGTTATCCGTAACATTTCATTTATTCCATTTTTTTTAATCTGAAAAAAAAAAAACACCAAAATGTTAATGGAGGTAAAGGTCATTTATTGCGTTCTCTTTGCCATTCATTATTTCTGAAATGTTACCCAAATTAAAAAAAGAAGGAAAGAAAAGGATCCATATCTCTTGCCTAATGAAGATATCACATGAAACATATCTGACATATTCTGCCTGAATAACTCCAGGGTGAACAGGGTGAAGCAAGCAGTCAATCTCTATTTTGGACTCAACGTATTTCTTGAAATAGAAATGGCATAATTAGCAGATCTAAATGCTGGTTTGATCTCCCAGAGTGAATCTACAGGGTGGGCCTGAGCTACGGGCAAGTTCTCCAGTGGCAGCAACTAGGCAAGGGCACTAAGGCTCAGTATCTCCTAAGGAAGCTAAGAGGAAGATTCAGAAGGACGAAGCTACTAAAAGTTCTCCCAAATAAATCCATGCCTTCCTTCCTAACCCTTAATTCTCCCTGTTCCCTTTCCAAGTCCTTCCTCAAGTCACCGATAGAGACGTTCTGCAGGTTAGTGGATCTTTTTCCTTCTAAGAGGTGAATCTCTGATTGGTCTTTCGGGTTTGTCATTGGCTCACTACAGAAATGCACAGCATGCTCTTTAAGAATTTCGGACAGGCGCAGTGGCTCATGCCTGTAATCCCATCACTTTGGGAGGCCGAGGCGGGTGGATCACCTGAGGTCAGGATGGCGAAACCCCATCTCTACTAAAATACAAAAATTAGCTGGGCATGGTGGCACATGCCTATAATCCCAGCAACTCAGGAGGCCGAGGCAGTAGAATCACTTGAACCCAGGATGTGGAGGTTGCAGTGAGCTGAGATTGCGTCACTGCACTCCAACCTGGGTGACAGAGCGAGACGCTGTCTCAAAAAAAAAAAAAAAGAACTCCATGCATTCTTTCAATATCACTTATTCCGCACAGGCATCAGGGATGTAAGTTTAAGGACGGAATTCCTACCTTCAAAGACACGTCTATTAATTTTTCTTCCACTCAATTTCTTAGTCTTAAAATGTTCCCACCATCAAACACAAGAAAAATCAAGTCTAAACTGTGGCTGAATGATCCCTTAGAATTATTATGACTGTCATGAGCCAAGGTAAGAACTTGATGTGTGAGATGAGGCTATCTGAATGGGGCAACCACTTAGGAAGGTCTCTGCCTCCCTAATGTGCCCAAGCCACCACTGGTAAACCAGGACAATGAGCCATTACAGAGAACAAGGATGAATGCATGCTCATTCATATTTGACTACACTTCTTACCAGCCAGGAATTCAGTTCAGCAACTGCCAAGACTGCTATACCTAACAGGACAAAAATAAAGGGAACATTACTGTGTACCTGCTCTAGATTTGTTTTAGGAACAATACGATATAAAGAAGTTATACAGTCGTTCCTCTGTATATGTGGGCGAAAAGTCTCCCGATACCAAAACCTACTGATTCTCAAGCCCCTGATATAAAATAACCCAGTGTTTGCAAATAACCTGTGCATATCCTCCTGCACACTTTAAATCATCTCTAGATTACTTACAATACCTAATACAATGCAAATGCTATGTAAATAGTTGTTATATTGTTTGGGGAATCATGACAGAAAAAAAGCCTGGACATATTCAGTACAGAAAGAACCATTCATTTTTTTGTTAGTATTTTTTATCTGCAGTTGGTTGAATTCCCTGATGCAGAACCCATGCATACAGGGGCCTGACGGTATAGTGATGTCATATGCAGTCCAAATTTCAGGAACAGAATTCCTTTTAACAGGGCTTAGGCATAAAAAAAATGGTGTGATTTCTAGTACTCTTGACTCCAGATTAATAAATAGCAACAGAGTAATAAAGTTTCCCAGAATCTAGACTCCTAAAGGCAGGCTAGGGCGCAGCCTAGAGGAGGTGCAACAGCCAAGACCCTGATCATCTCAGACCCTGGGAAAGCGCAGGCCAGACAAAGGTCACATGCGACCTCCACATAACAGGGTCAAAACTGTCCCATGAGAGACAAATGGGCATGTGCCTGGCAAAGCAATACAGGGTGCCAATTTAGACAAAAAGAGAAAGAAAAATGCATGCCTTGTACACATTCCTGTGTCTGACTAGAGTGGAGGGTATGTAAAAGAAAAACAAGAGTAATGGAAAATACCATATACAGGCCTCAATATGACAGGCTTTGAAAGGCAAACTGAGTAATTTAGACTCAGTGTGGTAGAGTAGATCCAAAGAATAAATGGTCATTTCTTCTTTTTTTTTCTTTCTTTTTTTTGAGACAGGGTCTCACTCTGTCACCGGGGCTGGAATGCAGTGGTGCAATCTCTGCTCACTGCAACCTCTGCCTCCCAGGTTCAAGCAATTCTCCTGCCTCAGACCCCCAAGTAGCTGGGATTACCAGCGCACGCCACTACACCTGGCAAATTTTTGTATTTTTTGTATTTTTAGTAGAGATGGAGTTTTGCCACATTGGCCAGGCTGGTCTCAAACTCCTGATCTCAAGTGATCCACCCACCTCGGCCTCCCAAAGTGCTGGGATTACAGGCGTGAGCCACTGCACCAGGCCTAATGGTCATTTCTAAAAAGGAAGATGACTTCTGTACCAACATTCTGTACACACAATGAAGTGGTAATGAGTATCTGCTCAAAGAAGGTAGCAGCAGTAACTCAGAGAGACAAATGACAACATGAGATTCTATGAGTAGGAAGAGATGACAATATCAGGTTATTGACCAGATAGCAGAGACAGAAAAAATAAAAACAGCTTTTTTAGGGTATTTACCAACAATACTGTTAATTAATAATAGCAATTAGCATTTACTGACCTTTGGTATGTGCCAGGCACTGCACTAAATACTTCTAATGTGTTATCGGATTTAATTCTCACTACCAACTTTTGTGGTAGGTACTCTAATTAGCCTGTTTCAGTTAAGAAAATGGAGGTTTGGAGAGAATAAATAACTTGTCTAAATTCATAAAACCAGCAATAAGCAGGGCTGGAATTTAGAAGCCAACATGTCTAGTTTTACGGTCCACATTCTTAACCATTAGGACGTATGGCCCTAACGTTTTCAGTTGCATGCCGAGGGCAGTGTACACCAATTAAGCAAGGAAGACAGCTGTGGAAACCAGCGTTGCAGGACACTGGAAGGCTACAAGCAGAGTCATCGTTAAGAAGAACACCCACCTTTCTTTCTCTTCACAATGAGGCTTTTGGCCTTGGAGAAGCTAAATTTTGTTCAAAGCCTAGGAGAACCTGCTGTTTATGAACATTCCTGTAAAAGGAAGTGCACAGGTGGTTCCTGTTAGTTCCATTGGCACTGTGATGTAATCTCTGACATTATCACAGACAGCTGTGTGCCTCACAGGGCACCAAGGGGCCAGAGAAAACTACACCTCAGTATATTGTCTCTTTTCCAGCAAATGTGGCTGCCCGCTTCCAGGGCAGTTCAGCAACCTTGGCTGATAAAATAGGAACCTGAGCCTCATCTACAGTGGATCTGGGAATGTTCTCTTCCTATCAATTTGTGTACCACTTAAAAATGCTTACAGCTGGCTTTGGAGGAAGAGCGGTTAAAATCAAACGTACTCACTCTGAGACATTCAAATATCCAGGATATAGCCACTGAGCAACTGCAAATTTGCTACAGCAAATTAGGGCTCAGGTGGATTCACTGAACTGGAGCTCATTAAAGCCACAGGCAGTTTAGAAGCCACTCAGACAGAAATGAGAGCTGAAACCAAGACAATGGGCAAACGCACAATTGGGGCGGTGGGGGTGAGTAAGTGGGAAAAGGACTGAAGACACTCCCACAATTAAAGGACAGGAGCGTAAAGAAAAACAGTGGCAGAAACCAAGAAGAAACCAGAAATGGAGGAACTAAGCTCCCCATCTCCAGTCATCAAATCTTCTCCCTTACACTGTTCGGATCTGTGTTACTCCTCAGTTCAACCCCTCGCTATTGCCTGCTTGTTCTGTGTCGGTGACCTCCTCCCAACCTGACCCCCACAACAACAACATAGTGAATTAACTGAACTCCATATATGATTATGACATGACTGGAAAGTTCTATAGCCTGTGTCTCAACCTGAGGTACGGTGTGTGGATAGGGGTAGGCATTAAAAAAAGATACCTTTTTCTGGTGTGTCAGTTGCGCACAGTGGAAAGTAACTTTTAATCTTTTACATGAAACATAAAATTTCATAACAATGTCATGCCTGCAGTGGGCTACTTTTCAATGTGACCCAGTCTTCTCCTGGGAAGAGGTGCACGTTGGTGGAGTAACTTAAGGCACTGGCCAAAATAGGTGAAACTTGTGCTTATCCAAATTATGTGAAGGAGCCAAAGAAAGAAAGATTAAAGATCCATAAAGGGGAGGAAATTTCCAATATGAATTCAAATCCTACAGTTCTTACACACTGGTCTCTGATGTATAGGAGAATGGGTAACCTGGGTTTGAATCCTGGCTCTACCAGTTCCTAGTTATATGACCCCAAAGGCAAATTACCTAACTTCTCCCTGACTCCATTTTTCTACTTGTAAATGTAAATGGAATACTCAAAGAGCTGAATTAAGCATGGACATCTAGGGAGGGTTTGCATAACACAGCACCTGGCATACTGTAAAGAACCAAGAAATGACCGCTCTTAATCTGTAAACACCAAGTTCATACCACTCTATTAAAACATTCCAAAGCTTTTGTTTTTTGTGAGACAGAGTCTCACTCTTCCACTCAGGCTGGAGTGCAGTGGCGCAATCTCAGCTCACTGCAGCCTCTGCCTCCTGGGTTCAAGCTATTCTCCTGCCTCAGCCTCCCAAGTAGCTGGGATTACAGGCGCCCGCCACCACGCCCAGCTAATTTTTGTATTTTTAGTAGAGACGAGGTTTCTCCATGTTGGCCAGGCTGGTCTCAAACTCCTGACCTCAAGTGATTCACCCACCTCGGCCTCCCAAAATGCTGGGATTACAGGGGTGAGCCGTCACGCCCAGCCCCCAAAGCTTTTTTTCCATCCAAAATTGTTATTAGACAGGAAAATGTCTATTTTGATAAGCAGACTTGCCATATCATACACAGCCTGTCCCAAAGGATACTTTTAGCTCCATATGCAAAAATAAGACTAAATTTAAATACCCAGTTTCAGACCCATCTGGAAATTAGAAGCACCCAGGATAACAGAAGCCAAGTCAAAATCACTTTAGTTATCATTTATTAAGTGTAAGACACTGAACTGAAAACAACTGAAATCATTTATTAAGTGTAAGACACTGAACTGAAAACAACTGAACAGATCTTGGTGGTGAGATTAATAGTTGGTATGAACACCAATGATTAAGTAAAGTACTTTACTGAGGATACCACTCTGAAATGCACATGAAAGGAAGCACACAGGAAAAACCAGTGTCACCAAGATCCCTGCTGATCAAGGACAGCTGTTAACTGGTTCCCAGGAGGGGTACACAAATGTACACAGACATTTATATAATCTTCTGTTGTCTAGGCACCAAGTCTTGTGTATTCAGTAATCACTCAAATCATGAGAAGGAATTCAGGGAGGGAGCAGCAGCTTAAAAACAGGTCTGGCCTGAAGCAGGAGGACCTGTTTCAAGTCACAGGCAGCATTAGCAGGAAGAAGCCAGTGAAGTCTGCAGCTGAAGACTGAAGAAAGTTGCCTTCCCTTCCTTTCTCCTCTCACCCTAATTCCAATAGGACCTCTTCAGTCTCATCTGACTGCCCCCTCTACATAATAGGTTTCACTGACTGCTTCCATTTTTTCCGAAGAAAACTTTATCTTATTGTCTATCAGACATTTCTCAAAATTATGAATTTTAAAGTGGGGGGAATATTGGAGTAAATAGAACTTTTGTTTGCATTCCACCCATGGAATGATTGTAACAAATCAATGTAACAAGAACAGAGGTCAACTTTTCACTTACTCTATTATGAACCTTGAAGGCAAGGATGCTTTATACATTTTTGAATCTGATCTCAGAATACAATATAAGATACATAAAAGGATAATGACATGCAATGAATACATCATTCTAAAGACAAGAACAAGTGTTTTAATTTTTTTATTCCCATTTAACAGCCCCAAGATGTCTCAGCCATTATTTTTTTATTTCAAGTGAATTAAGCTACTTTCAGAATAGAACAAAATGACTTTTCTATTAATAGTTTCCTTTAGATTTGCTTCTAAAAACCAGACAATTTAGCTTGGTGTTTCCAACAAAAATGCTGTAGAGACCAATTTAATTTACACAACCTGAACAGTCCTGTTCTAAGGGACTAATCTAAGAGACCAGCTCATAATATTGAAAACTGATGTTAAAAACAAAAACAAAAAAGAATCAGGCATTTAACCTACCTTTTCTTTTTTTGAGATGAAGTTTCGCTCTTGTTGCCCAGGCTGGAGTGCAATGGCGCAATCTTGGCTCACTGCAACCTCCACCTCCTGGGTTAAAATGATTCTCCTGCCTCAGCCTCCCCAGTAACTGGGATTACAGGCAACACGCCACCACACCCAGCTAATTTTGTATTTTTAGTAGAGACGGGGTTTCTCTGTGTTGGTCAGGCTGGTCTCCAACTCCCGGCCTAAGATGATCCGTCCACCTCGGCCTCCCAAAGTGCTAGGATTACAGGTGTGAGCCACTGTGCCCAGCCAACCTACCTTTTCTGTACTAACTAGATCTCAAAGAGTTGATGAGGGGAAGTTTCTCTTCATAAAAATATTCTAATAACTAAAACAGGAAAACAATAAAAATATCACCATTTTGCAAACCCTTGATAAAATAATGGATCTAGGCAATGGTTATCAATGGTCATGAACACTACAAAAAGTGAGACAACCAATATTACCTGACTGGGGTGAGAAGTACAGGCCACCACCTACGAAGTAGTTTTGCCAAAAAAAATAGAAACTGAATCAAATCAAGATCTGATTACTATTTACAGGCATTAAAAGAACAAAAGAACATGTTAAACCATTCATTAAACAAAAAGCATTACAACAGGTGGTAGCCTGTTTTTTTTTTTATTTAATTATGATAACCAAACAAGTACTTTTTGATAAATGAACATAACTTTCTTCATGTTCTCTTTGTGATTATCTTCATCTTAAAAGATGAGGAAAGTCTATCAAGTACAAGCATGTTTATGGATGTGCTTATTTATTGTGTAAGACAACAAAATGTACAACTTTGTACAGGTCAGGAGTTGCCTATCTCAAAAATATTTTCTTTCGCCCGGGATGGTGGCTCATGCCTGTAATCCCAGTACTTTGGGAGGCCGAGGTGGGCGGATCACAAGGTCAGGAGTTCGAGACCATTTTGCCTAACACAGTGAAACCTCGTCTCTACTAAAAATACAGAAAAAATTAGCCAGGCATGGTGGTGGTCGCCTGTGGTCCCAGCTACTCAGGAGGCTGAGGCAGGAGAATGGCGTGAACCCGGGAGGCAGAGCTTGCAGTGAGCCGAGATCACGCCACTGTACTCCAGCCTGGGCAACAGAGCGAGACTCCACCTCAAAAAAAAATAATAATAAAAAATAAAAAAATAAAAATTTCTTTCCTAGCGTTACTAAACTTCCTTTCACTTGGAAAACTACAGCACAGCTGAGCCAAGAAGTAACTGGTCCCTGCTTCTAAAATGACAGCTTTAGGAGTAATAAGCAAAGAAGAAGCTGGATGCAGTTGAGCAACCTCAGAGGAGACAGATCACTGTGAGGAGCCCACTTTCAACTGAACTGGCACCAGCTGTTCTCAAAGTGCTCCAAGACACCCTGGGGGTCCTCAGGCACCTTTCAGGACGTCCATGACATCAAAATTATCATTATAATAATGCAAACAGGTCATTCACAACTTTCATAGGCTGACAGGAAGCACTGATGATCAAAGCAAGGGTGTATAAAATTGCTGGCCCCTTAGCACAAATCAAGACAGTGGCACCACCAGTATAGGTCCTCATGACCACTGCGAACTCACAGTGGGAAAAAAAAAGGACGGTTTCATATAAAAATATCCTTGATGAAACAGTGAACATTAGCAATTGCATGAAATCTCAACCCCTGAGTATGTGCCCTTTTGACCTTTTTAATATTCTTTGTGCTGAAATAGGAAAGTTCACATGAAGGAGCTGTGCGGCATACTGAAGTATGGAGGTTGCCTGAAGGAAAAGAATTTATGCCAACCGTTTGATCAACAAGCTGAACTAGCAGTTTTTGTTTATAGAATATCATTTTTACATGAAATAAAAACTAAAAGTATTAGTATTTAAAGTTGGGTATTTGGCACACACTTTCTCAAACGCAAAATTAGCCTGTTGCTTCAAAAAAAAATAATAACTGACCTATTTGTTGCCAATGATAAAAGTCAAGCCTTCAAACAAAAATTAGATACTTGGAAAAATTGTATCTGCCACCAAGAGTGTGACAGCTTTCCCAATATGCAGACGGTTAATAAGACGGTATTGTGTCCTTAAAAATTTGTAGAGGGTAGATCTCATGTTAAGTGTTTTTAATACACAAAATAAAAATAAAACACAAAGACACAAGGAAACTTTGGAGGTGATGGACACGTTTATCACCTGGATTGTGGAGATGGTAAATGTAATATAAAGTTTATTTGCAATGTGGAATATGGAGCCATATGAGTGAATGTTTCTCACTTTGTGGTATTTAAATCCATTGGTCTTTCTTTCATTTTGGATCTTTCTTATTCATGCATGATTTGGAAAATACTGGCTCATGGAAATAAATGTTAGCACATTTTATAATGCCAAATACAGGAGTGTATACATTTGTCCAAACTCAACAAATTCTATACATTGATTATATGCAGGTTTTTGTATACCAATTATATCTCAATAAAGCTGGAGGGGAAGAAGACTTTTCAAGAGATGACCGCTGATTTCAACAAATGTAATTTTTTTCTAATGGTATTATAAAATGTGCTAACATTTAATTCCATGAATCAGTATTTCCCAAATGATACATGAGTAAGAAAGATCCAAAATGAAAGACAGGTCAATGGATTTTAATGCAACAAAGTAAGAAAAGTTTACTGATATGGTTTCAGATTCCACACCGCAAATAAGCTTTAAGAAATGGCCACTTGCAGAGTTTGATGTAGCATCAAAGGGAATATCCACAATTATCAGAAAAGACTATTAAAACACGCCTCCATTTCCAACTACAGATGTGCCTGAGGTTGGATTTTCTTCACATATTCCAACCAAACAACAAATCACAACAGATTGAATGCAGAAGCAGTTATGAGAATCCAGCTGCTTCTACGAAACCAGACGTTATAGAGAACCGCAAAAATGTAAACCACCACCACTCTTTCCCTAAACTATCTTTGTAAAGGTATTTTTCATACAGAAGTATTATTTATGTTCATATACAAAAGGGTTATTATGTTTTGATTTTTAGTTTTTATGAGACAGGGTTTCGCTCTGTCACTCAGGCTGGAGTGCAGTGGTGTGATCATGGTACACTGCAGCCTCAACCTCCTGGGCTCAAGCAATCCTCCTGCCTCAGCCTCCCAAGTAGCTAGGACCACAAGTGCACACTACCATATCCTGTTAATTTTTTAAATTTTTTGTAGAGACAAAGTCTCACTATGTTGCCCAGGCTTGTCTCGAACTCCTGGCCTCAAGTGATCGTCCCACCTCGGCCTCCCAAAGTGCTGGGATTGCAGGAATGAGCCACCACACCCAGCCAGGTTATTATGTTTTATTGAATTCATAAATACTCTAAAATTTCCCACTTATATTTCTAATATGGTAAACATTGATAGATATAACTCATGTAAAGCAAAGGTCTTTGAGGTCCTTAATAATTGTTAAGAGCGTGAAGCGGTACTGAAACAAGTCTGAAAACTGCAGCTCCAAGGATATGGAGCTGAGGTCAAGGCTGTGCTTGTTCAAGTGAGCCTTCAGGAATTACCTTATTCTTTGAGTTCCTGTTTGAACAAACGCTAAAAGTTGGAAGCTCAGCAGAGCCCAATGTCTGGCCTAGAGCACCAAGAACCACCAGCCACAGCCATCCTGAGAAAGGGCCTTATGAGCAGAATATTTTGTATTAGGCTCGGGTGTGAGGTTAGAAGACCTCGGGTGGGGGAAGTCAGCAGCACTTTTTCCTTCTTAGCTCAGCACATACCTCTTTCTTGAGATTCTGGTCTCAAAAATAGCTAACCAGGCCAGGCATGGTGGCTCACACCTGTAATCCCAGCACTTTGGGAGGCCGAGGTGGGCGGATCATTTGAGGTCAGGAGTTCGAGACCAGCCTGGCCAAAATGGTGAAACCTCGTCTCTACTGAAAATACAAAAAATTAGCCAGGTGTGGTGACACACACTTGTAGTCTCAGCTACTCAGGAGGCTGAGGCAGGAGACTCGCTTGAACCCAGGAGGCGGAGGTTGCAGTGAGCCAAGACCATGCCACTGTACTCCAGCCTGGGCAACAGAGCCAGACTCCATCTCAAAAAAAAAAAAAAGCTAACCATATCAGTCCAGACTAGCAGACTAGTGGATTAAGGAAGCTGAGATGAACTGTTTCCCGTGCGCTTCCTCCTCTGGTTAACTCAAGAAATATCAAAACAGCCATCCCAACCAACAGAAATCTCTGCCTTTTTAACAGACTGGTAAATTCTTCAGGACCAGACTTAACACAAAAGTCACTTAAATCTTAAGAACTGGGGCAAGAAGTGCAGTCTCAGCTCTCCAATATTTTTTTGCGTGTTTAAGAGATGTGTGGCCAAGAGCTCACAAATACAGTGTCTAAGGTGAGTGGGCCACTATGGAGACTTTGCCCTTGAATCTGCGTGAAACGGCAAGGTTCTGAGCAAATGAGTGACAGGATCCACCCGAACCCACTCTGGGCTTTGGGTGGAGAAATGGAGAAAAGGTTTTAGGGGCAGGGGCAAGAGCAGAGAAGTCACTACAGTAAGCCACATGACAGATAATGATTTACTTCTTCCCAAAAAGGCCGAAACATTGATTTTATTTTTTTCCTCTTTGAGACAGAGTCTCATGCTGTCACCCAGGCTGGAGTACAGTGGTATAATCTCGGCTCACTGCAACCTCCGCCTCCCTGGCTCAAGCAATGCTCCCATCTTAGCCACCCAAGTAGCTGGGACCATAGGCATGTGCCACCACGTCCAGCTAATTTTTGTATTTTTTGTAGAGATGGGGTTTCACTATGTTGCCCAGGTTGGTCTCAAACTCCTGAGTTCAGGCCATCCATCTGCCTCGACCTCCCAAGGTGTTGGGATTACAGGCGTGTGCCACTGAGCCCAGCCAAACCATTGATTTCTAATGCTATTACGCTACTATTGATACATACAGTACATAAAGATCTTCTATTAGTTTCTCTTGGAGCAATAACAAAATAAAAGTATGCCTTGTATTGATGCCCTATATCCTTTACTAAGTGGCCCCACTCACGAATTACAGTCTTTTTACTTTCCTTTTTTTTTTTTTTTTTTTAACATAGAGAGTATTTCCAGCATATACTAAACTGGAGGAAAGAGTATAATACTACAAGGAAACTTCTTGAACTTCTTACCTACCTTCAATTTATGGCCAGTCTTACTTTATCTGCAACTGCCCCACCTCCCCATCCCAGCTTATTATAAAGTCATTTTTAATCAGATTTTGTTTTGTTTTGTTGAGATAAGAGATTCGCTTTTGTTGCGCAGGCTGGAGTGCAATGGCACAATCTCGACTCACTGAAACCTCTGCCTCCCAGGTTCAAGCGATTCTCCTGTCTCGGCCTCCCGAGTAGCTGGGATTACAGGCGCATGCCACCACAACCAGTTAACTTTTGTATTTTTAGTACAGATGGGGTTTCATCACATTGGTCAGACTGGTCTCGAACGCCTGACCTCAGGTGATCCACCCACCTCAGCCTCCCAAAGTGCTGGGATTACAGGCATGAGCCACCACGCCCGGCCCCAATCAGTTTTCTTATTAAACAAAAAGGATTTTAGGAAAACAGACTAACACGTGAAAGAAGTAACTCACCTAGAATCTTAATGCCCATTACTGATATGAATTGAACTGTTTTTATTTGAACATTCACACTCATACAGATATGAATTAACAGTACATGGACAATATAGAGTTGTACATGAAAATTAACTTATTCTCTTGTTACAAAATTAGGATTATCCTGATGACACGATTTTGTAAACTTTTGCCACCATATATTAACAATGTCCATGGAGAAGAAGAATAAATGCCTACTGCTGCACAGTTTAGGATGTTTCTAGTATTTCAGGATATTAGAATATTATCATGAACAGCTACATATATAAATTTAGTGAACATCTACTAACATGTACTAGCAAATGCCAAACATGCAATAATGTAAAGAAAAATGGACTCCCAGGTAACGCAAAATACAGCAACTGCTATAACCACTGATGCTGGCAAGACCAGGAAAAGTAGCTCCTTTGGATAGGATGACAGCTAGAAACATTAACTAGGGATTAAGACTGATATTGGCAGGGTACGGTGGCTCACGCCTGTAATCCCAGCACTTTGGGAGGCTGAGGCGGGTGGATCACTTGAGGCCAGGAGATTAAGACCAGCCTGGACAACATGGCAAACGCCGTCTATACTAAAAATAGAAAAATTAGCCAGGTGTGGTAGCACATGCCTGTAATCCCAGCTGCCTGGGAGTCTGAGGCACGAGAATCCCTTGAACCCAGTGGGGCAGAGGTTGCAGTGAGCCAAAGATCGCACCACTGCACTCCAGCCTGGGCGACAGAGACAGAGAGAGACACTGTCTCAAAAAAAAAAATTAAATAAAGACAGTAATACTGATGATCCTGACCCTGTGTAGGCCTAGGCTAAAGTGTGTGTTTGTGTCTTAGTTTTACATTTTAAAAAATTTTTTTAATAAAAGAAAATATATTTGTACACTATAAAATGTGCTTGTGTTTGAAGCTGTGTTATTACAAAAGAGTCAAAAGTTAAAAACCATTTATAAGTTTATCAGGCAAAAAAGTTAAGCTAAGCTTTGTTTATTACTGAAGAAAAAACACTTTTTAAATGAACATAGTGTAGCCTAGACATAGTGCTTATAACGTCTACAGTAGTGAGTGTACAGTCATGCCCTAGGCCTTCACATTCACTCACCACCCACTCACTGACTCACCCAGAGCAACTTCCAGTCCAGACACATGTAACGTGTCCCATGCAGGTGGACCATGTTTAATCTTTTTTACCATATTTTTACTATACTTTTTCTATGTTTACAGATGTTTAGATATACAAATACCATTATGTTCCAGTTGCCTACAGTATTCAGGACAGTAACCTGCTGCACAGGTTTGTAGCCTAGGAGCAACGGGCTATACCATATAACCTAGGTGTGTAGTAGGCTGTGTTATCTACATTTGTGTAAGTGCAGTCTGCGATGTTCACACAATGACGAAATCACCTAATGACACATTTCTCAGAACATATCCCTGTTAAGTGATGCATAGTTGTCGATATATGTAGGATTCCCCTACACCAGGGGAAATAAACAATAGAAAATACAACAGAAGAAAAAATGGCATTCACAGTAGAAACAGAAGCTGAACTAGGGTCTCTTACTGTAACAAAGAAGACAAGATCATTACGGAAAAAAAAAAAAAATCTGACCTCCATTGAATAAAACATTAATACCACTGATAAGTGGTTTCCACTCGGGATATAGATCAGTGTCACCAGAGGAGATTTTAAAAAATACAATTGCTAGACTCCACTCTCTAGAGATTATAATTCAGTTCATCTGTGGTCAATGGGACATATTTTTTTAAAAGCTACCTAGCAAATTCTAATATAAAGCCATGGTTGAAAACTACCAGTTTAAATATGTTTTTAAAATAACACAGGAGGGAGTCATTCTTCTAGATATCAAAATATATAAACAAGTTGTAGCAATAAAAATAAAAGCAAAATCCACTGTGAAATTAGAACAGAAACAGACAAATTGATCAGAACAGAGCAGGGAGCCTAAAAAGGTGAGAGAGAGAGAATGTGTGTGTCTGTGTCTCTGTGTGCATATATACGAGTGTGTGGATCTTGACATATGATACAGGTAGCATCACAAACCACTAGGTTATTTAGTAAATGAGATTTGGGAAAATTCGTTTGCCATAGAAGAAAATACAGAAACATAACTTTGTTAACTAGGAATGGAGAAATATTTCCTACACAAGACCCAGAAGGTTAAAAAAAAAAAAAAAAGGTTGGATCATAACAAAATTAAAGATTCCGTTTAATGAAAGATTTCAAAGAAAAAATCTGACAGGTGAAAAACAAAAGATGCGTATACCATTTAAAATCCAACGAGAGACTGAAAAAAGAAGAAAACTGCTATAAATTAGGGCAGAAAAATGGGAAACAGATATGAAAAGCTAACAGAAAAAGAGGCAAAGGATATATAAATGGCGAACTCAACCGAGGAAAAACACACACAGTATACGATAGGATATTCCACTGCATTAGTAATCAGATAGCTGCAAATAAGAACAATAACATATCACTTTGTGCTGGATTGCTCCATCTGTTGCATCAGATTGGAAAAAATTATAAGGTCAGAAAATGCCACATGCCAGCAAGAATGCAGGGAGCAACAGCTGGTGAAAGTGTCAATGAGATAACAATCTGGTCGTACTTAAGGGAATTATGCATATGCCAGAGAGAGGGTCCCCTGGGGGCAAGGAAGAACATGAATGGGGATAGGTGATGAAGGGGAAAGATACAATAAAATAAGGTGGGAGACTCTACACGGACCAATCATGACAGTGTGCCATGAAGTGAGTGCTAACTCCAGTCCGAGCCCCTGAGCTGGGGAGGGAGCGGAGCGGGGCAGCTCCGCGTCACAGGTCCCTTCACCCAACCAGCAGGTATTCAGTCTCTACATACCAGGAACTGCATCCCATCCTAGCGACCGAGTAGCAAAAGATCAAGCCCTTACCCTCATAGGGTTTATGTCCTAGTGAAGGAAACAATAAAAAGGAAACAAATAAGATAATGATAAGAGAGTGTTAACAGCTAACAAGTAAGACAGTGATAGTGACAGAAAGTGATGGAAAGAGGGTTTCACTAATGAAAGGATAGCCAGAGGTGAGATCCCGCAGGTCTGCAGAAAGAAAATGAACCAGGCATTCAGCAAGCCGAGAGATGAGATCCCAAAGAATTGCGTTCAAGGGCTGGGCGTGGTGGCTCACGCCTGTAATACCAGCACTTTGGGAGGCCGAGGCGGGCGGATCATGAGATCAGGAGATCCAGACAATCCTGGCTAACACAGTGAAACCCTGTCTCTACTAAAAATACAAAAAAATTAGCCGGGTGCCTGTAGTCCAGTTTAAATATGTTTTAAACTGGAGGCTGAGGCAGGAGAATGGCGTGAAGCCGGGAGGTGGAACCTGCAGTGAGCTGAGATCACACCACTGCACTCCAGCCTGGGGGACAGAGCAAGACTCCGTCTCGAGAAGAACTGCGTTCAAGGTCATCAAATACAAAGTTGTCATAGTACAGGCGACAGTGTGTTCTAAAGATGACTTTCAGGTACTTCCTGTCATTCAGCTCCCAGAAGCAACCTTCAAAATACCTGTTATATAAAATGTAAACTATAAGGGTTATTGTGAGAGTCCAACATACGGTGATTAAAGAATGCAAACTTTTTGAAGGGGAAGAGGGAGGAGGCAGCATCGATATGAATGTGCTATGCCTCTAAAAAATGTTTCTGGAAAATTACTAGGATCCACAAACTTTTCCTTCACTCCTTAAAAAGTAATTGAGTAATCATATTTTTTCCCCAGCACAGTGCCAGGAAATGAGGTTAAGTATTAAATTTTCTGTCTTTGCTTCAATTGTATAAGATGCAGGATCCTATTTATTTTATATACGTACTGTTTTTATGGATAAAAGAAAACATTTATTGCATGCTTGCAATCTGCAAGGCCCTGTTCCCTGAGCTTCTACACATTGGAGCCCACTTACATTCACAACAAAATACTATATTATTTCCACTTTAGAGACGGAACAACAGAGGTTAAGAAACTTGCCTAAAGTCAAAGTACTAGAAAGCAGCAGAGCAGAGATTCAAACCCAGGTCTTTCAAAGTGTTAACCACTACACTTACGTTTCCCCCTAGAGTGGCTGGCCCCTGCAGTGGCTGTAGCACATGGCCTTAGAACTTATTAGAAATGCAAATCGCCAGGACCTCCCCTCCCAGACCGACTGATCAGAAATTCTGGGGCTGGAAGGCAGCTGCCTAAGGTTTCACAAGCCCTCCGTGTGATCCCAAGGTATGCTAAAGTTTGAGAACCACTGGTAGAAATTTTTCATACTAAGCATAATGTGAAAGGTGAAATTACTACCATTTTGAAACTTCTAAAATATAAAATTTGTATCCTATTTAAAATGACTATGAAGAAACGAAAACAGTGTTAGTTCATTTCCTCACTGCTCAACTTCTTTCTCCCAAACTTGACAAAATGCCTAATCTCTATCCTGATTATACTATGTACAAAAAGGGTACTCTGATGAGCGTTAGAGCACAGAGGTCTGAACTCACTCTTCAGAAGTAATCAGAAGCCATAATAGGAAGAGAAAAAAACAATATTTTGAATATCAGCAGAAGCTTGATAAATCTTGGGCCATAACTCCAAATTTTGATCCCAGGCTCAACTCCAAATTTTTACAACATGACTTCAACAGTCTTCCCAATGCCAAAAAAAGAAGTTACAACCCCGAGAAATATTTGATTAACAAGATTCAAACTGCTTTAAGTGCACATACAGAGAAACTGTCCAAGAGTGTGTTTTTATCAGGAGTGAAGCTAAGGAATGCCTAATTACACATCAGACCCTCTGACAATATTCACAGCAAAAGGGGTTAACGTTATCCCTGTCCCTGCACACACCTGCCGTGTACGGCATCCTACCTGATCCTTCTCTTTTCAAAGCTATATCTAGACCGGGAGACTTTTCTCCCCAACTCAAGTACTCAATTTGAGCAGTACAGCTCTATGTGTATTCAAGTTTGCCTATTTCTAATAAGGCCTTTTTTTGTTGTTAAAGGGATGGAAGAAAGAGTATGAGAAATAAGTATATTCAAGCACCTACCATAATCTGAAATCTTCCATAAGCCAAATAACTCTCTGAAGCTATTCACTCGCATACTCAAGTCATTAATTTTATAAATTTCAGGTTTCTACTTATTCCAAAAATTTAAAACATAAAATTGAAGATTAAGGAGTACTTAGTCCAAGCTTGGACCACAGGAGAGCTATAAACCTGTCTTAAAATGCTTAATGACCTGATTAAGGTCATCAAAGGTAAAGAAAACTCTAGGAAGCAGCCTTTTAATCTGCCTGGCTACTTACAACCACCCACCTTTTCCATGCCCACGCTCTCCTAAGGGCTGAAGGCACTGCCAAGAATGACCTTCCTAGAAGGGCTGAATCCTATTTATTTTCTCTCTCCCAAATCTCCACCAAATCCCCTAAGAACTGGCAGTGTTCTGGTAAGAAACAATTTACTATTGCTCTCCTCCCCACCCACAGTTCAGTGCAACTGAAGTGAACACACACACACCCCAACCACTGAAAGACTTTCTCACTTAGATTCCTATCCTGCATTTTCAAAGTCCAAAGTTGTCTTCAAAATATCTTGCAAAATGCAGTCGTACCAGCTAGTCTTTAATCTCCACTAACATTGCCAGTTCTATACCCAAAATGGATATCGCAACTGCTATGTATTTTCATCTCCCTTCTCTAACAATCAGTAACAAGCAACCCAATCAGTAATAAACAAGCCTGACAAATAGCTCCTAAATTCACAGAGAAAAGAATGGTCTCCTCTCTTTCATAAGTAAAGCAAGCTGATAATGTTCTAGTAAATAGAAAGACTAAATGCCTCTTCAAGAAAAAAACATTTATATGCCTGGAAAAAACATCTTGGGTTTTTTTGTTTTTGTTTTTTTACTTAAGTATCTGTTCATAGTAGGTAGCAAATAATCTTTCCACACATATGCACTTTACCAGTTCTTTTAAAGACTCAGTAATCTAAGAAAGCAAAGCATAAGACTATGCTGAAAGAGCTAAGCCGCAGTTTACATAAAATTTAAACAAAACACAAGACATTAAAAAAATTCAACTACTCATAAATAAAGACCAATAAATCTACACTTTGGTCTGGGTTTCTGAACACAGGAAGAATCAGAGGGTTCAATAGGAGAGGTTATTTCTGAAATCGTAGGCATACCTTGAAGATATCACATGTTCCATTCCAGACCACCTTAGTAAAACTAACACTGCAATAAGGTAACAGAAATGTTTCTGCTTTCCAAGTGCATATAGAAGTTATATTTACAGTATACTGTAGTCTATTATGTTGGCAATAGCATTAGCTCTTAATTTTAAAATGCTTTATAATTTTTTTAAAATGCTAGTGATCATCCGAGCCTTCAGGGAGTCATAATCTTTTTGCTGGTGGAGGATTTTGCCTTGATGTTGATGGCTGCTGACTGAACAAGGTGCTGGCTGCTGAAAGATGGATGGCTGTGGCAATTTCTTAAAATAAGAAAACAATAAGGCCGGGCGCTGTGGCTCACGCCTGTAATCCTAACACTTTGGGAGGCTGAGGTGGGTGGACTGCGTGAGCTCAGGAGTTCAAGACCAGCCTGGTCAACAGAGTGAAACCCCATCTCTACTAAAATATAAAAAATTAGCCAGCTGTGGCAGTGTGCACCTGTAATCCCAGCTACTCAGGAGGCTGAGACAGGAGAATCTCTTAAACCTGGGAGGCGGAGGTTGCAGTGAGCCAAGATCGTGCCATTGCACTCCAGCCTGGGCAACAGAGCGAGACTCCGTCTCAAAAAAATAAAAAAAATGAAGTTTGCCACATCAACTCACTCTGCCTTTCAGAAAAGATCTCTCTTTTGGTAGCATTTCACCCACAGTAGAACCTCATTCACAATTGAAGTCAATCCTATCATACCCTGCCACTGCTTTATTAACCAAGTTTACAGAATATTGTAAATCGTTCATTGTCATTTCAACAATGCTCACAGCATCTTCACCAAGAATAGACTCTCTCTCAAGAAGCCACTTTCTTTGCTCATTCAGAAGAAGCAACTCTTCATCCATTCGAGTTTGATAATAAGATTGCAGCAATTCAGTCATATTTTCAGGGTCTACTTCTAATTCTAGTTCTCAGTATACTATTTCCACCACATCTGCAGGTACTTCTTCCACTGAAGTCTTGAACCCCTCAAAGTCATCCATGAGAGCTGGAATCAACTTCTTCTAAATTCCTGTTAATGGTGACATTTTGACCTCCTCCTTTGAATCACAAATGCCCTTAATGGCATCTAGAATTGTGAATCCTTTCCAGGTTTTCAATTTACTTAGCCAAGATCCATCAGAACAATCACTATCTATGGCAGCTATAGCTTTACAAGATGTGCTTCTTAAATAATAACTCTTGAAAGTTGAAATGACTCCTAGATCCATGGGTACAGAGTGGATGTTGTGTTAGCAGGTATGAAAACATTAATTTCCTTGTACATCTCCATCAGAGCTCTTGGGTGACCAGGTGCATTGTCAATGAGCAGCACTTGTTCAATGGTACCCTTTCTTCTGAGCAGTGGGTCTCGACAGTGAGCTTAACAGATTCAGTAAACCACGCCATAAACAGATGTACTGTCATCCAGGCTTTGTCGCTCCATTTATAGAGCACAGGCAGAGTAGATTTTGCATGACGCTTAACAATTTTTGGAATGGTAGATGAGCAGTGGCTTCAACTTAAAGTCACCAGCTGCACTAGCTCCAAACAAAAGAGTCAGCCTGGCCTTTGAGGTGAAGCACTGACTTCCTTCTAGCTAAGAAAGTCCGAGACGGCATCTTCTTCCAATATAAGGCTGTTTCATCTACACTGAAAATCTGTTGTTCAGTGTAGCCACCTTCATCAGTGATCTTAGCTAGATATTCTGGATAACATGCTACAGCTTCTATATCAGCATTTGCTGCTTCACCTTGCACTTTTACATTAGGGAAGCAGCTTCTTTCCTTAAACCTCATGAACCAACCTCTTCTAGCTTCCAACTTTTCTTCTGTAACTTCCTTACCTCTCTCAGCCTTCATCGAATTGAAGAGAGGGTTTTGCTCTGCTGGCTTAAGGGAATGTTGTGGCTGGTCTGATCTTCTATCCAGACCACTAAAACCTTCTCTATATTAGCAATAAGGCTGTTTCACTTTCTTATCATTTGGACGTTCAGCAGAGTAGCACTTTTAGTTTCTTTCAAGAACCTTTCCTTTGCATTCAGAGCTCGCTTGTTTGGTGCAAGAGGCCTAGCTTTTGGCCTGTTTCAGCTTTTGTCATGACCTCCTCACTAAGCTCACTCATTTGTAGCTTTTTGATTTAAAGTGGGAGACACGCGACTCTCCATTCACTTGAATACTTAGATGCCAATGTAGAGTTATTAATTGGCCTAATTTCAATATTGTTGTGTCTCAGGGAATAGGGAGGCCTGGGGAGAGGAAGAGAGTTGGGGAATGGCCAGTTGGTGGAGATATCAGAACATATGTAACATTTATCAGTTAAGTTCACCATATTATATAGGTGCAGTTCATGGAGCCCCAAAACAATTAGAATCGTAACATCAAAGATCACTGACCAGAGATCACCATAACAGACAGAATAACAATGAAAAGTTTGCAATATTGTGAGAATTACCAAAATATGACAGAGACACACAAAATGAACATACACTATTGGAAAAATAGCACCAATCGACTTGCAGGGTTGCCAACGAACCTTCAGTTTGTAAAAAACACAGTATCTTCAGAGAGCAAGCCTGACTAACAATTTCCTTCACTTTAAATTCAAAATGAAGGAATACCCTTTCCTTCCGAATGTATCTCATTTAACAAAATTCAAGACTTTTTTTTTTTTTTTTTGAGACGGAGTCTCGCTCTGTGGCCCAGGCTGGAGTGCAGTGGCACGATCTCAGCTTACTGCAAGCTCTGCCTCTTGGGTTCAGGCCAATTCTCCTGCCTCAGCCTCCCGAGTAGCTGGGATTACAGGCGCCCACCACCACGCCCGGCTAATTTTTTCTATTTTTTAGTAGAGACAGGGTTTCACCGTGTTAGCCAGGATGGTCTCAATCTCCTGACCTTGTGATCCGCCCGCCTCGGCCTCCCAAAGTGCTGGGATTACAGGCGTGAGCCACCATGCCTGGCCAAAACTCAAGACTTAAGTCATTCATTACAATTTTGTCTGAATTGCAATTAGGAGAGAAACAGCTGCAGTACCTTTGTATCTTTGTCAGTGAAATGTTTATAACAAGGAAAAACAAAAATCTGTTTGAAATCTCCAGTAAGCGCCCCCCAGTGCACCATCTAGTGGAAGTCAGGTAGTGTCATAATTAATTTAAAGAAAAAAGTCACAGAAACTCTGAAAACCATTGGGGGAGGGGGAGAAGTCAAAGCTTCAGGTAAGAATACAAGCAAATACTTTACAAACAGCCAAAATATCTTTCCAGTGTCCCACAATGCAAGAGGGCTGGGCTTATGAGAATAAATGATTCATTTTCTGTATAATCAACAGATGATAAAAGTTCCTTTATGGAAATTTTTGCTTGGGTGCTAGAAATTTTGACAGGAGAGTAAAAGTTAAATAAAGCCACTAAAACATAAATAAGTAAATAAATGCTGGGCTAGAGTGACAGCCTTGTGTAAGAAGAGTTGCCTTATATGTTACATGAATATGTTAAAATGTACATGTGAAACAGAGGTATTAGCCACAAAACAAGAGATAACTTCATGATTAGAACAGTTACAT
This sequence comes from Homo sapiens, assembly GCF_000001405.40. Classification (NCBI taxonomy): domain Eukaryota; kingdom Metazoa; phylum Chordata; class Mammalia; order Primates; family Hominidae; genus Homo; species Homo sapiens. The sequence continues at coordinate 28,300,667 of NC_000010.11, forward strand.
TCAGGCTGGGTGCAATGGCTCACGCCTGTAATCCCAGCACTTTGGGAGGCCAAGGCAGGCAGATCACTTGAGGTCAGGAGTTCGAGACCAGCCTGGCCAACATAGTGAAACCCCATCTCTACAAAAATATTAAAAAAAAAAAAATAGCTGGGCGTGGTGGCATGCGCCTGTAGTCCCAGCTACTCAAGAGGCTGAGGCAGGAGAATCACTTGAACCAGGGAGGCAGAGATCACAGTGAGCCACAGCACTCCAGCCTGGACAACAGAGTGAGACTCCACCTCAGAAAAAAAAAAAAAAAGAGTTCCATTCAGTAATCCATAAGACATTTTCATGTTCCTGATAACTAGTAAATTTAACAAAACCTAACGATTCTCTAGAATTCCCTAAGCCTTAACATCATACAAGCGGCTACTCCCAACTACCCATTTCAGCCTGTCCCACACTAATGCCCAAACTCCTTTGGTCAAGTTATTCTAATTAAGAAATTATTCTTCAATCCGTCTATAAATTTACAGTAAACACTTCCCGAAACAAAGTCATAAGTCATGATCAAAATGCATTACACTTCATTAGTATTTTCCTTCTGCATATCAATTATTTCTATTCAATTCAAAAAAAGGTACCGAAATTCAATGCTGAGCTAGAGATGCAAACACAAATAAGGTTCTCTAATTTGGAAAGCTTCCCAAAATTTAAAATAGAGATTTTCACACAGCATTCCTAACTTTTGTTTGTTTTGCCTGTGTGGAAAATTACCTTTCACCTGAAATTCAAACTAGCTAAGCAACCTGAATGGAAAGAAAAACCTCGCAGATAATATTTCTTTACTTGAAAATAACCATCTCCACCTCTGACCTGTGTATACGGGATCAAATTGGTATGCAGAAGTTGGCTTGATGGCGGGAATCTTACCCAGATTTTGGATTAAATCCATTATAGGTATAAAATAAAGTAGGAGTAAAGTGGGGCAGGATTCCTTTCATTTCTAGGGCTTTCAGTTGACATACCTGTAAAATGGACATGCTATGCACAGCCTGCCTCAGAAGAGTAGGAGGATGGCATACTATATAATTGATAGAGTGCTATGAGCTTCACGATTAAATGGAAATACTGTTTTTATAGAACCAGAGTGAACCTGAGCATAGAAAACTCTCCAAGGGCCATCGCTGTGACATTACCGCTAAAACTCAGTGACCTTCATCAATTCACTTGTAAACAAGCAATATATTGAGCAAGTCAAAGGAAAGGCAGCAACAATTCAAGATACTTCTTTATAAGTAAATCAAATTACGTAATTAATAGCCCAGGATTTACCTGCAAACTATTACTGCCTGACTAGCAGGTGCATCCCCAAAGCCTCGAGTACAGAGACTGTTTTTAGAGAGCCCCCCCTTTTTTAAATGTGAATATTGCTTTTAAAAATTAGAAAAAGAAAAAAATCACAATTCTACTCCCACCCATGGCACAGTGACAGAAACAAGGTCCCACCCCCACAATCCTTTCAAACCTGCACAGGCATTCCTCACGAACACTCCTCCCCCTCATTCCTACCTCACCGCTCCCCACTTCAGCCCAGACAAAGCTGAGTTACTCGGCTGGGTCTACCTGTCACTTAAGAAAAAGCCCCCAAATAGATTCACGCTAAATGCTGCTTTTAATTTTTTAAATAGCAAATAAGTAAATAAATAATGCTATCGTGTAGATTACACGGCCAAACGCCTGTTCTCAGAAAACATGTAATTAACACGACCCAAGTGAAGACGCCTTTCTGGCTTAGGGAAAGAAAAAAAAGAAGCCAGCCAGCTTATCGCTCCCTTTCAGTCGGTTCTTTTCCCCGGGGAGCCGGACTCTGACTCAACTCCGCAGTTTTTCCTCCACCTGTCGGTTCTCCCCGCTCTGGGTCTGCCCCGCCGCCGCCCCCGCCCGGAGTCCCGCGCGTCAACAGGGGTCTCCAGGGGTCCTCAGGGTCCCGCCCGAGGCGGCCCCGCCCCTGCCCCGGCCCCGCCCCCACCTCCTCACAAGGTGCCCGCCGCGGGCTCCCAGGCTGAGGCGCCTAGAGGCCGGCAGGAGGCTCCGGAGGACCGCGGCACCGCTCGGCCCGGTCGCCGGCGCAGGGAGCAGCTTCGGGGGCCGACCCCACCGCCCGAGCCTAGCCCTGGGCTCCGACAGGCGCTCCCCAGAGGCGCCCCATTACCTGCTCTGGGCTGCCGCGGTCCGCGGGCAGGAGGCGCACTCGCTCTGGCCCCTGCAGCCCCGGGCCCGGAGGCAAGGAGGCAGCGACCGCCACCGCCGCAGAGGACAATCGGGAGCCAGCGGGCTCGGCACCGCCGCGGCGGGCGCAGAACGCACGAGCCCAGTGGGAGCCCGGCCCCCGCCTCCAGCCCGGCTAGTAACCAACACGGCCCCCACCCTCGGAGGGGCGGGACCGCGGTTGGAGGGGCGGGGCGGGGCTGCACCGCCCGCGGGTAAGAGGGGCCTGCTGATAGGCTGCGAAGGCGATAGGCGTCTCAGACTTGAAGACGCCTCTCCAGCAGAACTCCCTCATTGGTCGGCAAGAGAAAACAAAGCTGGGCTCTGATTGGTGACAGCTCTGTAGCTCCTCCTCATACCCGCAGTCCCCGCAAGTTCCACCCCTGCCCGCCCGGTTCGCTCGCCCTTGGTTCCCACTCCCAGGTGGCTGCAGACTGGAGTGTGTTTCATGGACGAGCAACCTCCCTGAGGAGAACCCCGGATACGCAGGTTCATTCGCCAGATGCGAGTTTTCTTAAGCCGCTGCGATTCTCTGATTTCAGTATGAACTTGGTGAATAACGTAATCTTTAACTTCCTTTGGATTCAGACAAGTCTCCTAGGTTTAAAAATGCTGCATAAGATTGAGAGGGATATTGTTATGCACGAAAAAAGACATAAGGTGTTTTCACCTTTGGCGACACTGTAGGTGACTTTTTCTTATTACCTTTTTGTGTTCCATATTGAACATGTACTACATGATTAGAAAAAAAAATTCTTAAATAGAAAAATGAGTAGGGTGCGGAGAATGGTAAAGACAAACTTTAAGGAAATCCAGAGAACTGATTCTTTCACAATAGAAGAAAATACAGTAAACATGCTTAATATCTGAGGGCTACCCCGAAAAAACATGAACTGGTATCAGCGCCCTTCAGCTCTCTTAAAGAACTTTACATATGTGACCGAGGTGCCCCCATACTCCTTCCTATCATGTAACCAACACATAATGTGGACAGCACTACACTGCAAACAGAATTACAGGAAGACTCTTATAGGAAGAATTAGAATCCAAAGTACACAATCAATAAAGCTTTAGAAAAAGGGGTAGTAAAAAGCAGAAGACAAAAAAAAATCAGGTAATATAAATTGGAAAGCTCAGCTGATGGAGGGAATCATCAGAAAAAAAATAATGTGACAACACTTCAAGATGTGATAGAGACTTTGAATGGAAAGCTGAAGGGAGAGGAAGGGGATTGAGATAAGGATCAATGACCTGCAGTTAATATGAGCTCTCAGAACACATCCCCCAGAACTGGTGTCAGCCTAGAAGGCAAGAAGCATTTCTCACCTAGGGACCACTCTCACTTAACTCTCTCTAGCTGCCTTAACATTCTGTTTGTTCTTGTCATTCTCGCAAAGTTCTAAAACAGGCTATTTGAAATTAAGCACTTCCCCCCAGCAACTCCGTGAATTACGTAATAGTGAAAAATGGAGATAGACAAAAAGCAAACCTGAGGAAGGAAAGGAATGTTAAGGTAAACATAAACTTAAAGAGAAGTAAGGGCAAAACACCTGATAGAAAGAAGACAAGAAATTCTTTTTTCTCTCTTACTTCCTGAGAATAAAGTAAAGGTCTTTGGAGGACAGAATAACCTTATTGCCTAACAAAAAGAGTTTTTACCAAACCTTTCTAATAATAACTGTAATTCTAAACTGTAGTCTAAAAATACGTGTCCTAAAGTAAGTACTTTGAGCAAATAGTTTTGAGATCTAATATTTTTACATTGTGTAAGGAAAAGAAGAGGAACTTAGCCTAGTATGAACAAACTGTAGGGAATACCCTTCAAAAGTTTCTTCTACAATAACACCTGAAATTCCATCACTAACATTCTTTCACTGGGATTAAATAATGTATGTCTAAGATTATTCTTTTATTCATTTACTCATCAAACGTAATCAATATTAATCATCAAATACTAGATACTGCAATGAACGAGGCTTTCTACTAAGCACTCAGAGTATAGCCTTGAACAAGACAGACTTGCAGCTGTTTTTATCAGAAGATGGACAATGATCCAATAAAAAGATAAACTTCCAGACCGGGATCAGGGCAAAGAAGAAAACAGTGACCAGAGGGATGGGAGACACACTTAATTTTGGGAAAGGAGAAAAATGCTTTAAGGAGAAATGATCTAAGAGAAATGCTCTAAGATTTGAGGCACCACCTAAATAAGAAAACACCAACTTAGCAAAACTCCAGGGCAGATAAAATAGCAAGAACAAAGGACTTGAAGTAGGAAGAAAAGTGATGTATAGCAGGAACAGAGAGAAAGCCAGCATGGGTATCATGGTGCATAAGGAGAGTGCTACTAGACAGGTTGGAGAAGGAGGTGAGGACCTCGTAGGCAATGGTAACTTTGTATTTTGTTACAAGGATTCCTGACGGGCAACATCGAGTTGCTGATAGTGGAGTAAAATCATTATTTTTTTTTTTCCTTTTTCAGAGTCACCAGTAAAATGAGCATTCATTCATTAAGCCAATCATCAGGAATGGATCTAGGAAGAACCTACTGTTTACTAGAAATAGGTTAGATCTGTGGATATAACAATGAATAAGACAAGACTGGTGGATCTATAGAGAAACTATTACTGCACAGGTGATGGGGAAATCAAGAGTACTATGGGGCCAAGGAGACTGTCCTGCAGCAAATGAGGAATAAGCTGAAACATCAGTAGGAGCCATCCCAGAGAAAAGGGACAGGGTTCTAGATCCAGAGAACAACAGAAGAGCATTCAGCGCCTGCAAGGGAGCAGGGGATCTAATGCAAAGCCATTGCATAACCAGTCAACTTTCCCCACATCACAAGATTGCCTAGCCTGGATGGCCCCAGAATGTTGAAACAAATGTCTAATTAGTAACGACATTCTGAATGCTTGGGAGCTGAGCAAAATATGAGGAGAAGCAACCTGATTTTTGTTTCATATTATCATCTCCTTTATTCCAGCAACAAAAGACACTGAAAATAGTAAATGCCCACTTTCAACCATGACAGCCCTTTTAGGATAGTAACGGTGAGCAGTATTAATCCTATTTGACCAGAACTAGGGCAGAATTGAAGCCCCTGGAGTAGAGATCTGTTCTATTAGCCCCAGCCTTTCCGCCTGCTTCTTGGGATGGCTATCTTTACTTTATCAGTTGAGCCTCCAGCATTAGCAGATACCTATAAGGGAAGAGATCCAGCCCTCACTATGGAGGGCCAGAAAGAGAAAGCACCAGACATTAGGAAATGTCAAAGTATCTCAGTACATCCAGCTGATTAGTGACAGATAAGTCAAAATTTGCAGCAACTAAATAAATCAAAAAGTAGATTTTAAAATGTGATCTTTGAAATATTTGGCACAATGCTTCAAAGCCACTGAAAAGCTATCTCTTCACCCTAATAGAGGACAGAAATTCATTAGATAGACAGAAGAGGCTGCATACAGTAGCCCATGCCCATAATCTCAACAACTTTGGAGGCCAAGGTGGAAAGATTACTTGAGGCCAGGAAATCAACACCAGCCTGAGCAACATAGCAAGACATCTTTACAAAAAATTTAAAAATTAGCCAGGTTTGGTGGTGTGCAGCTGTAGTCCTAGCTACTCGGGAGGCTGAGGTGGGAGGATTGCTTGAGGCCAGGAGTTCTAGGCTGCAGTGAACAGAGATTTTGCCACTGCGTTCCAGCCTGGGCAACAGAGTAAGACCCTGTCTCTAAAATAGATGATAGATAGATAGAGAGAGAGAGAGAGATGATAGATAATAGATAGTTGATAGATAGATGATAGATAATAGATAGTTGATAGATAGATAATAGATCGTTGATTGATAGATTAGATAGATGTATAATAGAACCCAAAGGCAAAAATAAGTTAGTCCTCAGGAAGACCCAGATCGCAGACCTGAAAAGCCAGGAGGAACTCAATGGAATTTTTTTCCATAGCAGGTGCTCTCTCTACACCTGTGCTCTATTCTCCTATTCTGATAACCAGCCCCTGGCTCCTATGTCCCAGTGTCAGAGAAATGATGTTCCAGAGCTGCACCCACAAGGACTAAATCACCTGCCTAACCCTAACCCTAATCATAGATGATGGGGGCTGCAGGGGACCAGTATGGCTGCCAGGGCCCATCCCTGTTTATGAGCAGAGGTTTCCCAGAGAAGACACACTGGGCAGATTACCAGACACGCATTCATTGCACCCCTGACATTTTCAATCGCCAGTCAATGAGGCTTCCTTTCTAGTTACTGAAAGTCTTCACCTGCTGTTTATAGTAAACTGGAGACCTAGAGGCCAAGGCCGAAGGCTTGGATGGTAATTTCCCACATTCTCTGGAAATCTTTCTACTTCAGTTGGCTTCCAGACACCCAGTACCCTTGTGTGTTCCAGTTTCAAGTTGCCATTCTTGTTCAGGTCTTCTAGTAATTTCCTGTTTCCCTATCTGAAGTGTACCTCCTGACATCAATGTATTCAAAGAGCAAATGCTCCTGCCAAATCTATGAGTGTCAGTGAACTAGCCTGCTGCTCTGGGCTCAGATGAGACCAGCTTGCAGAACAAGCAGGACAGAGGCGTGAAGGGAAGCAGATGGCAAACCTCGATCTGCCACCATCCCTTCCACAGGCATTCCGTATGAGGACATCTGTCCCCACCCCTGGATGAAAACTTGGGTGATCCCGAAATTTTTCTGATTGCTCACAGGTAATAAAAATCATTTGGTCAGTTTAAATCACAATATACAGCTTTAATTTTAATGTAAATGCCATTGATCAACACTTTCAAGCTTCATTCACAGTTAAACTTTCCCTCTGCTTCCCCAGAAAGGGTCCCATGCAGCCAAGCTATGGAACTCCAAAAAGGGGGAAAGGATCCTTCTCTCTATCCCCCTAGAATCCCCTTCAAATTCAGGTTGCAAAAAGAAGGGGGAAGAGTCCAGGACTAGCAAGTTCATGCTTAACTGGTGCATTGCTAGCAGGGGTTGCTCTCCAAGCCTGGACAATGACTAAAATGTGCGCTTCCTTCTTGGGTCTTTTCTTGGGTTCTTAGAGACCTGTACTTGAAACATCCAACTCCACTTCTCTTGACCTGAGCAATGCAATTTTCTCTAACACTTCCCCTCGCTTTCTCATTCCCTGCCAGTCACTTTATAGTCTCCTGTTGCAGGGGAAGAAGGGAAATGGTCGCTAGGCTGCTCCAGGTGATCCTTGTAGGCAGGATTTAAACTCCTTCAGCCCAGCTGTCTCTTAACAAACAGCTGTTATCTGGTCCTTCAGACATTCATCCATACTTTACGCCCATGGTTGGTAAAAGTGCAGCTGGCTGTGTGCAGACTGGTCTTCAGTGTTCTCTCTCTCCACCACTGCCCCACTGCTGCCTCAAGCCAGTATCTTCAGCCTCTCCACTTGAGATTTGTCTCCAAATACCAGGGGACACAAATCAAGTTGCCTTCATGGTCTGCCTCACTGACACTGCCTCTCTAGTGAGTTTAAGGAGAAAGGTCTCAAAGAAGCAGGAGTAACAGAATTGCTTTCTTCAGAGAAAACATCTTCATAGATTCTTTCCTGAACTCCACTTCCTCTGCCCTTTTATGATCCTATTTTGGGTGAGGCACTTTTAAGAGTCACCAAGGGGCTAGGATATTTCCTTTTAAGATTTGCTTCTTGCTCTGACAACTTATTTTGGAATGTCACACCTATTAATTATCTTGGTGTGGTAGTGCACACCTGTAGTCTCAGCTATTCAGGAGGCTGAGGCAGGAGGATTGTTTAAGCCCAGGAGGTTGAGGCTGCAGTGAGCTATGATCACGCCATTGCACTCCAGCCTGGGCAACAGAGTGAGACCCTGTCTCAAAAAAAAAAAGACAACAACAACAAAAAAGAATTTCACATCTATTGTCTCTTCCTGCTTCAGTCAAAACTTTCTTTTTACATTTTTCTATATTGATGTGAATCTGTAAAAACTGCTCTTGTTAATTAACACCAAGGACACGGACTAAGAAAATTGGAAAACTCTAAAACTAGTCAGAAACTGCTATTTGATGATCAATGAGAATGGAACACCCACTCTTGCCTGGATGATTCAAGCCTGAGGATCACTTGACCCAAGGAAGCAGTCTTTATTTCCAGCCTTCAGTTCAGAGATGTGGGGACCCAGCATTCCACATTTAACTTTATGGTCTCCAAGGAAACAGAACTCTGAATCTGTCACACCAGAACTCATGTTAATAAAAATATTACTAAATGTTAAGAAGATACTACTCACATCACCTGAGGTCAGGAGTTCAAGACCAGCCCGGCCAACATCGTGAAACCCCATCTCTACTAAAAATACAAAAATTAGCTGAGCGTGGTGGCAGGTGCCTGTAGTCCCAGCTACTCAGGAGGCTGAGGCAGGAGAATTGCTTGAACCCGAGATGTGGAGGTTGCAGTGAGCCAAGATCCCACCACTCTACTCCAGCCTGGGCAACAGAGTGAGACTCCATCTCAAAAAAAAAAAAAAATGCTACTCACAGCCTTGCTCTGCTTTCAGTCTATCACAACACTGTTTCCTTCCAATTCCTTCTCCCAGTTCCTACAAGAAGGCTACTTTTTCCCTTGGTGAGACCCTCTGTGGGTTCCTTGGAGCACTCCCCCTTGTTACAAGCTCATAAACCCAACCAAGTTAGACTGCAGGTTTGTCTCTGATGGTGTTTGGCTGTTGAACTTTATCATTAACAACCTGATATCATTTGGATGTTTTCCCCTGAAAATCTCACATTGAATTGTGGTCCCCAGTGTTGGAGGTGGGGCCTGGTGGGAGGTGTTTGGGTCGTGGGGGCGGATCCCTCGTGGCTTGGTGCCATCCTTCTGACAGTCAGTGCGTTCTTTGGAGATCTGGTTGAGTAAAGTGTGTGGCACATCCCCTCCCTGGGGATTGGCTCCAGGGTTGGCTCCAGCTGTCATCACATGATATGCCTGATCCCCTTTCCCCTTCTGCCATGAATAAAAGCTCCCGGAGGCCGCCCCAGAAACTGAGCAGATGCTGGCGCCATGCTCATCCAGCCTGCAGAACTGGGAGCCAATGCCAATTAAACCTTTTTTTTTTTTTTTTTTAAACGGAGTCTTGCTCTGTCACCCAGGCTGGAGTGCAGTAGCACAATCTCGGCTCACTGCAACCTCTGCCTCCTGGGTTCAAGCAATTCTCCTACCTCAGCCTCCCAAGTAGCTAGGATTACAGGCACCTGCCACCACACCCGGCTAATTGTTGTATTTTTGGTAGAGACGGGGTTTCACCATGTTGGCCAGGCTGGTCTCGAACTCCTGGCCTCAGGTGAGCAGCCCACATCGGCCTCCCAAAGTGCTGGGATTACAGGTGTGAGCCACTGTGCCTGACTCTTTTCTTTATAAATGATCCAGTCTCAGGTATTCCTTTAAGTAGTGCAAAAATGGCCTAACACACAGCCAGTTCTTCCCAGCTCAGGTTCCTGCTCCACTCTCCCATGTTCTGTCTTCATGCCTGCATCTCCTCCTGTTGCGCTGTCACACGAACTCGTTGCCACCATGGTACCATCACGAATCACCCAGAATCCAGCAACTTTCAATTATATACCATTAAAAATACCATAAACATGTGCATATGCAGGAACAATCATATTAATAGTTTCAAACATAAGAAAAAACTAATTTCCTTATACCATTAATTTGCAACAGTATTAAAATTACCTGAAGAGCCTTTTCAAATTATACAAGCACTGAGATGCTAATTCAATGCTTCTTAACAGGCTCTCCCCAAATGCACACACCTGGATCTACCTCATTACAGCAGTGATCCTGTTGGTGATGGTAGAGGACCCTCAGGTATTTTTGGGAAAAAGCTATAAACCACTTTACCCTGCACTGATCTGATAGACTCATTGGAATTCTAAGTCTATAAGTGTGGGGAATATATTTGGTTGGTGCAAAAGCAATTGCGGGTTTTGCCATTTAAAAGTAATGGCAAAACCCTTAATTAATTTTGCATCAACCTAAAATATTTTTCTCTTAGCTAAAATTACAGGTTTGATCTTGCTTATAAATAAAACTGTCCCCACAATGTCAGGGGCTTTGACTTATTCACTATGGGATCCCCAGTGGCTTACAGGTTGGAGACATAGCAAGAATCTAGTGAAGATTTACTGAACTAACTCATTTGGAACTCATTTTAAAATGAAAGAGTTTTCATCAACCAGTTGTACCTGAGCAAGAAACATTTATCTAAAGTATTAGCAGTGACTGTGATCCATTATATTTATTTTTTTCTATTTGGCAACCCTTCAAGATTGATTTTCCATGTGGTTTGCAATTGGCTGCATACTCAAGGACTTCTGTATGTAAACTGAGAGTGATCTAATAATTCTGAGGCATACGGGTGTGAATGACAGCATGATGTGTGGGTGTCTGAAGTTGGATTGCTAGCGACCTCATGAATACCTCTATACCAATTTATATGTGGTCCCCAGCATAGTATGTGACCATATGTGTTACAGTAACATAGTCAAGAACTTCTTAAATAAAACACAATAAAGAGACTGATAATTACGTAAATGCTGGTATGCTAACCTGAGGAGCCTCTGCCTGTTTGTGATTTAGTCTTTGATTATTCAAACAAGTTGTGTCCGGTAATATATATGTCCATTTGATTGAAATATACATATAGCTGAGCATGGTGGCTCATACATGTGATCCCAGCAATTTGGAAGGCTGAGGTAGGAGGATTGCTTGAACCCAAGAATTCAAGACCAACATGGGCAACATAGCAAGACCCCATCTCTACAAAAATTAAAAAATTAAATAGAATGCATAGATGTGTTAATACACACACACACACACACACACACACAAACACTGAGATTCTCATGTCAACTAATGCTCCGTCCTCCCTCTTGCCCATGTCTAGAAAGCTTTAAGTTGAACCAGTTTGGATACTTTTAAAATACTCTTTTATCTATAGTGTTTGAAGTTGGGATTATAAAATAATTTTTTAACTTGCATTTAGCTTTTTTAAAAAAAAGATCAATTTTTTTTCTGGCATTGTGTCCAGAATTGGTTCCTTCCAGCAGGTTTACGGTCTGGCTGACTTCAAGAATGGAGATGGTCCTTATTAACAGCTCTTAAAGATGGCACGGACACAAAGAGTGAGCAGCAGCAAGATTTATTGTGAAGAGCGAAAGAACAAAGCTTCCACAGCGTGAAAGGGTACCTGAGCTGATTGTCGCTGCTGGCTGGGATGGCCAGCCTTTATTCCCTTTTTTGTCCCCTCGCATGTTCTGTTTCTGTCCTATCAGAGTGCCCTTTTTTCAGTCCTCCCCACGATTGGCTACTTTTAGACTCCTGCTGATTGGTTGTGTTTTACAGAGCACTGATTGGTGCATTTTACAGAGTGCTGATTGGTGTGTTTTACAGAGCACTGATTCGTGCATTTTACAATCCTCTTGCTAGCTACAGAGCGCTAATTGGTGCATTTTACAATCCTAGCTACAGGGTGCTGATTGGTGCGTTTTACAATCCTCCTGTAAGACAAAAGTTCTCCAAGTTGATCCAGGAAGTCCAGCTGGCTTCACCTCTCAGCATGATTATAAATTGAGAACACTTCTACCTTGTACCAAAAAAACCAGTCTCAACACTTTTTAGCCATACTCATTAAGAACAAAATACGTGAACACTTTGTAACACGTATAATTGGAATAAGCATTTTATATTCAGAAAGAAGGCCAGTGATGGAAACGTTGAGAAAAAAATACATAGTGAGATGAGTCATTCAGAATTTAGATTTAATTAAGCTCAGTCATCTTTGTACTTACCATGTTGATCTCCCAAGGGAGCATCGCAAGCAAAGTGACTCTTGCACCACTTATGTTATCCTAGAAACTATGCCAGCATTAATTAATTTGTGCTGACCTGGAAAGCAGAAGCTTCCTTATCTCGCCACTTGAAAACTAAGTAACTCCTTGTTCCACGTTGAAGATTAGGAAACTTGCAAGGATGAGCTACAGCAACATAGAAAACAGCACCCCCACAGCAGGAGGGGCAGTTTGAGGATGTGCACACAGAGGGGATGTTTCCAGGACCCAGGCTTCACTTCCAGCAAAGATGTTACTTTAGAAGATGGGACTCTTTCACTTAATTGTGTCTATTTTCTTAACTCACAGCTTTCTCCTGTCTAGCACCTTTATCCAAAAATTCCCTGTCCCTGGTATATGAGCAGAAAACAAAGGAACTTAATAGTTAACTCTCTGATACATATGAGTGCAAATTCTACAATTAAAAAAATAAAGCCAGGCTGGGTCTGATGGCTTATGCCTGTAATCCCAGCACTTTGGGAGGCCGAGGCAGGAAGATCACTTGAGGTCAGGAGTTGGAGACCAGCCTGATCAACATGGTGAAACCCCGTTTCTACAAATAATACAAAAATTAGCTGGGCGTGGTGACACACACCTGTAATCCCAGCTACTCAGGAAGCTGAGGCAGGAGAATCTCTTGAACCTGGGAGGCAGATGTTGCAGTGAGCCTAGATTACACCACTGCACTCCAGACTGGGCGACAGAGCAAGACTCTGTCTCAGAAAGATAAAATAAAAAAAAAGGAAACAAAAAGACAGAGATATCCTAAATAGTGACAAATTTAAGAATGTAAGATATACATAATATAGCTGAAGAATTGACTAAAGAGGTTAATATCCCCGCAGAGAAGAACGATTTATGAAATTTATAATTTAAGGCTCTAATTATGCTCTGTAAACAACCAAATAATAACTTTTTTTGAGACAGGGTCTGCTCGGTCCCCCAGGTTGGAGTACAGTGGCACAATCTTGGCTCACCGCAGCCTGAACTTCCTGGGTTCTGTTGATCTTCCCACCTCAGCCTCCAAAGTAGCTAGGACTGCAGGTGTGTGCCACTATACCTGGCTAATTTTTTTTTTTTTATTTTTTTTATTTTTTTTTGGTAGAGACAGGGTTTTGCCATGTTGCCCAGGCTGGTCTTGAACTCCTGGGCTCAAGTAGTCCTCCCGCCTTGGCCTCCCAAAATGCTGGGATTACAGGCATGAGCCACTGTGCCTAGCACGGAATAACCTTGTAAACTAAGAGCTTCCATGCTGTTTAGAATGGCTGGCTCCTGTTAGCAAATGCTAAATATTCTAATTTCCACACTATTTGATTTTTCTTAGGTTCTATCAATATTATTATGCATTACGATACTTCATCTTAAGTCATTAATAACTGTCATTCATTCAACAAACATTTACTGAGCACCTACTATGTGCCAGGTAGTGTGGTGGGTTCTGGATTGGTGGGAAAGAATACAAACATGTTTAGGCCAAAATCCATAGCCTCTCAGAGTTCACAGAATTCTGATTTGTGCATTTGCAATCATTGTCAAAACAGGCATTTGCCTCAGGCCCTGTCCATCTCCAGTGTAACATAAGGATTATACAAGCAAATGAACTGTAGAATGCAGCAGGAAACAAAAGAAAACAAGGCAGATAGTTTCTGAATAGGATTAATGGCACCGCCTCCTGGAGTGGGCTTGATGAAAGAGCTGGTGTTGCAGGAGTTCTAGCTTCCGCGTATGTTCACTAAAGGCAGAGAATCTAGAATGAAGTCCAAACGATTTTGAGAACAATCGCAAAGTGTTGAAGAATCTCCAAAGAAGAAGCATGTTCAGTAAGATTGGAACACTGAATGACAATTCTACCTTAGACACTAAAGCTAGTGGTGTGAGCTTGGACATCTCATTTACTTTTCTGAGGCCATTTCCTTATTAATAATTTATGTGCAGTGATTAATCCACCCAAGAAGTTACAAACTGAAGTTATTCAGGGTGAGCACAAAGTTTGTAGAAATTTTGATTTGTTGCCAACATTTCAAAATCAGGAGATTTCTTGGAAAAGTTCAACTCACAAGTTTCTATTTTTAAGAAAAAAGGCCGGACACAGTGGCTCACACCTGTAATCCCAGCACTTTGGGAAGCCAAGGCAGGAGAATCTCTTGAGGCTGAGAGTTTAAGGCCACCCTGAGCAACATAGCAAGACCCAATATCTACAAAAAATATAAAAATTAGCCAGGTGTGGTGGTACACACCTGTAGAACCAGCTACCTGGTAGGCTGGGACAGAAAGATTGCTTGAGCCCAGGAGTTTAAGGCTGCAGCAAGCTGTGATTGCACAACTGCACTCCAGCCTGGGTGACAGCCTGGAGACCCTGTGAAAGAAAGACAGAAAGAGAGAGAGAGAAAAACAAAGAGAAGGAGGGAAGGAAGGAAGGAAGGATGGAAGGAAGGAAGGGAGGGAGGGAGGAAGGGAGAAAGGAAGGAAGGGAGGGAGGGAAAAGAAAGAAGGAGGGGGGAGGGAGAGAGGGAGAAAGGAAAAAAGGAAGGAAGGAAAGAGAGGGAAAGAAGGAGGGAGGGAAGGAGGGAGGAAGGAGGGAAGGAAGGAAGAGAGGGAGGGAGGGAAGGTTGACCCACACCTCCGTGTGGCAGTGTTTACCTGAAGCAGAGCGTTGTGCCCCCTTTTCGAGCTGGCATGTGCTTTGCAGTCTGTGGCGCACCCTGCCCACTGGCCTCACTCATCCTCCCACTTCCCTCCTGGCCACTGCAGACATTTGAGTTTGCGTCTCCTGAACTGGATGGTTTTTAAGGGCTTCTTTTAGTTGTTGAAAGCTACAGGAACTGTTTCAAGGTAATATAAATTAAAAATATGTATGTTGCTGAGAGAAGAGACAAATCACCCATGCAGAAGAATTTTAAATCATTTATGTAAATACTCCATCCTCAGAGAGGTGAAGAATACCTCCCCATCCCTTAAGTGTGGCTGCCCATAGTGACCTCCTTCCAAGAGTATAACACAGAAAGGTGGGGCGGGGAGAGTAACTTTACAGTGGAAAAACCTGACCAGCACTATCTCAACCAGCTGATCAAGGTCAACATCAACAGTGATGAGAAGTCATGTTGCCTGTGTGCATGGCCTTCCTCCCCTAAACCCCTATCCCCAGTCATGAGAAAAACATCAGACAAATGCCAATCAAGGGGCATTTTACAATAGGCTTGACCAGTACTCCTCAAAATTGCCAAGGTAATCAGAAACAAGGAAAGTCTGAGATGGACATAGCTGAGAGACTGCCATAGTTTAAAGAGACATGACAAGTAAATGTAATGTGGTACCCTGGATGGGATCCTGAAACAGTAAAAGGATATCACATAAAAACTGAGAAAATGTGGCCGGACATGGTGGCTCACGCCTGTAATCCGAGGACTTTGGGAGGACGAGGCAGGTAGATCACTTGAGGTCAGACATTCGAGACCAGCCTGGCCAACGTGGTGAAACCCCATATCTACTAAAATTACAAAAATTAGCCGGGCATGGTGGCACGCCTGTAATCCCAGCTACTCAGGAGGTTGAGGCAGAAGAATCGCTTGAACCCAGGAGGCAGAACCTGCAGTGAGCTGAGATCGTGCCACTGCACTCCAGCCTGGGCAACAGAGTAAGACTCTGTCTTTAAAAAAAAAAAAAAAAAAAAAAAAAAAAAAAAAAAAACTATCTGAGAAAATGTGAATAATGTATGGACTTTAGTTGCTAACAATGCACCAGCGCTGATTCATTAATTATAACAAATGCACCACAGCAATATGTTTATAGTAAGGGGAACTAGGAGCAGAGCACATGGGACCTCTCTGTACTATCTTCTCAATTTTTCTGTAAATCTAAAACTGCTCCAAAAAATAAAGTCTATTTTAAACAGATGATATATACGTATGGAGTTGTATGTAGACATGCATATGAAGGATACTGGTGTATCTCAAGGAATCAGTGGAAGATTTGAACACTCAAGACTTGAGTAGGAAAAGTTAAGTTTTCAGCAGCTCTTTCCTGTACGGCGCTCGCTGCCTTTAACGTGACTCAGCTCTGTCCTCTGTCAGGCTTTGAGTCTCTCTGTTCCATATTTCAAATTTGTCAAAGAGAAAAGCTCATTACTTCAGCCTGGGGAGGAGTCTGAGCCTGGATCTGTGAGTCCTGGTCAGGGTTCTGTGGGAGAATCCTGCTGCTGTACCCACGCATGTATGTAAGTGATCATTTTCATAAAAGGGGGAAGAACTGTGAGCCAGAAAGTTCTGAAGTGCCAAGAAGGTGATGCAAGGGAAAGGCTTCACTGATGAAGTCAATATCCTAAAAATTAAGGGCAGATATTCCAAAACAAAGAGCATCCTTGTCATTAGCATCTGCCATTTATACACGCTAGAAAAGCTTCTATGCTAATCCCAGAATTTACAAAATTTTAAGAAATCAAGATATATAAAAGTTGTTTATTTGGCTGGACACAGTGGCTCACACCTGTAATCCCAGCACTTTGGGAGGCCAGGATGGGAGGTTCCCTAGAGACCAGGAGTCCAAGACCAACCTGGGCAACATAGGGAGAGCCCATCTTTACCAAAAATAAATAAATAAATAGCCGGGTGTGGTGGTGCATGCCTGTAGCCTCAACTACTTGCGAGGCTGAGGCAGGAGGATTACTTGAGCTCAAGAGTTCGAGGCTGCAGTGAGCTGTGACCATACCATTGCATCCCAGGCTGGATGACATAACAAGACCCTGTATTTAAAAATAAAGGGTAAAAAATTGTTTTCGGTAAAGATTGATTTAGCTCCCAAGTAGTCATGTCAGCTCTCCTGACTTCTAACCACAATTGCTTTTATTTTTAAATAAAACCATATTAAAGGAAAAGTCTAAAGTAGTCACATGTAATAGTAACCTTGCAAATTTCACCACATTGATACAGTGGCAGGAAAGTGAGTTAAATGCAGACCAGCTAAGAGAGGCATGGGGTAGGTCACGATTTCAGGGTGGCCGCCATGCCTGGTCCAAGCAGTTGCTGCCTTGGCACTAATTAGGAAAAGGCACTCTTCCTCAAGATGTTTTCCTTCCATTTGTTGGAAAATTCTTATGCTATGCTGCTTCGATTAGAGCAAGACACTTCACTGACATCTGCCAGGAATGTGTCATAATAAAAATACAAATGTGTGATGCTTACGCCATGACTGCAGTACCCTGTGCAGTACACAAGCTGCACAACCATATGCTGTTGTTCCGGGTGCCATCGCCTATTATGAGCATGTGTCATCTATTTAGAGCCTTGGCAACCTCAAACTTACTTTCATGCCTCACTATATATACTTCTCCCAAAAGAGCGGGCATTCCAACTACCATGGGAAATCATGATTTTGTTTACCTTGAACTGAAATAAAGAATCCCACTCTTGGACTGATCTATAATTGCAATTTCCTCAACCGTAACAGAGGAAATAATAACACCCATTGAACAGGGATGTTATGATCATTAAATGAGACGACACTTCAAAGCACTGAGCACAGTGGCTGACAGATAATGAGGTCTCCACTGAGGCTTGGTTCTTCTTCCTTCTCTGTGTAACATAACACAGCACAGTCAAGCTTCTCTGTTGAAAAGCAATAGGGGTCAGGCATGGTGGCTGACTCCTGTAATCCCAACACTTTGCGAGGCCAAGGTAGGTGGATTACTTGAAGTCAGGAGTTTGAGACCAGCCTGGCCAATGTGGTGAAACCCATCTCTACTAAAACTATAAAAATTAGCTGGACATGGTTTCGTGTGCCTGTCATCCCAGCTACCCAGGAGGCTGAGGCAGGAGAATCACTTGAACCTGGGAGGTGGAGGTTGCAGTGAGCTGAGATCATGCCACTGCACTCCAGCCTGGGTGACAAGAGTGACACTCCATATCAAAAAATAAAAGAAAAGAAAAGCAATAGGATTATTCTTGTGAAAGTACTCTTAGATACATAGCCCTGCCCTTCTAGTTGTCGGATGATGGAAAGGTTTTTTACTTGCCTTGCTTAAGTGAAGCCAAATTCAAATCTCATACACCATCTGTAGACAAGCAGTGTGTGTTTTCTCTTCACAAGTTACATGCAAGAAGCAGTTTATAACTTCTATTTGTGAAAGAACCAATTTGTAAATGTAATATGATGCTTTAGAAATCTGTGTCAAAGACATATTTTTCCTTGAAACATATTTGAATGTTTGTATTAGTCTGTTCTTACACTGCTATAAAGAAATACCTGAGACTGAGTAATATATAACGAAGAGTTTTAATTGGCTCACAGTTCTACAGGCTATACAGGAGGCATGGCTGAGGAGACCTCAGAAAACTTACAATCATGGCAGAGGGTGAAGGGGAAGCAGGCATGTCTTACATGGCCAGAGCAGGAGGAAGAGGGTGAAGGGGTAGGTGCTACACACTTTTAAACAATCAGCTCTCATGAGAACTCACTCACTGTCATGAGAACAGCAAGGGGAAAATCCACCCCATGATCCAATCACCTCCCACCAGGTTCCTCCACCAACACTGGGGATTACATTTCAACATGAGATTTGATTGGGCACACAGAGCCAAACCATATCAATATTTTATCTTCCTAGATGGGAATTTTAGGCTGGCATGGTGACTCACATCTGTAATCCCAGCACTTTGGGAGGCTGAGGCAGGTGGATTGCTTGAGCCTAGGAGTTCAAGATCAGCCTGAGCAACATGGCAAAACCCCGTCTCTACAAAAAAATACAAAAATTAGCCCAGCATGGTGGTCTGGGAAAAAAAGAGAGAGAGAGAGATGATATATCTTCAGTTAACTGTATTATGACTTACATTTGGCTACAGTTCAGTAAATTCAGGACATAAATTCTGAGGGGGTATTTAAATGTTGACACTGCCATTTATAAAAACACATATTGTGGCTAGGCATTGTAGCTTATGTCTGTAATCCCAGCACTTTGGGAGGCCAACGCAGGTGGATCACTTGAGGCCAGGGGTTCGAGACCAGCCTGGGCAACATGGAGAAACCCCATCTATACTAAAATACAGAAAATTAGCCGGGTGTGGTGATGCACGCCTGTGGTCCCAGCTACTCAGGAGGCTGAGGCAGGAGGATAGCTTGAACCCAGAAGGCAGAAGTTGCAGTGGGCTGAGATAGGACAACAGAGACAGACTCTCTCTCAAAAACAAAAAAAAATACATATTTTATTCACCCAAATTATTCTTTCGGTGCCCTCTATACCTCAGTAAGGGAAACTGCTCTATTGAAGTTCCCAAGGGAGGCCCATTACTTATATTCCCCAGTCACGCACTGAATGTCTCTATGTAAAGGAGTCAGTTAGTGACTCTGGAGAAGATACGTGTGAGAGATCAACAGGAATTGAAGAAAAGGAAACTAGTTTAAGGAGAGAAATGGGCCGAGAAGGTACCCTGGAGGAGAGCATTCCTTTTGGGATGCATCATGAATAAAAGGTTTGAGGCAGCAATGAGCTGTATATGTCTAAAGGAAAACGAGGATGCCAGCTGGAACAAAACATTTCTGTAGGGAAGGGTTGGACAGCCATGGAATGACCTAGATTGTCAGGCTGGGAAATTTGGACCAGATTCTAAAATCAATAGAAGTTACTGAAGATTTTTTTTTTAGCTTGCCAGGAAAATGGTATTTTAGGACAATTAATCTTATAGGGGAAAAAAGAGAGACTATTTCCAAGTCAAATAATTAAAATTATTATTTTATTTTTTACAATGATAGTGAAAAGAGGACCTTTAGAATAAGCCTTCTTAAGAAAAAAATAGAAATAAAACTATCGAAGTGACCGAGTACTTATCAACAGTGGAAGGGGGGTCAACTTGAAATCACTACACATCGTTTCATATCAATTTTGCTTGACATAACTCTTCATTATTCAGGGTGGGCGGTCCAAAATCTTTGTTTCATAATCAGTGTTGTTCAGTTGTCAGTTTTCACTAATTTAGAATAATTACTTAATATCTACATCAAGCCTACATCTCCTATTTTGCCACTTCCAATTTTTAAAACTAGTGCAGTTTTTTGTTTGTTTTTTTTTTGTTCCTCTGCAGTGGTTTGGAACAAAAGGCAGCACTGGTAATAGCCCCTGACGAGGTTCATCTTCTTAACTGTAACAGTGAGGCAATTCAGGGGCAGACAGAGTGTCCCCCAGAGCTATGCATGGCACAGGACATGCTCAGGCCCCATGCCCACTCTGACAATGCGCGGTGCTTGGAGAAGCTTCCTCCCCACCGGGGAGATAGGCAGTTCCTCACTCCCAGAGCCCTAGCTCAGGCCAAGACTTGGATCTAAAAGGTTTGAAACCTTAATGGGGCTGGTAGAAACCAGAAAGAAAAGCTGACATCTCAAATATATATGTAGTTTCCTCTCCTGCAAAAAAATAGAAATTAGGATATATATTTGGGGCATATTGTTCTGGAAAATGAACAAAAAAAGGTTAATTTTAGATATGAAAATAGACACCAAATGAGAAAAGCTCTTTTCATGTTACTGCTCCAAACATCTAAATTGTTCCATGTTAAGTAACAGTAACAGAGAACACCCAATACACATCTTCCTGGATTATTTTATGCAGTCCTCACAGTTGACATCATGGGATGGATGTTATTATTCCTATTTTATAGGTGAGAAAACTGAGGCTAGAGCAATTATTTTAATTGCCCAAATTTAGATGATGAATAATTGGCAGAGCTGGGAGTCAAACTGGTCTGCCTCATGTCAAAGTCAAAACCCTTCACTGTCATTCTAAATCCTTCAGATTAGGGTATTTTTTAATAGAAATTTTTTTGTTTTTGTTTTTGAGACAGGGTCTTGCTCATCACCCAGGCTGGAGTGCAGTGGTGCGATCTCAGCTCACTGCAACCTCCACCTCCCATGTTCAAGCAATTCTCCTGCCTCAGCCTCCTGAGTAGCTGGGACTACAAGCATGTGCCACCACACCCGGCTAATTTTTATATTTTTTAGTAGAGACAGGGTTTCACCATGTTGGCCAGGCTGGTCTCGAACTCCTGGCCTCAGGTGATCCACCCACCTTGGCTTCCCAAAGTGCTGAGATTACAGGTATGAGCCATGCCTAGCCAGAAAATTTTTAGAGAATTTATTTAGACTGCATTATACCTGTAAGCTACAACTTGTTTTTGTAGACGTGTGTGTGTGTGTGTGTGTGTGTGTGTGTGTGTGTGTGTGTTTAGCTGTACAGATACTCACAGAAGATAAAAACCTGCTTTTCTGAGGAAACTTGGAAAGACATTAGATGCATTTTGTGCCACTTCAGGGCCATGTGACAAAATGAGTCACAGATCCAGGGAGGTGACAAACGTTCCATTTATATAAGGAGCCCTGCACTCCAGGACTTGCAATCAACTTAGCAGGCAATTGACCATGGTAAGGAGAAGTGGGAGGAAGAGATCAAGTACAGGTGGAGATGGTGTGGTGCTGAAACAGATGGGATATTATTATCCATATAAAAGCTGGATGTCTTGCGGTTCCTGCTCTGAAGAAGTAGTATTAAAAGAAACATTAGATCAGAGGT
Source organism: Homo sapiens (assembly GCF_000001405.40). Taxonomy (NCBI): domain Eukaryota; kingdom Metazoa; phylum Chordata; class Mammalia; order Primates; family Hominidae; genus Homo; species Homo sapiens. The sequence continues at coordinate 28,322,336 of NC_000010.11, forward strand.
TGTCAAGTTCAAGTTATTAACATTTTTCCTGCTTTTCTAAAAAAATAAAATAAAATAAATAAAAAATAAAAGCTCATGACTCTGGAAGGATCAGAAGATTTGCACAAAAAACTTTGAAAAACCCTCTCTCCCCATCTGAAAAACCCACTCTCCATAAAATGGCAGCCAGGCCCCAACCTTTCTCTGTTACTTTTGGCTGTCATTGACACCCCGCTCTTGGCGGGTCTTGTCTCTCTTCGCCGCTGTCTCTTTCCTTTGATTTCTACTCTTTGACCTTTCCCAGGGGTAAAACTCAGTGCTCTCTAGAGCACAGCCACACTCTGTCACTTCTCCAGTTTCTCCAAGCCCAGATCCTGCACCATAGAAGCCCAAGAACCAAGCTGAAGAAGACAAAGTTTCCTTTAGCAGCTGTGTGAGGGGAAAGCTAGGAGCACCCACGTGTTAATATGATTTTATTTGTGTTAAATTATTGATAAGACCTGGTGAGATTGGGGTTGCTCAGTTCTGTACATCATCTCAAAGTCACCTTCTGCCTCCATTGTTTCATTAAGCAGTCCCCTGTAGTTCTAACACTCTGGGAGGTCGAGACAGGCAGATTGCTTGAGCCAGGAGTTCAAGACCAGACTGGACAACATAATAAGACCCATCTCTACAAAAAAGAAAAATAGGGGCCGGGCACGGTGGCTCACACCTGTAATCCCAGCGGTTTGGGAGGCCAAGGCAGGCGGATCACAAGGTCAGGAGATTGAGACCATCCTGGCTAACACGGTGAAACCCCGTCTCTACTAAAAATACAAACAATTAGCCGGGCGTGGTGGAGGCGCCTGTAGTCCCAGCTACTCAGGAGGCTGAGGCAGGAGAATGGCATGAACCTTGGAGGCGGAGCTTGCAGTGAGCCAAGATCAGGCCACTGCACTCCAGCCTGTGTGACAGAGCGACACTCCATCTCAAAAAAAAAGAAAAATAAATCAGCTGGGCATGGTGGTGTACACCTGTGGTCCCAGCTACTTGGGCGGCTAAGGTAGGAGGATCAATTGAGCCTAGGAGTTGGAGGCTGAAGTGAGCTAAGATCGCACCACTGTACTCTAGCCTAGGCAGCAGAGTGAGACTCTATCTAGGAAAAAAAAAAAAAGAAAGAAAGAAATCCCAGCCAAAACCGGGCTTTGTTTTCCCCAGTATGCAAGTTCTAAGCTTAGGAAAAATTGCTGCTCTAAGAATTGTGAAATGGGCTAGGCACAGTGGCTCAAGCCTGTAATCCCAGTACTTGGGGAGGCTAAGGTGAAGGGATCACGTGAGGCCAGGAGTTCTAGACCAGCTTGGGCAACATAACAAGGCCCTGTTGCTACACACAAAAAATAATAAATAAATAAATAAATAGAGAGAGAGAAAGAGTCATGAAATGACTGGGAGACAATGAATGAAGTTCAGTCTCCAGTCCTGGAGCCACACTGATGGAGCTTGATGGTTTGGATGCCGGGTGACTGAATATGGCATAATACGCCACCTCTTCAAGTCATGGTGTCCTCTTTGCAAAATTGGGATGTGGACATTCATTAGATATTATTAAATATCTACTATATGCCATGCACATTTTGCGTTCTAGGGATACACAATGAATAAAACAGAAAAAATATCTGCCTTCATAACCATATATCCTAGTGAGATGATAATAGCTATATTCACCTCTTCAGTTATTATGAGGACTAAAATGAGATAATAACAATAGCTGTGACGGTCTGTCTACTGCCAAAATTCATAGGTTGAAATCTTAACCCCCAAGTTGATGATATTAGGAGGCAGGGTCTTTGGGGCTGTGACTAGGTCATGAAGGTTCTGAATGGGATTAGTCCTGTAGTGAAAGAGGCCCCAGAAAGCTCCCTGGCCCCTCTGCCACGTGAGGGCACAGAGAGAAGACGTTGTCTATGAACCAGGCAACAGGCCCTCCCCAGACACCAAATCTGCCAGCGCCTTGATCTTGGACTTCCCAGTCTCTATAACTGCAAGAAAGAAATTTCTGTAATCTGGAAGCTACCCAGGCTATGATGTTTTGTTATAGAAGCTCAAACAGACTAAGACAATAGAAAACACAGATAGTAAGATTATTATGTACCACGAATGGTTCTAAGTACTTGGCACATGTTGTCACTCAAGGGTTCTTTAATTTTTCTGCACTACAGGCCCTTTCTGCAATTTAGTGGAGCATCTCCACCCTTTCTCAGAATAAGAATTCTATATGCATAAAATAGAACATATAGGATAACCAAATATACTGAGACAGCTGCCAAAAGAATAAAAAGTAATACGGTAATAAAGATTCTTCTTTTTAAATACATTTCATAATGAGAACTGGAGACAGGTTTAACAATGCCATGACTTTGAAAAACTGATGAGCATAGATGTAATTAATTTTTCCTATTCAAGTTCACAAGTATCCAGAACTCTACCCACTGGTTTATACATCCCGGAGTGAATCTAGTCCTCACTATAAATCCTAGGAGATCAGTTATTAGCCCCTTTTTAACAGTTGAAGAAGCTGAAGCATGGAGAGGTTAGTTGACTTGCCTAAGTCTATAAGTGATAGAGCTGAGATTTGAACCAATAGTCCAGTTCCAAAGCCTGTGTTCACAGCTCGCTGCAGCCTTGACCTCCCAGATTCAAGTGATCCTCCCATCTCAGCCTCTCAAGTGGCTGGGACTACAGACACATGCCACTTTACCTGGCTAATTTTAATATATTTTGTAGAGATGGAGGTCCCACTATATTGCCCAGGCTGGTCTTGAACTCCTGAGCTCAAGTGATCCTCCTGCCTTGGCCTCCTAAAGTTCTGGGATTACAGGTGTGAGCTACTGTGCCAGCTGCTTGTGTTCTTAACCACTATACAGTATGTGGCTTAGCACAGGGCTTGCCTCATGGTCAGAGTCAATAACATTAGCTAGTATTTGAAAGTAGTATTGTAATAAGTAGTAGAAGCATTTGTAATAGCAGATATCTAGGGAATAAGGAATAACTTGTACTGATATTAAGAACATTTTTGGCCAGGTGCGGTGGCTCATGCCTGTAATCTCAGCACTTTGGAAGGCAGAGGCAGGAGGACCACCTGAGGACAGGAGTTTGAGACCGACCAGGGCAACATAGTAATATCCCATTTCATTTCTTTTTCTTTTTTTTCTTTTTTTGAGACCGAGTCTTGCTCTGTCGCCCAGGCTGGAGTGCAGTGGCGTGATCTCAGCTCGCTGCAACCTCTGTCTCCCCGGTCCAAGGGATTCTCCTGCCTCAACTTCCCGAATAGCTGAGATTACAGGCATGCACCACCATACCCGGCTAATTTTTGTATTTTTAGTAGAGAGGGGGTTTTCCCATGTTGGCCACACTGGTCTCAAACTCCTGGCCTCAAATGATCCACCTGATTCAGCCTCCCAAAGTGCTGGGATTACAGGCATGAGCCACCGCGCCTGGCCGCAAGACCACATTTCTACAAAAAATTTAAAAATTGGCCCAGGTATGGTGGTGAACACCTATAGTCCCAGCTACTCTGGAGCCTGAAGTGGGAGGATAGCTTTAGCTCAGGAGTTCAAGGCTGCAGTGAGCTATGATCGTACCACTTCACTCCAGCCAGGGTGACAGAGTGAGACCTCATCTCAAAAAAAAAAAAAAAAAAAAATTCCTTAAAGAGAAAAATCTGGCCTGCAGTAATTAAGTTAACTTTATAGGACACGGCATAGCCCATCCTTCTCCATCTCCAGGCATGTAGAAGCTCACTGCTTTCTGTATGTGGTTACCCTATTCTGGAGCTGCACACCAAAGATTTGGGGTAGACGTGATAATGCAGAGAAACGTTTTTCAGGTGTGAAAATCTCTTATTTTTATTTATATAATCCCATATCAATTATTGGGGTTTTTCTGTACTTCCGGGAGACACTGTCACCAAAAGACCTTTAGGAAATCAATCAGTGTGGCAGAATAAAAAGACCGCTGTTCATCTTGCAGAGAAGGGCTGCTACAAATGAAGGCAGCTGCTGTTCCTCCTTGCTACCAATTGTAAATGTGAGAAGTCAGAGGTGTGGGTACGACATTGATCCTTCAGGCACTCTATAAATATTAATTGAAGGAAGGTGTTGATAAGGCAAAGAAACTTACACTTCTACAAATGGTGACAGTCAATGCTCCGGGCTCAATTTTAAAAAGAAAAAGACAAACAAGGAAGTCCAGATCATTAGAAGGGCTTTCTTGGCAGTGCTAAGTTACAGCCATCAGCAGAGCAAGCCCTGGCTAAGGCTAATGTCACATGGTAAGATGATTTATTCTTTCCCCTAAGTCAGCCTTGAAAATACATTTTTCAAATTGCCTGTCCACAGCGTAGTTTTACTGTGACAAGGCACTCAGTTCCTTAACATTCACCTGGCACAACGCTCTCAACAGCAAAGCCAAGTGGCAGAAAGTGCTGGGCCACATTGCCAGGGTACATGCCAGTCGGTTCACCAGAGAGTTTGCAAACCCCAGCTCCCGGGCTCTGTCTGCTGCACTGATATTCTATTAAATCCCATAGACCAGAAAAAGCTTCAATGCTTAGATGCAAGAAAGAGTTGAAGTGTTCGTGGCCACTAAGCCCAGGACTCAGCCATGACAATGAACGGTATCAATGACCAGGGAAGGATATGGTGAGGACGGAGATGCCAGGAGAGTCTGGATACATTCCTCCCCAGGTCACCAGCATTTACTTGGGAAAGCAAAGCACATGTGACCAGCTGCACTGAAAAACACCAACGTGAACCTTCAAAGGGAAACCAGATGGCTCTAAGCCAGGGGTAAAAATAGCTCAGCATCCAGCAAAGCCCAAACTAGGAACTGGGAAGTCTTAGAGCCTCTCAGGTTTTGATTTCAACTTGTCAAAGAAGTAAAAAAAAAAAAAAAAAAAAAAAAAGTCTTAACTGTGAGAAGTTGTTTTGGAAAGAGATATTCAAAATGCAAATATTACCCCTTCTACCTAGCTCGTTTCAAATTCATTGGACTGTCATTTGCAAAAGAATTGAAAAAGATTTGCAGCTGGAAAAAAAAAATTTATATTTCTTCTCATCTGACCATAAAAAGAAAAACTGGCAAACCAGCTTAGAAACTTGATAAAGAACTTCTTCAATTCGTGGACTAATAGGAAGAGCTGGATAAAGACAGAAATAACAACTTTTGATTTTTTTTAATTTAACAGTTTTTAAAGACCCAAATATATGGATTTATCTGAGTTCTAGTTTATTTATTTATTTATTTTACAGAAGCTGTTTAATCTAGCTCCTATTGTTCCAGCGAGGTTTCTATTTTTAACCAATGGGGGTGAATCATGCTGAGACCATCTAGGGACATGTTTAGAACATGAATTTTCAAGTCAAGAACCAAGTGAAAATTTTATTCCCAAATCAGGGCCTGGCTGCTCAGCACACTAGCAGCTATTGTGCCCTGACATTATATTCGTGAGTGTGCACTGATTGTGTCATTCAGAACAGAGGTGACTGGAAGAATTCCATGGACCAGAAAGAGCTCGGATAATAACTCCTTAAAGATAAGAGGAAATAAATGGCATTTGACTTGGGGTTCCCTCAGTCCCCTGACCTGTTGAACAAGGAAATGTTTTTGTATCTTTCAGTTGCTGAAATTGATGCAGGCTTCTGTCTCCATCCAATCAGCAAAGACGTTTTTGTCCTCATGTACAGTGTTGTTCTGTGCTGAGAACCATGAATCCTTTTCTTATTTGACTCAAACTTCTAGTGCTTCATTAATATAATACAGTCTTGGTACTTGGCTAATAAAAAAATCTCAGCTCAGTCAGATTTAATTCTGATTTTTTTAAGAAAAAAATAAAAATCTAATTACAACTGACTTTTACCTACATGCGAAGGTTCAATGTTCAAATTCACACCTTAAAAAGTATAGAATAACTGTTTTTTGAGGTCTATTTCATAGTTTTTAAATTTTGAATCTCTTGAAATTGAACATTAACTCTAGTATTCCCTCCTTTTCAGTAGGGCAGAATTTTAAATATGGCAAGGATGAGATTAATAAGCTGTAGTAAAATAAGCCCTAGTAGAGTTTAAGTTTATAAGCCCTAGTTAAGTTTATAAGTTTAAGTTATGAGCTCTGGTAGAATTCTTAGCTTTTTCTCTCCAGGTGTCAAGAGCTTACTCATAGTTAAGAGGGAGGAAAAAAGTGCTTCTGTCTTGAGACTTTTCCTTAACTAGCAAGCACTTTTTTTTTTTTTTTTTTGGATTAAAAGTTTGTTTACATTCCAAATAGAGTAGAAAGGCTTATGTGCTTTTCTGTTACACTGGAAAGATATTATACCAAAATTATAACTATATTGATTCATGTTTTCTTCTAATACCTTTTAGTTATATTTGCAGCGTTTACATTTTCTGTATAGCTGGCACAGATTTTGTATAAATTCAGCTTTGTTTAATGTCTATTTGTCGAAATACCATGTGACACTGATTTGAAATACTTTTATTACATATTAAACTTTTCTACATACTGTCCTCACTATACCATTACGATGTCTCTTTCTTTTTATTGCCCCACTGTTTTCACCATTATAGCTTTTATGTTGCCACACTGTTTTACCATTGTTGTATATTGTAACACATTTTATTTTTATTGTGCTACATAGTAAAATGTATTATAAAGGTACTGATATTTTCTGTTCATTTCTAAAATTGCCCTGGCTACTTCTTGAACCTCTTAATGACCTGTAAACTAATCTATCAAGTCTCCTTGCCCACCTCCTTGCCTTCAATTGATTGGAATATCTTTTGATTTATTGGTTAATTTAGATAGTATCAATATTTCAAAACATTGCTTGCTCTAAAGCATTAAAATAGTCAACATTTCTAGAATATTACCTTATTAATTCTCAAGGATTTTATGTTTCTGGTTTGTTGTTGTAACTGAGGGAATGCTGTCTCTCTTACTTGATATTTTCATTTTCTATTGTGAGCTTGGAAAAGTATCGATTTTTACATGTTACCTTAAAAACCACTACTTTACACGCCTGTAATCCCAGCACTTTGGGAAGCCGAGGCAGGCGGATCACGAGGTCAGGAGATGGAAACCATCCTGGCTAACACAGTGAAACCCTGTCTCTACTAAAAATACAAAAAAATTAGCTGGGCGTGGTGGTGGGTTCCTGTAGTCCCAGCTACTCGGGAGGCTGAGGCAGGAGAATGGTGTGAACCCAGGAGGCAGAGCTTGCAGAGAGCTGAGAGATCGCGCCACTGCACTCCAGCCTGGGCAACAGAGCGAGACTCCGTCTCAAAAAAAAAAAAAAAAAAAAAACCACTACTTTACTAATACTTTTCTAACAGTTTTTCAGCTGAGAAACTTTCCTTAATGAATAATGCAAAATTGAGTCGCATTTGTAGTTTAAATTAAATGATCAAAATGTAGAATCTGAAATGAGGATTTCCAGTAACTGAGGATATGCACATTTATATAAATCTGATTAGCTTTAACAGCTTTATAGATTTTAACCTTGTCCAACAAGAACAATATAAATATAAAGGCTTGGGGTCTAATCCCAGCTCCTGACTAAAATGCTCTAATGATAAATACCTTTCTCCCTTCTCTTTATTGTGAGTTTTCACATTTGTGCAGCAAAAAGAGTGATACTTCTCCTTTTCTTCCTGCTTTGAGGTAAAATAAGGATAAATGAGACAATTCGGTGAGGTGCTGTTAATAGCTTCCCAACAGGTACCACATAGCATCTACCAAACACACCTGCCATACTCACTAACAAGAATACTACTTGCAGAGTTTTCATGTTGGTAATAGTGGAGTACCTTATATCAGCTGAGCTTCCTTTCAACGACAACTATAAATGCTGAAATAGTTTTTGAAAATGATTTGAAGGCACTGGAGGGTGACTAAAATCAGGTCAAAACTGAACTGTGCAATGGCACACACCTGTAATCCCAGCTGCTTGGGAGGCTGAAGGAGAAGGATGGCTTGAGCCCAGGAGTTGGGAAGAGAAGAAATTCCAAAATGTCTAAAATAGGCTCAAATAGTACACTGTGATCACACCTGTGAATAGCTACTGTGCTCTGACCTGCCCAACTTAGCAAGATCTCATCTTTAAACAGAAAAGATTTTTTATTAATTTTTAGACTTTTTTAAAAAAAGCAGGAAGAGACTGGGTAAAAGCTTCACTTATGTGGCTTTTCCTCTAAGAGCACTCTCTGGCCTATGCAATATGGGGTGGCTAGAACTCAGGAAGAAAGCCACAGTCTTATTGAATTATTGGGGGATCAGAGGATAAAATATGGGGTTGCTTTTTTTGTTTTTTGGTTTTGGTTTTTTAAGATGGGATCTTGCTCTGTCACCCAGGCTGGAGTGCTGTGGTGCAATTATAACTCACTGTAAAATTGAGCTTCTGGGCTCAAATGATTCTCTCACCTCAGCCTCCCAAGTAGCTGGGACTACAAGTGCACACCACTATGCCTGGTTAATTTTTTAGAATTGTTTTTCGTAGAGTTGAGGGTCTCCCCATGTTGCCCAGACTAGTCTCAAACTCCTAGGCTCAATTAATCCTCCTGCCTCAGCCTCCCAAAATGCCAGTATTACAGGTGTTAGCCACAGCACCTGTCCTGATCCATCTTGTTATTCTTTAACACAGTACCGTATTCATTTTGTTGCACTGAGGACAATTTGAAATTATGTGTGTCATACTTGTTTATTTACCATCTACCCCACTAGAATATAAATTAAATGAGGGCAGAGTCATATCTACTTTGTTCACTGTTTACCTAGCTTGGGATCTAGCATCTAGCAGGTGCTCAACAAATATTTGATGAATTAATGAAAAAAGGGAAATGTCTTCAGAGTCCATTTAGACTTTCTCTGGCTTCCCATCTCAGTGGCTACTCATTGAGTGGGTCCTGCCTTCAATTAACTTCCTTCTTCTCTTCCTTTCTACACTAACCTCACTGAGGGGAGGAGCCTCAGGGAAGTTACAAGGGTAAGTTTCTAATGTCAAATGCAGGAGAAGGTCTTGGAAACTATTTTAAGTAATTATAAGTATGAATTATGATATGAATTATAAGGCAAGAAACCACATATGCAATATAATAGTACAATATTTAACCCTAATTGTTGGTCTCGCTCATAATTTACCCAGTCAGCCTGTGATGAGAGTTATAATACAAGCTAAAGAGGATATTTTTAAAAAGCAATTTTCAGTTTGTAGGGTTTTTAAAAATTATTAGTATTATTATTATTATTTGAGACAGAGTCTCGCTGTCACCCAGGCTGGAGTGCAGTGGCATAATCTCGGCTCACTGCAAGCTCCACCTCCAGGGTTCAAGCGATTCTTGTGCTTCAGTTTCCTGAGTAGCTGGGATTACAGGTGCACACCACCATGCCCAGCTAATTTTTGTATTTTTAGTAAAGATGAGATTTCACCATATTGGCCAGGCTGGTCTTGAACTCCTGGCCTCAAGTGTTTCAGCCACCTCAGCCTCCCAAAGTGCGGGAATTACAAGCATGAACCATCTTGCCTGGCCTTAAAAGATATTATCTTTATATAGAAATGAGAACAATTTGTATTCCTACAATTCATCTCCTTGGTATTGCTGAAGTCACAGGCACTAATTCCAGGTTGCAGATGTTTAGAAATTGTATTTCTGCCCTCTATAAGAGAATATAAAGCTACTGACTCACTGGTAATTGAACAAGCATTTGCTTTGTTTATTCAGCTGTGGTACTGGTGTGGGTTATTCCTTCAACCACAGTTCTTGAGCTCCTTTCCCAGCCACCAGAAGAAATTGAGTTTTTTTCTTACAAAAAGCTGCAAGTCTTCATTTCATTAACACCACGTTTTAAGCAACTTAGATAATGTTTGAGACACGTACATTGCCAGTTTGTCAAATGTATGCGTGTGTGTGTGTGTGTGTGTGTGTGTGTGTGTTTAATAAATTGCGGCTAATCTTGGGTACAGAATTTCCATTTCCCATCTATTTCTCTAAGGGCTGTCCTAACTATATTTCCCTCTTACTTATGATGTAACTTAAAGTTGAAAGGATATCATTTAAAAATTTCAAAGCATGGGAGTTTTAAAGTTATTATTTTACAGTTGGCAGTTTACACACATTTTGTGATCTAAATAGTGCAATGGCATGAATTAGAATATAAATAGTATAAACCTGTTAGAAATAGGTATAGTTAGAAAACTTTATCATAGTATTGTGCATGTGTATAAAATCAACAGGTTTTGAGCACTTAAATTGTAGCACTTACTCTCCAATATGTTACTACATTTAACTCTGAAACAACTCTGTAAGGTAAGTTATTATTTGCCCCCCATTTTTTGAGATAGGGTCTCACTCTATTACCCAGGCTAGAGTGCAGTGGCACAATCATAGTTCACTACAGCCTTGAATTCCTGGGCTCAAGCAATCCTCCCACCTCAGCCTTCTAAGTAGCTTGGACCACAGGCACGTGCCACCATGCCTGGCTAATTCTTTTATTTTTATATAGAGACAGAGTCTCACTATGTTGCCCAAGCTGGTCACAAACTCCCAACCTCAAGCAATCCTCCCACCCCAGCACCCCAAAGTGCTGGGATTACAGGCATGAGCCACCGTGCCTGGCCCTATTTGCTTTGTACAGAGGAAACCATGTCAAGTGTCCAACAGCTGATACACACATCTAAGATTTGAATCCATTCATGTCTGGGGACACAGGCTATGCTTATGGCATTGTGAGAATTCTACTTAACTTTAACCTAATGTGTTAAAATTTCAATATTCTGGAATACACTATTCTAATTCTTTTTATTTATTTATTTTTTAAGACAGAGAGTGTCACTCTGTTGCCCAGGCTGGAGTGCAATGGCACGATCTCAGCTCACTGCAACCTCCGCCTCCCTGGTTCAAGTGATTCTCCCTGCCTCAGCCTCTGGAGTAGCTGAGATTACAGGCACCCGCCACCACACCCAGCTAATTTTTGTATTTTTAGTAGAGACAGGGTTTTGCCATTTGGCCAGGCTGGTCTCGAACTCCTGACCTAAGGTGATCCACCCATCTCAGCCTCCCAAAGTGTTGGGATTACAGGCGTGAGCCACTGCGCCTGGCCGCTATTCTAATTCTTGAGTTCTGCAATTATACTATCCTGTTTAGCACACATCATAAATTTTCAGCTGAAGTAAATCACTCAGAAGTAACAGGAAAAGGTTACATGTAGGTCTCAGATGTTCCGTTATGCAACGTTGTACATTTGTGAAACTACAACAAGCAGGAAATACTGCAACTAAAGTCTAGTGCAAATTTGGCAGCACAGATAATTACAGTCTAATTTTCTACAATGTAACTTTTTCAAGTATTTTGCAGGAAACAGTTTCCATTTGAAAAGAGATACATGTAGCCACATTTCCCAGTGAGACACATGTAAAGTAGGTGGAATTAATTTTTTTAAGTCTATCTAGAAACAAAGGAAAAGCAGAGGTTTCCTCCCAAACATCCAAACCCAGATGTAGATGAAAAATTTGGGCCGAGAAATTTTTGTATGGGCTGCACAGTGGAGACATAATAGTAGCCAAGGGGGCCGGCTGCGGTGGCTCGTGCCTGTAATCCCAGCACTTTGGGAGGCCAAGGCGGGCGGATCACTTGAGGTCAGGAGTTCGAGATCAGCCTGGCCAACATAGTGAAACCTTGTCTCTAGTAAAACAAAAAATACGAAAAAATTAGCCAGGCATTGTGTCACACACCTGTAGTCCCAGCTACTCAGGAAGCTGAGGCAGGAGAATTGCTTGAACCCAGGAGGTGGAGGTTACAGTGAGCCAAGATCATGCCACTGCACTCCAGTCTGGGTGACAGAGTGAGACCTTGTCTAAAAAAAGAAAAAAAAAATAGTGGCTGAGTCATCAAGGAGGTGAGATGAAGGAGAAAATGAAAGATGAAAAATTCCTAAAACAAAGTTTTAGAACAACTAAAGGAGCAGAATAAAAGTAATCATTTTAATTCAAGATATTATACATAAGAATAACGTGATCTGGACAAAACAAGAGAGAACATGATAGTTGACTCCCCATCACCACTAAATACTCAACTGTTAACCACAGCAATTGCATCCAGGATGAGATGATGGTTACGGTGTCTGAGTGAAGCTACTGTTTTGCTTCTTTCTTTAGTTGCCAAGCAACCTGTTGACCTCAATGTTCTTGTGTTTATACTCAAGTCAATGTGCTTGACGTTTATTTGTTCTGATATAAATAATTGTGTGCCCTAGTAGAGATACAAATCTACAAGGGTTAAAATGCTGTGTGGAATTTAAATATTAACACTTTCCCTTTAGGAACATCTGTTTCTCCCAGTCTTTTTCTCTTTGTGAATATCAATGTTTTATTTACACAGTTAAGACCCTGGTGATGGGAAATATTTTAAGCTAAAGACAGAGTGGGATTCTGGTTTAGGAAGACAGACTCATCCCATACATTTTCTTTCTCACCCTTCCAAAATCCTATTGAAATGAGATAAAATATTTTAAAATTATATTACTTACCTATTGTTGTGTAACAAATTACCCCAGAACTTGAGGGCTTAACACAAGCAACACGTTTTTGAATCTCAGTTTGTGTGGGTCAGAAATGAGGAGGCAAATTAGCTGAAAGTTTCTGTTTTAGGATCACTCACGAGGCGGCAATCAAGATGCTGCTGGGGCTGCTGTCATCCGAAGATTTCACTGTGCTTGGGGATTCACCCTCAAGTTCCCGACACGGCTGCACGGCTGTGGGAGGAGATCTTAGTTCCTCATGGCACTGAACTCTCCACAGAGCTGTTTGGGTGTCCCCTTGACATGACACCTGCTTTCTCCCAGAGGGAGTAATCCCAGGGACAGAAGACAAGGCAGAAGCCACAGGTTTTTTGGGGTTTTTTTTGAGACGGAGTCTTGCTCTGTCACCCAGGCTGGAGTGCAGTGGCGCGATCTCGGCTCACTGCAAGCTCCGCCCCCCGGGTTCACGCGAAGCCACAGGTCTTTTATGAGGTAGCCTCAGAAGCCACATGTCATCATTTCTGCCATCTTGTATTAATCATGCAGACTAACTTGGATCCAGTGTGGGAGATGACTACCTAAGGGATGTGGGCTATCTTGAAGTCTGGCTACCAAAAAGCTAAATCCAAAACAGCATAGTAAAAGGGAAATGGTAGCCATCAGAAGATCTTTTGAATGATAGATATCAAGTGGAATTATAGGATATTAGAAATAAAAATTAGAGTCCTGGATCTAAAAACTTAAGGATGTAATCAAATTAATTCTCAGTGGAAAATGTATAGCCTCAATTTATTATTAGAAAAACCTAAAAGATAGAAAAATATATTATCTAAATATTCAACTGAAGTAATTATAAAAACTTTTACTGGCCAGGTGCAGTGGCTCATACCTATATTCCCAGTGCTTTGGGAGGCCTGGTGGGAGGATGTCTTGAGCCCAAGAGTTCAAAGAGGCAGTGAGCTGTGATCACACCACTGCACTCTAGCCTGGGTGACAGAGCAAGACCCTGTCTATTAAAAAAAAAAAAAAAAAAAATTCGCCCAGACTGGAGTGCACTGGTGCGATTTCGGCTCACTGCAAGCTTCGGCTCACTGCAAGCTCCGCCTCCCAGGTTCATGCCATTCTCCTGCCTCAGCCTCCCAAATAGCTGAGACTACAGGCGCAGGCCACCACACCTGGCTTTTTTTTTTTTTTTTTTGTATTTTTAGTAGAGATGGGGTTTCACTATGTTAGCGAGGATGGTCTCAGTCTCCTGACCTCATGATCCACCTGCCTCGGCCTCCCAAAGTGCTGGGATTACAGGCGTGAGCTACCGCACCCGGCCAGAAAATTCTTATTAACTTCTGCTTCTATCTGAAATCAGAGTTTTAGAAACATCTGTTTCTTTTAAAAAGCCAATAAAATTAGCAATCCTTTAAAAGTCTACTCAAGAACAAAAGAGAAAAGATACAAATAAAAACTAAAACCAGACAGGGGAATACTACTTTAAAATTATAAGAAAGTGCTGGATGTGGCAGCATGCGGCTGTAGTCCTGGGTACTCAGGAGGCTGAGGCGGGAGGATCACTTGAGCCCAGGAGTTCTAGGCTGCAGTGAGCTATGATGGTACCACTGCACTCCAACCTGGGTGACAGAGCAAGACCCTGTCCCTAAAATAAATAAATAAGAAACATGAAAAGAAAGACTGTGTGTATCATTATGTTAATACATTTGAAAGTCTAGGTGAAACCAATTACTTTTCAGAAAAATATGAGTAACCAAGTTGTGGGGGTGCACGTCTGTAATCCCAGCTACTCGGGAGGCTGAGGCAGCAGAATTGCTTGAACCTGGGAGGTGGAGGTTGCAGTGAGCCGTGATGGCACCACTGCACTCCAGCCTGGGTGACAGAGTGAGACTCTGTCTGGAAAAAAAAAAAGAAAAAGAAAAATTCATAACCCTAGAAGTATTTGAAGAAGTAGCAAAACACCACACACACACACACACACACACACACACACACACACACACACACACATCAAAAACTCACAGGAAAGAGCACCACATTCACATCTGGTATAACCTACCAATGTTTTGAGGAAGATTCATTCATTTTACTCAGTAACTATTTATTGAACTCCTTTTATGTTTTAGGAGCTGGGGATACAGCAGTAAGCAAAAAGAAGTTCCTGCCTGCAGAGATTCTTTGTTTTACTGCAGTGAGCAGAGTAACAAAACTTTCTGATTCATTTTTCTTTTTTTTTTTTGAGACGAGGTCTTGCTCTCTCTGTCACCAGGCTGGAGTGCAGTGGCGTGATCTTGGCTCACTGCAACCTCCACCTCCTGGGTTCAAGCGATTCCCATGCCTCAGCTTCCTGAGTAGCTGGGACTACAGCACCACCACGCCTGACTAATTTTTTGTATTTTAGTAGAGATGGAGTTTCACCATGTTGGCCAGGATGGTTTCAATCTCCTGACCTCATGATCCACCAGCCTCGGCCTCCCAAAGTGCTGGGATTCAAATCAACCTAACCCTGAAGCCAAAACAAGACAAGCACAATCTTATATAAATCATGAAGGAAGAAGGAAGGAAGGAAGGGAGAGGTAAGAGAGGAGAAGGAAAAGGAAGGGAAGAGGAAAGAAAAATATAATGGAATTACAGACTAATCTTATTTTTTTTCAAACTCAATTAAGGAATTTATTTTTAAACCACAGCTAACATCATACTTGACCATGAGACTAAATGCTTTCTCCATCAGATTAGACACAAAATATTGTGATATCACAGGTCTGTCTTTAATTCAAAATGAACTATCCAAATAATACTCAGAAACAGTGACAAAAAAAAGGACAACAAATGTAAATGACTCCCATGACACAATGGTGTATGATAAACTTGACGTACTTACAAATTGACACCAGCTCTTCATTAGCAAAGAAAATGGAATAAAGAGTCATGTCAAAGCAGTAGTTTTCCCCATAATAAAGGAAAACGGAATATACATACTGGGTTAGAAATATCCAGAACTTGCCACATAACACCAATAAGAAAATCTCAATTCACAAAGTCTCATTTTTCAATGGCCCATTAATCACAGAACAATTAAACACTGCATAAAAAATAAATTTCAATTCACCTATAGATCCAACACACTTTAAAATGGATAGAGAAAATCTTTTTAACTGTATTAGGATAAAAACACTTCCTATTAAGCCTCAGGTACCATGGCTTAAAGAGTACATACAGAATTCTCAACACAATGTTTCCTTGCAAAAGAAGTAGAAATCCAGCTGAGCAGGGTGGCTCAGTCACGCCTGTAATCCCAGCCCTTTGAGAGGCCAAGGTGGGCGGATCACCTGAGATCAGGAGTTCGAGACCAGCCTGGCCAACTTGGCGAAACCCCATCTCTACTAACAATACAAAAATCAGCCAGGCGTGGTGGCAGGCACCTGTAGTCTCAGCTACTTGGAGGCCAAGGCAGGAGAATAGCTTGAACCCAGGAGGCAGAGGTTGCAATGAGCCAAGATTGCTCCACTGCTCTCCAGCCTGGGCAATAGAGCAAGACTCCATCTCAAAAAAAAAAAAAAAAAAATAGAAATCCATCTTCCAGAAATCCTCTTTAAGAATGAGCCACTGATAAACACCATATATTGATAACTTTGTATCATAATTCATTTGTGGAGTTTTTAGCCTTTTACAATAATTAATTTACATCAGGTTTTCCAAATTACTTACATTTGCAGGATTTCTTTCCAGTGGGAGTTTTCACATGATTTTTAAAGTAAATATTAAAATGGAAAACTTTCCTGTATTTTCCATATTACTAAGGTTTCCACCCAGCATTCATTCTTCTATTTTATAATGTCCATCTCCAGCGTGCATTGCGGTGTGTCTTTGAATGGAGATGACAGCAAGGAAAGCATCCCCACATTCTGTATATTCATAGGATTTTTCTCCAGAGCCCTTTCCCATGTTGGAAAGCAACTGAGAACATTAAATGCTTTACCATATGTTTTACATTTAGGGGGGTTTCTCCAGTGTGAGTCCTTTTATGATTTTGAATGGAACCAGGACATCTGAAGCCTTTACTACACTTTTTATATTCTTTGAATTGTTTTCCAGGGTGGGTCTTTTCATGTCTTTAAAGAAAACTGGGAAAATTGAATGCATTCTGTACATCCACAGGATTTCTCTCCTGTATAAATGAGGTTCTTTCTTTCTTTTTTCTTTTCTTTCTTTTTTTTTTTTTTTTTTTGAGGCAGAGTCTTGCTATGTTGGCCAGGCTGGAGTGCAGTGATGTGATCACAGCTCACTGCTCACTGTCACCTCCATCTCTCAGCTTCAAGCAATCCTCCTGCCTCAGTTTTCTGAGTACTTGAAACTACCAGCACATACCACCCGACCCAGTTAATTTTTTTTCTTTTTTCTTTTTTGATACAAGGTCTTGTTATGTTGCCCAGGCTGGTCTCAAACTGCTGGACTCAGATGATCCTCCTGCCTCAGTCTTTCAAAGTACTGGCTGCACTGGGCAAAATGAGTTCTTTCCTGTAGTCAAAGGTAATTTTAAAAACTGAAGACTTGCCCACATTGTTTACAGTCATAGGGTTTTTGTTTAGCGTGAGTCCTTTCATGTCTTCCAAGGGAACTGCACGACCCAAAGGTCCTACCACACCTTCTACATTCATAGGATTTTCCTCCAGTATGAGTTTTTTCATGTCTTCAAAAGGAACTGAGATAATTAAAGGTTCTGCCCCATGTATTACATTCGTAGGGTTTCTCTCCAATATGAGTTCTTTCATGTGCTTGAAGGGACGTGGGACATCTAAAGACTTCACCACATTTTTTACATTCATGAAGGTTTCCTGCACTATGCATTTTTTTGTGTCTTCAAAGGAAACTGGAACAATTGCGTCTTTTCCCACATTCCTTACATTCATGAGATTTCTCGAGAACATGAGCTCTGATTTCATATGTCCAAAGGTAAGTTGAAGAAATGAATGCTTTACCACAGTGTTTGCATTGGTAAGGGTTTTCTCCAGTGTAAGTTCTAACATGTATTTGAAAGGAACTAGGGCCAGGCGCATTAGCTCACACCTTTTAATCCCAGCACTTTGGGAGGCCAAGGCAGGTGGATCACGTGAGGTCAGGAGTTCAAGACCAGCCTGGCCTGGTTTCACCTGATGAAACCCCATCTCTATTAAAAATGCAAAAATCAGCCAGATGTGGTGGTGCACGCCTGTAATCCCAGCTACTCGGGAGGCTGAGGCAGGATAATTGCTTGAACCCAGGAGGCAGAGGTTACAGTGAGCTGAGATCGCGCCACTGCACTCCAGCTTGGGTGACAGAGTGAGGCTCCATCTCAAAAAATAAATTTAATTTAATTAAAAATTAAAATGAAAGGAACTGGAACAATCAAATGTTTTTCCACAGTGTTTACATTCACAGCATTTTTCTCCAGTGTGAATGTTTTCATGTATTTGAAAGTAAATGAAAACAGTGAAGGCTCTCACAATTTCTCTACATTTATAGAACCTCTTTCCAGTGTGAGTTCATTGTGAAATAAATACTGAAATTAAGGGCTTTGCCTCATAGCTTGCATTTATAACATCCCTTTCTAGTGCATATTACCATGAGTCTTGGACCACTTCTGGGAGAAATGGAGGCTCTCCCACATTGTTTATGTTTATGGGGCTTTTCACCATATTCCCCACCACACTCATATTGTTTGTGTCCAGAGTGAGCTCATGTGCCTATGAAGGAATGAATGATGTACAAAGACTATTCCACACACACTGCCTTGCATGGTTTTACTCCAGTACGAATTTTCTTGTTCAGATGACAATCTGCTTTCTGGCTGCGGGTTTCTCCACATTGACTCCTTCTTTACATCCACAGAGTCTCTCCACCATATTATTTCGTAGCTTTCTCCCAAGATTTTGGGACAGATTTTCAATGTCCTGGCTTTCCATTTGATTCCTACAGACACCAGATTCCTGAAGGCTTCCAGCATTGCATTTCTGTAGAGATTCTTCCAGGAAGGTCCCAGCAAAGCCCACTCCTCCTGGGTGAAGTTCACAGCCACATTCTCAAAGCCTACTGAGTCCATTTCCAGCTTCCTGGTGTCCTGGCATCCTCTCTACGATTCAGGCAGCCACAGCAGGTCCCATGCAACAGAAGCTGCAGTATCAGGACCACCAGTGGCCTCCCAGAGGAATTGAAATCCCCTAATCTTATTTACAATCTTAAATGCAAAAGTCATAAATAAGTTATTAGAAAATTGAATCCTACAGTACATAATATATTATGATTAAAAAGTTCTATCCAGGAATCAAATAATAGTCCAAATTTTAAATGAATTAATTTTTTAAATGAATTTATGTAACTGTGAAACAACATTAATAAACTAAAAGAAAAAATTATATAACCAACTCAAAAGTGCTAAAGAAGGATTTAATAAAATTCAACATTTTATTCAAATTAAGTAAGTTAAAACTTTAGTAGCTCATAGTAGACATTTTTTAAAACTCTGCCCAGCACTCATTCACTCTTTTGTTGGGTTTTTAGGGAACCACCATGAGGTACACTGTATTTTGGGGGTCCCAACGAACCATACCTCCCATGCTCACACCTTTGTGTATTTCTCTCTCACATTTACTCTGAACTTGGCCATGTGACCAGTTTGGGCCAAATTAATTTTTAAAAAACTTTTATTTTAGGTTCAGGGGTAATTGTACAGGTTTGTTTTATAGATAAACTCACGTCACGAAAGATTGTTGTACAAATTATTTCATGACCCAGGTACTAAGACTAGTACTCAATAAGTATTTTTTCTGATCCTCTCCCCCTCGCACCCTTCACCCTCAAGTAGGCCCCCACATCTGTTGTTTCCCTCGCTGTATCCATGTGTTCTCATCATTTAGCTCCTACTTACAAATGAGAACATGTGGTTATTTGTTTCTGTTTCTGGGTTAGTTTGCTAAGGATAACGGCCTGCAGCTCCATCCATATTCCTGCAAAGGATATGATCTTGTTCTTTTTTATGGCTGCATAGTATTCCATGGTGTACATGTGCCACATTTTCTTATCCAGTCTATCATTGAGGAGCATTTGTGTTGATTCCATTTCTTTGCTATTGTGAATAGTGCTGCAATGAACATGCACGTGCATGTGTCTTTATGATAGAATGATTTATATTCCTTTGGGTATAGACCCAGTAATGGGATTGCTGGGTCAAACGGTAGTTCTGTCTTCAGCCCTTTTAGGGATTGCCACACTGCTTTTCACAATGGTTGAACGAATTTATGCTCCCAAAACAGTATATAAGTGTTCCCTTTTCTCACAACCTTGCCAGCATCTGTCATTTTTTGACTTTTAATAACAGCCATTCTGACTGGTGTGAGATGGTACCTCATTGTGGTTTTGATTTGTATTTCTGTAATAATCAGTGACTTTCTTTCATATGCTTGTTGGCTGCATGTATATCTTCTTTTGAAAAGTGTTCATGCCTTTGCTCACTTTTTAATGAGGTGATTTGTTTTTTTCCTGTAAGTTTGTTTAAGTTCCAATGTAGATGCTGGATATTAGGCCTTTGTCAGATACAGTCTGCAAAAATTTTCTCCCATTCTGTAGGTTGTCTGTTCACTCTGTTGATAGTTTATTTTGCTGCGCAGAAGATCTTTAGTTTAATTAGATCCCATTTGTCAATTGTTGCTTTTCTTGCATTACTTTTGGTGTCTTCATCATGAAATATTTGCCCTTTCCTATGTCCAGAATGGTATTGCCTATGTTGTCTTCCAGGGTTTTTATAGTTTGGGGTTTTACATTTAAGTCTTTTATCCATCTTGAGTTGATGTTTGTATGTGGTGTAAAGAAGGGGGCTGGTTTCAATCTTCTGCATATGGATAGCCAGTTATCCCAGCACCATTTATTGAATAGGGAGTTCTTTCCCTATCGCTTATTTTGTCAGCTTTGTTGAAGATCAGATGGTTATATGTGTTTGGTCTTATTCCTGGGCTCTCTATTCTGTTCCATTGGTCTATGTGTCTGTTTTTGTACCAGAACCATGCTGTTCTGGTTAATGTAGCCCTGTAGTATAGTTTGAAGTCAGGTAGCATGATGCCTGCTTTGTTCTTTTGCTTAGGATTGACTTGGCTATTTGGGCTCTTTTTTGGTTCCATATGAATTTTAAAATCATTTTTTCCACTTCTGTGAAAAATGTCATTAGTAATTTGATAGGAATAGCAGGCAGTATGATCATTTTAACAATATTGAGTCTTCCTAACCATAAGCATGAAATGTTTTTCCATTTGTGTCGTCTCTGATTTCTTTGAGTAGTGTTTCATAATTCTCATCGTAGAGATCTTTCACCTTCCTGGTTAGCTATATTCCTGGTATTTTCTTCTTTTTGTGGCAATTGCGAATGGGATTGGGTTCCTGATTAGGCTCTTGGCTTGGCTGTTGTTGGTGTATGGGAATGCCAGTGATTTCTGTATATTAATTTTGTATTCTGAAATTTTGTTGAAGTTGCTTAAAAGCTCAGGGAGCTTTTGATAAGACTATGGGGTTTTCTAGATATAGAATCATGTAGCCTGCAAAGAGGGATAGTTTCACTTCCCTCTCTTTCTTTTTGGATGCCCTTTATTTCTTTCTCCCATCTGTTTGCTCTAGCCAGGACTTCTAACACTATGTTGAATAGGAGTGATAAAGCAGGGCATCCTTGCCTTGTGCCTGTTTTCAAGGGGAATGCTTCCAGTTTTTGCCCACTAAATATGATCGTGGCTGTAGGTTTGTCATAGATGGCTCTTATTATTTTGAGGTATGTTCCTTCAATACCTAGTTTGTTGAGAGTTTTTAACATGAAGGGATGTTGAATTTTGTCCAAAGCCTTTTCTGCATCTATTAAGTTAATTATGTGGTTTTCATCTTTAGTTCTGTTTATGTGATGAATCATGTTTATTGATTTGCATATGTTGAACCAGCCTTGCATACCAGGGATAAATCCTACTTGATCATGTTAGATTAGCTTTCTGGTGTGCTGCTGGATTCTATTTGTTAGTATTTTGTTGAGAATTTTTGTATCAATGTTCATCAAGGATATTGGCCTGAAGTTTATGTTTTTTGTTGTGTCTCTGCCAGGTTTTGGTATCAGGATGATGCTGGTTCATAGAATGAGTTGAGGAGCAGTCCCTCCTCCTCACAAATTGATATTATTAAATGTTGCAAAGCAGAGGCTTCATAAGCATTTGCATATTGGTGATTGTTCTCTAAGAATGCCCATTCTTGGAACCTAGCTGACATATTCTGAGGAAGTCCAAGCAGTCACATGGGAGAGATCCACATCAAAGAAAAATGAGGGTTTCAGCTGACAGCCCCATTTAAGACCCAGGTAGAGACCAACTGTCAGCCATGGGAGTGAAGCAATTCTGGACCTTCCAACCACCAAGTCTAGCTCCCCAGCCAATACCATGTGACACAGAAGATCTACAATCTACAAATCATGAACAACAACAAATGATTGTTTTAAGCCACGAAATGTGGTGGTAGTTTGATATAACATGGCAGAGAACTGAAACACTTTCAACATAAACATTGTCACAAAAAATGTAGAAGTTGTCAGCAAATAAATGTTGCAACATAAACATATGACCCAACCATAGTTCAGGTTGGGTCAGCGGTATTCCAGCCGATTAAAAGAAGGGTTGGCAAACATTTTCTATAGCGAACACAAGATAGTAAATAGTTTAAGCTTTTTGATCTCTGTTCCATATGATCTCTGTTCAACTACTCAGCCTGCCATTATAGCACAAAAGAAGTTATAGACAAAACACAATTGAATTGTATGGTGCTTTCCAATAAAACTTTATTTACAAAAACAGGCAGCAAACTGGATTTGACCAAGGGGCTATAGCTACCAACGCTTCATTAAGTGTATCACATTACTTGGCTGTAGGGTTTGGTTTATACAAACCCACTGTGGAAGCGAGAGGAAGAACAGAATCCTGTGTGAGTTATAGATTGTGGTATAAGCCAATAATAGTGTCATTAGCTAAGAAAGGAATGCTGAAAACGGAGTAGACTTGGAGGCAGGGCTCAGAATTAAGAGTATGATTTTGGCTTCATTAAGGTTGAGATGTCTCTGAGATATCCAAATGGATATAGGAGTATGTATTTGAACACTCTAGAAAGAAGTTTGGCAAACATAAATGTAGAAGTTGTCAGCAAATAAACTGTACTTGAAGCCATCGAACTGGGTAGAAAAGAGGGCTGAGGACTAAGCTCAAGCTCACCAGGACTTTCCACATACAGAGACAAAAATGAGGAAGAGAAGTAAGTGATATAGTTTGCATGTCTGTCCCCTCCAAATCTCATGCTGAAATGTAATCCCCAGTGCTGGGGGTGGGGTCTGGTGGGGGGTGATCGGGTCACATGGCAGATCTTTCAGGAATGGCTTAGCACCATCTCCTTGGTGATGAGTGGGTTCTCGCTCAGTTCACACAAGATCTGGTTGTTTAAAAGAGTCTAGGACCTCCTTCTTCTCTCTCTCTTACTCCCTCTCTTGCTCCTACTCTTGCCATGTGATGCACCCATTCTCGCTTTGCCTTTCGCCATGAGTAAATGCTTCCTGAGGCCTCCCCAGAAGCAGAGCAGATGCCAGCACCGTGCCTGCACAGCCTGCAGAACTATGAGCATATTAAACCTCTTTTCTTTATAAATTACCCAGGAGCTGGTATTTCTTCATAGCAGCACAAGAACAGACCAACACAGCAAGTAAAGAAAACTAAAAAGGAGTGGCCAATGAAGAGGGAATAAGGCCAAAAGAGCATGATGCCCCAGATGCCAAGCAGAGAGAGGGATTGAAGGAAAGATGGTCAAGTGGATAATAATAGGTAATGCTCTGAGATGAGGACAGTGAATTACCAAGTGGATTTGGCACAATAGAGGTCTCTGATAACTTCAACTTGAGGAGTTTTAGTGGTGTGGGGTGGGTACAGGGAACAAAAGCACATATGGCATAAGAGTGGCATAAATTGACATAAGAGTAATGATGGGCTAGGGAGTAGAAACAAGGAGTATAGGCATGTTTTTTCAGGGAGCCACAAGAGGTGTTTTGTTTAAGTGTGATGTTGTGCCAAGTGTTGCTAGGTCTCTGGAATCCATATGTTCATACAATTTGGAAGGAAAATAAAGAATTGTAGAAAATGGAAGAATTTTTTTTAATAGGAAATTTTCCTAGAACCAGCAGCAGAAGTTTCCTATTAGTATGTAGGAAGGAAAGTATTCAAATGAAATTCCAGAACTCTCACTAATATCTACCAGAAATCCAGAACAACATCATTTTTAATAACAAAATAGAAACATTAAAATTAGGATCAAATCAAGAATGTCGAGAAACACTGCTGTTATTCCACATTGTATTAGAGCCCTAGCCGATGCAGTAGATGCAAAAAATAAGATAAGATGTAATATTTGAAAGAGAGACTTTCATTATTTATATGCTGTAAAATCAGTGGTATGATGATATATGATAAACAACTGGTTCTGAGTGTAGTTTCCAGTATGAATGTTGGTTGATGGTTTTATTTATATATGAACAACTTAAAATTAAAATGGAACAACTTGAAATTAAAGTGAAACAACTTGCCTGAACTTCACTTGTTGGTCAATGATATGAGCAACTTCTTGGTTAAATTGAAAAATCGTTTTTGAATACTTCAAGAGTATTTATTTCCTCAATTTTTTGTGTTTTTCACAATGTAATGACTACAGGTATGACACATTCACAAGTTTAATCTCTGTGTTGTCTGTTTTGTGTCATCCTAACAAAATATCTGAGACTGGGTAATTTATAAAGAAAAGAGATTTGGCCAGGTGTGGTAACCCACACCTATAGTCCCAGCACTTTGAGAGGCCAAGACAGGTGGATTGCCTGAGCCTCAGAGTTCAAGACCAGCCTGGGCAACATATTGAAACCCAGTCTGTACAAAAAAAATTTACAAAAAATTAGCTGGATGTGGTGGCACACACCTGCAGTTCCAGCTACTTGGGAGGCTGAGGTGGGAGGATCGCTTGAACCCAGGAGGTGGAGGTTGCAGTGAGCCAAGATCATGCCACTGCACTCCAGCCTGGGGAACAGAAGAAAGAAAGGAAAGAAAGGAAAGGAAAGGAAAGGAAAGGAAAGGAAAGGAAAGGAAAGGAAAGGAAAGGAAAGGAAAGGACAGGAAAGGGAGAAAGAAAGAGGAAGGAATGAAGGAAGGAAGGAAGGAGAAAGAAAGGGAAAAGAAGAAAGAAAAAAAGAAAGAAAGAGAGAAAAAAAGAAAGGAAAGAAAGAAAGAAAGAGAAAAGAGAAAGAAAGAAAGAGGAGAAAAGAGGTTTATTTAGCTCACACAGTTCTGCAGGCTGGGAAGTTCAAGGGCATGGCCTTGGTTTCTGGCAAGGTCTTTTGTACTGCATCATAACGTGGTAGAGAACATCAAAGGGGAAGTGGACATGTGTGAAGAGAGACAAAAATCTGAAACACATCCTGGCTTTATAACAACCCACTCTCTTGGGAACTACTCTGTTCCCTCGAGAACTAATCCAGTCTCATTGGAGTGAGGACTCATTCAATACTGTGAGAATGGCACCAAAACATTAATGAGGGACCCATCCCCTGACCCCCAGCACCACCACATTGGGGATTAAACTTCACCATGAGTTTTGGTGGGAACAAACACAAACCATGTCCAAACCATAGAAATTTCCATTATTAACATTTTCTCCATTACATTATTAAGTCTAGACAGTTAACAAAACAATAAATCAAGACCTAAATGGTAACATTTGCTGGTTTCTGTAGTGTAAATACAGTACTCCTGTGATGGTTGCTTTCAACCTACCAGAGGGACATCACTGAATGTGGAGCTGGAAGAGACACAATAGCATACTGTCATAAAGAATTTCCATTATATAGAAACAGAAGAAATAAATAACCTCAAGAGCATAGATAATAGTAAAATGTAAGAAAACAATTAGGACATGATGAGTTTTGAGCATTTATTACCTTAGTCTTTTATATAATCTATTTAATTGTAAGTTTACATAATTTAACTCTTTTTTAACATTTTTTGCTTATTTTAAATTATTATTGGCATTCTAATGTATTTTTTAGTTTATTTACATAATTTAATTCTTAATAATGGCTATGTTTAACAACCACCTCACAAAATTTCTGAAAACTTAATAATCAAGTCTCATAAACTGGCATAAGCCAGCTCTATGGCATCACATAATTGTGTATCCAGAAAATCAAAAATAATCAAGTGAAAAACTAAAGAACCAAAAGAACATTCAACTAAGTTGATTGGATACAACATAATTATAAAACATAGAGTTAAAAAAATCAATTCAACATCATCAATGTTTCTTTCTTGTAACAAGAACAAGAAAATCATTAAGAAAAATCCTAATACATAAAGCATAAGGCAGATATTAAAATAAATATAAAATTTTATTGATTCACATTTTAAAGACATAAATAAATGAAGAGATATATCATGTTCCTGCATAGGAGTAATATTGCAAACATGTAAATTCTCCCTCAAAGTAATCTATATGGTCAATGCAATCTCATTCAAAATTCTAACAGAATTTAATTTGGATATTGGTAAACTGATTCTGAAGTTTGTTGGAAAAGACCATTCCTATGAATAAATCTGTGAAAAGGTTTGATCTCCTAGATATAGGAACATTCTATAAAATATTGGTAATTAAAATAGTGAGAGTCTGGTGCAGGAATAATCAAGTATACTGATGAGACGGAGGAAGAGTTCAAAATGCTTCATTTGTTACAGAAATGTTATACTGCATGTGAAAAGAGCCAATTCACATCATTTGGAAAAGCAAGGAGTGCTCAAAAAATGATGTTAGGAGAATTGGTTTTCATATGGAATAAGCAATCCAATGACCATCACTCACTGAAAATCCAACTATGTACATATCTGATGTGTGTTCTTTTGTCTACCTACCCTATAATTTAATACAAATTTTAAAACTTCTGCTATTTCACACCAAACAAACAAACAAAAAAACTCAGGTACCTAAAAGAAGTAAACATTAAAGAAAGAAATGACTTTAAGAAAACACAGGAAGTTATTTTTGTAATTTTGGCATGGTGGCATGGTCACTCTGTTGCCAGGCTGGAGTGCAGTGGCACAATCTCAGCTGACTGCAACCTCCGCCTCCTGGGTTCAAGCAATTCTCGTGCCTCAGCTTCCCGAGTAGCTGGGAGTACAGGTGCGTGCCACCATGCCCTGCTAATTTTTGTATTTTTAGTAGAGACGGGGTTTCACCAAGTTGGCCAGGATGGTCTCAATTTCTTGACCTCATGATCGGCCCGCCTTGGCCTCCCAAAGTGCTGAGATTACAGGCGTGAGCCACCACACCCAGCCAATGGGCAGATTCTTAAAAACTTACAACCTTTGTATGGCAAGAGGCTCCATAATTCAAGGTGAAAAATAAGTTACAGATGGGGAAGAAATATTTGCTATAAAAATAGCAGTCAAAAAATATGGATTAACAAAATATCAAGAGCTCTTATAAATCAATAAGAAAAAGACAATCAACCCAATTAAAAGAAAAATCTAAGTCATCTCTGTCCAATAGAAATATCACGTGAGCTACATATGTAATTTTAAATTTTTTATTAGTCACATTAAAATTATTTAAAGCAGTATCTCTTATTACATTGATATGTAATCAATATAAGAATATTAATGAGATATTAAGATAACCAATATAAAAATATTAGTGAGATCTTTTGTTTAGACCAAGTCGTTGAAATTTCTGTGTATCTTACACTGACAGCACAACCCAATTTAGGCTGTCCACTTTTCAAGTGCTCAGTGTCCACATTTGGCTGGTGATAATCAAATTAGACAGCACAGGTCTAAGCAATTCACAAAATAAATATGAGTGGCCAGTAGACTAAACTATTTCTTCATTGAGGAAATGCAAATGAAAGAAACAAGATGCCACATTTCACCCACCGCATTGACCAACACTGAAAAACCGAAAATTATTTAAAACTTGTCTTAGCTACAAAGAAGTTTGTTATAGGATTGCTTGTAATAGCAAAAAGAAGCCTAGGCAACATGGTAAGATCTTGCCTCTACAAAAAATTTAGAAACTAGGCAGATGTGGCGGCATACAACTATAGTCCAAAGCTACTTGGGAGGCTGAGGGAGGAGGATCACCTGAGCCCAGGAGATCAAGGTTGCAGTGAGTCGTGATTGTGTCACTTCACTCCAGCCTAGGTGATAGAGTGACACCTTGTCTCAAAAAATATAAAATAAAATAAACAGCAAAAAGGAAAGAAGAAAATGAAGAAAAGGGGGAGGAAGGGGAAGAAATAGCTCAAGTAGCAGACCGAGTTAAGCAGGTTAGAGTGCACTCCTGCAATGGAACCTACTTGGTGATTTTAATACATTATTTCAGCTATGGATATTGACATAAAAAACTCTCTTAAAAAAAACAGTAGACAAACCAACTTGTGGGACATTTTATGTAATATGATTAATATAACATACAACATTTTTATGTTCATATATACATAGATTCCTAAATGCATGGAAAGGTGATCTGAAAGGCTGTAAACCAAAGTATTAATAGTCCTCTAGGGTAGGAAGGGGTATGGTGGATGGGCCTGTTGACAGTGGGAGTGGGAGCTTTCATTTTGCAGTGTATAAATTTTTGCATTAGCACATGTCATATTTGCAACTGGAAGAAGTTTTAAATATGGGAGGCTCAATAAGCCACAGTTGAGAATTCAGAGTTCTCTGGCATCCATGTTTTATGGAACCAGCCCCCTCAGTTGTTCCATT
Source organism: Homo sapiens (assembly GCF_000001405.40). NCBI lineage: Eukaryota > Metazoa > Chordata > Mammalia > Primates > Hominidae > Homo > Homo sapiens. The sequence continues at coordinate 28,350,694 of NC_000010.11, forward strand.
TCTGAGAAATATGCTGAGGCCATCCTAGGAAAGGATCACTTAGAATCCCATTTTTTTTTTTTTTTTTTTTTTTTTTTTTTTGAGACAGAGTCTCGCTCTGTCAACCAGGCTGGAGTGCAATGGTGCGACCTCAGCTCACCGCAAGCTCCGCCTCCTGGGTTCAGGCCATTCTCCTGCCTTCTCCTGCCTCCGCCTCCTGAGTAGCTAGGACTACAGGCCCCCGCCACCATGCTTGGCTAATTTTTTGTATTTTTAATAGAGACAGGGTTTCGCCATGTTAGACAGGATGGTCTCGATCTCCTGACCTCGTGATCCGCCCGCCTCGGCCTCCCAAAGTGCCGGGATTACAGGCGTGAGCCACTGCACCCAGCCTAGAATTCCTATTTTTGACAATTGTTGCAAGCAGCTCAGCATTGAAGGTATTTCATGCAAACTAAATTTTCTATGTTATTCAACTACCTTTTTCTGAACCGTATATATAGGCACTGATAGAATATTAAGATTTAAAAAATAGAAGTACTCATCTTACCTTGTGTATTGTTTTACGGAACAGAAAAGTAAACTACTTTGGTTTTCCTATCAGCAGAGTGGTACTGAAGTATACACTTTTCAACAATCCCAATTGTTAAGAAAAGGGAAGATTGAGTTGGCATGTGTTTTTTCCTTCACTCGTCTCCATTTCTTTGATCCTGGAATAAAGACATCTCCGAAGACAGGACAGAAGCCACATCTAAAGATAGTACTCAAACCCCCAAAATATCACCAGACAACCTATAATAAAACAAAGCTACATGTATCAGAACTCATTGCAGGAAAAGAGAGAAAACACTACCTCAACAGTCTCCATAGAATCTCCAAAGGGGAAGGTCAGAGAAGAACATAGGATTTTGAGTTTAGACTCAAGTGGTTTAAGGTGGATCTTTAGAGACAGGGAACCAATTGAGATCAGGCCAAGTTCAGGACATAATAGCTTAGAAGAGGTGCACATAGCAAGGTGAGGGTCTTGAAGTAAGTCTTGGTAAGCAAACCGTTGTTTTAAGTGAGTTGTTTGCCCAGGTGAATAGACTGCTGCTTCAAATATAGCGATGTGCAGAAATTTCCTGCAGCAAACAGTGAAGTTACCTACTGATTACAGTCTTTTCCTGGGGCAACAACTAAGCAGTGCTGAATTGGGCATTTCCCAGAACGAACAACTAAGCCATGCTGAATTGGGTATTTACATACTCAGTCTTTAGCCTTAAATTCTCTCTCTCTCTCCCCCTTTTTTTTTTACCAGAAGTTGACACAGGTGTTCTCAGTTCTTAAGCCTAATAGCTATACTGTTGATGTAGCTGGTTGCAGTTCTTAAGAGTAAGCAAGAGACTGGACAGACTCTGAGTCCATTAAAACTTCTTTAACAGCTCAACAGGGTGGGCATGGTGGCTCACGCCTGTAATCCCAACACTTTGGGAGGCCGAGACAGGTGGATCACTTGAGGTCAGGAGTTCAAGACCAGCCTGGCCAGTGTGGTTAAACCCCATCTCTACTAAAAAAAATACGAAAATTAGCTGGAGGTGGTGGTGCATACCTGTAGTCCCAGCTACACTGGAGGCTGAGGCACGAGAATCGCTTGAACCTGGCAGGCAGAGGTTGCAGTGAGCCGACATCATGCCACTGCACTCTAGCCTGGCCAACAGAGAAAGACTTGGTCTCAAAATAAATAAATAAAAATAACAAAAATAAATAAAAAAAATTTTAAAGACCCAGCTCAACAAGCTCTGAACTGCTCACCTCCAGATTTCTTGTTAAGTGAGGGGAAAAAAATTGACTAAGCCTATGTAACTAGGTTTGTGTTACAGGCAGCAAAATTCAATTCAGTCAATAGACCTTGAGAAGGAAGAAATATCACATGTTAAGGAGCCCCAGGCTCTTAGAGGATTTTCTGGAGAAAGAGAAGTGAACATTGGCCAAAGCTGAAAGACATCCTAAACCATGCTAAGAAGATTAGGTTTTCTCTGGGGTGCAATGGAAAACCTCTTAAGAATTAGCCAAAAAAATTACACGATCAGATTTGCATTTTCCAAAACTCTATGGGCATTTTGGAAAATAGATTAGAGAAGGGCAAGATTAGCATCAAGAAGACCCCTAAGAAGGATGCTGCAACAACCTAAAATTAATGCTAAGAATCTGAACCATGAGGATCACTCTAAGGAGTCATTCATTCATTCCTCCTTTCCGTAAATATTTCTTAAATGCCTATTACTTGCTAGGCACTGTGCTCAGCACTGGAGATTCAATAGTAAACAGCCCAAACAGACCCTGCGGGTTTACAATGGAACACATGTTGAGTTCCTACTGTACACCAAAGGCTTTATGTTCATTATGTCAATTATCTTCTAACTGTGTATGTGTGTGTGTAGCAGGGTACTATTATTATCATTTCTGTTTACAGATGAAAAACTTGAAGCGGGGTACAGTGGAAAAGCTGAACACAATGGTGTGCACCTGTGGTCCCAGCTACACAGGCGGCTGAGGCAGGAGGATTGCGTGAGCCCAGGAGTTTGAATCCAGCCTGGGCACCATAGTGAGACCCAGTCTCTTGAAAAAAAAAAAAAAGAAAGAAATAGAAAAACCTGAGGACATTAGAGAAGTGTATGAATTAGAGAGGTATTAAGGAGGCTGACTAATTTTATTTCTTCTAACAGCATGTTGCTCTGTGATCATACAGGCTTTTTATTCTCCGTCTTTCCATGTGATGCTTTATGTTGTATTGTTAATCTGCTAGCCTCCTCTGGGAAACATCTTTCTTTCTTTTTCTTTCTTTCTTTTTTTTTTTTTTTTTTTTTTTGACAGGGTCTCCCTCTCTCACCCAGGCTGGAGCACAGTGGTGCCATCACAGCTCACTGCAGCCTCAACATCCTGGCTTCAGGTTGTCCTCCTGCCTCAGCCTCCCCAGTAGCTGGACCACAGGTATGTCCCACCATGCCTGGCTAATTTTTTAAAAATATGTATTTGTAGAGATGGGGTCTCCCTATGTTGCCCAGACTAGTCTTGAACTCCTGGGTTCAAGTGATCCTCTCACCTCAGCCTCCCAAAGTGCTAGGGTTACAGGCATGAGCCACTGCACCTGGCCCATTTCTCCTGAATTATTGAACCACATTCCCCAGCAGGGCATCTATTCCCTCTTCTAATTACCCAATTCTCCGTTTCTTTCTTAGCCTACTCCATTCATGGTCTCCATTCTGCAATTAGACCTTGTTCTAGCAAAGCTCCTTCTATGATCCCTTCCATATCCAGAAGGCCCACCTTCTGATATTCATGTATAAGCATAGGAAAATATCTAATATAGAGTACTGTATTAGTCGGTTCTCACACTGCTAATAAAGACGTACCTAAGACGGGTAATTTATAAAGGAAAGAGGTTTAATGGACTCAAAGTTCCACATGGCTGGGGAGGCCTCACAATCATGGTGGAAGGCAAAGGAGGAGCAAAGTCATATCTTGCATGGTGGCAGGCAAGACAGAGAGCATGTGCAGGCCAACTCCCCTTTAAAAAACCATCAGATCTCATGAGACTTATTCACTATCACGAAAACAGCATGGGAAAGATCCACCTCCACGATTCAATGATCTCCCACTGGGTCCCTCCCATGACACATGGGAATTATGGGAGCTACAAGTTAAGAACAGATTTGGATGGGGACACAGCTAAGCCATATCAAGTACAAAAGGGAATGAAATGTACTTAGCTTTTTGCCTCTCACACATGACTTACCTGGTGAGGCTTATTATGCGTCAGGCACACCTGCCTACCTTCTGTTCCCTGAACCCTCCCCAGTCCTTCCCATCCTAGGGTCTTCAGCCTTGCTGCTGCCCTCTGCCTGGCTCTCTCTTCCTCCAGATTGGCACCTGCTGAGCTCCTTCTTGGTATTCAGCTTGGGGCTTAAATATTAACTCTTTGGAGAGGCCTTTCCTGACCACTCAATCCAGAATGATCTCAAATCTCTTTCTATCACGGCCTTCTGCCACGTCTGCATTTTTTTTTCATCACTGCACATATAACCATTGGATATTTCCTCACTTATTTGTTTGTTCATTACCTCCAGTAGAGATAAGCTGCATGTGCAGTCGTGTAGCAAATGTGTGTTGAATGAATGGCAGGGCAGCCCTGCTGCCGACCTAGGCTAGAAAGCTTTACTGTGTATGCACCTCCATCAAAAGGACATTTCCACTAGTGATTCCTACAGCACTTTCCCTGCCAGGCATTCAGCAAGCACTGAGGAGCTTCAGTTCAAACCCCGCCCCGGGGCATACTCGCTCCAGCTTTTGTCCTTAAACACTTACATCTTTTTCACCAAAGCAGTTCCAAAGCTTGAGCTTAGTATAATGAGATCTTCTTGCCATGGGTGAGCAGTCTAGACTTTTGCAGCCTTAAATTATTTTTGGTTGTTGTTAAGACGGAGTCTTACTTTGTCATGCAGGCTGGAGTGCAGTGGCACAGTCTTGGTTCACTGTAGCCTCCACCTCCTGGCTTCAAGAGATTATCCTGCCTCAGTCTCCCGAGTAGCTGGGACTGCAGGCATGAGCCACCACACCTGGCTAATTTTTTTTGTATTTTTAGTAGAGACAAGGTTTGGCCATGTTGGCCAAGCTGGTCTCGAACTCCTAACCTCAGGTGATCCACCCACTTTGACCTCCCTAAGTGCTGGGATTACAGGAGTGAGCCATGGCAACCAGCCCAGCCTTAAATTCTTTATCTCTACAGGGATAATAAATTTTGTAATCATCACACAGAAAAGGGACAGCACATAACAGAATGGAAGCAAAACGGAGACCAAGAATTTCAAAGAATCAGGAAATCAGAGGTAGAAACAGAAAGTAGAAATGTGAGACTCCTGAGAATTCCCCAGAGATGTGAGGCAAGAGCAGGGATTGGGGAACACTGGACTTCATAGTGTCAGATGGATGAGGGACTCAACGCAGTTCTGCTTTCACATTATAGAATGGAGTAATTGAATAGTAAATACTGAAATCCTTCTGCAGGATGACTATGTTTATTATATATGTATATATTACATATTATATATGTATATATTATATATGTATCCAGGTAGCTACCATCTATATTACTTAAATACCAATAATTGATCTATAGCCCAAGCTGGACCTCTCTTTTAAACCTTAAGCTGTATTTCCAACAGCCTCTTGTGAATCTCTGTATCTATTTTATCTCTATCATGAGCATTTCTCTTTTGGGATTTTTTGTCTACTCGGTATCTCAATGTTGGTCTCACTTTGGGGAAATCTTTCTTTTCATGGGTCTTTGGAGGAGATAGACTTCTACCTCCCACTTTAGAAACAAAAGAATCAGAGAGGGTGGGGAGACATCTGTTCTACATCACAAGTAGGGTACGGGTGTGTTACCTGTGGTTCCTCATACTCACACCCATGACCATGAGAGAGTGACCCAGGAATGAAGAGTCAGCTGGGTTTCTGCTCATTTTTCAAGCCTCATTGTGAGCCTCCTCATCAATCCTGTGAGCTACTCACAACGTTCCAATCAAGCCCTTTTCTGCTTAATATAGTCAGAAATGGTTTCGTTTGTGTCCAAATAAGCACTCTCACTGATATCTGTCTATCTATTGAGTCTGTCTCATAAATATATCTTAAACCTGTGTCCATGGGCCAGATATGGTGGCTTATGCTTGTAATCCCAAGATTTGGGGAGGCTGAGGTGCCAGGATCGCTTGAATCCAGGAGTTCAAGACCAGCCTGGACAACAGAGTGAGACTCCATCTCTACAAAAAATAAATTAGCCAGGTGTGGTGGTGTGTACCTGTAGTCCCAGCTAATCAGGAGACTGAGGCAGGAGGATTGCCTGAACCCAGAAGTTTTAGGCTGAACCACTGCATTCCAGCCTGAGCGACAGAGTGAGACCCTATCTCTTAAAATAAAAAAATAATAATAAAAATAAATGAGACTGAAAGAAACAAAAAGAACACATGTTGACTTCTGCCTATGTGCCAGGCATGTTCTGGTTATTATGTTTGTATCGCCTACCTGTTCTTTCAGAGAGATTAGAGGGTCTTTTTGTTTGTTTGTTTGTTTTGAGACGGAGTCTCGCTCTGTCGCCCAGGCTGGAGTGCAGTGGCATGATCTCGGCTCACTGCAAGCTCCGCCTCCCGGGTTCACGCCATTCTCCTGCCTCAGCCTCCCGAGTAGCTTGGACTACAGGCGCCGGCCACCAAGCCCGGCTAATTTTTTGTATTTTTTTTTTTTTTTTTTAGTAGAGACGGGGTTTCACCGTTAGCCAGGATGGTCTCAATCTCCTGACCTCGTGATCCGCCCGCCTCGGCCTCCCAAAGTGCTGGGATTACAGGCGTGAGCCACCGCGCCCGGCTGAGATTAGAGTTTTTATTGGTTTCCAAAGTGAGTGTAGGGAAAGGCTCTCCGAAGACTTGGCCGAAGAGGAAGACAGTGGATAGTTTCTGATCATTGGCATGACTGCAGAACAAGGAGATGCTATTCCCTAGATTGTGTGGACTCCTTTGTTACCGTTTTTGAATGAAATGTCCCTTAGTAATCCCCTCTCTCTCTCATCAGCTGCAAAGCTATTTCCCTACTTATACTTGTGACCTCGCTACCTATCTCCTTTGGTTAAGGGTTTGGCCGGGGGCGGGGGGAGGGTTTTTTTTTGTTTTTTTTTTTTTTTTTTTTTTTTTTTTTTTTTGAGACAGGGCCTTGCTCTGTCACCCAGGTTGGAGTGCAGTGGCTTGATCTCAGCTCACTGCAACCTCTGCCTCCCGGGCTCAAGCGATCTTCCCCTTTAGCCTCCCAAGTAGCTGGGACTATACACTTGTGACATTATGCCCGGCTAATTTTTGTGTTTTTAGCAGTTGGGGTTTTGCCATGTTGCCCGGATTGGCCTAGACTTCCTGGGCTCAAGTGATCCTCTCGCCTTGGCCTCCCGAAATGCTGGGATTACAGGCGTGAGCCAGTGGACCCAGCAAGGTTTTCTTAATTGCCCAATTCTCCATCCTGGAAGCGATCTAGTATGAAGCGAGTTAATACTTGGTGCTCTTAGGATGGGTATTTAGGGAGGCGTATTATTATTACTATTATTTTTTTTTTATTTATTTATTTTGAGACAGAGTCTCGCTCTGTCGCCCAGGCTGGAGTACAGTGGTGCAATCTCGGCTCACCGTAAGCTCTGCCTCCCGGGTTCACGCCATTCTCCTGCCTCAGCCTCCCGAGTAGCTGGGACTACAGGCGCCCGCCACGATGCCCGGCTAATTTTTTGTATTTTTAGTAGAGACGGGGTTTCACTGTGTTAGCCAGGATGGTCTCGATCTCCTGACCTCGTGATCCGCCCGCCTCGGCCTCCCAAAGTGCTGAGATTACAGGCTTGAGCCACCGCGCCTGGCTCCAGGGAAACATATTATTTTTAAAAATACCTATGGGCTCTCTAAATTCCAGGTAAAGCAGACCAGAAGAATGACATACTCCCATTTCTGTCTAGCACAGTTCTTCAGGTACACCTTCTCTTCCCTTCCCTGTCCCTGTATCTGTTCATTCTCTTACTCGGCTGAGGGAATTCTGCAGTATCACTTCAACTACACAACTACATAATTGTTCCCACCATTTCACATCTCAGTAATAATAAGAGGACCGTCTTTGACCTTGGCTTGCCCCCTGGTGATGGGACAGAAATCCCCAACAGCATTCCTCTTTTCGCCCAGAGATCTTTAGGTAATAGACTGTCAATTGACCAACTCCAGTTCCTCCCTTTTAGTGCCTGCATTGTGGGCCTCGTGCAACTGCCTCTTGGAATCATCTCATAGATCTTATGATTAAGATTTCTACAACCAGGCCAGGCACAGTGGCTCACGCTTGTAATCTCAGCACTTTGGGAGGCCAGGCGGGCAGATCGCTTGAGGTCAGGAGTTCAAGACCAGCTTGGCCAACATCAGGAAGCCCTGTCTCTACTAAAAATACAAAAATCAGCTGGGCGTGGTGGCAAGCACCAGTAATCCCAACTACTCGGGAGGCTGAGGCAGGAGAATGGCTTGAACCCAGGAGGCAGAGGTTGCAGTGAGCCGAGATTGCACCACTGCACTCCAGCCTGGGCGTCAGAGCCAGACTCTTTCTCAAAAAAAAAAAAGAAAAGAAAAGAAAAAAAGATTTCTACAACCAATCTCCTGGGAGCTTATTAGAAACAGCAAACTGTCCTTTGGTCCCACAGTTTGTCCCATTTTCCAGCTTTTTTTTTTAAACATCTGCTGAATTCCTTTTACTCATTTGGAACCTTAATGAAAGGAGCAGATGTCAAACGGGTACTGTTCCCTCCAGCCCTATCTACTGCCTGTTAATGCACTTTCTTTCTTCACTCCTCCCCACATCACTTCCTCCATGATGTGTCTCTTTCTCGCATCTTCCCGTGGCAGGCCTGTGCCCAGTCCCTACACTCCACACACTGCCACCCTCTCCTCGCCTCCAGACCTTTCCCCTCTCCAATATCATCTTCAATTCCTCACATGTGCACCCCGTCATCTTCCCCAGTCCTCTTTAAATAGATGGGAGCTCTCTTTCAAACAACCCCTTCCCCAAATAGGCAGCTTATTTTTCTTTTATAAAAATAGGATATAAAGCCGAGGCAGGTGGATCGCTTGAGGCCAGGAGTTTGAGACCAGCCCGTGCAACATAATCAGACCCTGTCTCTACAAAAATAAATTAAAAAATTAGCTAGGCATGGTGGTGTGTATCTGTTGTCCCAGCTACTCAGGAGTCTGGGGGAGGAGGATCACTTGAGCCCAGGTGTTGGAGGCTGCGCTGAGTCATGATTGCACCACTGCACTCTAGCCTGAGGGTACAGTGTGACACTCTGTCTCAAAAGAAAAGAAGAGAGGAAAAGGGAAAGGAAAGGAAAGGAAAGGAAAGGAAAGGAAAGGAAAGGAAAGGAAAGGAAAGGAAAGGATGTACTCACTATGATTATAACATTATCTCACATTACCTTTTAAATAAATTTTTATTTTATTTTATTTTATTTTATTTTATTTTATTTTATTTTATTTTATTTTTTGAGACTGAGTCTCTCTCTGTCGCCCAGGCTGGAGTGCAGTGGCAAGATCTCGGCTCACTGCAAGCTCCACCTCCTAGGTTCAAGAAATTCTCCTGCCTCAGCCTCCTGAGTAGCTGGAATTACAGGCACCTACCACTATGCCCAGCTGTTTTTTGTATTTTTGGTAGAGATGGGGTTTCACCATGTTGGTCAGGCTGGTCTCAAACTCCTGACCTCAGGTGATCCACCTGCCTTGGCCTCCCAAAGTGCTGGGAGTACAGGCATGAGCCACCACAGCTGGTCTAAATGAATAATTTAAATAATTTTTTGCTCTTATGTATGAGCCTATAGACTCTAACATAGGAAATAGCAGAGGCAGATATGTCATATTATTATAATAAATCTGAGTATATCACCTGGACACTTCTTTTTCAACCTTTATTTTTATTATTCTAATCTTTCTCTTGCCCTTGAAAGTCAGGAAGGGGAGATATTGAGGCTCATCTGCCTATCTTGTTGGTGACTGGGAGATTTCAAGTGAGAAAATGGTGAAAGCCCTCTAAATACAGCCAAACTTTACAGAAATGCGATGCATTGCCACATAACTTCTCTCTCCTGTAACATGACGGACCTTGTACTCTTGCAATATCTCTGTGTTACCAGTGGATTTATTCCCATTTTATAGATGAGAACACAGGCAGGGATTGCCCACAATCGTAAGGCAGACTAATTCCGAAACTTGTATTTTATTTTGAAAGTCAATTAACCCTGTATATGTGGATTTATTTTTGGACTCTACTCAGTCATTCCTGTTTTATAAACTTCCTATGTTTAAACATATGGTGCTGTAGTAAAAACGTTATTTGGAAAATACATGAGGTCTGCTTTTTCTCAAATCAATGTCTTTTAGTGCCACATAAGCATCACAATGGTACTTTTTAAACGATCAGCAGCTAGATAAAATAACTGTATATGCAGAAATTAAATAGCATAAAGCACTAACCAAACACAAGGAAGGTTTTGTTGTATATCTTTTAACTCTTGCACCCAAACGTACTCACTCTCCTCTTTATTCTGATTAGCCAAGGAGATCCCACAACAGGACAACCATTTCAACAAAGCAGAAATTAATTAAAATATTAACATGAATATGTATTAATATTATGCATTCGAGCATTTATTAGGTAATGTGTGGAGTGATATGTGTCTGAACACACAAATTTAAAATGAAAACAAAATGAAGAAAATTTTAAATCTTTAAAGCCCACACTAAAATTGCTTTGTTGATAAATTCAATCACCTATGCTTTAGTGAACCAACAAAAGAAAATCACTTCTTCAAGTTAGAAAGAACAGAGTCAGTGTTCATACTATTTTGTATTATATAGTATTTTTCTTTTTAGAATTGCAAAGTTTGCTCTGCTTTTTCCGTTAAAAAGCCCCATTAATCTTTTAAAGACACCTTTAAGATTGTTTAAAAACAATCTTAACTCTCAAAACTCAAGAAGAAAATAAGCAAGACAGTTTTTTAAATGGGCAAAAGAGTTGAACAGACACTTCACCAAAGAAGATATATGGATGGCAAATGAGCACATGAAAAAACACGCAACATCATTCATCACTGGTAAGATGAAAATTAAAACCACAGTGCAAAGCCAGGTGCGTTGGCTCATGCCTGTAATCCCAGCACTTTGGGAGGCCAAGGCGAGCAGATCACGAGGTGACCAACATGACCAACATGGTGAGACCAGCATGACCAACATGGTGAAACCCTGTCTCTACTAAAAATACAAAAATTAGGCCGGGCGCGGTGGCTCACGCCTGTAATCCCAGCACTTTGGGAGGCCGAGGCGGGCGGATCACGAGGTCAGGAGATCGAGACCATCCCGGCTAAAACGGTGAAACTCCGTCTCTACTAAAAATACAAAAAATTAGCCGGGCGTGGTGGCGGGCGCCTGTAGTCCCAGCTACTTGGGAGGCTGAGGCAGGAGAATGGCGTGAACCCGGGAGGCGGAGCTTGCAGTGAGCCGAGATCCCGCCACTGCACTCCAGCCTGGGCGACAGAGCGAGACTCCATCTCAAAAAAAAAAAAAAAAAAAAAAAAAAATTAGCTGGGCGTGGTGGCACCCACCTGTAATCTCGGCTACTTAGGAGTCTGAGGCAGGAGAATCGCTTGAATCCAGGAGTTGGAGGTTGCAGTGAGCTGAGATCAAGCCACTGCACTCCAGCCTGGGCGTCAGAGCAAGACTCCATCTCAAAACAAACAAACAAACAAACAAACAAACAAACAAACAAAACAGGCCGGCGCGGTGGCGCACACCTATAATCCCAGCACTTTTGGGGGGCCAAGGCGGGTGAATCACGAGGTCAGCGAGGTCAGGAGATCGAGACCATCCTGACTAACACGGTGAAACCCCGTCTCTACTAAAAATACAAAAAAAATTAGCCGGGCCTGGTGGCGGGCGCCTGTAGTCCCAGCTACTCATGAGGCTGAGGCAGGAGAATGGCGTGAACCCAGGAGGTGGAGCTTGCAGTGAGCCGAGATCGCGCCACTGCACTCCAGCCTGGGCGACAGAGTGAGACTCCGTCTCAAAAAAAACAAAAACAAAAACAAAAACAAAGTGCAATACCACGACATACCCAGTAGAGTGGCTAAAATGAAAGACACCGACCATGCCAAGTGTTGGGGATGATGAGCAAGCGGAACCCTCATACAACGCTGGCAAGAATGTAAAATGGACGACTACTTTGGAAAGCATCATACGTGAAAGTTTACAGGTGTTTTATTCACCATTATCCCAAACTGGGAACACACAAATGCCCACACAGGTGAGTGGATAAACAAACTGTGGTGTATCCATACAATGGAAGAGTGGTCAGGCATTTAAAAGAAATGGGTTACTGATACACACAGCAACATAATTACATTATGCGGAGTGAAAAAAGCCCGTCAAAAAAGAGTACATACACTATATACACAGTATTTGATATGTGGATCTAGTTCCACTTCCATAAAATTCTAGGAAATACAAATAAATCTACAGTGACAAAAAGCAGATCACGGTTGCCTAGGGACAGGAAGTGAATGGACAGGGACAGGAGAGAAAGATTACATGAGGATGAGAAGAATCTTGTGAGGGTGATGAATACATTTATTATCTTAGTTACAGTTCTGGTTTCAAAGGTATATACATATGTCAGAAGTATCTTACAGTACACTTGTGTACTGTTTGTTGTATAAGCTGTAGGGAAAAATGCAAGGGTCTTTTTATTTTTTATGTTTATTTTTAATTTTTTTAAGAGATAAGGTCTCACTCTGTGGCCCACGCTGGAGTACCGTGGTGCAATCATAGCTCACTGCAGCCTTGAACCTCTAGGCTCAAATGAACCCCTTGCTTCAGCCTCCTAAGTACCTGGGACTACAGGTGTGCCACAATTCCCAGCTAATTTTTTTAGTTTTTGTGTAAACATGCTGGGGCTGTCTCACTATATTGCCTAGGCTGGTCTCAAACTCTTGGCCTCAAGCCGTCTCACCTCGACCTTCCAATGTGGTGGGATTACAAGCATGAGCCACCATGACCAGCTCAGAGCACTTTTCATATATAGTAGTAATGTCTTTAGTTAATATAATTGATTTCGACACTGAAATCTTATTATATTTTGGCCCATTCTCCTTCTCTCTTTCTCTTTCATATTATTGAATTTCTAGAATGCTATTACAACCTATTTAATGTATTTTATGTTATGTATTCATTCAAAATGAATAAAGAGCCTGTTATGGCCAGATACTTGCTATGCCCTGAGAAGATAAAGATAAGGGAATCCAGTCATTATGGTAAGGGCCTATTGTCAGCATTATGTTGAGGAAACATCTGCTAACTTCAAACCACACCTTATTTAGGCCTTTTCTTTGGAAGATGACACCACATGTTATTTTATTTTTATACTTTTCTCCATGTAGAGACATTTCTATGAAGAAGAGGAATGTATCAGAACATGTACTTCAAGCCAAAGGACAATTCTGCAAGAGAGAATGAGAAGTCCTCCCCTGGATCTGATTCTGAATCTTGATTCCAGAATTCACAAGTAGGCTCGGTAGTCACACTGGGTCTCACATGAGTGGGATCTGAGCCTAGGCCCCCTGAACCAACGGGGAAGAGTGTGACCCCAGCCAGGCTGTGATAGGGAGGGTTATAATAACACATACGCAAAAGGCCCCTCAGAGAACACTGCGGAAAGATGAGAAACTTGCATCCAGGACCAGCCTTTCCAGAGGGCAAAAAGGAGACTCTCCCAGCATTTATGTAAGAGTGCACTGCAACACAATTAATAAATATTCTGAAGAAGAGTAAACCCATGGTGAAACCCCTCTACTAAAATACAAAAAATTAGCCGGGCGTGGTGGCACACGCCTGTAGTCCCAGCTACTTGGGAGGCTGAGGCAGGAGAATCGCTTGAGCTTGGGAGATGGAGGATGCAGTGAGCTGAGATCATGCCACTGCACTCCAGCCTGGTGATGGAACAAGACTCCATCAAAAAAAAAAAAAAAAAAACGAAGAAGGAGGAGGAGGAGGAGGAGGAGAAACTACAGTGTGATGTCAACTTCTTTCTCACAACTTCACATCACTGGATAATTGTTTTAAAAAACAGAACAATAAGGCTAGGCATGGTGGCTCATGCCTGTAACCCAGTGCTTTGGGAGCCTGAGATAGGAGGATCACTTGAGGTCAGGAGTTCAAGACCAGCCTGGGCAATGTAATGAGACTCTATCTCTACAAAAAATTTAAAACAAAACAGGCTGAGCATAGATAAAAGTCTACTGGGGAGGCTGAAGCTACTGGGGATGCCAAAGCAGGAGGATTTCTTGAGCCCAGGAGTTCGAGGCTGTAGTGAGCTATAAGCATCACACCACTGTACTCCAGCCTAGGCAACAGAGCGAGACCCTATCTCAAAAAAATAAAAATAAAAAAACAAAGTCTACCACCACCCTATCACCTAAAAGCCATTATTACTGCCTCAGAAAAGTTAGCCAACTTAATGATTATAATTAAGAAAACTTTTCTAACAGAAAGTGCTATGATGATCTATTACACAAATTATTTTGAAAAACATTTTTTAAAAAATGATACTAATGAAAAAAAATCACAACAGGTATAATACAACCTAAACTCATTTACAAGTATGAAACCCCCACACATCCTAGCCTTGATTTTAAAATAATACTGAAATATTTACAAGTCAAACATTCTTAAGTTTATATATATATATATAAAATAAAATACATATATTTTTACAGACAGAGTTTTGCTCTGTTGCCCAGGCTGGAATGCAGTAGTGCAATCTCAGCTCACTGTAACCTCTGCCTCCCAGGCTCAAGCAGTTCTCAAGCCTCAGCCCCCTGAGTAGCTGGGACTACAGGTGCACACCACCACGCCCTGCTAATTTTTTTATTTTTAGTAGAGACAGGGTTTCACTATGTTGGCCAGGCTGGTCTCGAACTCCTGATCTCAGGTGATCTGCCTGCCTCGGCCTCCCAAAGTGCTGGGATTACAGACGTGAGCCACTGCGCCCAGCCTTAAGTTATGTTTAAAAAAAAACATTATAAAAGTGCAATTTTTAAAAATCCTAATGCAAGAAGACAATATGGAGACAATAAAGGGGTTTTATCCTAAGTACTACTTTGGGACCCTGGAAATGTTTTAAAAGACTCAATTGTTGCTACCACGTGACCTGGCTTCATATCTTTTTCCAGTCCAGGTTGTGGCACATGAAATCTAGAGCTCTCCTATTGCCTGCTGTGGAAGACAGAAATTACAGAGGAAGGAGAGGCTCACAGAGAAAAGAAGGAAAAATAATAAGGAAGAGGAAAGACAGAATAGGAAAGAGTTGGAGGAGAAAAACAAAAATAAAACAGGTTGAGAAAAATAGGATAAGTGAAAAAAGGAGGAAGAAGGAGAAAGAGTGATGAAAACAACATATGAAGGAAACTGAAAAGTGAGCTGCTTATGCAGATTTAGGGGTAAAGGAAAAGCTTCACCTCCGCCCTCTGAAAGATGTGCTGAACATGAATGGACAATAGCCAGGTTAATAGAAGAAAACAGCAAACAAATGTATGTAATGTGCATTAGCACAGGGGAGTCACAGAAGGATGATTACCCAGTAACCCAATGAGGCTCAGTTGCTTTTATATCCTTCTTTGTGGAGGAATGGGAGAAAAGGGAAATATGGCTATTTTTAGACGTAGTGAATGATTTATAGGGGAGATGAATGAGCCCCATGCTCAGACAATGGTAAGTAAATGATTCTCTTTGGAAATTGAATGGGATCAGAGAACAGATGATAGTTTGGGACAAAGTTCATCTGGGCTCCAGGTGTGGTGTTTCACTTTCAGTCTCCTCTGTGATACAAGCTTTAATCTTCTCAGGTTAATGAAATTTCAGGGAGGATATTGAAGGCAATTGTGTTCCTTTTTGGCGGGTCCAGTTTCTACCTAGATTAGGGAACTTCAGAGAACATTCTCTTCTTGTGCATTTGGGAGAGACAGAAGGTGAAGAGACAGGAGTTGGAGGTGGGGAGAAGGTCAGAGTGAACTTGAGGCTGCTTCTTTATTTCAGTATGTCAAAGCACCATATTTTGGGGTATCGTTTGCTGATCCCCAACATGTATGCAGTGTTTACATATAATTTGCTTCTATCTTTATAGACTGGGGTGTATAATCCAGTGGTTTTCAGATTTGCTTTCATTGTTACTATTTAAAAAGCTAAAGGGTACAACGTTCATTATTTGGGTGATGGGTAAGCTAGAAGTCCAGTCCCACCAGGATGCAACACACCCATGTAACAAACATGCACGTGCACCCCCTGAATCTAAAATAAAATAGCTAGAAGCTGGGCGTGACTGTTCATACCTGTAATCCCAGCACTTTGGGAGGCTTGGGCAGGTGGATTGCTTGAGCTCAGGAGTTCAAAACCAGCCTGGGCAACATAGCAAGACCCCATCCCTACAAAAAATACAAAACTTAACCAGGTGTAGTGGTGCACACCTGTGGTTCCAGCTACTCAGGAGGCTGAGGTGGGAGGATAGCTGGAGCCTGGGAGGTTGAGGCTGCAGTAAGCCATAATTGCACCACTGCACTCCAGCCTGGGTGACAGAGCAAGACCCTGTGTCATAAAAAATAAAAATAAAAATAGATAGAAAGTCTTATAATTTTCTTTTTCTTCTCACCCACCCATGACATTAATCTAGAATTAGGTGGAGCAGGCAAAAGAGGAGAGATTGGGCCCCTGGGAATTTGTACCGAGTCGCAAATGGCTCATGAGTTACTGAGAACCCTCACTGGAGAACACGTGCCTTGTGGAAACCCTCTTGTGATATAAGCAGCAGGGGCACCCCTGCCAGTTTCAAAATCGTGTGACAAATGGACACAGACCTGTGCCCCCCACTGTCAGAGCCTATCTGCTCTCTACAGGGGCTTCCTTTTGAAGAGTCAAGCTTCTTGCCAAGCTATCTTTCAGCCAAAAACCATTTTCCTCTAGTTTACAGGAAAAAGAGGAAGAAAAAGCCCACCCATCCTTTTCTGGGTTGATTATTTTCCATTTGAAATTAACGAGCTTCCCACGATGAAGCCAAGTTGTTTTGTTCGGATAATGAAATTGCATTTTTGCTTCACACGCAGCAATTCAAACTAACGTGGGCTCCAGCCATTTAGGGAACAGGTCCTTAGTATGGCCAGAAAGAAGGAATGCTACTGTTTTACAGAGATAAAAGTTACATTCAAATTCCTCTCTGAATTTCCCTGCGTATCATGGACAGACAAACTTACAGAGAGACTTTGTTTGTTTTTTGTTTTTTGAGACAGTTCTTTCTCTGTCGCCAAGGCTGGAGTGCAGTGATGCAATCGTGGCTCTCTGCAGCCTTCAATTCCCAGGCTCAAGTCATCTTCTCAGGTTCCCGAATAGCTGGGACTACAGGTGCAGCACCATGCCCGGCTAATTTTTTTACTTTTGTAGAGACAGGGTCTCACTATGTTGCCGAGACTGGTCTCAAACTCGTGGCCTCAACTGATCCTCCCGCCTCAGCCTCCCAAAGTACTGGCATGAGCCACTTTGCTTGGCACAGAAATACTTTAAATATTTACCCAGGATATTTCAAATATGAATCTGTACTTGACGTGTCTACAAGTGGCTGGCTAGTGTTTCCAAAGACGCACTGAAAACGTTGAAAAAATAAAATGGCGACTCCGGATAAGGTATCTGTCACCATGCTATGTTGCACAGAATGCTCACAGGAAAAGCCACACTGCTCTGTGACATTATGATCAAGGAACACGTGCTGAGTGGAGGCTCAGACCATATGGGCCTGTGCATATGGTAATCATTAAAGACTCACAGCTTACAAGAGTAACTGACAGAAAAAATATATATAGTGAGAGTCTCAGTGGTATAAATTCCTCTCTAGACCTCCCACCATATGGGGATATTTAAGTCAAAAGAATTAAGCATCAGAGCTAGAAGCTATTCCTGCACACAAGTAGAAACTACTTTCAGTGAGCAGAATCAGGAAATACGATGACTTGTCTACTCAGGCACATACTTAAAGAAAGTACCCAAACCGAAGGAACTAGAAAGACTTTCGCTTCTTTTGAAAAGAAGGGAAGTGGTGAGTGAGCTTCGGCATTCAGCCCCACCCAAAGAGCTCCCCAGACCTGGGCCACAGTGTCAGGAAATTGCAGCAGAGAGTTCAGAGAGACAGGACTAGGTCCAGCAAAGGAAAAATGATTAAGGGGTCAAAGACAGGGATAAAAGTGGCTTTTTTTCCCCAAATATTGAGTTGGAGTCTTTATTTTTATTTTGTATTTTTATTTATTTTTATTTTTTGAGACGGAGTCTCGCTCGTTAGCCCAGGCTGGAGTGCAGTGGCACAATCTCAGCTCACTGCAACCTCTGCCTCCTGGATTCAAGCAATTCTCCTGCCTCAGCCTCCTGAGTAGCTGGGATTACAGGTACGCACCACCACACCCAGCTAATTTTTGTATTTTTGGTAGAGACGAGGTTTCACCATGTTAGCCAGACTGGTCTTGAACTCCTGACCTCATGTGATCCACCTGCCTTGGCCTCCCAAAGTGCTGGGATTACAGGCATGAGTCATCCTGTCTGGCCAACTTGGAGTCTTGAATGAAAAATAAGAGATACATTTTCAAATTCATGCAAAGTGCAAGCATTTATCTTTGGTAAGCATGGGTTTGCAATCTGAAGAATCTGTAGATTTTTCAGGTGAAGATGAGCAGAGTAGGAAGCAAATATTGTACTTTGACCGATTTTTTTTTTTTTTTTTTTTTGAGACGGAGTCTCACTCTGTCACCAGGCTGGAGTGCAGTGGCACAATCTCAGCTCACTGCAACCTCCACCTCCTGGGTTCAAGCCATTCTCCTGCCTCAGCCTCCTGAGTAACTGGGACTACAGGTGTGCACCACCGCACCCAGCTGATTTTTTTGTATTTTTAGTAGAGACGGTTTCACCATGTTGGCCAGGATGGTCTCGATCTCCTGACCTTGTGATCCACCTGCCTTGGCCTCCCAAAGTGCTGGGATTACAGGCGTGAGCCACCGCGCCCTGCTGGCCAATTTGATTTTAAGCAAAAGGTTTCATTTTGTTACATACCTCACCGTGCTCTGGCCACATCCTAGAAGATGGTGACACCATAAGAAGGGGCCAGAACACATCCTGAAGCAATATACTAGTCACTGTCACCTTCACCCCCATGCCTCAGAAAGTAAATTTACACCCCACCAGGGAGCAAAATTACACTCACATACACAAAACATGAAACGCCGAAGCATCCTATTGTGGAAGTCAGTTTTAACATAAGAAGAAAAGTCTATGCCTTCAAGAAATATTTATTAGGGCTGGGCCCAGTCCCTCATGCCTGTAATCCCAACACTTTGGGAGGCCAAAGTGGGAGGATCACGTAAGGCCAGGAGTTTGAGACCAGCCTGGGCGACATAGCAAGACTCCATCTCTAAAAAAATAAAATAAAAATTAGCCAGACAGGGGCTGGGCGCGGTGGCTCACACCTGTAATCCCAGTACTTTGGGAGGCTGAGGCAGGTGGATCACGAGGTCAGTAGGTCTCTACTAAAAATACAAAATTTAGCCAGATGTGGTGGTGCGCATCTGTAGTCCCAGCTACTCGGGAGGCTGAGGCAGGAACATTACTTGTACCTGGGAGGCGGAAGTTGTAGTGAGCCGAGATTGTGCCACTGCACTCCAACCTGGGTGACAGAGTGAGACTCCATCTCAAAAAAAAAAAAAAAAAAAAAATTAGCCAGACATGGTGGTGCACACCTGTAGTCCCAGCTACTCAGGAGGCTGAGGTGGGAGGATCACTTGAGCCAAGGAGTTTGAGGCTGGAGTGAACTATGACCACAGCACTGCACTCCCTTCTGGGCAACAAACCAAGGCCCAAAGAAAGAAAGAGAAAGAGAGAGGGAGGGAGAAAGAGAGGATGGAAGGAAGGGAGAAAGAGAGAAAGAGAAAGGAAAGAGGGAAGGAGGGAAGGAAGGAAGGAATGAAGGAAGGAAGCAAGCAAGCCAGGTGGTGGGTAGTGGAAACAGTGAGTGCAAAGGCCCTGGGGTAGGAGGTATGTGCTTGAGGAACAGCAAGAAGGCATGCAGGGCTGGAGTGGAGTTAGTAACAATGAGTTCATTTCACCTGAAGTCTCCCTTTTAAGCAATGAAATTGAATGCCAAAGAAGTGAATTACCTAATTAATTGTAGCTTCTATCCAAAATGATAAGTGGTAGCAAACCTGAATTCACACCCTCAGTCCTTGGCAGAACCATGCTAAGTCTTCTGGGACTGTTGCTAGTCCATCTGGTGCCTTTGGGCAAATTAGAAAATGGTGTTCCTTCCTCCAGGCAAAGGCCGCTGCATGACCAGGTGCACTACTTGGCAGATGGTGCTTGGCCTGGACTTCACCTGTCATTTGCCCCCACAGTCAGGCACTCTCAGCTGGGCCCAAACTGCACAGCAATATGCATTGGCCAGAATCAACAGCATCTTTTCCATACTGTTATATCTCCCCTAGTATTGATCGAATCATTCCCCAAGCCAATGGTTTCAAGTTTGAACTCTTAGTTAATTCTCATCATATAGTTCATTTTGCAAGAGGTGTGCAGCACCATGCTGCTTTGAACCATTTGGTAGGTGTTGCAAATAGTTGAATGGTGGAAAAGTTGAATCTGTTTGGCCACAGATGGACTGTAAGATGTGTATTGGATTCCCTTTGCTGCTGTTAAAAATTAATGCAAACTTAGTGACTTAAAACAACACAAATTTATTATCTTATGCTTTTGGATGTCAGAACTCCCAAATTCAAGGTGTCAGGAGTTGCATTGCTTCTGGAAGCTCAGTGGGACAATTCATGTACCTGCCTTTTCTGACTTCTAGGAGCTGCCTGGATTCCTGGACTCCTTGACCCTTCCTCCAGTTTCAAAGTCAGCAATGCAGCACCGTCAAAGGGTTCTCTCTCCCTCTCTGTCACACACACACACACACACACACACACACACACACACACACACTCACCCCTGCTTTCATCATCAGGTTGCCTCCTCTGACTCAGACCCTCTGCCTCCCTCTTATAAGAACCCTTGAGATGACACCGAGTCTGCCTGAATAATCCAGGAAAATCCAGGATAAGCTCGCCATTTGAAGATCCTACATCTAAAAAGTCCCTTTGTCACATTCGGTGACAAGGCAGCGTCTGGGAATTAGGATGTGGACATCTTTCGGGGGCATTATTCTTCTGACCACAAGATATAATAAAAAAGTACACTCCCTGAGAAGGCCCCTTGTTTGACACTGTTCCTGGCCTTAAGAATTGTTTTAGATGTTCATTCTTCACCTCTTGAAGGCTTTCTGATTTTTAAAGAATTCACTGATAAAAGACAAATGCTGTTGGGAGCACCATTCATGGTAGCAAAGATATGGAATCAAACGGTGCCCATCAGTGGTGGACTGGATAAAGAAAATGTGGTGCATATACACCATGGAATACTATGCAGCCATAAAAAAGAATGAGATCATGTCCTTTGTACAACATGCATACAGCTGGAGGCCATTATCCTAAGTGAATTGATACAGGAACAGAAAACCAAATACCACATGTTCTCACTTGTAAGTGGGAGCTAAACATTGGGTATATGGGGACATAAAGATGGCAACAATAGATGCTGGGGACTACTAGAGAGAGGAGAAATGAGGAGGGCAAGGGTTGAAAAACTATTGGGTGCTATGCTCACTACATGGGTGATGGGATCAACTGTACCCCAAACCTCAGCATCACACAATATACCCAGATAACAAACCTGCACATGTACCCCCAAATCTAAAACAACAGTTGAAATTTTTAAAAATTAAAAAAATAACCCAAATGCTTCTGGGAGGGAGAACATGTTAAGTGTTATCTGTTAAGACTTGAGAGAGACGAAAAAGACCCAGGGAAAGAATTAGAGAATGTAAGGAGGGGTGTTTGGGCACTACGGGCAAAAAAAATAATTAATTTTCAGTTTTGGCCAAGAGCTAACTTGCCGCCTTAGAAAGAGCAACGCGTCTGGGAATAAGGAATCTCAAATTCTAGTCACTAATTAGTCGTTAATTGCAGAAATTGCATTTAGTATCTTTGTGTCTTTCCTCACGATGAACTGAGAATAATAGCTAATCCCTTGGGCAGTGAGATGACACTTAAAAACCTGAAGTAGAGCTGGGCACAGTGGCACACGCCTGAAATCTCAACTACTTGAGGGGCTGAATCGGGAAGATCCCTTGAGGCCAGGAATTTGAGACCAGTCTGGGCAACAATGTGAGACTCTGCCTCTTAAACCTTTTTTTAAATTCACCATGTGTGCTGGTGCACATCCGTAGCCCTAGCCACTTGTAAGGCTGAGGCAGGAGGATCACCGGAGCTCAGAAGTTTGAGGCTGCAGTGAGCTGTGATCGTGCCACCATACTCCAGCCTGGGCAATAGAGCAAGACCCTGTCGTAAACAAAAAACAAAACAAGAAACAACCCTGTATGTAAAAGCCCCTAGAAAAGCTTAACAAACTAGCAAATATTCCTTTTGTGATAGGTCTTTGACATACACCATCTCTTTTCATGCTCGGAAGTGCTATTTGAAGCAGGTGCTATCATGACCCTCATCTGACAGGTGAGGAGACTGAGGCTTGGGCTAAATAACCAGAGAAAGGTCATGCAGCGAGGAAGTAGCAGAACTGGGATGTGAACCTGGAATTATGTAACTTCAGGGTCGCTACTTTCTATCACTATAAAGTATTCTGCCTGCAGGCTGGGCCCAGTGGCTCACGCCTGTAATCTCAGCACTTTGGGAAGCCAAAGCCAGCAGATGGCTTGAGTCCAGGAGTTTGAGACCAGCCTGGGCAACATAGCGAGACCCCATCTCTACTAAAATTACAAAAATTAGCCGGGCATGGTGGCGCACGCCTGTAGTCCCAACTACTTGGGAGGCTGAGGCAGGAGGATTGCTTGAACCCGGGAAGCAGAGGTTGCAGTGAGCTGAGATTGCACCACTGCACTCCAGCCTAGACCACAGAGTGAGACTCTGTCTCAAAAAAAAAAAAAAAGAAATATATATATATACACACATATATATACACACATATATATACATATGTATATATATATGTATGTATATATATATATATTCTGCCTGTAAAACCTAGGTGGGAAATCTGGAGACAGCATTTGGGTGAGGTCATGGCAAGGTGGCAGAGAAAACAAAGCAAGCTCGTATTTTAAAATTCCAAAAGGGGGCAATTCCAAGGTGGTTGATGTTTGAAAGAATATAGTTTAGGATTTGGCATTGTGAGCCATTTTAAAATCCAGGCAAAAGAGATGGAAATTAGCAGCACCTGCTCTTCCCTGGGTCCCCTGCCTCTCCCTGGGTCCCCTACCTCTCCCTGGGTCCCCTGCCTCTCCCTGAAGCCTCTGAAGAGACCCCCAAAAAAGGCCAATTTCAGGAGCCACACAGTTATTTTGTCTGTTAAATTATCAAACACTCACATCAGGACTCTAGAAAAGAAGAAAAGGAAAGAATAAAATCTTGAAGATATCAGAAGAAAGAATTTATGAATGAAAAATTACAAACCAGGCCATCATTTAAATAAACAAATACATTCGAATGGAGTTATTTGAATAAGAAAACTCCTCCATCGACATAGTCTAATTTATGAAATTGTCACTGAGAAAAACATAAATGAAAGAAGAAAAATTGTAAGAAAAAAATCAAAATCATTGGAATAGATTAGACAAATAAGAGACCATTATGGACAATTTATATTTTAAAATAGACAAATGCACATTTTCAAAAAATTAACAGCAGAAGAGATACAAAACTGGAAAAAAAAAAACAAAACAGGAATGTATTTCCCTGACCTGGGTCCCACTAAATCCTCCCATGAACATTCCAATGAGAACACAGTTTCCATCTCTGTAGCTTGAACTCCTACCCTTGGCTTCCTCCCTTTCTCCATCCACCCTCTCTTTGCCCAGCACAGACCCCACCTCACCCCACAGCCCTTCCTGCACCGCCACCCCATCCCATCCGCCCCTCCAAAGCTACCCTGGCATCTTGTGGAACTCAGGCTCAATTATAAACAAGTTTCCTTACAAGTTAATGTATTCTATTAGTCATTTACTTTTTAAACTATTGTGTTAATTGTGAATAAAACAGAGCAAAATCCTTGTTCTCTGATAACTTACATTTTAGTTGTGGAAGGCTGATAATTATAATTATGATATAAATATATAGGTACAAGTATTATACATAAAATATATAAATATATAATATAATGCATAATACATAAATTCATAATCAATATATTTCCAAATGGTTAGCATTTCACCATTCAGGTGCACTTACCCTTCTGAGACCTTACAACTACACAAGTTCTGTCTGCACACAGGAGAAATTTTATTCTGGAACTCAGCTAAATGCTACTTGAAATTTTTTTTTTTTTTTTTTAACGGAGTCCCTGTCACCCAGGCTGGAGTACAGTGGCACTATCTCAGCTACTGCAACCTCCCCCTCCCAGGTTCAGGCAATTCTCCTGCCTCAGCCTCCCAAGTAGCTGGGCCTGGCTAGTTTTTTGTTTGTTTGGTAGAGACAGGGTTTCACCATATTTGCCAGGCTGGTCTCGAACTTCTGACCTCCAGTAATCTGCCTGCCTTGGCCTCCTAAAATGCTGGGATTACAGGCATGAGCCAACGCGCCCGGCCTAAAAACACTTTTTTTTTTTAAAGGTGCAATCCGCCATGTGACTTTCTCTTAGTATTGAATATTTTTGTTGCATTAGTTTTAACTTGATGTTGGAATGTTATTCCTGTAGCAGAAAATACTACACAGCTGTCAACTGTGTTCCTTAGTGCCTAGCCAGAAAAATATTTGGAGGCTATTTCAAAAGTCCTTCTTCATTTATGTGGCTTTGCTGATCAACTTTTCAATCAACTACTGAAATTATAGTTTCCAGTGAAGAGAGAGAGAGGGGGTAAAGTGGTGGGAAGTAACCCATCTAGATGTGCAATAATATCAGAAAGAATTTTCGAAGAATTTATTTGGATTCTAGAAGATAAAAGGAACTATCTCATTCTCATTCAAAAAGATTCTCAGAACAGTGAAGACTTTTAAAATACATGTGTTTCTCTCTCCCCCCCACACACAAAAAAACGTTAAAAAAAAAAATCATAATCAGTTGGTGATAAGGCAACCGGAGAAAAATAAAGCAGGCACTGAGTCTCCTTAGCGCTAAATTTCTGGCTGCCTGAAATGCTGTCAACAATTGCTGGATGGAGTTTCTTCTGCCTCCACCCCCTGCATTTTGCCAAGGTCACCTATCACACCTTTACCTAATTATCTAGAGCAAATATAGTTCACATGTAGATATAGTAATGCATTTAATCCCTATAACAAGCCCATGAGGTAGATATTATTATGTCAATGTCACTTTTTTTTTTTTAACATACACAGAAACTGAGATACAGAAATTAAGGACATTTCTTAAGGCATCACAGATAGAAAGTGGCTGAACTGGAATTTCAAGCCCAAATGCCTGTCTCCAGGGTTCCTGCACTTTACCACTTCAAGTCTGTCCACACTCCCGCTGAGTCATCTCACAGCCACTCCTCCAACTGACCTCCTCTGCTTCAAAATGTTGAGGTATGTTCAGTCTTCCCTATATTTAGAAGTTGTCATTCCTCTTTTCCAAGCCTCTTTTCCTGTGCCTTTACCCTACTTTGTACCTCCAATTATATACCCTTCTTTTACGAGGCACTGTCGTAAAAATTAATATGCCACGTTTTTGCCCTGCTTAGTACATGAACCCTTGCTTTAGTTGTCCTGAGGGATCTGTAAACCTGGAAGGAGATTAAGATTATTGTCACCAAAGCAGGCCGGGCATGGTGGCTCATGCCTGTAATCCCAGCACTTTGAGGAGCCAAGCGGGCAGATCACTTGAACCCAAGAGTTCAAGACCAGCCTGGGGCAACATGGTAAAGCCCTGTCTCTACAAAAACTACAAAAATTAGCTGGGCGTGGTCATGTGTGCCTGTAGTCCCAGCTATCTGGGAGGCTGAGATGGGAGGATCGCTTAAGGCCAGGAGGTAGAGGCTACAGTGAGTCGTGATTGTGCCACTGCACTACAGCCTGAGCAACAGAGTGAGATCCTGTCTCAAAAAGAAGAAAAGATGGTTGTCATCAAAGGAATGGCAACAATTTCTAAAGAGAGTCATGGGTCATCCCCTGTAGCCCCTACTCTTGCCCACCTCCATCCCTGCATTTAATCCGCTAGGCTCTATGGAATCAGCTCACAAAGGTCTATTGTGCGAGAAAGCCCTAAGCAATGTAAGGTTTAGCAGAGCTCCAGGGGACCAAGCCAGGAAGCAGGAGAAGGGGGCAGTGGGTGGGGAACTGTGAGAAGAGGAGAGAAAGGCGTAAGGCTGGGTGATTCTGTGTTCTAATGCTCCCCTTCCAGGCTCTGCCCTGGAAAAGGGGAAGAGGTCAGAGGAGAGGCTCCTGCCCACTGCCCATTTAGGACTCCAGGGGTTCAAAGGTGTTACACTGTGAGATTCAGCCACATCAATTGGCTTCCATGAACAAACTCCATCACACCCTCCCTATCTTTCTCATTTCCTCTTCTGATTTTTTACCTCTTCTTCCATCTCTCCTAGTTCCACTTCCGTCTTTCAGTCTTTGCATGCGGGTGTTCTCCAAAGTTTTGAACTCAACACTTTTGTGATCTCATTTTTTTTCTTATGATATGAACTGTCACCTGTAGACAGATGTTCCCTAAATCCAGATGTCTGGTTATAACTTCTCTCTTTTGAATCTCTGTATTGTATCTCAAGCCCTCTTAGATACTTCCACCTGTTCTCTTTGCCTGTAACTTCAATTTGATACAATTAAACCCACATCTATTCCTGCCACCTTCCAAACCATCCTTCCTTCTTTCCTGTAAATGTTAAGGGCACCACCACTCTTTGTAAATTTCCCTACTTTCTATGTTGAGTGAAAATCTTCAAACCATTCCAACACACGTTTACAATAACTTAGTAAAATGCCCAACACATATAATTACTATATGCCAGATGCCAAAGGCTTTCCATATAGTAATACATTTAATTCTCACCACAACTCTATGAGACTGCTACTATTATTACTACCATTTTATGGCTAAGTAAACTGAGGCATAGAGAGGTTGTCACCCAGCTAGTTAATGGCAGATGTTGGCATTTGAACCCAGGCAGTCTGGTTCTGCCATGTATTCTTAATAGATGTCTGTATTCTTTTATTTTTTATTTTATTTATTTATTTATTATTTTTTTTGAGATGAAGTCTTGCTCTGTCGCCCAGGCTGGAGTGCAGTGGCACAATCTCAGCTCACTGCAACCTCCACCTACTGGGTTCACACCATTCTCCTGCCTCAGCCTCCCGAGTAGCAGGCACTACAGGTGCCCACCATCATGCCTGGCTAATTTTTTGTATTTTTAGTAGAGATTGGTTTTCACCGTGTTAGCCAGGTTGGTCTCGATCTCCTGACCTCGTGATCCGCCCACCTTGGCCTCCCAAACTGATGAGATTACAGGCGTGAGCCACCATGGCCAGCCGACGTCTGTATTCTTAATTCTTATTACGTAATAAGGCCATGTTAAATAAAAAAACTGATATAAAATTGTATACATAACATAATCACAACTAGTAAAACACACAAGCAAAACACAATGTAAATAATTAGGTAAAGAAAAAAGACAAGAACGAAATATACCAAGATATCAATAGTGGCTATACTGGTGCAAAAAGGACTGAGAACAATTTTATTTTTTATCCTCTATTTTTTTTTATTTTTCCAAATTTCCTATTATGGGTATAATAGTTATAATGAAAAATAAATTAATACATTTTATTTTTAAGTGACTGCAATCAATTGAAACATGGAAATACAATTGTGGCATACTTCCCTCTCTCCAACAAAAAAATAACTTATACATCTGAATCTTGCATTCAACTTCACCATTCTAGTTCTGGCTATTATTTTCTCCCACCTACTTATAGACTCTTATATTTATAACCATCCTACATGCTGGATTAATCTTTTTTTTTTTTTTTTCTCTCTGAGACAGTCTTACTCTGTCACCCAGGCTGGAGTGCAGTGGCATGATCTCGGATCACTGCAACCTCCGCCTCCTGGGTTCAAGCAATTCTCCTGCCTCAGCCTCCCAAGTAGCTGGGACTACAGGCAGCGCCACTGCACCCAGCTAATTTTTGTATTTTTAGTAGAGGCCGAGTTTTGCCATGTTGGCCAGACTGGTCTTGAACTCCTGACCTCAGGTGATCTGCCTGCCTCAGCCTCGCAAAGTGCTAGAATTATAGGTGTGAGCCACCGCACACAGTCTGGATGAATCTTTTAAAGGCAATGTTTTCTTTATATCACTTCTCTATTCAAGAGATTTCTACCTTCCTGTTAGTCATGGAATTCTACTCAGGCTCTTTAGCCTGGCATTGAATTTGTCCGCAAGCTGGCCCTAACCTTCCCTGCAACCTTTTCTCCCATTTTTTCCCTGTATGTTTCCCATGATCCTATCAGTTTCATTTCGTTTCTTTTGCCTTGGTCTCTTCTAGTTCCATGCAGCTCCTCAGGTGGCGAGGTAGCCCTGACAGAGGTACATCAGCAGCCTGCACCCAACTTCTGGAGTGTTTTGGATTGGCTTATGCTTCTCAGGGACCCAAGTCCACTGGCCTGGTCAGATCTCCTGTGCTCCTGAGCATGGCCCTGCCCAGTAGCCTTCCCTGTCAGTCAGTGCTGGGAGCCAGGGAGCCAGGAGGAAGTCAGGAGGGAGCCTTCCTTCCAGAGCATTGCCAACCCTCTTCCAGACGAGCAATCTGCCTAGTTTGTGGGTTCGTTCTGCTCTTTGTGTTCTATTTTTCTTCACGTTTTTCTGGCAGAAATGATGGCTTGGTGTTCTGCACAAGTCTAGCCAGGTTCAAGCTGGATCCTTCCCAGCCCTCTTGACTTCTGTATTAGACTAACAACTCAATTTCCGAAGCATAGGACTCTGCTCATTGAATTGGACCTCACTGAACGACCTGACCCATGCCCAAGGACACTGGGTCCTAGAGATCGCAGGACTTGAGCTACTTAAGTGTCCGCGCTGAGCCCTGGCTCTGCTGCCTCAGAACCTCTCTTCCAGATCTGCCCCATCACCCTGCCAGCCTGCATTGCCAAAATTGCATGTCAGGGTAACTGGGAGCTTTTCTGAGATTAAAGTTTCTCCCAAAATATATCCTCCTCAATCTTTCCTGCCCCTTGAGCCTTGGATTATGTCGTTCCTTTTGCTCAGAACTCTCCTATGAACACTTATAACTTTTCTGCCTTTTTTTTAAACCCCCTTTTTATTGAGACAGGGTCTCACTCTGTCTCCCAGGCTGGAGTGTGGTACTGTGATCATGGTTCACTGCAGCTCCAAATTCCCAGGCTCAAGCCATCCTCCCACCTCAGCCTCCCAAGTAGCTGGGAGCACAGTGGCATATGCCACCAGACCCAGCTAATTTTTTTTTTTTGTAGAGATGGGGTCTCACCATGTTGCCCAGGCTGGTCTTGAACTCCTAGGCTCAACTGATCCTCACGCCTTGGCCTCCCAAAGTGCTGGGCATGAGTCAGTGTGCCTAGCCTAAAAAAATGTTCTTTTATTGTGGTAAAATATACATAATATATAATTTACTATTTAAATAATTTTTAGGGCAGAGCTCGGTGGTTCACACCTATAATCCCCAGGGCTTTGGGAGGCCAAGGAGGGAAGATTACTTGAGGCCAGGAGTTTGAGACTAGCCGGGGCAACATAGCGAGACCCTGTGTCTATTATACATAAAAATTAAAGTAAAAACAAAATTAGCTGGCATGGTGGTGGTACCTGTAGTCCTAGCTACTCAGGAGCCTGACATGGGAGGATGGCTTGAGCCCAGGAGTCTGAGGCTGCAGTGAGCTATGATCACGCCACTGCACTCTAGCCTGGGCAGAGTGAGATCCTTTCTCAAAAAAAAAGGAAAAGAAAAAAAGAAAAATTAATCATTTTGAAGTATATAACTCAGTGGCATTAAGTACCTTCACAGTGTTACACAACCAACCTTCACCATATTCATTTCCAGAACTCTTTCATCATCCCAAACAGAAACTCTGTACACATTAAACAATAGCTCTCCATTTCCTCTCCCCACAGCCGCTATAACCTTTAATCTGCTGGTTTTTTTTTTTTTTTTTTTAGACAGGGTCTCCTCTGTCCCGCAGGTTGAAGTGCAGTGGCGTGATCTCAGCTCACTGCAACCTCTGCCTCCCGGGCTCGAGTGATCCTCCCACCTCAACCTCCCAAGTAGCTGGGACTACAGGCGCACACCAACACATCCAGCTCATTTTTGTATTTTTCATAGAGATGGTGTTTCACTATGTTGTCCAGGCTGGTCTCAGACTCATTAGCCCAAGCAATCTGCCCAACTCAGCCTCCCAAAGTGCTGGGATTACAGGCATGAGCCACCATGCCTAGCCTTTAGTCTACTTTTTGTTTCTATGAATTTGCCTACTCTTAAGTACCTCATATAAGTAGAATCATACAATATTTGTCCTTTTGTGTCTGGTTGTATTAGGGTTCTCCAGAGAAATAGAGCCAATCGTAGATAGATATAGGCAGAGACAGAAAGAAGGAGATTTATTATGAGGAATTGGCTCATGATCTTATAGAGGCTAAGAAGTCAGCCGTTTGTAAACTGAAGACCCAAGAAAGCTCTTGTGTATTTCCAAACTGAGTCTGAACGCCTGAGAACAAGGGGAATCGATGGTGTAAAGCCCAGTCCAGAGACAGGAAAAAGACCAACGTCCCCTCATGCTCATCCCAGAATAAACACCCAGCAAATATTTAATGTATTAAATACATGAGACGTTAATGAGTGACTCTAACAAATACAAATCAGAATCCTTCATTTTTTGACATTTGTATTGAAAGCGCCTAGTTTTTACTTACTAATTTCTACAATTTTTTTATTTTAAAAACTCTTAAAGAAGCATGTGTATATTATCTGATGTCGTTTTGCCAAAAATAATAATCTATTACAATCCTATAATAAGCTAGATATTATCTAATTATTCTATTAGGTTGAAATAAGCCAATGTTTGTCAGAAGGAAAAACTGACCCATGTAAGTGTTTATTTCAAGGGTTTTTCTTAACTGTGGATATCTGATCTTTGAGAGCTGCTGGTTTTAATTCTCATGCATCCTTCTGAGAAGTCACATTCTCAGAAGTTATTTAATTATGGAAAATGAAGAAGCCATAGGCTTATAGCATGAAATTCTAAACCTTGCCTGTCATAAATGTTGCTCAACAAAAGTTTCATATTTTGCAAACCAAGTGTTCCTCAGTAACACTCAACTACATAAGTTATGCTTGTCAGAGAGCTAATGGCATGGAAGAAAGAGGAGAAAAGTAAGGAACATTTAATAATAACTGGAAATGTACATTATTTCATGTCTTTTTTAATTCTATGATTCTTTTGAGCTGAAAAACTAAATGTGAAAAAGCAATCCAAAAAACAGTTTGAAATATGTTAAAAGTGAAGACAGAGATTTATATTGCAATACCCACCTCAGCCTTAACTGCGCTGTCTTCACCACAATCCTATAATTGTCTCATAAACTCCAAGCAAAGACCAAACGTTGACCACTGCTTTTCTCAGCAAAAAACATGGGCCTGAAATGTATCATGCAAGGTGTTACACTGCCACCTGCTGGTACGCCATCAATATGCATGGGAAAGAAAGGATCCAACACAGGACCTTTTTTCTCCTCCTTTCTCTCTTAGGGGTAATCTCCCAGAGGAGACAACGGTAAACTAGAAGAAAGGGAACGTGGAGGCCATTTTTCTTGGTCCTGGCAGTATAATTCAGCCTCCGAGATCTAGAAAGATTCTTTTTTTTTTTCATACGGAGTCTCGCTCTGTTACCCAGGCTGGAGTGCAGTGGCGCTATCTCCGCTCACTGCAACCTCCGCTTCCCGGGTTCAAGCAGTTCTCCCGCCTCAGCTTCCCGAGTAGCTGGGATTAGAGGTGCGCACCATCACACCCAGCTACTTTTTTGTATTTTTAGTAGAGACGGGTTTTACCATGTTGGCCAGGCTGGTCTCGAACTCCTGACCTCACGTGATCTGCCTGCCTCAGCTTCCCAAAGTGCTGGGATTATAGGCATGAGCCGCCGCCCGTCTAGAAAGATTCTTAAGTAAACAACAATACACTCTAACACTATTGAGTGGTACCATATTCCTCTAAGACTTACAGAATTCGAAAAACAAACAAATCCAGTTCTAGTCTCACAGCATTGACGTTAGAGTTTCCAGAGAAGGGGTGTGGGACATGGGAATATGAGTCAAACTGTAGAAAATTACTTCACCCTTATAGTCAACATTGTTTCATCTGCAGCTCTTCCGTAAAACAGGATTAGCTGTAAGGCATGAAGAGCTTTTCCATCTTGAGTCCATCTGTGCGACTGCCAGAAAGGAGCTTTGTGCAGTTAGAGGGTCATTCTGTGGGAATCAGAGACAGATGTTAGACCTGTGCTATCCAGTACAGTAGCCACTAGCCACAGGTGGCTACTACGCATTTGGAAAGTGGCCAGTCTCAATTGAGATGTGCTGTAAGTACAAAACACTTAGTGGATTTCAAAGTCTTAGCATTAAAAAATATATAAAATATCTTTTTATATTGATTATATATTGAAGCGTAATATTTGGAATATGTTGAATTAAATAAATATATTATTTAAAAATAATTTCATCTAATTTTTTTTTTAAGACAGGGTCTTGCTCTGTTGCCCACGCTGGTGTGCAGTGGCACGATCACAGCTCACTGTAGCCTTAACCTTCTGGGCTCATGTGATCCTCCCCGCTCAGCCTCCCGAGTAGCTGGCACTACTTGTGCACACCACCATGCTCAGCTAGTTTTTGTTTTTGTTTTTGCGAAGACGGGGTTTTTGCCATGTTGGCTAGGCTGGTGTCAACTCCTGAGCTCAAGCTATCCACCCGCCTCGCCTCCCAAAGTGCTGGGATTACAGACTTGAGCCACTACTCTAGGCTATTTAAAAATTTTTTTTAATGTGGCTTCTAGAAGATTTGTAAATTACATATGTGGCTCACATTATTATTCAATTGCACAGGACAGAGTTTGACAAACAATTATGACTAAGGTTAATTGAGTGCTTACTGTGTACTAAGGGTTACCTAGCAGGTATACTATGCCAAGGTTTTTGTGCACACTGGTTTTTCATTTAATCATCATAATAGCAGTATTAAAAAATGTATTATTATCATTTCAATTTTACAAGCCAGAAGACTGAAATTCAGAGAGAATAAGGGATAAGTTACCATAGTTGGTGAGTGACAACACCTGGACTTGAACCCAGATGCTTAGAAATCCAAAACCAAGGATCTTATCCACAATGCATGCAGTCTTCCAGCAGGGCTCTCTTTGGTCCTACCTCTATTGAGTTCCTTTTCATGCTCCTGTTCTGTGGCTTTGTCATAGAGTATTTTCCCCTCTCTATAAGACCGTCTTGGTGTAAATTCTATAGTCAGGTAAAAAGAGGTTTCTCTCCTTTACATATTTTCCTATGCCCATATTAAATAACAAACTTAGAGGTGGAATGGTATATAAGGGTAGAATTCTTTCCAACGACTTCTTTTAATTTTTGTCCATCTTGGCTTTCAGTGTCTCGAAGTATAAACTTTCTCAGACATCATAAATCCTTGAGAAAGTGCTCTAAGAGGTTTTAGACAAAAACAGATTTTCCAGATTTGCCTGGAATTTTTTTTAGCTTTTTGCAAAGAAGGAGAGTTCTGTTTATACAAAAGCACTGGCAAAATTTCTGAGTCTAAAATCCTTCTGTTATTTAGGTACATGGCAGCTATACGTGCACACAAACACATATACATACACACTCATGTGCTCGCACAAACACAGAAAGCCACTTATAATCTCTCTTACAAGGAAATTAGGCTTTTGATCTTTTTAGTTTTCGTGAGGCAAGTTATCAATTCTAAAGCAAATAAGAGTTGTTATTTCTGGAGTAATTATTCAGGAATGAATAAATGTGACCTCTCCTCCATGTGTAATTACTTCCTGCTTTGTCTCACATTGCTTTGATTCTCTCCAGTTGTAAAGGGTCAAGAAATGTTTAGTGGTGGCTAGCAGAACAAAATCCAAATAAATTATATGTTAAATAACATAGTTTTTTAGAGTTAGCAGAAAAAGCAAAGGCTAGGTTTTGGAAAACTTGGCCATCCATCCATCTATCCATCCACGTATCCATCCATCCATCCACCTGTCCATCCACTCATCCATCCACCTATTCATCCATCCACC
Organism: Homo sapiens; assembly: GCF_000001405.40. Lineage (NCBI taxonomy): Eukaryota > Metazoa > Chordata > Mammalia > Primates > Hominidae > Homo > Homo sapiens. The sequence goes on from NC_000010.11 coordinate 28,384,691, forward strand.
AATCCATCCATCCATCCACCTATCCATCCATCCATCCATCCACCTATCCATCCATCCATCCATCCATCCATCCATCCATCCACGTATCCATCCATCCATCCATATATTCATCCATCTACCCACCTATCTTTCCATCCATCCATCCATCCAATCATCTATCCATCTATTCATCCATCCATCCATCCATTCATCCATTCATCTATCCATCTATCCATCCATTCACCCACCCATGCCAGGTATGGGGAATACAGATTCTACAGTAGAACTCAACCGTGACCATATGGAGCTTGTACTCTTGTGGAAAAGGCAGGCAATAAACAAATTAAAAACTGTTAATTGCAAAACCAAACTCTGTAAAATATTTTAAAGAGGGTTATTCTGAGCTAATATGAGTGACCATGGCCCAGAGACAACAGTCCCAGAGGTCCTGAGAAAGTGCACCTGAGGCAGTCAGATTACAATTTGATTTTACACATTTCAAGGAGACAGAAATTGCAGGTAAAATCATAAATCAGTACACGGAAGGTATACATTGGTTCAGCCTAAAAAGGCAGGACATCCCGAAGCGAGGGGCTTACAAGTTGTAGATGAGTTTTAGGGATTCTTTAGTTGGCAATTGGTTGAAAGAGTTAAGCTTTGTCTAAAGACTTGAAGTCTTTAGACAATGCCTAGCATTCCCTTCTATTGACTTCAAGTTAAGATAAGGAGGTCTGCTACCTGTCATGTGATGCTATACCAGAGTCAGGCTGGAAAGTAAGCCACATTATACCAGGCTAATGTGAAAAACGAAAACAAAAACACACATTTAATGAGCTTTTGTGGTTTGTAGGGCATGACTTAACCCTTGCCTTGCATGCGCTTAGGTCTTGTTTATAACTTGGTATCATATTGCCACAAAGAGTCCACTCTGTCAGTCTTATAATCCCTATTTTAACATTAACGCTGGTCAGTTGCGCCTAAACTCCAAAAGGGAGTGGGTATCACAAAACATGTGGGACCTCCCTTCCCATCATGGCCCAGAAAAGAGTTTTTCAAGTTTCTCTGGGGTCCGTTTGGCCAAGTTGGCTGGGGGGCTTAGGATTTTATTATTAGTTTACAGAAGCAAATAAAAACTATACATTGAAATGAGTCTTATGAAGGAAACAAACAGGGTGCAGAGATAGAGGACAGTCTGCTTTAGAGAAAGTGATCGGGAAGGCCTTCAGCTCATTGAGAACTGGTGAAGGAAATGATTCAGCAGCCCGGGCAGAAGGAAGCACAAGCGTCAAAAGCGCTTGAACCAGAGAGACTCCATTTTGAATAGGGGCTGGGTGAAATAATCCTGAGACCTACTGGGCTGCATTCCCAAGAAGTTAGGCATTCTAAGTCACTGGAAGAGATAGGACGTTGGCACAAGATACAGGTCACAAAGACCTTGTTGATAAAACAGGTTGTAGTAAAGAAGCCAACCAAAACCCACCAAAACCAAGATGGTAACAAAAGTGACACCTGGGCATCCTCACTGCTCATTATACACTAATTATATTGCATTAGCATGCTAAAAGACACTCCCACCAGTGCCAAGACAGTTTATAGATGCCGTGGCAATGTGAGGAAGTTACTCTATATGGTTTAAAAAGGGGAGGAGCCCTCAATTCTTGGAATTGCCCACCCCTTTCCCAGAAAACTCATAAATAATTCACTCCTTGTTTAGCACATAATCAAGCCCAAGCTGCTGCTCTGCCTTTGGAGTAGCCATTCTTTATTTCTTTACTTTCTTAATAAACTTGCTTTCAGTTTACTGCAAGGATTCCCCTCCAGTTCTTCACTGTGTGAGATCCAAGAACCCTCTTCATGGGGTCTGGATCAGGGCCCCTTTCCAGTAACTCAAGTGCAGCAATTTTGAAGTTATCAAGAGCACACAGCTTTAGGGAAAGGACAGTGAACAGTGACAGAATGCAGCGAACTAAGGTGAGCATGTGGGAGATACGCAGGCAGAAGCAGTTAGCATGGAGAGATCATCCAGGGATTCTCAGCAGAGTGAGGAGTTAGGGTTTTGTTCAAAGCTCACTGAAGAGCTACTGAGAGGTTCTAAGGAGAGGAGTAACACGTTACGATTTATATCCTTTTGAAAAGCTACTCTCACTGCTGGGTAGAAAGCAGATTGAAGAGGTAGGAGGCAAAGTTAAAAGTGTTTCCTGTCATTGAGTATTCTTTTATCTCCTGACATTTCTGTTCTCCAGTATCATGCTATTGACAATTTCATGTTCCACTTCAATTCCCAAAATGCTCCGTCCTTTTTACAGGTTAAATTTTTTTTATTTTCTTTCTTGCTATTTTTGTTTGTTTGCTCTCTGACTGCATTTCTAGAATCTTAAAGCTCCTGAGAATAATGTTTCTTTCTTCAGGGCATCCTAAACATCTGGATAGGATGCAATAACCAAGTGTAGCCCTGGCCCAGGTGCGCTCATAGCACCGAGGATTGTGTCCTAGGCCCCCACATCTGCTTGGAGACCTATAAAACACTCTCCAGGGAGCATTTGAATGCTTCTTTACTTCCAAGCACTCTAGTTTGTCAGCAAAGGTCTTTCCACAACAGTGATGAAATACTGCGTGTGGCTCCCTGACAAAAGTCTCAGGACACACCCTGCCCTGCCTTAGGGATGGGCACCGACTCTCCCTTAAGCTCAGCGAGCTCGCACAAGCCCTGCCAGTGATCTCCACAGGGCTTACTTGGCTCTTTTTCTGCGCTTCTCAAGCAATGTGCTGACCTGGTCTACTGGGCTGCTGGGATGTCTCGGCTGCCTTGTGCTCCTGGCTGGACATTCTAGGATTAACATTCCTGTACTACCAATTTAGGAAACATAAGTTCACTTGGTGCAGGGCAGAGACACCTTTTTCAATGAGTGAAAATGCCTCTCATCCTAGAGATCTTTCATTTGCCCCTCCAGACCCATTTGCCACCCTTATGAGCTCTCTCAGTCCACAGGAGGCTCTCTGTGGGCACTACACAGTTGTCCTTTAGCATCTGGCTGGGTTAGGCCAATGAAGACCCCAACAGATCAGTGGGAGCAGACTGAGGTCAGAGTTCTTATTCCCCATCGGAGCACAGTGGCTCATGCCTGCATTCCCAGCACTTTGGGAGGCTGAGGTAGGATGACTGCTTGAGCCCAGGAGTTCAAGACCAGTCTGGGCAACATACGGAGACTCTGTACAAATAATTAAAAATAAATTAGCTGGGCATGGTGGCACGCACCTGTAGTCCTAGCTACTTGGGAGCCTGAGGTGGGAGGATGGCTTGATACTGCAGTTGAGTCTGCAGTGACCCATGATTGCACCACTGCACTCCAGCCTGGGTGACAGAGTAAGACTCTGTTAGAAGAACAAATGAAACAAAGGAAGAGAGAGAAAGAGGGGTGGGAGAGGAGGGAAGGGGAAGAAAGGGGAAGGGAGGGGAAGGTGGAAGGGGAAAGGGAAGGGAAGGGGAGGGGAAGGGGGAAGGGAAGGGAGGGGAAGGAGGAAGGGAAGGGAGAGGAAGGGAAGGGAAGAAAAGGGGAGGGGAGGGCAGGATCTTTTTTTTTTTTTTTTTTTTTTTTTTTTTTTTTTTTTAGATAGAGTCTCGCTCTGTCGCCTAGGCTGGAGTGCAGTGGCCTGATCTTGGCTCACTGCAAGCTCCACCTCCCAGGTTAACGCCATTCTCCTGCCTCAGCCTCCCGAGTAGCTGGGACTACAGGTGCCCGCCACCACGCCCAGCTAATGTTTTGTATTTTTAGTAGAGACGGGGTTTCACTGTGTTAGCCAAGATGGTCTCGATCTCCTGACCTCGTGATCCACCAGCCTCCACGTCCCAAAGTGCTGGGATTACCGGCGTGAGCCACCGCGCCCGGCCCGGGGAGGATTATTTTTAAAAAGTAATTTTATCCCCTCCCTGAAGGTTGCTCTCAGGGTTGCAGCCCATCCTGCCCCACAGCCCCCTCTACAAGGCTGTCTCTAGTTCTCCACCCTCCCCTTCCCCTTCCAGGCTTAAGGACAGTAATGTACCTCTGTTGTTACAGGTCCCGGGATTCCCTATTCCTCACCATCTTTGTCCCTTTATAAAATGCTCCTAAAATTATCCCAGTTTGAATGTGCCATCTCTTTCCTGCTAGGACCTTGACAGATACAACTCTCTCCTTGAGAGTCCTTCTGGCCCTCCCGCTGATGGGACATAAGGACATCTGACCTTCAATTGAGAGCGACTTACATCTCACGCCATGCCATTCCTCCTTTCAGCAGGATAGTCCTTCCCAACAGGACCACACTTTATGTCTCCCCAGTCTTTAGGACTGCTTAATTCATTCCACAGAGGACTGTGCCATGTCACACAAATAAAGCCCCACAGTGCACCTAAAGAAGTCCCCTCAACAACCACAGGCTACATGTGCTATTTATGATCTCTCCTTGACAATTACACGACAATGAATGAAGACAAACACTTGGGGGTGTATTACTACACAAAGAGATGAAAAGATGGTGAACCACATTATTAAAGAATAATAATGTCGGGCTCAGTGGCTCACACCTGTAATCCCAGCACTTTGGGAGGCTGAGGCAGGCGGATCACCTGAGGTCGGGAGTTCGAGACCAGCCTGACCAACATGGAGAAACCCCACGGCTACTAAAAATACAAAATTAGCGGGGCATGGTGGCACATGCCTGTAATCCCAGCTACTCAGGAGGCTGAGGCAGGAGAATTGCTTCAACCCAGGAGGCGGAGGTTGCAGTGAGCCAAGATCTTGCCATTGTACTCCAGCCTGGGCAACAAGACAGACGCTCCATCTCAAAAAAAAAATAATAATAATAATAATAATAATAATAACATTAACAACAGTGTTTATTACATGTATACCATGTAGTAGGTGCTTAGTCTAAGCATTTGCCATGTATTAACTTCTTCAATCCTCACAACAATCTTATGAGACAGGGACTGTTGTCACCCTCATTTAATAGGTGAAGAACCCTAGACACAGAGAGGTTGTGTAACTTACCCAAGGCTATACAGCTAGTAATGGCAGATATGGAATTTGAACCAAGGCAATTTGGCTATAAAGTTGATGCTCTTAGGTACAATACTATAAATAATTAAATTATGTGAAATCTTAGTAAGGGGTCCTGGCTTCAATGCTCAGAACTGGCTTGATATTCCTTATGATGGGTTTTGGTGTCCCTTATTATGAAAATATTGGTAAGGAGCAAATAAAATAAATACTGGAAACCTAGACTGCTTAAGACATCAAAAGCACAATAAGAGATTTTAAAATACAATCAATGGCCAGGTGCTGTAATCCCAACACTTTGGGAGGCAGAGGTGGGTTGATCACTTGAGGTCAGGAGTTCGAGACCAGCCTGACCAACATGGTGAACCCTCATCTCTACGAAAAATACAAAAATTAGCCAAGCATGGTGGCGCACACCTGTAATCCCAGCTACTTCGGAGGCTGAGGCAGGAGAATTGTTTGAACCCCTGAGGCAGAGGTTGCGGTGAGCCAAGATTGTGCCACTGCACTCCAGCCTGGGTGACAGAGCAAGACTCTGTCTCAAAATAAAAATAAAAATAAATAAATAAATACAATTAAATACTGTGACATTAGAACACTGGATTTGAGCAAAAGGCATACTTTAAATCCTTGTAATCATTGATTTTGATAAAACAAATTTAGGTTTAAAATAAGTTGTTGATGCACTTATTAAATCTCCTAGGATGCTCATCTTTTTTTTAAAAAGCATATAATTATTTATAGTAATGATCCCCAAATTTTTAGTGCAACAACCAGCAGGGGCTTCGTCATATATGAAGATTCCTGGGCCCCACACAGAATTTCTGAAAAGAAATCCCTAGGGCATCATAGCAGGTGCAATAATGGCCCCTCACAGATGTTCATCCACAAAATACATGAATATATTTTCTTATATGGTAAAAGGGACTTTGCAGATGTGATTACATTAAGGATGTTGAGATGAGGCTGGGCACTGTGGCTCACACCTGTGATCTCAGCACTTTGGGAGGCCGAGGTGGGTGGATCACCTGAAGTCAGGAGCTTGAAACCAGCCTGGCCAACATGGTGAAACCCTGTCTCTACTAAAAATACAAAAATTAGCTGAGCATAGTGGCAGGGACTTGTAGTCCCAGCTACTTGGGAGGCTGAGGCAGGAGAATCGCTTGAACCTGGGAGGTGGAGGTTGCAGTGAGCTGAAATCATGCCATTGCACTCTAGCCTGGGTGAAAAAAAAAAAAAAAAAAAAAAGGATGTTGAGATGAAAATATTCACATGCATTAACTGGGTGGGACCAATGTTATCACAAGGGTCTTTATAGGTGAACGAGGGAGGCAGGAAGGTCAGAGCAGAGAAAGAGATGTGGGCATGAGGATGGAAGCAGAGACCAGAGAGATGCAACCTCCAGCAAAGGAATGCCGGCAGCCTTTATGAGCTGGAAAGGCAAGGAAACAGATTCTCCTCTAAACCATCAGGAAAGCAGAACCCCTGACCCATTTTAGACTTCTGACTTCTGGAATTGGAAGGTAATGAACTGCTGTTGTTTTAAGCCACTAAGCCTTCTTCATTACAGCAGCAAAGGGAAACTAATAAAGGGGTCAGTTCAGAATCTACATTTGTAACAAACCCCCTAGGTCACGGGTCCCCAACCCCTGAGCCATGGATGGGTACCAGTCCATGGCCTGTCAGGAACTGGGCCACAGAGGAGGAGGTGAGTGGTGAGTGAGCAAGTGAAGCTTCATCTGTATTTACAGCTGCTCCTCATTGCTCATATTACCGTCTTAGCTCCACCTCCTGTCAGATCATTGGCAGCAGCATTAGATTCTCATAGGAGCACAAAACTCATTGCGAGCTGCGTGTGCTAGTGATCCAGGTTGTGCACTCCTTATGAGAATCTAATGCCTGATGATCTGTCACTATCCTTCATCACCCCGAGATGGGACCATCTAGTTGCTGAAAAGTAAGCTCAGGGCTCTCACTGATTCTACATTACGGTGAGTCATATAATTATTTCTTATATATTACAATATAATAATAATAGAAATAAAGTACATAATAAATATAATGTGCTTGAATCATCCCAAACCATCCCCAGCCTCCAGTCCATGGAAAAATTGTCTTCCACAAAACTGGTCCCTAGTACCAGAAAGGTTAGGGACCTCCTGCCATAGGTGATTCTGCAACAGTTGGTCTTTGAAGAACTTTGCCTTATAGAAGTAGCCTAGATACAGGCCTCTGACAACAGAACTAAAAAAGGGATTGATGCTTATCTAGCATTTCCTCTTTAAAATGTGTGCTTTTAGAAATCTTTTAAAAATAATACTCTGGTCAATTGTTTTATTTGTTTTAAAAAGCCATTGATTTACCATGTAGATTAGTAATTGACCATGAAATAGTCATGAAAGGAAGTATAGTTAAAGTAGAAAAATCGTGGCATTTCCAGTCAGTGGGACCAGGACCACCCATCACTCCTGAGCTGTGTAAGCTTGTACAACTGTCATAGGTTTGTTGCCCAATGCAAAGTGAACCAATATACCAAGACTCCAGGGGTCACAGCAGAGAAAGAGTTTAATAATAATAATCATAGCCCCGCTGGATGACAGGATGGGAGCAAACCTCAAATCCACCTCCCCACAAGGTTTGGGTATGGGGTTTGTAAGGAGTCTAGACAGGTGATGGGCTAAAGCATGGCAGTTGCTCATTGGTTGAGAAGTGACGGATGGAGTCACGGGGCAGGGAGATGAAGAAACTGCATCCCCGTGCTGAGGTGGCTACTTGATGGGGGTCTTCAAACTGGATGGTGTCAGCTATTTTGCTGGAATTCAGGATCAGAAAAAATATCTTAAGCAATTCTTAGGTAAAAAGGTCCAGTAGCAGCCAGGAGTGGTGGATCACACCTGTAATCCCAGCACTTAGGGAGGCCAAGGCAGGAGGACTGCTTAAGGCCAGAAGTACAAGACCAGCCTGGGCAATGTAGGGAGATCCCACCTCTACAAAAAAAAAATAATAATAATAATTAGCTGGGCATGGTGGCACACACCTGTAGTAGTAGCTACTCAGGAGACTGAGGCAGGAGGATCACTTGAATCCAGGAGTTAGAGGCAGCAGTGAGCTACGATTGCACCACTGCACTTCACCCTAGATGACTGAGTGTGACCTTGTCTCTAAAAAACATATAAATAAATAAATAAATAAAGGTCCAGTGCCAAAGATTCTACCTATAGGGACAATGGGGAGCAGGTGGTCAGCATGCTACATGCCTCTTGGATAGTTAGCAGCTGCAGGGAGGTGGTTTGAAGTGTATCAGAACACCCTGGCCAAGGCCTAACTATAATTCTGCCTAGAGCTGGCTAGTAATTCTCATTAACCTTGTGATGGCTGCTTCACTTCACTTTCATGAGCTTCAGTTTTCCCATTTGTAAACTCTAGGATAATATCATCCCAAATATGTATATTTCAAAGAGCCTGGCATAGCAGCTATCATTGTTTAATATAACCTACCTTATTAATAGATTAGGAACAAAGTCATAATCTCCATTGACACAGAAAAGGCATCTGAGAAAACAGAACATTCCGTTTAAAAAAAAAAAGTTAAATTAGAAATTGATGGAAAATTTCTAGTAATAGATGCTCAGGAAAATTTAAAGTTCCATCTGTTCTCTATCTTTCCTTCCCCTTCTTCTTTCCAGAAATAAAATGACAAAACACTAATAGGATTCTATGTATGTGAGTCTTCGTATAACAGGATGGTTTTATTATTTGTTTTTGTCGTCGTTTGTTTCCTGAGATGGAGTCTTATTCTGTTACCCAGGCTGGAAAGCAGTGGAGTGATCTCAGCTCACTTCAACCTCCGCCTCCCAGGTTCAAGTGATTCTCCTGCCTCAGCCTCCCAAGTGCCTAAAATTACAGGTGTGAGCTACCACGCCTGGCTAATTTTTTGTGTATTTTTAGTAGAGATGGGGTTTCACCATGTTGGCTAGGCTGGTCTCGAACTCCTGACCTCAAGTGATCCACCCGCCTTCACTTCCCAAAGTGCTGGGATTACAGACGTGAGCCACGGCACCTGGCCAGGATGCTAAGATCAGACATTACCAATCTGTTTCTACAGAGCCCCCAAGATGATGATGTTAGCTACTTCCATTTTGCAAAGTGAGGTGCCAGGACACACAGTCAGAACTTGCAAAGCAGATATTTAAAAACAGTTTTGTTACCCTTTACCGAGATCCCACCTGGAAGTTATGAAATACTTGCAGGTAGAGATTAAACAAGGTGTCTCTGGAGGGTATGACGGATGTGCTGTGAACGTCTCTCCACCACATGGGAAGCTTGACAACTGTCTCATACAGATGGAGCTTGATGTGTGCTTCAAAAGTAATCTACAGGCAACAGCGTAGCTGAAAATCCTTGGCAGGGGAAGAGGTAAGTTTGGGAAGTGCCTGTGCGCCCTCTAGTGGCAGATCTAAGGGGAGCGTATTCTATGGGCCAGATGTGGCCACGCAGAGCCCACCTGGGGTTTTCTTAAATCCTTTGGGGCCAGGAGATCTTATCAGAGGGAGGCTAAATCTGTCCTCCCAGAATCAGAGACATAAGATGCAATTCTGCATGAATCTAGAGAACAGCTTGTGAGAGAGGGCTCTGAAGAACCCACAAATTACCCCCACAGAATGGGCATGAGCAGATGGTGTGGGGCATGGGAGAATGAAAGTGTTTGCAGATCACACCCCAGGAATCTTGCTTGTTCAACATAACGACTTTTTTTTTTAACTTGGTGTAAAGGGAAAGTTATATAATATTAAAATTTTTCATTAAAAAATCATAGTCTGACGAATCTTTTTTTAATTTCTGGGAAAATGTAAACCCTATTTAATTCACCCTGTGACCCATAGAGAAGTCATTTGTTCACATTTTTTATGCTCACATTTATAGATCCTTTTCCTTTGCTCGGAAGGAAACAACTCAAGTGATTTTCTAATTGTAAAAAAATTCACCAAGTATAGAAAAAGTCTAAATAAGAAAGTAAAAAGGCCGGGTGTAGTGGCTCACGCCTGTAATCCCAGCACTTTGGGTGGTCGAGGTGAGAGGGTTGCTTGAGGCCAGGAGTCCAAGATCAGCCTGGGCAACATAGCAAGACCCCAACCCTACTAACAAAATAATAATAATAATAGAAGTAAAAATAACTTATAACTTTAACTCTCAGTGTTAAATACTGGTAACACCTGGCAACATTTTCTTTTGTTTTGGGGGGTTGTTGGATTTTTTGTTGTTGTTGTTTTTTGTTTCTTGTTTTGTTCTTGAGTCTTGTTCTGTCACCCAGGCTGGAGTACAGTGGCCCAATCTCGGCTCACTGCAACCTCTGCCTCCTGGGTTCAAGTGATTCTCCTGTTTCAGCCTCCTAAGTACCTGGGGTTATAGGTGTGCACCAACACGCTTGGCTAACTTTTGTATTTTTAGTAAAGACAGGGTTTCACCATGTTGGCCAGGCTGGTCTCGAACTCCTGACCTCAAGTGATCTGCCCACCTCCACCTCCCAAAGTGCTGGGATTACAGGTGTGAGCCACCACGTCCAGTTGAATTTCTCACATTCTAAAGTGCATTGATTATAACAGATTTTGGAGAAAAATAATGCATTAAATATATGCATTGATTTTTCTGGTTCATTCTGTCTTTGCGTGCTGGCTTATGACTTACTCTGGCCACACACTTTATGGCAGAAAATGCCCACTCTTTGCTCTCACATTTATATGGTACAGCTACAAGTCACATAAACAAACTAATCTCTTTTTCTTTTTATCTTCCACTGTCTTCTCCTCCTCCTCTTCCTTCTTTTCCTTCTTCTCCTCCACTACTTCTCCTTCCCTGCCTCTCTCTCTTTCTCTATTTTCCCAATTTAAATTATCAACAGGTGATTCTGGCAAGCCTCATTTGAGTTAAGTGCCCACTTAGTCAAAAAATCAACCAGGATGCCAGAAGCCCCCTTGTGTATTGTGGGGGGTAGGTGGAGTGGCAGAGGGCATTTAATTTGGGAATGAGGCAGACATTCCAGAATTCGTCTGCTATGAGAGCAGTGTGACTTGCACTTGATTGATGCTCGATATTTTCAATTGATTTGAACCAAGTTGAGAGCTTGTAAGAGTTTAATAATTCCCACGATGATCTAATTTCGGGGTCAATTTCATTTTGAACAGTTATGTAATAGGAATACTAAATAACCAACATTTTTTTTTTTTCTGAGACATTGTCGCGTTCTGTCACCCAGGCTGGAGTTCAGTGGCACGATCTCAGCTCACTGCAACCTCCACCTCCCAGGTTCCAGCGATTCTCCTGCCTCAGCTTCTCGAGTAGCTGGGACTACAGGCGTGTGCCACCATGCCTGGCTAATTTTTTGAATTTTTAGTAGAGACGGGGTTTCATCTTGTTTGCCAGGCTAGTCTCAAACTCCCGGCCTCAGGTGATCCACTTGACTTGGCCTCCCAAAGTGCTGGGATTACAGGCATGAGCCACCACACCCAGCCAATAATCAACATTTAATGCAGCTATATTCATGTCATCATTTTCACAACTCATCATCCCAAGTTGTAACTAAATACTAACACAGTGATAAGTGAAAGTCTACGTGCTTCCTTAAAACAACTCTCAGAATGTTCAGTGAACAAAACCAAATTTCTTAGTTCTTGGAAAACAAAACAAAAAAACAAAACTTCAGAGTTTGTTAGGAAATTTGCAAAATTCTTGGCGTTCAAATCACTCGCACAAAGCAATACTGGGATGAGTCAAGTATAATTGAATCAGGAACATATGGATTAAATTCTCCTTTAAATACACATGGATATAAAGACGAGGGGAAAGAGAACCTGCCAAGTTTGTTACCAAAACAAAATGCTTTCAAAATAACTTGAGACAGTCAACAGACCACAAACACAGCTGTGTTCTCTTATGTCTAAAAAAAAATGAATTTTCCCTTCAATGTCTAGATATTTTAATTAGATTTTTGTTGAGTGCCTATGGCGTGTTAGGCACTTTAGAGAGCTCATCAAGTCATGTTCCCTACTTGGGAATGTGAAGTCTTTTTTAAAAAACTTCAACTTTTGGCCGGGCGCAGTGGCTCACACCTGTAATCCCAGCACTTTGGGAGGCCGAGGTGGGCAGATCATGACATCAGGAGATCAAGACCATTCTGGCTAACACAGTGAAACGCCATCTCTACTAAAAATACAAAAACTTAGCCAGGCGTGGTGATGGGCGCCTGTAATCCCAGCTACTTGGGAGGCTGAGGCAGGAGAATCACTTGAATCCGGGAGGCAGAGGTTGCAGTGAGCTGAGATCACACCACTGCGCTCCAGCCTGGCCGACAGAGCGAGACTCTGTCTCAAAAAACATTTTTTTTCCACTTTTATTTTAGATTCAGGAGGTACATGTGCAGATGTGTTACCTGCGTATATTGTGTGATGCTGAGAGTTGGGGTGTGACTGATCCAGTCACCCAGGTAGTAAGCATAATACACAATAGGTAGTTTTTCAGCGTTTGTACCCTTTCTCCCCATTCCTGCTCTATTGGATCTCAGTATCTATCATTGCCGTCTGTACGTCCATGTGTACCCAATGTTTAGCTCACACTTATAAGTGAGAACGTGTAGTATCTGGTTTTCTGTTCCTGCATTAATTCACTTCGGATAACGGCCTCCAGCTGTATCTATGTTTCTGCAAAGGACATGGTCTCGCTCTTTTTTATGGCTGCATAGTATTCCATGGTGTATATGTACCACATTTTCTTTATCCAGACCACCATTAATGGGCACCTAGGTTGATTCTATGTCTTTGCTGTTGTGAATAGTGCTGCAATGAATGTACAAATGCATGTGTCTTTATGGTAGGACAATTTATTTTGGGGAGGAGTATATACCCAGTAATGGGATTGCTGGATAGAATGGTAGTTCTTAGTTCTTTGAGAAATCTCCAAAATGCTTTTCACAGGAGCTGAACTAATTTACATTCCCACCAACAGTGTATATGCGTTCCATTTTCTCTGTATCCTCACAAAAATCTGTAATTTTTTGACTTTTTAGTAACAGCCATTCTGATAGCCATTTTGACTGGTATGAGATGGTATTTCATAGTGGTTTTGACTTGCATTTCTCTGATGATTAGTGATGTTGAATATTTTTTCATGTTTGTTGGCTGCTTCTTTGTCTTATTTTGAGAGTGTCTTTTCATGTCTTTCACCCACTTTTTTTTTGAGGCAAGGTCTCACTCTGTTGCCCAGGCTGGAGTGCAGTGGCATGATCATGGCTCACCATAGCTTCGACCTCCCAGGCTCAAGCAATTTTCCCATCTCAGCCTCCTAAGTAGCTGGAACTATAGGTGGCTATATATCTGGCTAATTTTTAATTTTTTTTTGTAAGAGTGGAGTCTCCCTATATTTCCCAGGTTGATCTCAAACTTCTGGGTCAAGCAATCATCCTGCCTCAGCCTCCCAAAGTGCTGGGTTACAGGCATGAGTTACTGTGCCTGGCCTGCCCACTTTTTAATGGGGTTGTTTTTTGCTTGTTAAACTACCGAAGGGCCTTATAGATTCTGGATACCAGACCTTCGTTGAATCTGTAGTTTGTGAATATTTTCTCCCATTCTGTAGGTTGTCTGAGGAAACATGAACTCTTAATGAAATGATTAGCATCATTCTCTTCCTGGTGTTAAAGCAAGCCAAATATGGCCTGAGAAGGACTCTGTATTTCTCCATTTTTTTTTTTTTTTTTTGAGACGGTTTCGCTCTTGTTGCCTAGGCTGGAGTGCAATGGCGTGATCTTGGCTCACTGCAACCTCTGTCTCCCGGGTTCAAGTGATTCTCCTGCCTCAGCCTCCCAATGGGATTACAAGCATGAGCCACCATGACTGGCTAATTTTTTGTATTTAGTAGAGACTGGGTTTCACCATGTTGGTCAGGCTGGTCTTGAACTCCTGACCTTAGGTGATCCACCCGCCTCGCCCTACCAAAGTGCGGGATTACAGGTGTGAGTCACCGCGCCTGGCCAGGACTCTGTACTTCTATATTTGAGTCCTTGTGGATGAACTGTAACCTAGCTTAATAATCAGACAAGAATGAAAACCTAACTTAGGCGTGTGCACCTTAACAATAACTGAGTCTTGGCCCATCCCAGTGGCCGCACTTCAACTACTCATACACTGCTAAGTGTTCAGACTGTGTTCAAATAAGGCAAATGCCAACCTGTAACCAATCCAGCTGTTTCTGTACCTCACTGCCAATTTCTATACGTCCTTTCCCTTTTTTTGTCCATAAATCTTCTTCCACTATGTGGCTGCGCTGGAGTCTCTGTGAATCTGCTGTGATTCTGGGGGCTGCCCGATTCATGACTCATTCATTGCTCAATTAAACTGCTTTAAATTTAATTCAGCTAAAGTTTTTCTTTTATCACTGGTTTTCCACATCTATTTGAATAATTACTTTTAAAAATCTGTGCAGCAAGAGGCATTCCTCTCAGCCTTGCTTCTGCAATTGATTTTTATGGCCTTAACTGACATGATGGGAGTAAACTTCCTGGAGTGGGTACGCTTGGATTTGGTGTTAACCAGAGAAGTGGTGGATGGCAGGCAAGGCTGGGCCACATGACGAGAGGAGGAACCAACACCAGTTTTACAGACACCAATTTGTGGGGCTGTTTATTGCCACGACAAGGCAATCAGCTTTGCTGATTCATGTTGCTTTTTTCTTTCATGTTTTTAAGACCAGAGTTTTCACAGTCTGGGCAATTTTAGGAGGTTCCAAATTTTTCCATCATTTCCATGTTTGTCTTTGAACAGAGTAAATGATGATGTGGGTCAGGTCACAGATGAGAATTATCCAGCTCTTCTGGGTTATACATCGGTGATGTGTGGCCCACCCAGGCAGAGGGGAGCCTTGTCAAAGCAGCTTTCTGGAAGTGGAGTTCCTTACTTCATTTTACTCACTGTGATCACCAGATTCCTGATGGCAACCGTTAATCAGGATCCTCCAAGTCAGATGCTTCTAGAGTAACATCTCAGGGTGTTCATTAATGCTGAAGTTTGCAAAGGCAACAAAAGATGAGTAGATCACAACCGATCACTACATCACATTACATAATTACAATTAATAGAGTTTTTACTATAGAGGAAGCAAGCAGAAGTTCACATATCTAACTACAGCTAGCAGGCAGTGGGGCCTAGAAAGCAGCTGGAAACGCTTAGTGATTATGGCTAAGAGAACAGTTTTCTTCTCAACCAAAATCCTTTCCCTGCTCTTTCCAAGCTCTGCTGATACTTGTCTGCCTGCTCCTTATTGCATCTGTGCGGAGGTGTCGCTGCCTTGCATCGAAGTCCTAACTACTATTTGCACAAAAATTTCAGCGTGTGTCTATCAATTTCCCAAAAATCACAGTTGACATCGACTGTATCAGTGATATCCCAATGCTACCCCAAGCATATTGCTCTCTATAAAATGACTTTCCGAAATGCATTTCAATAGTCCTCTTACTCTGGGACAGTTTGTTCTTTCCATCAGAGAGGGCTACACACCGGCCGGTTGCAATTTGAGGGCTCTGTGCTCTGTACAACTTGTTCTGCTCTCATGGGTTTTGCTCATCCTGGAGCAATGAACATTATGATCATAGAAAGGGTAACTTCTTGAACTGAAAGTAGATTGCTCCCCATTAACATGCCTCTTGCCCTGCCTTTCACACTGTGGGGCAGTTTCACTTGCAAAATATTTATGAGGTGCTTGTTACATCTGGCTAGGTGCCAGGGAGATAAAGAGGAACAGGGCCGGGTGCGGTGGCTCACGCCTATAATCCCAGCACTTTGGGAGGTCGAGGCGGGTGGATCACCTGAGGTCAGGAGTTCGAGACCAGCCTGACCAACATGGAGAAACCCCATCTCTACTAAAAAAATACAAAATTAGCCAGGTGTGGTGGCGCATGCCTGTAATCCCAGCTACTCGGGAGGCTGAGACAGGAGAATCGCTTGAACCCGGGAGGCAGAGGTTGCGGTGAGCCAAGATCACACCATTGCACTCCGGCCTGGGCAACAAAAGCAAAACTCTGTCACAAAAAAAAAAAAAAAGAAAAAGGAACAAGACATGGTCCCTGCCTTCAGGCGCATATGACCTAATGAGGAAATAAGAAATGTGCAATTAGTACAATATGGTGAAAGTATGCTGTTGATGCTATGTATGCACAGAGGAAGGGTCATAGCTGGTTGTACTGGGGAAGGAAGGGAGGTATATTAGTTCCCTATGTGTCATACAAAGAATCACAAATTTGGTAGCTTAAAGCAACACACATTTATTTTCTTACAGTTCTGCAAGTCAAGAGCCTAAATGGGTCCACTGGCTAAAACCAAAGTGTTGGCAAGGCTGTGCATCCCTGGAGGCTTTAGGGGAGAATGCATTTCTTGCCTTTTCCAGCTTCTAGAGCTGCACTCCTTGGCTGATGGCCCCTTCCTCCATCTCCAAGGCCAGCATCTGCAAATCTCCCTCTGTTCCAGCTCCACATCATCTTCTCCTCTTCTGTGGAGTCTGAGTTCTGTCTCCCTCTCATAAGAACACTTCTGCTTGTATTTAGTGTCCACCCAGGTAATCCAGGATCATCTCCCCATTTCAAGCACTTCACAGCTGCAAAGTCTCTTTTGCTATATACGGTAACATTCACAGATTCCAGAGATTGAGACCTGGATTTTTGGGGGACCATCAGTCAGCCTTTCCAGGAGGTAACATGAGGGAGACAGGCACAGCATTTCTGACAGGAGGGAAAGCATAAGAGGGCACAGTGGCATGACTCAGTACAGAGCATCCAGAATCTGTGTCGCTTAGAGTTGTGGGAGCATCAGGTATGAGGCGGTGGGGATGAACCAGGCTGCAGAGGGTGTCATGCTCCATGCTAAATCATCTGGGTTTTATTTCATAGGTTCCAAGGAGTCTTGGAAGGTTTGTAAGCAGGGCAGTGATGTGGTCAGCTGAGTGGTTTAGAGGGATCATTGTGGGGGATTCAGGCAGGCAGATACCACTGACAGATCATGAGAGTCAGAACCAGGATGGGGATTAAGGTGAGAAATGTGTTAAATAACAAAAGAAGTTCTCCAGGTGAAATTAACAGGAATCATCACTAATTGGATGGTAGGGTGAAGGGGAGAGAGAAATCTGGGATGATCCCAAGCTTTTTTCCTGGGTAGATAGTGTCCCATTAAATGTAATAAGTACAGGAGAAAAAAAAAATATGCTCAAGGAAGGAAAAACTGGCATTTAGTTTGAGTCTGTAGAATTTGAAGATTACTTGTGGGCAGGATTGGCTTCGTGGGTGTGTGACTTGTGCAGGCACACAGGGCCCCACACTTAGGAGAGGCCCCCAACTTAGCTAATGCTCTGCTATCACCATCTTGAAAGTCTTAGTAGTTTTTGAATAAAGGGCACCATATTTTTATTGTTCACCTGGTCCCACAAATTATCAAGTAGTTTCTGCCTGTGAGTGATCTAAGAATCCAGGCAAGAGCCTCGGTCTTCAGAGGAAGTTTTCAGCAGAGGTTCCCTTAAGCAGACATGAGGACTAAGCACCTCCTGGATAGACTATTAACTCTCTCCTGGGCTGCAGCAGCTCAGAGCTTTCTCAATTAACCACTTCAAGTGCAACAGTATGTGCCATAAGAGAAAGCCGCATATCCCGAATTAAAGGGCTCTTGATCAAAATTTAATAAACAAAAAAGGCCTTGATTTGGGCTTTTTTCCCAGCAGCCTCAGCTCTGATGTGAACAAAAGTTAAATACCTGAGTCTGAGGGCTTTTTATGTGAGTAACTTTGGTGTGCAGAGGAGCTAATTCTTACAGAACTTGTTAATTTCCCTAGACTGAATACTAACACCTCCCAAGATGACAGGAGAACAGAAATTCACATTCAGAGGTGAAGAGCGCTAGATTTATCTTGATGTGAAACTGGAAAGTTCCTAGAATAAGGGGAAGAGGTACTTTTTCTGTTCCCTACTGTATTAGTTCATTCTCACGCTGCTAATAAAGACATATCCAAGACTGGGTCATTTATAAAGGAAAGAGGTTTAATTGACTCACAGTTCAGCATAGCTGGGGAGGCCTCAGGAAATTTACAGTCATGGCAGAAGGGGAAGCAAACACGTCTTTCTTCATATGGTTGCAGCAAGGAGAAGTGTAGAGAAAAGGGGAGGAAAGCCCCTTTTCAAACCATCAGATCTCCTGAGAACTCACTATCACGAGAACAGCACGGGGGTAACCACCTGCATGATTCAATTACCTCCCACCGGGGGGATTATGGGAACTACAATTCAAGATGAGATTCAGGTGGAGACGCAGCCAAACCAAATCAGCTACTCCACCCTAGGTTGCTGGCTCCTCAGCCCTCCTTACTCTTACAGCAGTTGGTAAACTAAGTTTGCCTTTCTTTGCAAAGTCAGGCTTTCTGGCATTCTCAGAGTAAGTCCTAGCAGATGAGCACCCCTGCTTTAAAAGGGCAATGATGGGCCTGACACAGTGGCCCATGCCTGGAATCCCAGTGCTTTGCAAGGCTGAAGTGGGAGGATCACTTCATCCCAGGAGTGGGAGGCTGCAGTGAGCTGTGATTGGGCTGCTGCCCAAGAGACAGCTAATAGTCTAACCAGGAGATGCTGAGTCCATGTTTCTGCTTAAGGGAAAACTTTCTTTGAAGACCAGGGCTCTTAGCTGCACGCCAGCCTGGCAATAGAATGAGAACCTGTATCTAGGAGGAAAAAAAAAAAAGAAAGCGAAAGAAAAAGGTTGATGCCTAAGTATCCAGCCCCATTTCTGCTTTACTTTGATATTAAAATACATTTCAGGGCCGGGGGCAGTGGTTCATCCCTGTAATCCCAGTAGTTTGGGAGGCCGAGGTGGGCGGATCACCTGAGGTCAGGAGTTTGAGACCAGCCTGGCCAATAGGGCAAAACCCTGTCTATACTAAAAATACAAAAATTAGCTGCGCATGGTGGTGCGTGCCTGTAATCCCAGCTATTCAGGAGGCTGAGGCCGAAGAATCGCTTGAACCCGGGAGGCAGAGGTTGCAGTGAGCTGAGATCAAGCCACTGCACTCTAGCCTGGGAAACAGAGCAAGACTCCGTCTCAAAATAAATAAATAAATTAATTAATTAATTTAATTAAATACATTTCAGACTCTTTTCCAGCTTTGAAATTATGGGCTCATGGTTTTGGTTCTGATCCAGCCTTAATTAATTTTCTGGACTTGATCTTCTGCCTTCTGCACGTGCTCCAGCCAGCCCCACTGGATGCTCCAGTTTGCAGTTTGAGTGAGATGATGCCAAGGGATGGAAACATAAGGGACCCATGAGACCACAGAATGTTCTTGTGGCCACCGAGCTTCAGGTCCCACTCTAGCCTTCCAGGTCCAGAAATGCTACAGAGTGAACTCAAACTCAAAATTCACAGATACATAAAACAGAAAGAGAATTTACCGAAACAGTAGAGAGAGAGAGAAAGAAACAAATTATTTTCTAAACACTGGGATTCTGGCCTCATCTGACTTCTTCTGGATATCAGGATACGTAGGACACTAAACTATTTTTTAGAAAGTTGCTTAGGGCCGGGCAGGGTGGCTCACACCTATAATCCCTTGGGAGGCCAACGTGGGCAGTCACTTGAGGCCAGAAGTTTGAGACCAGCCTGGCCCACATGGTGAAACTCCATCTCAACTAAAAATACAAACATTAACCAGGCGTAGTGGTGTGTGCCTGTAATCCCAGCTACTCTGGAGGTTGAAGTAGGAAAATCTCTTGAACCTGGGAGGCAGAGGTGGCAGTGAGCCAAGATCATGCCACTGCACTCCAGCCTGGGCTACAGAGCGAGACTCTGTCTAAAACAAAAAACAAACAACAACAACAAAAAAAAACAGTTGCTTAGAAATCTGGACGTGGTGGCTCATACCTGTAATCCCAGCACTTTGGGAGGTGAGGCAGGAGGATTGCTTGAGCCCAGGAGCTTGAGATCAGCCTGGGCGATATAGTGAGACTTTGTCTCTACAAATAATTATTTTTTAAAAATTAGCCAGGTGTGGTGGCTCACACCTGTGATCCCAGCTACTGTGGAGGCTGAGGTGGGAGGATCACCTTAGTCCAAGAGGCAGAGGTTGCAGTAAGCCAAGATCGTGCCACTGCACTCCAGCCTGGGTGACAAAGTGAGAGCTTGAAGAAAAAAAAAAAAGAAGGAAGGCGGGGGGGTGGGGCGGGGGGAGAGAGAGAGAGAGGAAAGAAAGAGAAAGAAAAGAAAGAAAGAGAGAGAAAGAGAAAGAAAGAACAAGAAAGGAAGAAAAGGAAGGAAGAAGAAAGAAAAAGAAAAGAAAGAAAGAAAGAAAGAAAGAAAGAAAGAAAGAAAGAAAGAGAGAAAGAAAGAAAGAAAAAAAGAAAAGAGAAAGTTGCTTAGAGCAACATGAGATAGTATTTTCTTAAGGGATATTTTATCCAGGCATGGTGACGCTAAAGATTTACTTTTAACCATATGAGAGTAACTAAAATATGGGCATCTGTCAGATTCAAGAACTTTCTTCCGTGAACAATTAGCAGAACCAGTTTCCTAAACCAGTTCATCTTCCTCTTGGACACACAGGAAGGCTACATTTCTTGGTGTTCTTGCATCTAGGTGGGGCCATGTGACCAGTGCTGGCAAATGGGATGGAAGCAAAAGCGATGCCTATCATATCTAGGCCTGGCCCCTGGACTTCCCACTCCTGCCCTCTGCACTGGCTCACTCTCTCTCTTCCCTGTCCATTGATGAGACACAGAGATCCCATAGTGGAACCAGTTTTGGAAAGCCTGGCTCCTTGAATGAGTTTGTGGGGACCCACCCCTCACTCCCAGTGGACAGCAATGTGAGAGGGAACTAATTCTGTTGTGTTTAGTCATGCATATTTCAAGATTGTTTGTTATAGCAGTTAACTCACCCTAAATAATACAGAAAATATCAGATTAAACTCTACCAACTATTTACTTTTGGGGATCCCCTATGAAGACTGTGCAAACAATTTCCGTTCTATGAATATGCTTTTCTTTTTTTTTTTTTTTTTCCAGACAGAGTCTTACTATGTCAAGTAGGCTGGCGTGCAACAGTGCAATCATCGTTCACTGCAGCCTTGAACTCCTGGGCTCAAGCAGTCCCCCCATCTCAGCCTCCTGAATAGCTGGGACAACAGGCATGTGCCACTATACCTGGCTTTTTTTTTTTTTTTTTCTGGACACAGGGTCCTGCTCTGTCACCCAGGCTGGTCTCAATGGATATGCTCTTCTTAAAAACAAAGTAAAATCCAATTGAATCATTTTACACTTCAGTCAATTCACCTTTTATTTCCTGCGAATACAGCTTATTCTGATGGGGCTGTGTGCTTCCTGAGACTAGCCCTCGTTACTCACTGGGCATTTCTGCTATGGAAGCATCACAGCTCTCTGGCCTCTGGAGAGTGGGCTGGTTCTCCAGAAAACTGATCTCAACCAGTACATGTTTTGTTTTTAGTTTTCAAAATTAAAAAAGTTTTCTTTGAAATAGCTTCTTTTTAAAATGTAAGTACAATACGCTTTTTTTTTTTTTTTTTTTTTTTTTTTGAGACAGAGTCTTGCTCTGTCGCCCAGGCTGGAGTGCAGTGGCGCGATCTCGGCTCACTGCAAGCTCCGCCTCCCGGGTTCACGCCATTCTCCTGCCTCAGCCTCCCGAGTAGCTGGGACCACAGGCGCCCCCCACCACGCCTGGCTAATTTTTTTGTATTTTTAGTAGAGAACAGGGTTTCACCGCGTTAGCCAGGATGGTCTTGACCTCCTGACCTCGTGATACGCCCGTCTCGGCCTCTCAAAGTGCTGGGATTACAGGCGTGAGCCACCACGCCCGGCCTTTTTTTTTTTTTTTTGAGATGGAGTCTTGCTCTGTCACCGATGCTGAGTGCTCTGCTCACTGCCACCTCCACCTCCCAGGTTCAAGTGATTCTCCTGCCTCAGCCTCCCGAGTAGCTGTGACTACAGGCACCTGCAGTGACACCTGGCTAATTTTTGTATTTTTAATAGAGACGGAGTTTTGCCATATTGGCCACGCTGGTCTCGAACTCCTGACCTCAAGTGATCCGCCTGCCTCAGGCTCCCAAAGTGCGGGGATTACAGGCATAAGCCACTGCACCTGGCAAAAACTGCTTTTTTTTTTTTAAGTTATTACAAGCAACACTGCTCTGAACATTCTTATACAATCATCTTTGCATAATGGTGGAATTATCTTCTAGGGATAAGTTCCTAAAAGTGATAATGATATGCATATATTATATTTGGATAGATATTGCCAAACTACCCTATAAAAGCATAACAATGTGTAGTATCACCAATATTTTATGGTACTGTTCATTTTACCATATATTTGCCAACAATGTGTTTTATCCAAAGTATTCATCATGGCAAATCTGATGTGGGAAATGCTCTTCTGATTTATTTGCATTTCTTTGCTTTTCAGGGAGATTGAATGTAGTCTCATATCTTACTGGTAAATTTCCTATTCATGTCTTTTGCCCATGTTTCTCTTGTCTGTCTTATTATTTTGTAAATGCTCTTTGTATAGAAAAGATAATCCACCCATTGTCTCTCATATCTGTTGCAGATTTTTTTCTCATTTTCCTATTTTAAAATTTTATCTGTGTTTTTTTCCATATTAAAGATGTTATGCAGACAAACACATCCATCATTTTTCTTGGACTTCTGGATATTATGTGATGCTTTCAACCTCAACTCTATGTTTTCTTTCTTTCTTTCTTTCTTTTTTTTTTGGCTTTGTCACCCAAGCTAGAGTGCAGTGGCTCAATTTCAGCTCACTACAACTTCTGCCTCCCAGGTTCAAGTGATTCTCGTGCCTCAGTCTCCTGAGTAGCTGGGATTACAAGTGTGCACCACCAGGCCCAGCTAATTTTTTTTTTTTTTTGTACTTTTAGTAGAGACAGGTTTTTGCTATGTTGGCCAGGCTGGTCTCAAACTCCTGACCTCAAGTGATCTGCCCGCCTTGGCCTCCCAAAGTGCTGGGATTACAAGCATGAGGCACTGAGCCAGGCCTGTATTTTCACCCTGTTGGCCAGGCTGGTCTGGAACGCCTGACCTCAAGTGATCCACCTGCCTCAGCCTCCCAAAGTGTTGGGATTACAGGTGTGAGCCACCGTGCCTGGCCCAGATGTATGTATATGATACTGAAGATGCATGAGAAGGGCTTCCTGGGCAGGGTTCAAAGTTCAAAACGAGAATTTGCATCTGTGCCTGGTCCCATGTTAGTGTTCTTGTTTTGTTGTTTGTTGTTTGTTTTTTTAAGAAGGGAAACCACTTGGACTGCGTCCTCTCCTTCTTACCCTACCGGAGGAAAGAAAGAACATCATCAACGCCTAATGGCAGGTGCAACAAAACAACTCCGAGAGCTGGCTTCATGCTCAGGAAAGAACACAGTGTGTCCTGCTCCTGGCATCCAGCTCCACACGATCAGAGAAACTGCCCCCGCAATGAGCTGTGGACATGAACTCTGAAAGCACAGTCCTCACACATGCGTGCTCTCAGGGAAACAGCCATGTCTGGGCTGATTATGATGTGCAGAAAGTTGGCCTTCGTGGCCTCCTTTCTCTCTGTCTCTCTCTCTCTCTTTCTCTTTATCTGTCTCTCTCTCCCTGTCTCTTTCTCTGTTTGTCTCTCTCTCCCTTTCTCCGTCTCTCTCTCTTTCTCTCCCTCTCTCTGTTTCTCTCTGTCTCTCTCTCCTTTTTCTCTCCTTCTCTTTATCTCTCTGTTTCTCTCTCTGTCTCTGTCTCTGTTGATATGTGTGTCTCTCCTCTTTCTCTTTCTCTCTTCTCTTTCTCTTTCTTTCTCTCTTTCTGTCGATGTCTCTCTCTGTCTCTTACTCTCATCTCTTACCTGTCTCTCTCTGTCTCTCCCTGTCTCTCCCTTTCTCTTTGTCTCTCTTTCTCTCTATTTCTATTTCTCTCCCTCTCTCTGTTTCTCTTTCTCTCTGTCTGTCTCTTTCTGTATCTCTCTGTCTATCCCTCTCCTTTTTCTCTCCCTCTCTTTGTCTGTTTCTCTCTCTGTCTCTGTCTCTCTCCTTCTTTCTCTCCCTCTGTTTCTTTCTCTCTGTGTCTCTGCCTCCCTCTCTCCTCTCTCTCTGTCTCTCTCTCTGTCTCCGTCTCTCTGCACTCTGGCATCTCCAAACCTGCCCACCTCCTGCAGTATCTTGCTCTCAGCTAACTGCTATAAAACAACTCTTAAGACTCTCCATGGTAAAGGCTTAAGAAACTATTCTCTCTTCAGAGGTACTTTCAGGATTTTCTATATACCTGTCAGAACCCGTTAGTGAAAGACACTGCTTCCTGCCCAGAGCATCACCCACCTTGACAGCTACCTTCTTCAAGGAGAAAAACACCTCAAAAAATTACTGTGTATGTTTTTATGCCCGGTCTGGTTGGTGCAAGGAGGATTCATCTTATTAAATGTCAGACATGCAAATTCTTCTTAAAGAATCATGCCTAGAAATTGGGCTCAGCTATTTAA
The DNA here is from genome assembly GCF_000001405.40 of Homo sapiens. NCBI lineage: Eukaryota > Metazoa > Chordata > Mammalia > Primates > Hominidae > Homo > Homo sapiens. The sequence continues at coordinate 28,409,249 of NC_000010.11, forward strand.
TGCCATCTGAATATGATGTCCCAGTAGGAGCAAGAGTGTCTTCCTGGTTATTTTGATGGGGAGAGGGAAATGAATTTGGGTAAAAACTAGCAGTTATGGGAGCTGGTGGATTCTGCAAAGCAGAAAGTAGGAGATAACAGAGCTGGGAAGAGCCTAGGACGTGCAGTGATAGAAATTATGGGGTCTGCCTTGCAGAGGAGGAAACAGAAGAACGAATGAATGAATGAACAAATGAATGAATAAATAAATAAGATTATGAAGTGATTTCTCTGGGAAGACTTCAGATGATGGCTAGATTGTATTTGCCTGAATCCAAAATGTTAGATCTTGGACAAAAAGAGAGGAGGAGCTTGGCACAGTGGCTTACGCCTGTAATCCCGGCACTTTGAGAGGCCAAGGCAGGCAGATCAATTGAGGTCAGGAGTTCAAGACCAGCCTGGCCAACATGGCAAAACCCCATCTCTACCAAAAAAAAAAAAAATTTAAAGTTAGCTGAGCTTGTTCACACATACCTGTAATCCCAGCTACTCGGGAGGCTGAGGCATGAGAATTGCTTGAACCTGGGAGGTGGAAGTTGCAGTGAGCCAATACCACACAACTGCACTCCAGCCTGGGCATCAGAGGGAGACTCTGTCTCAAAAAAAAAAAAAAAAAAAAAAAAAAAAGAGAGAGAGAGAGAGAGGAGGAAGGGGGGTGAACCACCACCCAAGAGATCAGAGTCAGCGCAGGACCCAGTCATTGGAAAACTTCCATGCCTAAGAACAGCTTGCGAGGGCCTTCATCGTTTGCTCCTAGTTTATTTTCTCTCTCCACTCGGTGCACTTCAGCCACACCTATGTTTTTTTTTCTTTTCCTTTTCAGAGGCAGGGTCTTAATGTAGCCCAGGCTGAAGAGCAGCGGCTCAGTCATAGCTCACTGCAGCCTTGAACCCTCAAGTTCAAGCCATCCTCCACCTCAGCCTCCTGAGTAGCTGGGACTACAGGTACATGCGACCATGCCTGGCTATTTTTTAAATTATTTTGCTGAAACAGAGTCTCACTATGTCGCCCAGGCTAGTCTTGAACACCTGGCTTCAAACGATCCTCCCTCCTCAGGCTCCTAAAGTGCTGGGATTACAGGCATGAGCCACCGCATCTGGCCCACAGCTACTTTTTCAAAGGCTTCCAAGCACAACTCGTGGTCTTTGTGTAATCCATTCTCCTGCCTGAAATGCTGTCCTTGGGCTGGCTCTCTGAACTCCTGAGCATCCTTTAAGAGTTAACCAAAATATCCCTCCCTGCCCCTGAGATGCCTCCCTGACCTGTGACGACTCCTCTCCTCCGGGCATTCTATTTCTGCTGTGCTTTCAAAATACTGGGTGTGTAGGTCTATTAATATTTAGCACTCTTTATTACATTGTTTACTTGGTTTATTTGATGTAAGCTCCTTGACAGCAAGGAGCACACGTATTTTATCTTGGAGTATCCAGCCCCTGGCATAATGCCTAGAAATCAGTGAATGTCAACAAATTCTCCATAAATAAGGAGAAGAAAAGAACAGGAACATCCCAGAAGAGAAGGGGGGATGTTTTGTTGATTTGATCTGATGAAAATTATGATACATACCTTTCATTTAATTCTGTGTAGTTGATGCTCAGAGAGTCCTGGGTATATTCTTATATTTTGATATAGTAAAAGTCAAAATGCTTGGAAAGAAATCTGAAGAAGAAGAGGGGGCATTTGGCTTTGAATTGCAGTGGTCCCATATCCAGGGGGAGAAACTGTGTCCTCTTCCACAAGGTGGTGATAGTGAGAAGTTCCATAAGAGAAGAATTGGCTGATCAGCCATGAAGACACCTCCACTGTTGGCAGTTTTAATACAAACAGCACTAAGAGTCTGGGTGAAGCATCTCTGTGAATACCTTGCTCAAATGCCAAAGGCTTCCCCACCCTTCCCAAAGACTGGCAGGGCAGACCATTCCCAGGAATCAGAGCAGCTTGCACATTCCTGAGAAGTAGCCCTGGCACGTCGTCACTAACTCTAGCTTGAAATTGGTGGCTCTTGGATGGGTGTGGTGGCTCACGCCTGTAATCTCAGCACACTGGGAGGCTGAGGCAGGCGGATCATCTGAGGTCAGGAGTTAAAGACCAGTCTGGCCAACATGGAGAAACCCCATCTCCACTAAAAATATGAAAAATTAGCCAGACGTGGTGACAGGCGCCTGTAATCCCAGCTACATGGGAGGCTGAGACAAGAAAATCACTTGAACCTGGGAAGTGGAGGCTGCAGTGAGCCGAGATCACGCTACTGCACTGCAGCTTGGGTGACAGAGTGAAACTCCATCTCAATTGATAAATAAATACATTGGTTGTTCTCACCCGGAGAAGATTTCGCTTCTTCCCCCAAGGGATATTTGGAGATGTCTGAAGATATTTGGCGGTGTTATAACCAGTGTGTGGGGAGTTGCTACTAGCATCTAGCAGGTGCAGGTCAGAGATGCTGCTAAACATCCTACGGTGCATGGGACAGCCCCCTCTCCCTTTCCCAAATAATGATCTGGCCCCAAATGTTAATAATACCAAGACTGAGAAACCCTGCTCTAAATGATGTCATGGGAGATGTTACTCATTCTCAGAAACAGCATGACAGAAACTTTCAGCTCTAAAATGCCCCACCCAGTGAGTTGGGATCGACACACCCTGAAGCATCCTTAAGCAACCTCAGCAGATTCTGGGTCAGGTGATGCAACCACTCCAAATAGTCACAGTGGTCATCACCTCCCAGTTTCCCCGTTTACTTACTCTCATGTGGAGGCCTTGCCTTATGCTCTATTGAGAAATTATTGGCATGTCTCTTATCTTTCTTTCTTTTTTCCTGTTCACCTGCACTGGCATCTGCTCTCACCTCTGTATCTTCAGTCTCCATGTCTGAGATCTCCACTTGAACTAGAACCCATCCTCTCTGGACTCCTCCAAGATCTTGCTCTACCACTTTCAAGTCTTTTTATGTCCAACTTCTTCAGAATCTTTGGCTCCTTCCCTTAGTCTATAAATAGGGATTAGACTGCATCCTTTAAAAAGAAATGGCTGGGCATAGTGTTTCTCACCTGTAATCCCAACTACTCAAGAGACCAAGGCGGGAAGATCCCTTGAGCCCAGGAGATTGAGACCAGCCTGGGCAGCATAGTGAGACCCCATCTCTAAAAAAATAGTATTAAAGAGTAGAACATTTTAATGTTAATGGAGTCTAGCTTATCAATTCTTCTTTACATGGACTGTACCTTTTGGTGTTGCATCTAAAATGTCTAGAGTCATCTAGATTTTATCCTGTGTTATCTTCTAAGAGCTTTACAGTTTTGTGTTTTACACTTACGTCTGTGACTCTTTTTGAGTTATTTTTTGAAGGGTGTAAGGTCTGTGTCTAGATTCATTTTCTGCATGACAAAGAATGTTTCAACATTCTTTGTTTAAAAGACTATCTTTCTCCATTCTATTGCCTTTGCTCTTTTGTCAAAGAGAATGTCTAGGGCCAGGCACGGTGGCTCACGCCCGTAATCCCAGCACTTTGGGAGGTCAAGGCGGGTGGATCACCTGAGATCAGGAGTTCGAGACCAGCCTGACCAACATGGAGAAACCCCATCTCTACTAAAACTACAAAAACTTAGCTGGGCGTGGTGGCGCATGCCTGTAATCCCTGTAATCCCCTACTTGGGAGGCTGAGGCAGGAGAATTGCTCAAACTCGGGAGGCAGAGGTTGCAGTGAGCCAAGATCGTGCCATTGCACTCCATCCTGGGCAACAAGAGCAAAACTGTCTCAAAAAAAAATAAATAAATAAATAAAAATAAAAAAATTAAAAAAAAAGAGAGAGAGAGAAAGAGAAAATGTCTGCTGTCAAGAGGATAAAAAGACTAGCCATAGATTGGAAGAAAATATATGCAAAAGACATTTCAGATAAAAGATTGTTATCTAAAATATACAAAGAGCTGTTAACCTCAGGAATAAGAAACACAAACAGGATTTTTAAAAGGGCCAAAGAGCCAGGCATGGTGGCATGCTCCTATAGTCTCAGCTAATCAGGAAGCTGAGCTGGAGGATCACTTGAGGCTAAGAGTTTGAGACCAGCCTGGACAGCATAGCAAGAACCTATGTCTAAAAATAAAAATAAAATAAAAATAAGTAACATATAAATAAATGTTTAAAAAATATTTTTAAAATGGGCTAAAGACCTTAACAGAAACTTCACCAAAGAAGATATGTAAATGACAAATAAACATATGAAAAGATGCTCCACCTCATATATGATCAGGGAAATGCAAATCAAAACAATAATGAGCTACTACAACACACCTATTAGAATGGCCAAAATCTAGAACACTGACAACATCAAATGCTGACGAGGATGTGGAGCAACAGGAACTCTCATGCATTGCTGGGAATGCAAAATGACAGACAGTTCAGAAGACCAGTTAGCAGTTTCTCACAAAACTGGGCAACAGAACAAGGCTCTGTCTCAAAAAAAAAAAAAAAAATTAAAGTGCTTTGAGAGACCAAGTGGCTGCTGCAATATAATGTTATGAAAGACTAAAAGCATGGTGCATGGGTTGGTTGCTTTGATCACCCTGTAGAATAAAAGAAAGGAGGCCGGGCTCAGTGGCTCATACCTGTAATCCCAGCACTTTGGGAGGCTCAGGCAGGTGGAGCACAAGGTCAGGGGTTCCAGACCAGCCTGGCCAAGATGGTGAAACCCCGTCTCTACTAAAAATACAAAAATTAGCCAGGCATGGTGGCACGTGCCTGTAATCCCAGCTACCTGGGAGGCTGAGGCAGAAGAATTGCTTGAACCTGGGAGGCGGAGGTTGCAATGAGCTGAGATCGTGCCACTGCACTCTAGCCTAGGTGACAGAGCAAGACTCTGTCTCCAAAAAGGAAAAAAGAAAAAGAAAGGAAACAGCGAGCTCAGCACTTGACATTGTCAGCTGACTTCCCGGACAGAGGACCAGAGAGCATCTATGACTGCCCTAAAGGAGCTGGTCTCTTGTGGCTGTCAGGCTAGCACATGTAAAAACGAGATCCAAGGTTTGATCCTAGGAGTTGCAAAATTACAACCTAAGGTGAATTCACTGCTTCTCAAGGTCTTTTTATGCTAGTTAGGGACTGATTTGGAAAGTACGGCATCCTAGTGATTACAGTGAGTTAGAATAGGAGGAACCTCACTTTCCTCTGTCTGAAAAGAAGCTCCCTCTTGCTTGAAGACCCTTGTAGGGTCCTCATCTGACATAGTTTTTATTTTTATTTTTATTTATTTATTTATTTTGAGATGGCGTCCCGCTCTGTCGCCCAGGCTGGAGTGCAGTGGTACAATCTCAGCTCACTGCAACCTCCGCGTCCTGGGTTCAAGTGATTCTCCTGCCTCAGCTTCCCTAGTAGCTGGGATTACAGGCGCCCACCACCACGCCAGCTAATTTTGTATTTTTAGTAGAGATGGGGTTTGGTCGTGCTGGCCAGGTTGGTCTCAAACTCCTGAACTCAAGTGATCAGCCCACCTCGGCCTCCCAAAGTGCTAGGATTACAGGCGTGAGCCCCCACGCCCGGACCTGACATAGTTTTTATACAAGGAGATGCCACACTATCCTTGAGACCCACCCTTCCCCATCTCAAGACCTCCAGACCCATAACTAGAGTCAGATCCCAGCCAACTTTGGAGGTCAAGTATAGACACTAACCGTGGAGAAGACAGAAGGAACAAGGAAAGAATGCACAAGATTTTTGACGGTACAGGCATACTTCATTTTATTGCATTTTACTGTGCTTCACAGATATGTTCTTTTCCAATAAACTGCAGGTTTGTGGTAACCCTGCATTGAGCAAGTCTATCGAGCCATTTTTCCAAACAGCAAGTGCTCATTTTGCGTCTCTGTGTCCCATTTTGGTAATTCTCACAATCTTGCACATTTTTTAAATTATAATTACATCTGTTATGGTGGTGTAGGATCAGTAATTTTTGATGTTACTATTCTAATTGTTTTGAGAGGCCATGAATCAATACCATATAAGACAGCAAACTTAACCAATAAATGTGTGTGTTCTGACTGCTCCACTGACCAGTACCTCCCCAACCTCTCTCCGTCTCTTGGCCTCCCTATTCCCTGAGACACAACAATATTGAAATTATGCCAATTAATAACCTTACAATGGCTTCTGTTTGTGCAAGTAAAAGGAAGAGTTGTATGGCCTTCACTTGAAACCAAAAACTAGAAATGATTAATCTTAGTGAGGAAGGCATATCTGGCTCTTACTGAACCCATCACATGAATAGCGAACACCGTACCCAGTAGGTAGTTTCCAACCCTCTCCCTACCCATCCTTCCACCTTTGTAGTATCCAGTGTACATTTTTCCACTCGACGTCCATGGATACCCATTGTTCAGCCCCCACTTATAAGTGACAGACAGTATTTGACTTTCTGTTTCTGAGTGATTTTACTTAGGATAATGGCCTTCAGGTCCATCCATGTTCCGCAAAAGACATGATTTTATTCCTTTTTATGACTGAGTAGCATTCCATGGTGTCTGCATACCACATTCTCTTTATCCAATCCTCCATTGATGGACACTTACGTTGATTCCATATCTTTGCTATTTTGAACAGTACTGCAATAAACATATGAGTGTAGGTGTCTTTTTATACAATAATTTCTTTTCCTTTGGGTAGATACCCAGAAGTGGGATTACTGGATCAAATAGTAGTTCCATTTTTACTTTATTGAGAAATCACCATGCTGTCTTCCATAGTGGTCATTCTAATTTACATTCCCACGAACAGTGTATAAGTGTTTCCCCTTCTTCATATCCTCACTAACATCTGTTGTTTTTAGCCTTTTTTTTTTTAATCTGTTTTTAAGAAATAAGGTCTTCCTCCATCACCCAGGCTGGAGTGCAATGGTGCCATTATAACTCACTGCAGCCTTGAACTCCTGGGCTTAAGCAATCCTGCCTTGGCCTCTCCAGTACACCATCACTCCCAGCTAATCTTTTTATTTTTGTAGAGACAGGATCTCGCAATGTTGGTCAGGCTGGTCTCAAACTCCTGGCTTCAAGAGAAAGCCTGCTGCTTCAGCCTCCCAAAATGCTGGGATTACAGGCAGGAGCCACTGTTCCTGGCTTGTTTTTAGACTTTTCTTTTTTTCAGACGGAGTCTTGCTGTGTCGCCCAGACTAGAGAGCAGTGGCGCAATCTCGGCTCACTGCAAGCTCCGCCTCTCAGGTTCACGCCATTCTCCTGCCTCAGCCTCCCAAGTAGCTGGGACTACAGGCGCCCACCACCACACCCGGCTAATTTTTTTTTTTTTTTTTGTATTTTTAGTAAAGCCAGGGTTTCACCATGTTAGCCAGGATAGTCTCGATCTCCTGACCTTGTGATCCACCTGCCTCGGCCTCCCAAAGTGCTGGGATTACAGGCGTGAGCCACTGCGCCCGGACTTAGACTTTTTAATAATAGCCATTATGACTAGTGTAAGATGATATCTCACTATGTTTTTAATTTGCATTTCTCTGATGATTAGTTATCCTGAGCATTTTTTCATATATTTATTGGCCACTTGTATGTCTTTTGAAAAATGGCTGTTCATGTCCTTTGCCCACTTTTTAATGGAGTTATTTACTTGTTTCTTGTTGAGCTGAATTTCTTGTAGATTCTTTCTCAGATGCATAGTTTGCAAATATTTTCTCCCATTCTATAGGTTGTCTGTTTACTCTGTTGATTGTTTCTTTTGCAGAAGCTCTTTAGTTTAATTAAGTTTCATTTGTCTATTTTTGTTTTTGTTGCATTTCCTTTGGAAGACTTGGTCATAAACTCTTTGCCCAGGTCAGTGTTCAGGAGGGACTTTCCTAGGTTTTCTTCTAGGATTTTCATAGTTTCAGGTTTTACATGCAGGTCAGGGGTATCCAATATTTTGGTTTCCCTGGGTCATGTTAGAAGAAGAAGAATTGTCTTGGGCCACATATAAAATACACTAACGCTAACGATAGTTGATGAGTTAAAAAAAAAATCTAAAAAAAGTCTTATAATGTTTTAAGAAAGTTTACAAATTTGTGTTGGGCCACATTCAAGGCTGTCCTGGGCCACATGAAGCCCACAGGCTGGGGGTTAGACAAACTTGATTTAGGTCTTTAGCCTACCTTGAGTTAATTTTTGTATATGGTAAGAGGAAGAGGTCCAGTTTCATTCTTCTGCATGTGGCTATCCAATTTCCTGGCACTATTTATTCAATAGGGTGTCATTTCCCTAGCGTATGTTTTTGTTGACTTTGTTGAAGATCAGTTTGTTACAGACAGATGCCTTTATTTCTGGGTTCTCTATTCTGTTCCATTGTTCTATATGTCTATTTTTATTCCAGTACCAGGCTGTTTTTGTTAATTTGAAATCAGGTAATGTGATGCCTTGACTCTGATTTTAAAAGAAGTTCTACTCTGGGTAAAATGCTATCAAACAGTATCACATGCTACAGAGAAATCTTTCATGAAAGGAAGAGTCCATCAATGTGACAAACTTTATTGTTGTTTTATTTTAAGAAACAGTCACCCAAACTTTCAACAACCACCATCCTGATCAGTCAGAAGCCATCAGCATCCTGGCAAGACCCTCCACCAGCAAAAAGATTACAGCTCACTGAAGGCTCAGATGATCATTGGCATTTTTTTTAGCAATAAAGTATTTTTAATTAAAGTGTGTACCTTTTTTAGACATAATGCTATTGCACATTTAGTGACTACAGTATAGTGTAAACATAACTTTTATATGCACTGAGAAACCAAAAAATTCATGTGATTCACTTTATTGTGATATTTGCTTTATTAGAGTGGTCGGGAAACTCATCTGCAATATCTGTGAGGTGTTCATGTATGTATCAATGGAAACCTGCAGTATATGTGTGGGAATGAGTTCTAACAGTGTTTGTGGCTGTTCATCAAATTCATTTCTCTTTCAGCTTCTTTACAATTCGACTACATTTCCCAGCTACCCTGAAATTAGACATGTTCATGTGACTGATTTGGGCCAAAGAAATACAGGCAGAAATGATGAGTGCCACTTCTAGGATTGGCCCCTAACAGTCTCCCTCAAGGAATTCTTCCATTCTTCTCTATCTGCTGGCCAGAGGCAGATGCTCAGGAAGACCTTAGAAAATGTGACTGGAAGATGACAGCCCAAGGCCCTGAGTGACTGCAAGGAATGGATCTACCCTCTCCTTTACTGCAGACTGTATTTTATGAGTAAAAAATAAACTTCCATTGTTAAGCCCTTGAGATTTTGATGTTTACCTATAATAGAGGTTAGTATTTCCTTAACTAGGAACTGTATTCATTTAATTAATTTATTTATTTTTTTGAGACAGAGTCTCCCTCTGTCACCCAGGCTGGAGTGCAATGGCGCGATCTCGGCTCACTGCAACCTCTGCCTCCCAGGTTCAAGCGATTCTCCTGCCTCAGTCTCCCAGGTAGCTAGGATTACAGGCGTGTGCCACCACGCCCAGCTAATTATTGTATTTTTAATAGAGACAACGTTTTGCCATGTTGGCCAGGATGGTCTCAAACTCCTGAATCTCAAGTGATCCGCCTGCCCAAAGTGCTGTGATTACAGGCTTGAGCCACCATGCCCAGCCGGTATATTCATTTCAGAATTTATCTTGGATATCTTTTCTATCCAGTACCTCATTCCTCTTAATTGCAACACAATGTTCCACAATATAGACATACCATCATTTACATTACTATTTTCCTGTTTCCAACTTTTTGCTATTAAAATGTTGCAAATAATACCTCTGTCTAGACCTCTTTATATAGTTGTTTCTTCACATCTAAAGCAGATATAAAGAAATGGAATCACTTGAACAAACAGTAGGTTCATGCTCAATTGTTGCTGATACTGCCAATTTGTGTTCCAAAATGTCTGTATGATTTATTCTACCATCAGCTGTGTATAAGAGTACCTGTTTCCCTGGTCTTCTGCCAATTTCAATAATGAGAATAATAATATTTCGAAAAACATTAAGCAAATGTGTTTTTCCCTAAATTTCTTCCTTAAACCGTATTTCCTTGCAGACTTCCATCCCTAAGGCTGATATACATGGGGCTTAATATCCTAGGAAAGGGAGAGCAGGTCTGATGGAAGAAAGGCTCATCAATTCAGAAGCTCACACCTGATATTTCTGAATCAGAAGCAAATTTCTGAAACCTGTCTTTGTCAAGAGAGTTTTTTCACATCCTATTGATATTTTAAGAGCCAAGCCTAGAGAGTTACATTATCAGTTTGCTTTTGCTGCATGATAAACTACCCCAAAACATAATGGCTTTGAACAACCATTGATTTGATCTTGATTCTATGGACCGGTGATTGAGATGGGCCATAGCTAGGAAGACTTGCTTCTGTTCTGTGTTGTACCAGTGGGGCTCACTCATGCACTGAGATTTCCACTGGGAAAGGCGGGATGGCAGAGGCCCTCTCCACCTGCTGACATCCTCCAAGAGGCTAGGCTATGCTCTTCACATAGTGACAAAGCATTCTTAGAAGCAAAGAAGGGCAAGTCTCAAGGCTCAGGCACTTTTGAAGCCTATGCTTGTATCCTTTGTCTGTAGCTCCATTGGCCAAAGTCACATGGCTCAGCCTAGATTTAAGGGTTGGGCAGACAGACCCTCATCTATGACAGGAGGAGCAGCAAAGATGCATACAAAAATTGTCACACCCACCGGGAATGTCATTTCACATGCCTCTACCCTAGACCTCCATGTCTCCAATCTTTCAGTCCTTCTGTTTCAGTCTGCTGGCAAACCAACCAGGCTATTCACCATTCCCGCGAGCTCTCGTAAATTCTCACCTTGGGCTACTTTTCTTTCTGCATAAAGTGGATGATCAGGTGATACTCAAAGTTCTACCCATTGGAAAGATTTTTCTCTCAACACTTTTTTCATTTTTTGTTTGTTTTTCTTGAGACAGGGTCTCAATCTGTTGCCCACACTGGAGTGCAGCAGTGCAGTCATAGCTCACTGCAGCCTTGAACTCCCAGGGTCAAGTGATCCTTCAGCCTCAGCCTCCCAAAGTGCTGGGATTACTCAGCACTGTCTTTTAAATTTCCGCCTGAGTGTGACTGTAATGCATCTGCTATTCATTTTAAACTTTCACCCACAAAACAATCTAAGCTAATCTATCCATAAACCGAGTTCAGGCTTTTTCTCCTCTTTCAGCATCTCTTCCTTTGCCCTCTATGGCCAAATGTGTGAGTTGGAGGGGGAGATGATGGTACAGCTCTAAAGAAAAGGGGAGTCTGGGCTAGCTTCTCACACATCTTACTGTGCTGCTCAGGCTCAGTCACTGACATTGCATTTCCGTCTTCATATAGACAGCGGCTGGGACTCCCTGACTCTGATTGGTGGGTTCAAGAGAACCCAGCTCAGGCTGGGCATGATGGCTCACAGCTGTAATCTCAGCACTTTGGGAGGCCGAGCAGGGAGGATCACTTGAGGTCAGGAGTTTGAGACCAGCCTCGCCAACATGGTGAAACCCCTTCTCTACTAAAAATATAAAACTTAGCTGGGCGTGGTGCGGGCGTCTGTAATCCCAGCTACTCAGGAGGTTGAGGCATGAGAACCACCTGAATCTGGGAGGCAGAGATTGCAGTGAGCCAAGATCGCACCCTGGATGACAGAGCAAGACTTGATCTCAAAAAAAAAAAAAAAAAAGAAGGAGAACCCAGCTCATAATGAGCATATTCGTGTTCATGGCCATGTAATGCTCCACGGTAAAGTGCTGCCTTGACTGGGGCCCATAGCACACCAGGAATTATTCTAGAAAGACAAAAGCACTCTTCCTCTGGAGCTTGCCATAAGCTCCACATGACATAACTTTCCAGCACTGACCTTTCCAAGGTCTTCCATATTGAATGGGCCAAGTGGCAGGACTGCCTGTAGTGCCACCTGGACTCACTGCAGAGCCCTTTTTGCTGCAGGATTCACTCAAAGCTGCCAGCCTTTCAGGTAACTCAGTATGTGAACTAGAGCTGTGTGCCCAGGTGTGGAATGGGAAGAGGCCTTCAGGGCTAGTACTTTCTTCTTGTGAGATGCAAGATGCAGCAATTTGTCTTTTAATCTGGACACCCAAAATCTTTACCTAAGTGGCAGTTCCATGAATATTCATAAAGATGATCTCCTGCCCTATGGAGCACATGTGTCCTGCCAAGGCCTCCTGCTGTTAGCACCTCTTGCTCGTCCTGTCCAATCAACACATGTCCTCAGTGTAACAGATCCATTTTGTGTTCTACAGGATAACTAGGTAATCCAGATCTCTTCTTCCTCTTTTTTATGTTTTTTATTTTTTTGAGATGGAGTCTTGCTCTATTGCTCAGGCTGAAGTGCAGTGGTATGATCTCAGCTCACTGCAACTTCTGCCTCTTGGGTTCAAGCAATTCTCCTGCCTCAGCCTCCCAAGTAGCTAGGATTATAGGCACACACCACCACTTCCAGCTAATTTTTGTATTTTAGTAGAGATGGGGTTTCACCATGTTGGCCAGGCTGGTCTCGAACTCCTGACCTCAGGTGATCTGCCAACCTTGGCCTCCCAAAGTGCTGGGATCACAGGCATGAGCCACCATGCCTGGCCTAATCCAGATCTCTTCTGATTATATCGTGAGTTATCTAATAAATGTATTTAAAATATCAGCTAGGATTCAGTTTACCAAATGGGACTGATTTTAGTTTATTCCATACCAGCCCCCTGCAGTTATCAGATAAAAGGGAAGTTCCCCTAAGATAAAAAGAGCATTATAGAAAATAATGGAGCTAAATTTTTTTCCTAGATGTCACCACACTTGATATTAGTAAAAAATTTTGTCAGTCTCTGGAGGAAAAATTGGATCTCTTTTGTTTTGTTTGCATTTCCTGACGGTAAGTTTGATGTTGTTTTGACATAATTATTGGCCTTTTATACTTCCTTTTCTGTGAACTACATACACTTATCCTTTGCCATTTTTAATGGGTTATATTCCTTTTTCTTATTAATTTAGTAATGTTAGTATTAAGTATATTAATCATTATAATTATTAGAATAATTAGAATAATGTAAATATAGTTATACTAATATATCAATTGTGCCTTTTATATTGATATATAATTCATTATAATGTATATAAAATAATGCATGTTATGCATATATCACTAATCTATAATGCATGGGTTATGTAACAATTATGTATAACATTATGATTATATTAATTATAATGTATTGGTATAAATAGAAATTGATAATTTATAAATATAATTATATCTGGATTAATATAAGTAATATCACATTAATATAATAATTTATGTTAACTAATATTATCACATTGATCTATTATTAATATAATAATATAAAGAATATTAATTGATTCTTGTTATATATGTTGCTAAACGCCTTTCAATAGGAGTCAATATTCATCAACTTTGTTTACCTAACTTCTCAATGTTTGAATAAACTCTTTATCATCTGGCTTTTGATCCACTACCCTCCTGATATTTCTCTAACAAAAGTCTTAAATGATCTTCAAAAGTTAAAGCTAGGCCAGGAACGGTGGCTCATGCCTGTAATCCCAGCACTTTGGGAGGCTGAGGCAGGTGGATCACCTAAGGTCAGGAGTTCTAGACCAGCCTGGCCAACATGGTGAAATTCTGTCTCTCCTGAAAATACAAAAATTAGCCAGGCGTGGTGGTGTGCACCCGTAGTCCCAGCTACTTGGGAGGCCAAGGCACGAGAATCACTTGAACCTGGTAGGCAGAGTCTGCAGTGAGCCGAGATTGCACCATTGCACTCCAGCCTGGGCAACAGAGTGACACCCTGTCTCAAAAAAAAAAAAAAAGTTAAAGCCAACCAGTGATTCGGTTTAAATCTTCATCTGATTTATCAGTAGCATTTTGCACTTCTTGAAACTCTCCTCTTTCTCAGCTTCCAGCCCATGCTCTCCTGGTTTTCTTCCTACATCTCTGACAATTAGTCATCAGTCTCTTCTTAGGGCTCTGATACCTTTGGCCGCCCCTTAAATGTTTTTATCTTCCAGGCTCTGCCTTTGATTCTGTCTTCTGCTGTTGTTCCCACTGTTGCTTGGGGAGTTCATCTAATCCCAGGTTTCAGCAACCACTTACACATTGTTGCAAACCAAATCTATTTTTGCATCCAAGACATGCTCCCTAGCTATAGTTTTTTATGTGTGACTTTCTGGACAGCTACACTTTAACATCACAAGGGCATCTCTAGCAAAATATGTCCAAAATGGAAATCTTACCCCTTCACAGCCAATCTCCTTGAATTGCCTACTTCTACTGGCTTCAGTTCTCACCTCCTATTCATTCTTCAACCCACTCCAATCTGGCATCTGCCCCCACCACTCCTAAAAATATGCTTTTGGTAGAGTTACTAATGATCTTCTTGTAACCAAATCCAATGTACACTTTGATTATTTTTCTTATTGCTTCTTTTTTTTACTTAGAGACAAGGTCTCACTCTGTTGCCCAGGCTGGAGTGCAATGGTGCCATTAGCTCACCACAGCCTCCAACTTTGGGGCTCAAGCGATCCTCTCGCCCCCACCTCCCAAGTAGCTGGGACTACAGGCGTGCACCACCATGCCTGGCTAGTGTTTGCAGGTATAGGGTCTTGCTCTGTCACCCAGTCTGGAGTGCAGTGGCATGATCATAGCTCACTGCAGCCCTGAACTCCTGGGCTCAAGAGATCTTCCTGTCTCAGCCTTCCGAGGGGGTAGGACTACAGGTGCACACCCCCACGCCTGGCCCTGGCCTCCTCTACTCTGCCCTGCAAAACTCAAGTTCTACCCACCCTGACTTCTTGCCATTTCCCAAAACACACCTTACCCTTTTGTGGCCCTGTGTCTTCAGGCTGTTTTCTTTGCTTGAACAATTTTCCCTCACTTGTCTGTTTAGCAAGTACTTTCTCACCCTTCAAAACTCATCTCAAATATAATTTCCTATTTGAATTATTTTATTTTTTCCTGAGGAGAGAGATGCTTCCTTTCTCAGTTCCTACTGCTTTCAAATGATTTATTTACCACATATCACATTGCATTATAATTATCAATTTCCCCGGTGAAGGTGGTATGAAATTGATAGCCACAAATTGGATGTGTAGGAAAGGTAGCTTTCTTTATTTTCTGTAGTAAAACTCAACTAACTGTTGAGCCACGTAGCCATACATGACAGAAAACACATATTCTGGCCACCTAGGAATCCCTTCTGGAGTGAAACAGTCTCTTTTGAGTAAATATGCAGGCAATTTTAAGATCCTGTCAGTTTTCCTTTCAGCTGACTTCTTTCTGCACATAATCTAAGTTTCTGGGTGACTTTGGTAACATCTTGACATTAAAGAATGGAGTATCTGGACCATGAGTCTTTCTCCAAGTCTTTCTGGCCTCTGAAGAGGAAGGGACATACCACCTGGTTTTAGGTATTGAGGGCTGTCATCACTTGCTGATATCCAAGGCCCGTGACATGGCCTCTGGTGAAATCACTGGGTCCACTCGTTCTTCACCTTCATCCAGGCTGCTCCCTTCCCACCCTTATACCCTTCCTCTGAGCATTTATGCCTCTAGTTTCTCCCTGGGCTCGGGAACTCTGACCTGTTGTTTCACATCATTGTGCAGGGTGCAGAACTCTACAGCACTGCAGTCAGGTCCATCTACCTGGACAATGCCTCGAACCATGGTTCATGTGGGTCTCTCCTACAGGCTTGCCAACCCCCTGGAATGCAAAGCCCAGGCGCGTTTCTCTGGAGGGTGGGAGGGTGCTTCTTGGGCACCTAACTTACTCTCAACTTGTTTAATCCAACAAGTTTATTCCATTCAGCTCAGGAAGAACTGCTATTTTTTACCCACATTAGAGTTGATTGTTAATAAAATCTGTGTTCCCATCTTCTAGGCTCTGAATCTTTGATTTTTCTAAGGCATGCGTATTATCTCTCAATCAAAAATCAAACGTGTTCAGCTTTCAGACTGATACGGTAGCTAAGGAGTTCAAAAATCATATTTTGAGGCTGGGCTAAGTGGGTCACGCTTGTAATCTCAGCACTTTGAGGGGATCGTTTGAGGCCAGGAATTGAAGATCAGTCTGGACAATATAGTGAGATCTCATCTCTACAAAAAAAAAAAAAATTCAGCCATGTGTGATGGTGCACGCCCGTAGTCCTAGCTACTCAGGAGGCTGAAGTGGGAGGATTGCTTGAACCCAGGAGTTCGAAGCTGAAGCAAGCTATGATTGCATCACTGTATTCCAGCCTGGTTGACAGAGTGAGACCCTGTCTCTAAAAACAAAATCATATTTTGAAGCTCAAAGCTAAATAATGATTGCTTTTTGCTAGGCTGTATCCACCCTTCCCCTGGGGACAATGCATCATAGGAAGGCATTGCTGCTTTTTTATTGGTGGCTGGGGGATGGTAAAGCAAAAGAATAGAAAATGCAAGTTAACAGCAAAACCTTTCCCTACAGCACTGCTTGTATTCCCCACAAAACCCTAAGCTCTCTGATGGCAGTGCCACATAGAGCTGGAATGCATGTGGCAGCCAGAAAATAACAGATCCCTGGGATAAGAGATAGCAAAGGTCAGGGTATCAAAGCTATGATAAGGCCCTGGCTTATAAGGAGTTGTGGTAAACCCACATTTCATTCCCCAAAGCTTTCTCCTTTGTTCTCTACTATCAAGACTGGAAATGTTAAATTCATACTTAATTTTCTAGTTTCCTCTGCCACTAGAGTCAGTGGCAAGATTTTGTCAATTAGACATGAAGTGAAAACTTCATGTGAAGTGTCTGGGTGAGTTTTTGCTTTCTGAATAAAAGAGACAGACACAGCTAATAACTAATCTCCTTTCTTCTTGCCTTCATCAACTGGCTAAATCCTCACATTGTCTTCTGACCTGTAGAAAAAGGATAGTTATGGTGGTAAGGGCCAAGTGGAAGCCCTTTGAGTTCTTCCTCCCTACAGAGAGAGTAAACAAAAAGCAATAACACATTCCTGAAGAATTGTAGTAATTGGTGTCTCCTTCAAAGTTTTGAACAATAAAGACATGGTTATACCTATGATATCCCCCATTACACTCAGTTGTAGAGTCTTTGCAGAAGAGAAACTTATCTTGGAAAAAGACAGTGGATTAACCCAAGCCTAATTAATAACTGACTTTAATTACAGCTGCTTTTCTGGATATGATTTCCTTATGGTAGCAAGGCAGCACAGGCACAGGTATGTGGTATGTGCTGCTATGAATTTAGAAAATGCTTCCCCTTCTCCAATCAATAAACAGAGAAAACCAGAAACACTGTGCTTTTGCCTGGAAAGGACAGCAGGACACCTTCATGATCAGTCTCCTTTCCTCCCTTGCCTTACCCAAGGGAATTTTTTGAAAACTTGATATTCCTACCAACTATACATCCTGGTTATTCACTATTTTGATGACATTTATATGGGTGGACTGGAATTAGGAAGTTCCTTGGATGCCCAACCAAGATATATGCCTGCTAAAGTATGGGAGGAAAATCTCATGAAAATATGGACCTCCTACCCTTACAAAAGAAGCTCAAGGCCAGGTGTGGTGGCTCATAGCTGAAGTCCTAGTGCTTTGGGAGGCCAAGGCAGGAGGATTGCTTGAGGCCAGAAGTTTGAGAGCAGCCTGGGCAACATAGCAAGACCCCATCTCTACAAAAAAAATTAAAAAATTATCTGGGTGTGGTAATATGCCTGTAGTCCTAACTACTGGGGAGGCTGAAGGGGGAGGATTACTTGAGCCCAGTAGTTTGAGGCTGCAGTGAGCTATAATCACACTGCTGCACTCCATCCTGGGCAACAGAGTGAGACCCTGTCTCAAAAAAATTTAAATTTAAATTTAAAAAAGAAAGAAGCACAATACTTGATGGAATGTTGTGGATTTTGGAAGCTACCCATATTGCATTTTAGGTCTCTTTCTACAGCTCATATACTAAGTAAACTAAAATATTTTCTTTTGCCACCTTTGAGTAGGGCCCAGAGCAAGATAAGTCTGTATGGAGGCTGAAGCTAACCTTGACTGGAGAATAGGATTTTAAAGCAAGGCTATGCTGTATTGCATTAGTAACAATTTCCATTTTGGGAAACAGCTCTTGGCTTGCTACTGAACCCTGGTAGAAATTGAGTGCCTGGCTATGGGACATGAGGGGACAATGTGATTGAGCTGGCCATGACAAAATGGTTGTTTTCTGATTCACTTCTCTATACAGTTGAGATGCCCAGAAGCAGTCCATTATCAAGTGGAAGTGTCAGACACCTAATCCGGACTGAGCAGGTCCTGAAGACACAAACGAATTGCATAAACAGGTGACTTATCTTCCCAACCGGGCTATTCCTGTCCACTGCTACTTCAATCAATCTCAAAAGACGTAAGGCCTCACAGGGAGTTTATTATATCCTGTTAGCTGATGAGAAAAATTTGAACCTGGATTACAGACGGGTCTAAATAACATGCTAGCACCAGCTGGAAAGACATGTCATGTTGCAGCCCTGCTATAGAATTTTGGTATAGACTCTGAACTGATCATCAATATATGGTATTGGTTTTTCCAAAACCAACATATAGTCAATCCTCATCATTCATAACTTCTGTGCTTGCAAATTTGCCTACTTGCTAAAATTTATTTATAACCCTAAAATCAATACCAATGGCACTTTCATGGTTATTTGAGGACATGTGCAGAGGTGGCAAGAAATGTCAGTTGCCCTCTGCATGTTGCCAGCTCAGGCTGAACAAGGCAATGTTTCTTGTTTCAGATCCCATACTATAAATAAGCATTATTTTCAGTGTCTATTTAGTGCCATATTTCCCACTTTCTATGCTTTTTGTTGGTGATTCTGCTGTTTGAAATGGCCCCTAAGCATAATGCTAAAGTGCTGTCTAGTATTCCTAAAAACAGGAAGACTGTGATGTGCCTTATGGAGAAAATGTATGTGTTAGATAAGCTTCATTCAGGCATAAGTTATAGTGCTGTTGGCTGTGAGTTCAATGTGAATGAATCAACAACACAATACATCCAGGAAAAGGAGAAAGAAATGCACTGACCTATAAGTCAGGCCGCTCCAGTAATAAATTTATAGACACATTACCTAGTGGATTAGGGTTCTCTAGAAAAACAGAACCAATAAGATATATATATATATATATATATATATATATATATATATATATATCCTTGCTATATATATATAATGTAGCATATACATAATATATGTATCTCATATATAGCATATATAGTGTATATATACATATATAAATATATATATGGAGAGAGAGTAATTTATTATAAGGAATTAGCAATGACCTAAGCTCTTTTTAAAAAATTTAATGGCTTAAATTCTAGTCCAAGCCCAAGGGCAAGAGACTACCAATGATCAAGCTTGAAGACAGTGAGGCAGAGATAGACAGTTCCTTCTTACTCAGCTTTTTATTCTATTCGGGCTTTTGACTGATTAGATAGGACAATCTGCTTTACTCAGTCTACTGTTTCAAACGTTAATCTCATCCAGAGAGACCCTCGCATACACTCCCAGAAATAATGCTTAACCAAATATCTGGGCACCCCAAGGCCCAGTCAAGTTGACACATAAAATTAACCATCACACCCAGGGGTATGAAAATGTGAAACTCTTCTGAGCTAGTGCTGGCTGGCTTTCACATTTCAAAAGGCAACAGAGCTTGAGAAACATTAAACTTGCATGTGAGGCAGGTTCTGCAGATCAGGAGGCTGCAGATGAATTTTTTTAAATATCTGCCAACTGTTATACAGGAAAGGGTTATGTACAAGAGTAGGCTTTCAATGCTGATGAGACTGGCTTGTTTTACAAGGACATTGGCAAACAAACCTATATAATGCCTAGGGTGGCATTTTGTTTGGCAAAAATTTTATGACCAGAGGCTCACAGGAACATAACCTAGTCTTTCCTCTTGGAGCAACAGTTCATTATTTGCCAATTCAGCATTAGAAGAAACTTTATAGGATGTAACTACCATGAATAATTTGAATAAACTGTATATGAATGGGGAAGCAAGGAGTGGAAGTGAGAGTAGCTCCTCCACTTTTATACCTAAGGACCCCTCAATATTTATGTTGTAGTCTTCATGATTTTGGGCTCTGATTGTTTAGGAGTCAAAGACATATGGAATGAATTTTTACACCAGAGGACACAATGACAGTCTCTAAAATATTTTTTAAATACTCTGTTGATTGCACTACTTATTTGTACTCTGTGTGTGCGTGCATGTGTGTGTGGGGGGGTGGTCATCAGTTTCCCTTGAACCCACAATGCCATCTGCACTGCTGGTCACCACCATTCCTTTTTAACCTTCTTCAAACTGTTACCAGTGGAGGGTGTCCAGGTTCTTGGCATTTTGAACAAACAATTGGGCAAAGCACACAAACAAAGCAAGGGAAGAATGAAGCAATGAAAGCAGAGATCTATTGAAAACGAAAGTACACTCCACAGGGTGGGAGCAGGCCAAGCATAGTGGCTCAAGAGCCTTGTTACAGAATTTTTTCTGGGGGTTTAAATACCCTCTAGAGGTTTCCCATTGGCCACTTGGTGTACCCCCCCATGCAAATGAAGTAGTAGCCTGCAATCAGTCTGATTGGCTGCTGCAACCAACAGAGGCTGAAGTGAAGTCACAAAGGTTACACCCTATGCAAACATCTGATTGGCTGTGAAAAGCAACCAATCAGAGGCTAAAGTAAACTTACAAAGTTACACTTCTATGCAAAGGAAGAGTTGGCCTACAATCAGTCTGATTGGTTGTAGAAAGCAACCAATCAGAGGCTCAGAGGCTGAAGTGAAGTTACAAAGTTACACTCCTATGCAAACGTCTTATTGGTTGAGGAAAGCAACCAATCAGAGGTACTTTCAATTTTCCATCTGCCAGGCAGAAAAAGGGGCAGGCGGTTGCAAACAAAGTAGCCTCCTGTCCTTTTGTTACTTGGGTGTGGAAAGGTGGGGTTTTCCTTTTGATTTAGTTCTAGGAAGTCAGCGTGAATCGGCCTTAGGTTCCCTGCCTCCAGACCCTATTCTCCCTGCCTCAAAACTACTTTTCATGCCCATTACTCTACCGAAAATGCTGTTGTCAACTTCACCAATGCTGTGTATATTGCCACGCCCAATGAATGTGTCTCTGACCTCAACTTTCTCTAATTCTCATCAGCTTTTGACTGAGTTGACCACTCTCCCCTTTTTGACACCCTCTTCTCTCCAATTCTGTGGCAACCTATTCCCATTCTACTTTTCCCCACCTTACCAGCATCTCCTGTGTTAAGTTCTCCTTCTCTACTCAATCAGCAAAATTTGATTCTCCTCAAAACTTGGTCCTGGGCCCTCTTTTTAATATCTTCTATACCTAAATATTCTCATCCACTCCAATATCTTTACATACAGTTTATGTCACAGCTTCTAAATTAATACGTCCAGCTCAAATCTTTTTCCCTTTCTCAAAAGTCACATATATAACTACGTACTTGACATTTCCACTCGGCTATCTCACAGCATCTCAAAGTCCATATGTCCAAAACAGAACTCCCAATTGTCACTGCCAAGCTTTGGTTTCATCTCCCATCCCACTCCTGGTTCTCCCCCATATTAAGAAATAGCAACACATTCATCCAGGACCTCATTTAGAAATCTAGAAGTTATTCTTGACTCTTACCTTTTGCATGTCTCTTGCCTCTAATTCAATCCTCCAGCAGATTCTACCTCAAAACACATTTCAGTTGTGTCTACTTCTCTGCATGTCCACTCTCCTGGGTGTCCACCATAAAGTCGGTGGGAATAGATGAGTATCACAGACAGGTTTAGACCTTTATAACCCAGAGGTGTTACCCTAGAGAAAACAGACAGCTTCTCTCTTCCAGCATTAACGTAAAATCCCAGCGAAGAAGCGGCCAGGTTTGGCTCATCTGCCAATTATTTTGACCAGAGGGATGTAAAGAATGCCAGACTAAGAAAAACACCACCACCTGCTCAGAATGGAGGCTGGTGACTGGGGCCCTCACCTCCCTGTGTGACGTCACCTCCCTGTGTGGGGTTTGCTGTCTTGCATGCACTTCACATGCAAACCAGAACTCTTGAAATAATGGGCTCTTCAATGAATCTTTATCATTATAATGCCTAGAAGCTTTGAGAATTTCCTAGAATAGATCTTATACAGAACTTGTAAATTAAAGAAAGCCTTTTGGCTGGGCGCAGTGGCTCATGCCTGTAATCCCTTGGGAGGCTGAGGAGGGCAGATCCCCTGAGGTCAGGAGTTCAAGACCAGCCTGGCCAACATGGCAAAACTCTATCTCTACTACAAATACAAAAATTAGCCAGGCATGGTGTTGCGTGCCTGTAATCCCAGCTACTCGGGAGGCTGAGGCATGAGAATTGCTTGATCATTTGAACCTGGGAGACAGAGGTTGCAGTGAGCCAAGAGCACACCACTGCACTCCAGCCTGGGCGACAGAGCAAGATTCCATCTCAAGTTAAAAAAAAAAAAAAAGCCTTTTAGGGCTCTGAAAACATTCGATTATATTTTGTTGGATTGAGGGGTCTGGTTATAAGTGGAAGGTGTCAACCCCTGTGTTCTTTTTCAGTCTCTTAGGATGCTTTCAGCTCTGAGTTCCCCAGATTGGCAAGGTTCCAGAATATATACAGCTATATGAATAGATGTAGATAGCTCATGTAGACAGAGATAGATATTGATATAGATTCACATGCATTCTATTCTTTAAATTTATGATTTAGGACCATTATACATACCAGAAAATGCATAGTTGAAGAACTAAACAGTAAGACATATATAAAAAGAAGTAAAGCCAGAGTTTTTTCCTATCTCCATACCCCATCTCCGAAAACCTATGGTAATTCAAATTAGTCTATTCCATTGAAACCCACATGTCTTCTCTTAACATTTTTATAGTTACGGAATTCAACTGGAATTTTGATTTCCCAGAACGAAAATAAGCAAGAAAAAATCTCCCAGGGTCAGAGAAAGCCATTCTTCCCATTCATGTTCTTCTCTTGAAACACCAGTAGAGGGCGAACAAGATGGCAGATAAAACCCCTGGAGCCGACAGGGCAGCCCAGAGAACTTCCTTAATTCCCACTGCCCAGCGGCCAAATGTGGATTCCGAACTCAGGAACATGAAAAAGCGGAAATATGGCCTTGAACACTAATTTGATTTAACCCTGGCGTTTCCAAGTTGTTTCTCTCCGATTTGGGTCTGTGATAGAGACTAAATCCTTTACAACCTGCCTGCTCATCTCCTAGAGACCAGTTTTGGAAAGATAGGTCTCAGAAAATGCACAAAGGGTGGGGCCTGGTGGCTCACACCTGCAATCTTAGCATTTTGGGAGGCTGAGGTGGGAGGATCCCTTGCACTGAGGAGTTCAAGACCAGCCTGGGCAACATACCTAGACCCAGTCTCTACAAAAAAAAAAAATACATATATATATATATATATAATCATATGTGTAATTATTACCCCAGGTGTGGTGGCATGTGCCTGTAATCCCAGCTACTGGGGGGCTGTGGTGGGAGGATCACTTGAGTCCAGGAGATTAAGGCTGCAGTGAGCCATGATCGCACCACTGCACTCCAGCCTGGATGACAGAGTGAGACTCTGTCTCAAAAAAAAGAAAAAAATCTATCTATACACACACACACACACACACACACACACATACACACATATATATATGCACAGAGGAGGGCAGAGGATAACAATCTATTTCTTATTTTAATGACAGGGTATCACACGCTTGCAGCAACCAGAACGTGACTTCTCCTGAGTACTGAAGTATTTCACAGCATCTGCAGAATTTAAAAGGAAGGAAATCAAGGAAAGGAAAATTTATTTTCATATACCCTTAGTTCAGAATAAAGACACATAGAAGCCTTATGGAGGAAAAGATAAGAATTTTATAAGCCTCGATGTTGAATAAAGAATTTTCTATTGCAATTTTAAAATACGTATGTATGGCCTCTGCCCAGTTAGGTAGCCTTGTGGGCCATTTGGGTAAAGCCCTCTTTATACTGTAATTCAATGTGTCAAAGATCAGTTGTTATTAGATGGGCAGACTTTTTTCAAAATGATAGAATCCAGTTTGGGCAAAAGTCTGGGAATATGAACCATTTTGTACACTCTTGGCTGGAGGGTAAATGGGTACAACTTTGGAAGGCAGTTAGGCAATGTCCATTCTAATTTTGTGTGAACATCCTACATGATCCCTCATTCTGACTTCTGTCCTGTAAAAACACTAGTAAAGTGTTCAAAAAGATGTGATAAAACCTTCATTGTAGCATTGTTTGTAATAAAGTTTAAAAAGAACTTAAAACTTCACTAAGGATAGACAGAATCGTTATGGCTTGTTACATGCCCTAGCACTATTCTAGAGGCTTTATCCGCATTAATTATTTCATCCCCACAACAAGCATTTTTTTCCTTTTCTTTTATTTGTATACTCTTTTTTTTTTTTTTTTTTTTTGAGACAGAGTCTTGCTCTGTCACCCAGACTGGAGTGCAGGGGTGTGATCTCAGCTCACCTGCAACCTTCGCCTCCCAGGTTCAAGCGATTCTCCTACCTCAGCCTCCCCAGTAGCTGGGACCACAGGCATGCACCACCATGCCTGGTGCACAAAAAATTTTTGTATTTTTTAGCAGAGACAGGGTTTCACCATGTTGGCCAGGCTGGTCTCAAACTCCTGACCTCAGGTGATCGGCCCACCTCAGCCTCCCAAAATGCTGGGATTTCAGGCATGAGCCACTACACCCGGCCTATTTGTATACATTTCAGGGGTACAAGTGTAGTTTTATTACATGGATATATTACACAGTGGTGAGGTCTGGGTTTTTAGTGCATCCATCACCTAAAGACTGTGGACTGGACCCAAGTAACTTCTCATCACCCACCCTCCTCCACCCTCCCACTTTTCCCAGTCCCCCGTGTTTACCATTGCACACTCTATGTCTATGTGTACACATGACTCATCTCCCACTTATAAGTGAGAACATGCGGTATTTGACTTTCTGAGTTGTTTCCCTTAAGATAATGGCCTCCAGTTCCATCCATGTTGCTGCAAAAAACATTTTATTCTTTTTTATGACTGAATAGTATTTCATTGTATATATACACCACATTTTCCTTATCGAGTCAGCCATTGGTGGATACTTAGGTTGATTCCATATCTTTGCTATTTTGAATAGTGCTGGGATAAACATACGAATGCAGGTATCTTTTTGCTATAATGATTTCTTTCCTTTGGGTAGATACCCAGTAGTGGGGTTGCTGGATCAAATGATAGTTCTATTTTTAGTTCTTTGAGAAATCTCCATACTGTTTTTCATAAAAGTTGTACTAATTTACATTCCCCCCAACAGTGTATAAGCATTCCTTTTTCTTTATATCCTCAACAACATCTGTTATCGTCTTACTTCTTAATACTAGCCAATCTGATTGGTATAAGATGATATCTCACTGTGATTTTAATTTGCATTTCTTTGAGGATTACTGATATTGAGCATTTTTCATATGCCACTACAAGCATTTTATCAGAACACATTTTATGCATAGAGAAATTAAGACGCAGAGAGGGGAAGTCATTTGTCCAAGTTCACACACAACCTAAGGGGCACAAGTTAGTATCCAACCCGAGTAGTGTCCATGCTTTTTTTTTTTTTTTTTTTTTTTTGAGACACAGTCTCGCTTTTGTCCCCCAGGCTGGAGTGCAATGGTGTGATCTCAGCTAACTGCAACCTCCACCTCCCAGGTTCAA
Organism: Homo sapiens; assembly: GCF_000001405.40. Taxonomy (NCBI): domain Eukaryota; kingdom Metazoa; phylum Chordata; class Mammalia; order Primates; family Hominidae; genus Homo; species Homo sapiens. The sequence continues at coordinate 28,435,070 of NC_000010.11, forward strand.
GCAATTCTCCTGCCTCAGCCTCCAGATTAACTGGGATTACAGGCGCCTGCCACCACACTCGGCTAATTTTTTTTTTTTTTTTTTTTGTATTTTTAGTAGAGACGGGGTTTCACCATGTTGGCCAGGCTGGCCTCGAATTCCTGACTTCAGGTGATCCACCCGCCTCGGCCTCCCAAAGTGCTGGGATTACAGACGTGAGCCACCATGCCCGGCCTATAACTTTTTTTTTTTTTTGTAGTCCATGCTCTTAATTCCTAGGTTCTACTGTGCCTCTTACTGTACTGTTGGAAACATGAGGAAAATTTGTATTTACTATGTGAAAAGATGTCCATGGTATAATGTTAAGATTTAAAAAGCAGTTTAAAAAATATGTGTAAATAGGTCGGGCGTAGTGGCTCATGCCTGTAATCCCAGCACTTTGGGAGGCTGAGATGGGCAGATCACTTCAGGTCAGGAGTTGGAGACCAGCCTAGGCAACATAGTGAAACCCCATCTCTACTAAAAATAGAAAAATTAGCTGGGCATGGTGGCACGCGCCTGTAATCCCAGCTACTCTGGAGGCTAAGGCACAAGAATCGCTTGAACTCGGGAGGCAGAGGTTGCAGTGAGCTGAAATCATGTCACTGCACTTCAGCCAGGGTGACAGAGTGAGATTCCATCTCAATAAAAAGAAAAAAATGTAGAGAGATAGTATAATCTCATAAAAACTGTCTATGTGTCAATATATAACCTGTTACATTATTAGAAGTGGTTTCCAGCTGGGTGTGATGGCTCACGTCTATAATCCCAACACTTTGGGAGGCCAAGGCGGGTGGATCATTTGACGTCAGGAGCTCCAGACCAGCCTGCCCAACATGGTGAGACTCTGTCTTTACTAAAAATACAAAAATTAGCCAGGCGTGATGACAGGTGCCTGTAATCCCAGCTACTCGGGAGGCCAAGGCAGGAGAATCACTTGAATCCGGGAGATGGAAGTTGCAGATCCATCACTCCACTCCAGCCTGGGCAACAAGGTGAGACTCTTTAAAAATAAATAAATAAATAAGTGGTTTCCTCTTTCCATGCTACTCACAGAGGGGTCCATATGGCGTTTTCTGGATTCCCATCGCAACTTAAAGGGAAAATTTCTCAATGTCTGGAGCCCTTGATGTCCTGCAAATGAAGGAGGAGGATGTCCTTAAGTTATGCAGCAGAAATCCACTTAGGTAGCACCAACCTTGACTTCCAAATGGAACAGTACATCTACGAAAGGAAAAGTGATGGCATCTACATCCTAAATCTGAAAGGACCTGGGAGAAGCTTCTGCTGCAGCTCACGCCATTGTTGCCACTGAAAACCCTGCTGATGTCAGCGTCATAACCTCCAGGAATACTGGCCAGAGGACTGTGCTGAAGTTTGCTGCTGCCACTGGAGTCAGAGCAATTGCTGGCCACTTCACTCCTGGAAACTTTACTAACCAGATCCAGGGAGCCTTCCGGGAGCCACGGCTTCTTGTGGTTACTGTCCCCAGGGTTGACCAACAGCCTCTCACAGAGGCATCTTATGTTAACTTTCCCACCATTGCTCTGTGTCACACAGCTTCTCCTCTGCGCTGTGTGAACATTGCCATCCCATGCAACAACACGGAAGCTCGCTCAGTGGGTTTGATGCAGTTGCTGCCCCGGGAAGTTCTGCACATGTGTGGTACCATTTCCCACGAACACCCGTGGGAGGTCATGCCTGATCTCTACTTCTACAGGGATCCTGAAGAGACTGAAAAAGAAGAGCAGGCTGCTGCTGAAAAGCCTGTGACCAAGCAGGAATTTCAGGGTGAACAGACTGCTCCAGCTCCTGAGTTGACTGCTACTCAGCCTGAGGTTGCAGACTGGTCTGACGGCGTGCGGGTGCCCTCTGTGCCTATTCAGCTGTTCCCTACTGAAGACTGGAGCGCTCAGCCTGCCGTGGAAGACTGGTCTGCAGCTCTCACTGCTCAAGCCACTGAATGGGTAGGGGCAACCACTGAATGGTCTTAAGCTGCTCTTGTACCGGCTATTAAGCAACATGGAAACAACGTTGATGGAAAATAAACATCAGTTCCTAAAAAAAATTTTAAAAAACACACAAAAAACAGAAGAGGTGGTTTCCCCTGGGAAGAGAGATTGATAGAGAAGAAGAGAAGCATGTTCACTTTTTACCACATGCAAGAATATGTATTTTTAACTCATTACAAGCATAAATACCTTATATAAAGACTTCTTAAATTTTTTGTACAGAAAGGGTCTCATTCCATTGCCCAGGCTGGGGTGCAGTGGCACGATCATAGCTCATTGCAGCCTCAAACTCCTCGGCTCAAGTGATTCTCCTGCCTCAGCTTCCCAAATAGCTGGGACTACAGGCATGTGCTACCACGCACAGCTAATTTAAAAAAAAAATTTTTTTTTAGCCAGGTGCAGTGGCTCACGCCTGTAATCCCAGCACCTTGGGAAGCTGAGGTAGGCGGATTGCTTGAGCTCAGGAGTTCAAGGCCAGCCTGGGTAACATGACAAAACCCCATCGCTACTAAAAATACAGAAATTAGCTGGGCGTGGTGGCACATGCCTGTAATCCCAGCTACTCCGGAGGCTGAGGCAGGAGAATCGCTTGAACCCAAGAGGCAGAGGTTGCAGTGAGCAGAGATTGCACCACTGCACTCCGGCCTGGGCAACAGAATGAGACTCAATCTCAAAAAAAAAGTTTATTTTCACTCAACATTTTCCGATTTTCACTCCAATCTGGTTTTCTTTTGCCTTAGCACCCGAGTCAACATGATGAATGGGCATCCACTGTGTACCAGGTACTGTGTGCAGTGCTTTTCGTACCTTTTGTTCCTTAATTCTCCCAACAACCCTGCAAATAGGTGCTATAATCCTCATATTCCCACTGAAAGAACAGATTTGGAGAAGTTAAAAACTAGCTTCAGGTCGTGCCACTTGTAAGTGACAGAGCTGGAGCTTGACTCTGTGTCTGTCAAGCTCCAAAGTCTACATCCTTTCCAATAATCCACACTTCCTCCAAACATGTATTTATATTTCTCATGTCTGTATCATCTCCATCCGGATCTTTTCATAGTAAATGCTTAGAATTTAGAGAGCAATGAAGTCTGGTATACAAATGTTGCTCTAATTTCATTGCCTTTTCCTCGATTTGTGTTTAGCGTTCAAACAACAAGCTGTGAAGTTTTCCAAACATGTGGATTTCCCTAATATAAAGACCACATTTATTCTGTTCCAGTAAAAAGAGCATTTATGTTACAGGATGACCAGAGATAGCCAAAAGAAGAGGCGGGAGGGGTGCTGAAATCTCAGTTGCCTGAGTGGTGCCTGATGTTCCTGAAACCTTCGCTTTGGTCAGCCTTCCATTTCTTTAGAATGTGAAGTATTTTTAACCTGCTGGTGGAATTCTGTTCATCTCACGAAATGAAGATTCATCACACTCTTAGCTAGGATGTGATAATAAAAGCAGAAGAAAGACCGAATGTGGTGGTTCATGCAGGTAATCTCAGCACTTTGGGAGGCCAAAGCAGGAGGATCACTTGAGCCCAGGAGACACGAGACTGGGCAACATAGTGAGACTCTGTTTCTTAAAAAAAAATTAGCTGGGCTTGGTAGCACATGTCTGTAGTTCCATCTACTATGGAGGCTGAAGTGGGAGGATCACTTGAGCCCAGGAGACACGAGACTGGGCAACATAGTGAGACTCTGTTTCTTAAAAAAAAATTAGCTGGGCTTGGTAGCACATGTCTGTAGTTCCATCTACTATGGAGGCTGAAGTGGGAGGATCACTTGAGCCCAGGAGTTGGAGACTGCTAGCTATGATCGTGCCACTGCAGTCCAGCCTGGGTGACAGAGCAAGACTCGGTCTCTTAAATAAATAAACAAGTAAATCAAAGGAGAAGAAAAGAACTCTTCTGATGCTGACAGCACTGGAATACTCCCACGGCTAGATTTGCCTGAGTTTAGCCAAGAAAACTGATATATTTCCCAAATTTAATAAGAGTATAGAGACATGCTTGTTGGAAAGCAATAAAGTCTTTAAGAGACTTTAACAATGCAAAACTCTCTGTGAGATCTTCCTACTTTCTCTTACCTTTTTTTTTTTTTTCCTTGAGATGGGATCTCACTCTGTCATCCAGGCTGGAGCGCAGTGGCATGATCTCAGCTCACTGCAACCTCCAACTCCCAGGCTCAAGCAATTCTCCCAATTCGGCCTCCCAAGTAGTTGGGACTACTGGTGTGTACCACCACGCCCAGATTTTTTTTGTATTTTTGGTAGAGAAGGGGTTTCACCACGTCGCCCAGGCTGGCCTTAAGCTCCTGAGCTCAAGTGAACTCCTAGGCCTCCCAAAGTCTTGGAATTATAGGTGTGAGCAAGCATGCCAGGCCCCTACCCTACTTTTCTTTCTTTCTTTCTTTCTTGCTTGCTTGCTTGCTTGCTTTTCTTTGAGACAGAGTCTCACTCTGTCATCTAGGCTGGAGTGCAGTGGCACGATCTCGGCTCACTGCAGCCTTGACCTCCCAGGCTCAAGCGATCCTCCCACCTCAGCCTACGAAGTAGCTGGAACCACAGGCACGTGCTACCACTCGCAGCCAATTTTTATTTATTTTTACTTTTTGTAGAGATGAGGTCTCCATCTTACTATGTTGCCCAGGCTGGTCTCCAACTCCTGGGTTCAAATGATCCTCCCACCCCACCTCAGCCTCCTAAAGTGCTGGGATTACAGGTATAAGCCACTATGCCTAGCCTGATCTTCCTATTTTTCAAGTTCTAGATTAAACACCCAGCATAATTCAACAAAAGCAAAAGAAACAAGATTGTGGCCAGGCGCGGTGGCTCACGCCTGTAATCCCAGCACTTTGGGAGGCTGAGGCGGGCGGATCACGAGGTCAGGAGATCGAGACCACGGTGAAACCCCGTCTCTACTAAAAATACAAAAATTAGCTGGGCATGGTGGCGGGCGCCTGTAGTCCCAGCTACTCGAGAGGCTGAGGCAGGAGAATGGCGTGAACCCGGGAAGCAGAACTTGCAGTGAGCCGAGATAGCACCACTGCACTCCACCCTGGGTGACAGAGCTAGACTCCGTCTCAAAAAAAAAAAAAAAAAGAAACAAGATTGCTCATTCAACAGAAACAAGGATTGTTGCTTGCCACTTTAGGATTATTGAAGTACTGGTGGATCCCCAAGTCTCTGCTTGGGATATGAGTTTGACCGAGAACTCCCAGTAATAATGAGTGAAGAGACTGGATCTTTTTTTTTTTAATTGCAAGACAACATTTTTCTCTATATTTTACTTAAAAATAACTTCTATTGCTTTTGCTGTTGTTAATCTCTAAGTGATGCATGTGTACTGGGAAGAGGCTGAAAAACATTGAATAGAATAAAGACAAATAAAAAATCACACTTATTATTACTACTTACAAATGACCACTTGATAGTTTGATGTCACCTTCCTAGGTCAATGTGTATGTGAATATATTTTTAGGTTCTTGGCTTGCTTTTTAAAAGTGGGATTATGCTGAATCTACTATTTTCTAGTAGGCTTTTTCGCTTAACAGCTTGTTTTGAGTATTTTCTTATGTTATTAAGTAACCTTCTCTAATATTAAAATAATGAATCAGTGGAGGAAATGAAGAAATAAATGTTTAATATTAACCATAAGGCTCATGTTAACTGAGCTACATCCCATTTCACCAGCTTCAAGTACAAGATGAAGTCAAATATCTCTTGTTTTTTGGTTTTTTGTTTTGTTTTGTTTTTTTGAGACAGAGTCTCTCACTCTGTCACCCAGGCTGGAGGGCAGTGGCACAATCTTGGCTCACTGCAACCTCCGCCTCCCGGGTTCAAGCGATTCTCCTGCCTCAGTCTCCTGAGTAGATGGGATAACAGGCGCGCACCAGTATGCCTGGCTAATTTTTGTATTTTTAGTAGAGATGGGGTTTCACTATGTTGGCCAGGCTGGTCTCGAACTCCTGACCTCAAGTGATCTATCCACCTCGGCCTCCCAAAGTGCTGGGATTACAGGCATGAGCCATTGTGCCTGGCCATCAAATATCTCTTAATAGTCAAATCAAGCTTCTCTGAAACCTCATCTTGCCAGTCGAGTAATTTTTTTCTCCTCTTCAAGGGTCTTCTCTCTCATTATAACTTGAAGAACCCCAAGAATGCTTCAGGTAAGAGATGAGTCTGGGCTACCACTGCCTCAGGTGAAAAACAGCCAAACGCTCTGCATGAGCTAGGGATTGCCAGCTGCTGTAACAATTAACCCCCCATACAACACAAGGTTATTTCTTACTTGCTTAAGAGTTCAAACCTGTGCTCCCTGTTGGGTGGGGAAAGTGATGGGGAGCAGCTCTGATTTTGGTCTCTCTAGACACTGGCATCCAGCCAGCAGAAGAGGGAAATGCCTGGAGGATCCTCATGTGAGATCCTCGTGGGACTTCCACCATATCCTATTGGCAGGAGTCACTCCCACGGCCATACCTCATTGCCAGGTAGGCTGGGAAATGTGATATGACTCTGTGCCCAGGAAGAAGAGAATGTGAATTTTGGTAAGTACTATTTCTATTTCTATTTCTGCCACCTTCTACTCTTTTGGCACCAAATGCAGACAGTCCTTACTTATAATTTTTCAACTAATTATTTTTTGACTTTATGATGGTGCAAAAGCAACATGAATTCAGTAGAAACAGTACTTCAGGTATTCACACAGCCATTCTGTTGTTCATTTTCCATACAGTACTCAATAAATTACATAAGATATTTAACACTTTCATATAAAATCAGCTTTGCGTTAGATGATTTTGTCCAACTGCGGACAAACATAAGTGCTCTGAGCATGTTTAAGGTAGGCTAGGCTGAGCTATGATTTCAGTAGATTAGTTCTATTCGATGCATTTTCAACTTGCGATGTTTTCCACTCACAGTGGGTTTATTGGGATGTAGCCCCATCATAAGTGGAGGAGCATCTGTTCTTGTTTGCAGCTTTCTTCCTACAGCAGAGAACACACCCATTCCTCTACTGCCTGCAGCTCATACTCCAGAACCTTGCTCTGATTCACAGTTCTCATCCTCAGGTTTGGAAAGAGACCTTTGCAGTCCAGTGATCTATGAACTACAATTTAAGTCATCGCTCCTCCCTCCTTTCCCAAGCACTGGGCACAAAAGTAAAACACAGTGCCAGACCTTGAGGGATCCAAAAACACATCTCAATGTTCAATCATCATGGAAGAATGAAAATTGTTCTACTAAACCATGTGCCAGGCTGAGCGGGAGCTCCAGGGAGGAAAAACAAGTGCCTGAGAAGGTCAGAGAAGATTCTCATTGGAGTTAAGCTTGAAAACTGAATTGGGGTTTTCCAGGAGGCCACAAGGCCAAAGGATTTTCCACTCTCAATAAACACTCTGTAGAAAGTAGTAACAGCTAATTACAGACAACTTTAATCTCTCTCTTGCCAATTTCCAGAACTCAAGTTTTAAGTAGTGAGTGAACATAAATTATCTTTTTGACAGGCAGGCTGCTCCTGCATCTGCTTTGGTTCTGTCTGGAATCTTGGAAGCTTTCCTTACTACACTCTTCCACACAGTTGCCTCTAGAGTTTACTAGAATGTTCTAGCAAGAGGCACAGACACTTACGCACCCTGGACTGAAGAAATGTGCTCCTCTGTCTGGGAAGGCAGCCTGCTCCGCCAGTGGGCCGTTCAAGGAAGGAGGCATGTGCAGCAGTGACTTGGATAGGATGCTACCCAGATGGGCAGAATCTACCCTGGCCATCAATGGGGTGATCAGCGTTGCAGCCACATCACCCTTCCATCCAGCATTCTTCTTTGGCTTTAGGTGTCTTCACTCTTAATAGCACAAAAGTTGAGGAGGTGTCTCTTCCAGAATAGAGTGAAAACTGCCTGTTGTTTGCCCCAGTGTGGTGGCTCACACCTATAATCCCAATACTCTGTGAGGCCAAGGAGGGAGGATCACTTGAGCTCAGGAGTTCCAGACTAGCCTGGGCAACATAGCAAGACCCCACCTCTACAAAAAAAAAATTTTTTTTTAATCTAGGTATGATGGTGCATGCTTGTAGTCCCAGCTACTTGGGAGGCTAAGACAGGAAGATCACTTGAGCCCAGAATTTTGAGGGGACAGGGAGCCATGATCTTGCCACTGTACTCCAACTAACCTGGGTGACACAGTGAGACCTTGTCTCAAAAAAAAAAAAAAAAAGCCTGTTGTTTGGTAAGGCCTGTGTGTGTCTCACATTGAGTTGCCTACAGCTCTCAATGCAAGACTTTCACCCATATCTCTGCCCTTAATCCTGCTACAGCAGGGAGAATGGCTTTTTTGAAAGAAAGAAGAACCTGCAGATGGAGGACAGTGGGCACTCTTTGCCAGAAATACATTTTTCACCCAAACATTCTCTCTTGCTAGTGTAGGCTGAAGTTTGACTTCCAAGCTTTCACTTGTGAATGCTGTAAACGCACATTACTTCACAAATGTCTATGTATTTTTTAGCAGAAAGAGGAGAAACTGGAGGGTTAGCGTTTACCCAGCAATACCTAAGTATTTTATTCATCTTTCAATGATTCTGGATAAAAATTTTTTTAAGAGACAGGGCCTTACTCTATCACCCAGGCTGGAGTGCAGTGGCACAATCATGGCTTACTGCAGCCTTGAATTCCTGGAGGGCTCAAGTGATCCCTCTGCCTCAGCCTTCTGAGTAGCTGAAACCACAGGCACGCCACCATACCTGGCTAATTATTTATTTATTTATTTATTTATTTATTTTTAAGAGATGAGGTCTTGCTATGTTGTCCAGGCTGATCTTGAACTTCTGGCCTCAAGTGATTCTCCTTCCTTGACCCCCCAAGGTGCTGAGGTTACAGGTGTGAGCCACTGCGTCCAGCCTAGAATCTGGATAAATTCTTATAAGGAAATAAATGAGATGAAATCAGGATCATTTGGGTACAAAGAACAGAGACTAAGGTATTTTGGGAAAAGAAGGACTTAATGAAAGGCCACTGATCACAGGAGCACAAAAAAAAAAAAAATGTTCTCAGGCAGGGCAGGGACAAGGGCTTCTTTTCTCTTCCCTTATCTTCCAAAATCAGTGTTTCCGCATTCCAGGTTTTCAGAAGAGGAAATGGATTGGCCCAATTCACTTTTCCCACCAGGGCACCAGATTTTAGGTGTCAGGCCAGCCAGTGGGTGGCCTATCCTGACAAGTCTCCTCCCCTAGATACTTAGCTGTGGCCAGGGGCATGGGATCCGGATGGCCCCTGCCCCAGAAGGAGAATGGGTGAGGGAACTACCGCAAAAAGTATCTAATACATTATGAGACTTAGGTCAGCAATTAAGAGTTGCATTCTGGACCTGCACTCGCTGCTTCCAGTGTTGGCTCCAGCCCTTACTAGCTGTGTGACCTTGCCCAGGTTACCTAACCTCTCTTTTTTTCAGTTTCTTTTCTTAAGATGGGGCAAATAAATGGTACCTTCTCACAGGATTGTGATAAAGATTAAATGAGACAAGGGGCCGGTGGCTCATGCCCAGAACTTTGGGAGGCCAAAGTGGGCAGATCACCTGGGGCCAGGAGTTCAAGACCAGCCTGGCCAACATGGCAAAACCCCGTCTCTACTAAAAATACAAAAAAATTAGCCGGGTGTGGTGGTGTACGGCAAGTAGTCCCAGCTACTTGGGAGGCTGAGGCAGGAGAATCGCTTGCACCCGGGAGGCAAAGGCTGCAGTGAGGAGAGATCGCGCCATTGCACTCCAGCCTGGGCAACAAGAGCAAAACTCTGTCTCAAAAAATAATAATAATGAAATAAATAAATAAATGAGACAAGGTATTAAAAGCACTCAAAACTATAAATAGCACACAGTGAGTATTCAGTAAGTATTGCTGTTATGTTTTGCCAAAAAACAAGCAGCTCTTCCTCAGTTTTCTGTTAGTGGTGTCATCATTCTCCCATATATAAAAAGTAAAGTCAGCCAGGCGCAGTGTCTCACGCCTGTAATCCCAGGACTTTGGGAAGTCAAGGCGGGCGGATCACCTGAAGTCAGGAGTTCAAGACCAGCCTGACCAACATGGAGAAACCCCGTCTCTACTAAAAATACAAAAATTAGCCAGGCGTTGTGGCGCATGTCTGTAATCCCAGCTACTCAGGAGGCTGAGGCAGGAGAATCGCTTGAACCCAGGGGGCGGAGGTTGTAGTGAGCCAAGATCGCGCCATTGCACTCCAGGCTGGGCAACAAGACTGAAACTCTGTCTCAAAAAAAAAAAGTAAAGTCACCTGTTGACCATTATGTCCTGTTCACTCTTTCTTTGCTAAGCCTTTTACTTTATTCACTGATTCACTTATTTATCCGATTTACAGTTTTGAGCATCCATTTGCTACATAAAAGAATTTTTTTTTCCTTTCCGACTTTGCAGGCATCTCTCTAACTTAAGCCCTTAATACCTCCCACTTGGACTGTTAGAGTTAGCTTCCGCACTGGTCTCCCTGGCTCCTGCATACCATGGCCAGATTAATGTCACTAACACACATTCTGATCATGTCATTCACTTGCTCAATGGTTTTCCATGCTTCCCTATTGTTTGTGGTATAAAGTTCACATTTTGAAACTCGACATTCAAAACATTCTGCAGTTTGGATCCGATCTGCCATGGCAGTTCATTCCCACGGCTTCACCATCTAGCGACCACACTCTGGTTGACTGCACTGTTCTTGTTTCTCTCCGCATGGCAGCTCCTCTGATGTTTTCCCACCTCTGCCTTTGTTCCTGTTGTTCCACCAACCTGAAATGCCTGACCAGTCATATCAGCATCACATGAGAGCTTCTTAGAAACGGCACGGCCAAAACCTACTGCATCAGAACCTGCATTTTAACAAGATCCTTGGATGGTTCATATACATGTATTTTTCTTTCCTTTTTTTTTTCTAAGATGGAGTCTTGCTGTGTCGCCCAGGCTGGAGTGCAGTGGCATGATCTCGGCTTGCTGCAACCTCTGCCACTTGGGTTCATGCAATTCTCCTGCCTCAGCCTCCCGAGTAGCTGAGATTACAGGCATGCACCCCCACACTTGACTAATTTTTTTTGAGACAGAGTCTCACTCTGTCACCCAGGCTGGAGTGCAGTGGTGCAATCTCGGCTCACTGCAACCTCTACCTTCTGGGTTCAAGTGATTCTCCTGGCTCAGCCTCCCCAGTAGCTGGGACTACAGGTGTACTGGTGTGCAGCACCACGCCCTGGTAACTTTTTTTTTTCTTTAGTAGAGACAGGATTTCACCATGTTGGCCAGGCTGGTCTTGAACTCCTGATCTCAAGTGATCCATCAGCCTCGGCCTCCCAAAGTACTGAGATTACAGGCATGAGTCACTGTGCCCAGCCATATACATGTATTTTTCTTATATTTTACAAGATAAAAATATCTTTTTTTTAAGGGATGAGGTCTCACTATGTTGCCAAGGCTGGTCTTGAACTCCTGGCTTCAAGCAGTCCTCCTGCTTCAGCCTCCCAAAGTGCTGGGATTATAGGTGCAAGCCACCGCACCCAGCCTAGATAAAATATCTTTTAATTTATGTATCTTGCATATCATGAGTTAACCCATTCCATCCCTCTCCCTGTTAAAATTCTACCCTTGCCTCAAGGCCTAGCTCAAACAAGAATGCCTCATCCAGATGTCCCTGACAACTAGAGACAGAAATAATCTCTTTGTTCTCTGAATTCCCATAGTTGCTTTCTGAATTCTCTGGATTTCCCACAGCTGAATTCTTTACACCTGTTTCTGGTAATCATCATCAGACATATGTTCTCTCTTACTAGACTCAGTTTCCTTGAGTACAGGACTTTCCATAAAAAATACCCAATAAATATCCAGAAATAGATCATACGGTTCAAAATACAAAAGAAAGGCTGGGCACCATGGCTCACGTCGGTAATCCCAGCACTTTGGGAGGCCAAGGCAGGAGAATTGCTTGAGGCCAGGAGTTCAAGACCAGCCTGACCAACATGGCAAAACCCCATCTCTACTAAAAATACATAAATTAGCTGGGTGCAGTGGTGCACACCTGTAATCCCAGCTACTTGGGAGACTGAGGCACAAGAATTGCTTAAACCCAGGAGGTGGAGGCTGCAGTGAGCTGAAATAATGCCACCGAACTCCAGCCTGGGTGACAGTAAGACTCTGTCTCAAAAAAACAAAACAACACAAAACAAAACAAAAACAAGAAAAAAGAAAGAATAATGTCATTTTGCTGGTCAATTAGAAAAGATGACATAGGAGGTGACATTTTATCGATCAGCCACTCTAATTCAGGGTTCAAGGCTGATGAAATTTTTTTTCAGAGACTGCAAATATGTTGAAATCTGAAAAAAATATATTGGCTACAAGATACGACAATTAAATTAAAATTAATAAATATTGAAAACCATAACATCCCGTTTCTTTATTGCTAGAGATAGGACAAAAAATCAAAGATATGACAATAATATTAAAAATTAATAAATGTTGAAAACCATAACATCCCGAATTTCTTTCTTTCTTTTTTGAAATGGAGTTTCTCTGTCACACAGGCTGGAATGCAGTGGTGCGATCTCGGCTACTTGCAACCTCTGCTTCCTGGGTTCAAATGTTTCTCCTGCCTCAGCCTCCAAATAGCTGAGACTATGAGTGCGTGCCACCATGCCCGGCTAATTTTTGTATTTTGTTGTTGTTGTTAGTAGAGACGGGGTTTCACCATGTTGGCCAGGCTGGTCTCGAACTCCTGAGCTCAAGTGATCTGCCCGCCTCGTCCTCCCAAAGTGCTGGGATTACAGGCATGAGCCACTGCACCTGGCCCTGAACTTCTTAATTGCTAAATTTAGGATTCAGAATAATCACATTATCTTAAATGCAATTTTTGTAGATCTTTTTGCTTTGCAAGGATTCTCAAGCATACACAATGATTCTCCAGAAATCTGCATAGTAAGAAAAAAAAAAAAAAACAAGTGCAGATAATGGCAAGCACCACCTCACTCTAATATATGAGATGGGCTAAGGCTTCCAAAAGATTGTCTCAGCTTATGAAGACCTAGAAATGTCCCTGTACATAAGTGCACCCAGCCCGTGCTGATGGGAGCATAAATTGCTGCAAACACCCTAGAAGCAATTTGTAAGTGGGCACGTGGGCATTAAAAATGTTAAAACCTAGTACTTTAGGCATTAAAAATGTTGATCCTAGTACTTTAGGAGGCTGAGCCAGGATAATCAGTTGAGCCCAGAGCTCAAGACCAGCATTGGCAACATAGCAAGACACTATCTCTACAAAAAATTTAGAAATTAGCCTAATGTGGTGGTGTGTGCCTGTAGTCCCAGCTATTCGGGAGGCTGAGGCAGGAGGATCACTTGAACCTGGGAGTTGGAGGCTGCAGTGAGCCATGATTCTGTCACTGCACTCCAGCCTGAGCAATAAAGCCAGACCCTGTCTCTAAAAAAATAGAAAAAAATTGTTACGACCTTTTGACCCAATGATACTACTCCCAATACTTAATGTTCTGGAAAAGGTCATGTGTCCTCAGCATTTAGTAATTCTCTATCTTTCTTTTTTGCATACTAGTCTGTATATTTTTCAAATTTCTTACACAGTAAGCATGCATTTTATAGCAAGAATGCTTACAAGAAAAAAAATTAACTATTTAAAAAGAAGTCAATTGCCCGGGCACGGTGGCTCACGCCTGTAATCCCAGCACTTTGGGAGGCTGAGGCAGGTGGATCGCTTGAGGTCAGGAGTTCAAGACCAGCCTGGCCAACATGGTGAAATCCCGACTCTACTAAAAATACAAAAATTAGCCAGGCGTGGTGGTGCCCACCCGTAATCCCAGCTACTAGAGAGGCTGAGACAGGAGAATCACTTGAACCCGGGAGGCAGAGGTTGCAGTAAGCCCAGATGGCACCACCGCACCTCAGCCTGGGTGACAGAGGGAGACTCCGGTTCAAAACAATTAAGTATAAATAAATAAATAAATGTCGATTAAGAGGAAGAGGAAATAAGAGGAAGGTACAAAGAGGCAAGAAGGCCAATTCCATGCAGTGGCCTCGATGCTTTAGCTTTCCTTTGTCTCCCAATCTGCTCTGACCCATGATGCAGGCATTTCCCTTGATCCACACCCCAAACCACAGGCCAACCTTTCTGTCCTAGCACACGGTCCCAGCTCCCAAAGAACCCTAATCACTCCAACTGCGTGAGTGTTTAATCTTCCCAACATTTAATGTTTCCAACAATCCGAAACGGTGGGCACGATTTTTCTGCTTCTCTAAATGTGAAAACATACTCAAAGAGGTTAAATCATGTTCCCAAACACCACACAGCAAGGAAATGGCAGAGCTGGAGTATGGATAATTTATTGTCTACTTTAACAATGGGTCCTTTTTCAATTACCCCAAGCTGCCTTTGGTCCGTGCTTTATAGTGGACACTCATTGTCTTATTGTCCAAGTTCAACATTCTCACCTCCTTTCCATTTCAGATCTTTTTATCAGAGAGCATCTTTCCTCTCTCCTCCCAATAGGACCAGATAGATGTAAAAACACAGACCAATTTAACATATGGAGTCATTTTATCTCTGAAAAAAATCTCAATTTGGAAGCCAGTCATAGTGGGGAAGGGATAATGTTAGTATTTCACCTTCCTATCATACATTGGTTTAATATTTTTATTCTGATATCAATGTACCACTGTCTGGGTGTCTGTTTTAAACTACAGACATCTCTAAAGCAGAGACTGATTCTACATAATTCTCTTTATATTCTACTTAGCAAAACAAGGTGGTCAGTTAAATATTTAAAATTGTTTTGCATAATGAAAATGTTGACATGCAAATAAGTAAGAAAAATCTGTCTTATATTGGGAGGTAATTATGCTTAAAACATAAAATAATCACACATTGGATTAGAAGACAGAAGGAATCACAAAAATATCTGTTTGAACAATCTACTTTAATCTGAAAAAAGATTTCACTCTCCAGGGAACAGAGTGTGATGAGAATGGCCAGAAGGCTCATTTTGAGCTTTTGATCAGTTCTCTCTGCAAGTGCAGCCAGGGAAGAGATTTCCAGACTGTATGGAGTGCTGTATTTACCAGCTTTGGAAAACCGAGGAATATATGCCATTTTTTAAATCAAAGAAATGTGGAAGGCTCATTCATGAAAACAAAGAATTTAGGATCTGGAAATGAACATTTAAAAAAATTTGTATTCAACCCATTTTACAACATGGAATGAATTAGCTCCATTCTAGCAGAACTATGTATACATGTAGTTATTCAACAAAACAGTCTGCTTTTTAAAAAACATTCACATTTTACACAAAGAATAATTCAGAAATGGGCAAGAAGATGTATATTTAGCCTATACTGAAATATCATAGAGAAATAAAACTTATACCTGTTTTGAAAACTGTGGTTTGATACTACATAGCTCACCCTGTCAGTGTAAAATTGGCTTTTTGAACTCAAAAGCACAAAGTGCTCTAGGTTGAAAGTGGAGCCGGGCAAGGTGGCTCATGCCTATAATCCCAGCATTTTGGGAGGCCGAGGCGGGCAGATCACCTGAGGTTGGGAGTTCGAGACCAGCTTGGCCAACATGGTGAAACACCGTCTCTACTAAAAATACAAAAAAATTAGCTGGGTGTGGTGGTACACATCTGTAATCCCAGCTACTTGGGAGACTGAGGCATGAGAATCACTTGGAGCTGGGAGGCAGAGGTTGCAGTGAGGGGAGATCGCACCACTGCACTCTAGCCTGTGTGACAGAGCAAGACTCGGACTCAAAAAAAAAAAATGCAGACAGTCGTGCACCATATAATGTTTCAGTCAATGATGGACCACATGATGATTGTCCCTCAAGATTATAATACCTTATTTTTGTGTACCTTTTCTATGTTTGGATATATTTAGATACAAAAATGCTTACCATTGCGTTACAAATGCCTACAGTATTCAGTAAAGCAACAGGCTGTACAGATCTGCAGCCTAGGAACAAGGGGCTGTACCACATAGCCTAAGTTTGTAGTAGGCTCTACCATCTAGGTTCGCATAAGTACACTCTATAATGTTCACACAATGATGAAGTCGCCTAAGGATGCATTTCTCAGAACATATCTCTGTCTTTAAGAGATGCATGATGGTACACACTTTCTTCAGTCAGTTCAAATAGGTAATATTTATGCAGCAATAGCAAGAAAATGGAACTTGATCTCAAAAGATGTGACTCAATTTGAGTTAGCCACACTCCAAATGTTAAATAAAAACTTCCGTTCACAATTTCGCTCTTTGTGTTTAAAATATAACTATCGCAAAATATCACTAAGCTGAATACAGTAAAAAAAATAATAAACCGGCCAATAGTTTTTAATGAAGGTAGGCTAGGGAGGGGTAAGCAAAAACTCTGGGCTCTCTGATGGACAGTGCAAACTTTTTTGGCTTTGCTTATTTTTGTTTTAGAGTTATTACTCCTACTTTATTCTTCTTTTCCAAAATTATTTTAGTTGTTCTAGTTCCTTTGACTTTGCATGTAAGTTTTAGAATACTCTTGTCTATATCTATAAAAATGCTTACTACAATTTTGACTGTCATTGGGTTAAACCCATAGATCAATTTGGAAAAGAATTGAGACCTTCCTCTAAGAACTCAATATATATCTCTTCATTTAATTTATATCTTCAGTTAATTTCATCATCATTTTATAGTTTTCAGCATATACATGTTTTATTAAATTTATACCTAATCACCTCATTTTTTGAGCAATTGTAAATAGTATTCTATTTTTAATTTCAGTTTATACATACTTGTTGCTAGTATAAGGGAGTAAATGTTTTTTTGTCTATTAATCTTATATCTTATGACCATGTGTGAATGGCCCACCAGTTCTGCATCCTCAAGAGCATTTGGTGTTGTCTCTGCTTTTTTCTTTTCTTTTTTTTTCTTTTTCCTTCTTTTCACAGGTGTTGATGATCTTTATTTTTTATCTATACTTTATTCTTTTCACAGGTGTTGATATATCTTTGTGGTTTTCTCTTTTTTTTCCAACAGATTGGCCGAATGAGTGTTTCTTAATGTGTTAATAAACACATGATACAAGATCGACCCTCTTAACTTTCTAAGTATATAGATACTATAGTATAATATTGTTAGTATAATATAGTTAACTAATAGGTTGGTGCAAAAGTAATTGCAGCATCAATGGCAAAAACCACAATTACTTTTGCACCAATATAATATAACTATAATAACCATAGTTATTACAGATTATAGTTAGTATAGTATTATAGTTAGTATAGTATTATAGTTAACAATAGCATAGCATAGCATAGTTAACTGTAAGCACATTGTTGCACAACAGATTTCTAGGATTTTTTCATCTTGCATGACTGAAACTCTAAACCCATTGAATAGCAATATCCCATTTCCTTCTTCCTGAAACTCCTGGCAACCCCCATTCTCCTTTCTCCTTCTATGAGACTGAATATTGTAGATACCTCATATAAAGAGAATCATGCAACATTTGTCCTATGGTTAGCTTATGTCACTTAGCACAATATCTATAAGTTTTACTCATGTGGTTGTGTATGGCAGGATTTCTTTCTTTTTTAAGGCTGAATAATATGTCTTTGTATATGTATACCATGTATATGTCCATTTTGTATGTATGTACATTTTGTTTATCCATTCATCCATTAGGTTGTTTCTACCTCTTGGCTATTGTGAATAAGCTGCAATGAAGATTCATTGTAAATCTTGAATTGAAAACAGAATCTTCTTCAATCTTCTTCACAAAAATAAGCTGCAATGAAGAATATTCTGATTTCGATTCTTTTTTTGTTTGTTTGTTTTTTGAGACAGAGTCTCGCTCTGTCGCCCAGGCTGGAATGCAGTGGCACGGTCCTGGCTCACTGCAAGCTCTGCCTCCTGGGTTCACGCCATTCTCCTGCCTCAGCCTCCCGAGTAGCTGGGACTACAGGTGCCTGCCATCACTCCTGGCTTATTTTTTGTATTTTTAGTAGAGACGGGGTTTCACCGTGTTAGCCAAGATGGTCTTGATCTCCTGACCTTGTGATCCGCCCGCCTCGGCCTCCCAAAGTGCTGGGATTACAGACGTGAGCCACCATGCCCAGCCTCTGATTTCAATTCTTTTGGTTATATACCCAAAAGTGGGATTGCTGGATCATAGGTAGCTCTATTCTTAATTTATTACAGAATCTCCATACTGTTTATCATAGCAGCTGCATCATTTTACATTCCCACCAATAATGCAAAGGGTTGCAGTTTCTCTGCATTCTCACCAACACTTATTTTCTGTGTGTTTGTGTGTGTGTGTGTGTGTGTGTGTTTATTTTATAATGGCCCTTCTAACAGATGTGAGGTGATAGCTCATTGTGGTTTTGATTTGCATTTCGTTGATGATTAGTGATTAGCATCTTTTTATATATCTGTTGGCCGTTTGAGCATCTTCTTTGGGAAAATGTCTATTCAAATCTTTTGTCCGTTTTAAAATCAGATTATTTATTATTTTTTGTAGGGGGTCCTTATATACTTTGGGTATTAACCCCACATGAAATTTATGGTTTACAGATATTTTCTCCCATTCTGTAGGTTGCCTTTTCACTCTATAATTGTTTCTTTTGAGCACACAGCTTTTTAGTTTCATGTAGTCCCACTTGTTTATTTTTGCTTTTGTTGTTTGTGCTTTTAGTGTCATGTCCAAGACATCATTGTCAAAACAATGTTATGAAGGTTTCCCCCTATGTCTTTTTCTAGAAGTTTCGTAGTTTCAGGTCTTATGTTTAAATCTTTAACATTTTGAGTTGACTTTTGTGTATGGTGTCAGAAAAGGGTCCAAATTTATTATTTTCCTGTGAATATTCAGCTTTCCCAGCACCATTTGCTGAAGAAACTAGTTTCCCTATTGTGTGGTCTTGGCACCTTGTTGAAGGTCATTTGACCATATATGTGTGGATTTATGTCTGGGGTCTCTATTCTATTCCATTGATCTATATGTCTGTCTTTATGCTAGTACCATACTGTTTTGATTACTGTAGCTTTGCAATAGCTTTTCAAGTCAGAACGTGTGAGCCCTCCAGATTTGTTTTTTTAAGATAGTTTCAAGAATCCAGGTCTTTTTGTCAAAGGACCCTGATTGTGTTCAGAGTCCTTTGTGGTTCCATAAGAATTTTAGGATTTTTTTTTCTATTTCTGAAAAAAAAAAATGCCATTGAGATTTTGTCAGGGATTGCATTTAGTCTGTAGATCATTTTGAGTAGTATGAACATTTTAGCAATATTAAGTCTTTCAATCCATGAAAATGAAACATTTCAATTTATTTGTATCATCTTAAATTTCTTTCAACAATGTTTTGTAGTTTCCACTGTACAAGTCTTTCACCTCCTTATATTTATTCCTCAATCTTATATTTATTATTTTTGATGCTATTGTAAATGGAACTGTTTTCTTTCTTTCTTTCTTTCTTTCTTTCTTTCTTTCTTTCTTTCTTTCTTTCTTTCTTTCTTTTTTGAGACAGAGTCTCACTCTGTCACCCAGGCTGGAGTGCAGTGGCACAATCTCAGCTCACTGCAACCTCCGCCTCCCGGGTTCAAGCGATTCTCCTGCCTCAGCCTCTGGAGTAGCTGGGATTACAGGTGCGTGCCACCACGCCCGGCTAATTTTTGTATTTTTAGTAGATATGGTGTTTCACCATGTTGGTCATTCTGGTCTCAAACTCCTTGTGATCTACCCACCTCAGCCTCCCAAAGTGCTGGGATTACAGGCATGAGCCACCGTGCCCAGCCCTGGAACTGTTTTCTTCATTTCCATTTTGGATTTTTTGTTTTTAGCATATAGAAACACAACTAATTTTTGTATGTTGATTTTGTATTCTGTAACTTTGCTGAATTCATTTATTAGTTCTAACAGATTTTTTGGTGGAAGCTTTAGGGTTTTCTATCTATCAGATAATGTCAGCAATTATTTTTCTCTTCTCTAGTTCACATATTTCTTCCATAATTTTTATTATTTTCTTCTTCTGCTAAGTTTATGCTCACTTTGCTTTGCTTTTTCTAGTTCCTTGAGGTTTAAAGTTGGGTTGTTTACTGATATCTTTCTTCTTTTTCAATGTAGCCCTTCACTGCTATAAATTTCCCTCCTAGTACTATTCTTGCAGTATCAAATAAGTTTGGGTATATTTGTTTTCATTTGTCTAAAGATATTTTCTAATTATCCTTTTGATTTCTTCTTTGACCCATTGATTGAGAGTGTGTTGTTTAATTTTTTCATATTTGTGAATTTTTCAGTTTTCCTTCTGCTACTATTTCTAGTTTCATCCCATTGTCATCAGACAAGATACTTGGTATTATTTCGATCTTTTTAAATTTGTTAAGACTTATTTTATCACCTAACAAGTGATCTATCCTGGAGAATGATCTGTATATTCTCGAGAAGAATGTGTACTTTGCTGCTATTGGATGGAACATTGCATATATGTCTCTTAGAACTATTTGCCTACAGTGTTGTTCAAGTCTTTTGTTTACATATTAATTTTCTGCCTTGATAGTCTATCAGTTGTTGATAGTGGCATTTGAAATCTCCTACTATTAATGTGTTGCTATCTATTTCTCCCTTCAGTTTGGTCAATATTTGCTTCTTATACTTGGGTGCTCTGAAACTGGGTGCATATATATTTTAAAAGTTTATATGTTTCTAGTGAACTGACCCATTTGTCATTATATAATGTTCTTCTTTACCTCTTGTGACAACTTTTGACTTAAAGTCTCTTTTGTCTGACATAAATATGGCCACCCCTGCTCCCTTTTGTTTAACATTTGCATGCATTTTTTCTTCCGTTCTTTTATATTCAGCCTATGTGTGTCCTTAATCTAAAGTGAGTCTCTTGGCCACGCACGGTGGTTCACGCCTGTAATCCTAGCACTCTGGGAGGCTGAGGTGGGCAGATCACCTGAGGTCAGGAGTTCGAAACCAGCCAGGCCAACATGGTAAAACCCCATCTCTACTAAAAAATACAAAAATTAGCTGGGTGTGGTGGCTCACGCATGTAATCCCAGCTACTCAGGAGGCTGAGGCACAAGAATCACTTGAACCTGGGAGGCGGAGGTTGCAGTGAGCCGAGATTGTGCCACTGCACTCCAGCCTGGGTGACAGAGCAAGACGCCATCTCAAAAATAATAAATAAATAAAGTGAGTCTCTTATCAACAGCACATGGTTGAATCTTAGTTCTTTTATCTGTTCATCCACTCTGTGTCTTAATTGAGGAGTCTAATCCATTTACATTTAAAGTAATTACTGAAGGGAAGGATTTACTATTGCCATTTTGTTAATTGTTTTCTTATAGAATTTCATCCCTTTTCCTCTCTTGCTATCAGCCTTTTTGTTCTATTGATTATTTATTTATTTTTTATTGCAGTGGCATGTTTGATTCCTTTCTCATTTCCTTTTGTGTGTCATCTTATAAGTATTTTCTTTTTGGTTACAATGAGGCTTACATAAAACATCTTGTAGGCTGGGCATGGTGGCTCATCCCTGTAATCCCAGCACTTTGGGAGGCTGAGGCGGGTAGATCACTTGAGGTCAGGAGTTCAAGACAAGCCTGGCTAACATGGTGAAACCCTGCCTCTACTAGAAATACAAAAATTATCTGAGCATGGTGGTGTGTGCCTGTAATCCCAGCTACCTGGGAGGCTGAGACAGGAAAATTGCTTGAACCTAGGAGACAAAGGTTTCAGTGAGCCGAGATTGTGCCACTGCACTCCAGCCTGGGTGACAGAGCGAGACTGTCTAAAAAAATAATAAAATAAAATAAAATAAAATAAAACAAAACATCTCATAGTTGAAACACTTTATTTTAAGCTGACAACTTAACTTCAGTCGCATACCAAAATAACTTTTTTACTTCTTTCCTCCCCACACTTTGTTATTGCTGTCACAAATTACATCTTTTTATATAGTGCCTTCATTAACATATTTTTATAGTTATATTTCTTTTTTGTACTTGATTTTCAACTTCTACACCAGAATTGTAAGTGACTTACATACCACAGTTACAGTATTGCAGTATTCTGTATTTTTCTATATATTAACCTCTACAAGTAAACTTTATACTTTCATATCCTTTTGTGCTGCTGTCTAGCATCCTGTTGTTCTAACTTAAGGGACTCTCTTTAGCATTTCTTGTAAGGCAGGTTTAGTGGGAATGAATTTCCTGAGCTGTTTACTTGGGAAAGTCTTTCTTCTTTACCTATGAAAGGCAGTTTTACCAGAGACAGAACACTTAGTTGGCAGGGCTTTTTAATTTCATTTTATTTCAGCACTTTGAATATAACATCCCACTCTTTTCCGGCCTGCAAGGTTTCTACCAAGAAATCCCCCGATACTCTTATGAGGGCTATCTTGTCCATACAAGTCATTTTTTTTCTTGCTGCTTTTACGATTTTCTCTTTGTCTTAGACATGCAACAATTTAATTGTAATGTGTCTTGGTGTAGACTTCTTTGGATTTATCATAGTTGGAGTCTCCTGGGGTTCTTAAATCTTATCCATATGTTTCCCTAGATATGAGAAATTTTAAGCCATTTTTTTTCAAATAAGCTTTCTGTTCATTTCTCTCTGTGTAGCAGGACAAGCCGCAGACAAAACCCTTCAGACACCAAGTTAAAGAAGGAAGGGTTTTATTCGGCCGGGAGCTTTGGCAAGACTCACGTCTCCAACAACTGAGCTCCCCGAGTGAGCAATTCCTGTCCCTTTTAAGAGCTCACAACTCTAAGGGGGTCCACGTGAGAGGGTTGTGATCAATTGAGCAAGCAGGGGTACATGACTGCGGGCTGCATGCTCCAGTAATTAGAATGGAACAGAACAGGACAGGGATTTTCACAGTGCTTTTCTGTACAATGTCTGTAATCTATAGATAACATAACCGATTAGGTCAGGGGTCTATCTTTAACTGCCGGTCCCAGGGTGTGGTGTCTGACTGTCTGCCTGCAGATTTCATTTCTGCCTTTTAGTTTTTACTTCTTTCTTTGGAGGCAGAAATTGGGCATAAGACAATATGAGGGGTGGTCTCCTCCCTTATCTGTACTCCTTCTGCAACTTCCATAATGTATATATAGGCTTGCTTGATAGTGTCCTGTAAATCCCTTAACATTCTTCACTCTTTTTTTCTTTTCTTTTCTTTTTTTTGTTTTGTTTTGTTTTGTTTTGTTTTGAGACAGAGTCTGACTCTGTCACCCAGGCTGGAGTGCAGTGACATGATCTCAGCTCACTGCTACCTCTACCTCCCAGGTTCAAGCAATTCTTCCACCTCAGCCTCCCAAGTAGCTGGGACTATAGATGCATGCCACCACACCTAGCTAATTTTTGTATTTGGTAACAGAGTTTCAAACATGTTGGCCAGGCTGGTCTCGAACTCCTGACCTCAAGTGATCCACCCACCTTGGTCTCTCAAAGTGCTGGGATTACAGGTGTGAGCCACTGTGCCCAGCCCATTCTTTTTCATTCATCTTTTTTTTTCCCGCTCTGACTGGATAATTTCAAATGTCCTGTCTTTGAGTTTACTGACTGATCAAGTCTGAAGCTTAACCCCTTTAGCAATTTTTTTTTTTTTTGGGACAGAGTCACACTCTGTTGCTCAGGCTGGAGTGCAGTGGTGTGATCTTAGCTAATTGCAGCCTCAAGCTTCTGGGCTCAAGTGATCCTCCTGCCTCAGCCTCTCAAGTAGCTGAGACTATAGGCATGTGCCACCATGTCTGGCTAATTTTTTATTAATTTTTTGTAGAGATGGCATCTCACTATGTTTCCCAGGCTGATTTCGAAGTCCTGGGCTCAAGTGATCCTCCTGCCTCAGCCTCTCAAAATGCTGGGATTACAGGTGTGAGCCACTGCACCTAGCCCGTTTAGTGAATGTTTGACCCTTCCAGTGAATTTTTCAATTCAGTTATTATATTCTTTGGCTCCAAAATTTCTGTTTGGTTCTTTTTATATTTTCTCTTTGTTAACATTCTCATCCTTTTCCTGAGCTCATTGAACTTCTTTATGATGGTTATTTTGAATTCTTTCTCAGGTAGTTCATATATCTATGTTTCTTTAAGGTTGGTTTCTGAATATTTATTTTACTCTTTTGCACTTGCCAAATTTCCTTGTTTCTTTATGTGCCTTGTAATCTGTGGTGAGATCTACACATTTGAGAAAAATAAATAAATATAGCCCCCTCTCTGTATTTGCAGACTAACTTTGTACGGGTAAAACAAAATCAGCCCAACTAGAGATCCTGTGGGCCTTTCAAACCTTTTCTGGGTGTCTATTCTCTGGACTTGTGCATGTAAAATCCCAATTAGAGTGATTTCACAGTTTCTTTTTTCAGAAGCTAGTAATCTCTTGCTTTCTCTGGTGTCTTTCTGTAGCACTGCAGGTTTTCTTGAGCTCCCTTAAGCTGCCCAGCTCTCTTTTGTTCTCAGCAGCCCTAGGCTTCTAGAGTATGCTGAATCTCATCAGCATGTCAAGTCAATGAGACAGAAACTTGTTCCTCAAGCAGCCCCCTCAAAAGCCAGAATGTTGGATGCATACTCCACTCTTCTTCCTATTCCTTCCCCCTTCACCAAGAGAGAGGCCACTGAGCTGTATCAGCCTCTGTCTGCTGCACTGCAGGTCTTCTGGAGCAGCAGCAAACTACTTAGCTCTCTTTTGTTCTCAGTAACCCCTGGGTACCTAAAGTATACCTAAAGTCATATCAGCATTCCAAGACAGGTGAAACAAAAACCAGTCCCTTGGGCAGCCCCCTGAAAAGCCAGGATGTTGAATTCAAACTCCATTCTTCTCTCTCTCTACCAACGAAGAAGCTGAGAGTTGGAGATTTTCTTCTGATCACACCACACTGAGCCAGGGGAGGGGCTATGGTGAGTGAGTGCATACTAGCCCAAACCTTAGCTTTGTTCTCAGTGGCTCCCAACCTGGTACCTTTTCCTATCACTTCCTTTTTTTTTTTTTTTTTTTTTTTGAGATAGAGTCTTGCGCTGTCGCCCAGGCTGGAGTGCAGTGGCGCAATCTTGGCTCACTGCAACCTCCACCTCCCGGGTTCACGCCATTCTCCTGCCTCAGCCTCCCGAGTAGCTGGGACTACAGGCGCCCGCCATCACGCCCGGCTAATTTTTTGTATTTTTAGTAGAGACGGGGTTTCACCATGTTAGCCAGTATGGTCTCGATCTCCTGACCTCGTGATCCGCCCGCCTCGGCCTCGCAAAGTGCTGGGATTACAGGGGTGAGCCACCGCGCCCGGCTCCTATCACTTCTTAAATTCAGACACAACAGAAACCAGTTGTTTGGACAGACCCCTGAAAAGTCTAAACATTGACATATATTTCAGTCTTCTCTGTCGCTTCCCAGGGAGAAGCCAGGAGCTGCAACTTTTCTTCTGATCATGCCATGCTAAGCCGGGGATGGGACTATGGAGAGCAACTGCCGCATATTTTCCAGTTGGCTTCCATGAGGCTGTTTTTGTGCTCACCTGGGGTTCAGAAGCCTCTTAATTAGTTTCTAGATTTCTCACAAAGGAATTGGTCCCTGTAATGCTGTTGAATTGGTGTCTCCATGGGGGTAGAGGGTCTGGGGTTTCCTAGTCTGTAATCTGCTGACATATAAATCTCTCTCTCTCTCTCTCTCTGTGTGTGTGTGTGTGTGTGTGTGTGTGTGTGTGTGTTGTTTGTTTTTTGGTTTTTTTAAGACTTTGTCACCCAGGCTGGAGTGCACTGGTGCAATTTCAGCTCACTGCAACCTCTGCCCACCAGGCTCAAGCAATCCTCCCACCTCAGCCTCCTGAGTAGCTGGAATTACAGGCATGCAACACTATGCCCAGCTAATTTTTGTATTTTTTGGTAGAGAGGGGGTTTCACCATGTTGGTCAGGCTGATCTGGAACTCCTGACCTCAAATGATCTGCTCCACCTCGGCCTCAAAAAGTGCTGGGATTACAGGTGTGAGCCATTACACCCTGCCAAAATCTCATTGTGATTTTAATTTGCATTTCCCCAATGTCTAATGATGTCGAACAGCTTTTCATGTGCTTCTTTGCCATCAATATGTATGTATATGTGTGTGTAAATATGTACGTATATATGTGCGAAATGTCTTTCATGTCCTTTACCCATGTTTTAATTGGATTGTTTGCTATTTTACTGTTGAGTTTTGAGAGTTCTTTATATATTCTACATACTAGTCCTTTGCTGGGTATGCGATTTGCAAATATTTTCTCCAGTATGTGGCTTTCTTTTCTTCCTTTTAACTGGGCACACTCATGCATCACTTAACGATGGGGATATGTTCTGAGAAATGTGTTGTTGGGTGATTTCCTCATTGTGCAAAGATCATAGAGTGTACTTACACAAATCCAGATGATATAGTCTATGACACTCCTGGGCTACATGATATAGCCTACTGTTCCTAGGCTACAATGCTGTATAGCATGTTACTGTACTAAATAGTGTAGGCAGTTGTAACACAGTGGAATTTGTGTATCTATGTCTAAACATAGAAAAGGTACAGACAAAATACGGTATTATAATCTTATGGCACCACCATAGTATATGTAGTCTATCATTGACTGAAATGTCTTTGTGTGGTACATGACAGTATTTTACAAAGTAAAAATGTAAATATTTTGGTGAAGTCTAATTTATCAACATTTCCCTTTTTGAATCTTGCTTCTGATGGCAAGACTTAAGAACGATTTGCTTATCCCTAGATGATGAAGATTTTTTTCTTCCATTTTTCTCTAAAACGTTTACACTTTTACATTTTCATTTATGTGCATGATCTATTTTGAGTTAAATTTTGTATGTGGTATAAAACTAGGACACAGGTCATATTTTTTGCTTTGGGGTGTCCAATTACTCTAGCACCATTTTAAAAGGCTATCTTCCTCCACTGATTTTTCTAATTTTATTTACTATTCATAATTTTTATCTTTCTATGAACATGACTTATAAAAGTCCTATTTTAAAGTCTTCAAAAAGTGGGGTTTTTAAATTTTAAGCATAGTGAATTCCCCTTTTGATTGTTAATAAGTTAAACTAGTACTAATATCAAACAGTTGTATAGCACTTAAGATGCACAAGGCACTCCTCCCAACGCTTTACATCTGTAAATTCATGTAACCCTCACAATTCTATACAGGAATATCATGCTATCACACTACAATAATACTATAATATTATACTGGTGCGTTTTATTCTATGAGTGGTAAAAGTTATTGGAAAATTTTTAGAAGAGTAATGGAATAGGTCTAGTAAGTATCTTTAAGAATTTTTAGGCCGGGCACGGTGGCTCACGCCTGTAATCCCAGCACTTTGGGAGGCCAAGGTGGGCAGATCACCTGAGGTCAGGAGTTTAAGACCAGCCTCAACATGGAGAAACCCCATCTCTACTAAAAATACAAAATTATCCGGACGTGGTGGTGCATGCCTGTAATCCCAGCTACTTGGGAGGCTGAGGCAGGAGAATTGCTTGAACCTGGGAGGCGGAGGTTGCAGTGAGCTGAGAACGTGCCATGGCATTCCAGCCTGGGCAACAAGAGCGAAACTGTCTTAAAAAAAGAGAAAGAATTTTTAACGGACATCTTTAAATATATATAAAAGTAGAGAGGAAAATATAATAAACCCTCATTTATACATCACCAGCTTCAACAATGATTGCCATTTTGCCCATCTTATTTCACCTGATTTCTCCCTACATGCACGTAGATTTTCTAGAGTAATCAAATTCCAGGTAGTGACTTATTCATTAATACTTCAGCAGGTATCCCTAGAAGATAAAAAGTTTTTTAAAAACCTAGCCACAATAGTCTTATCACAAAAGCAAAAAATGACTATTTCTTAAAATATTTCCTTAACAAATCTCCAATTCTAGTTCGAATTGCTCCATTGTCTCAAATACATCTTTTTCCAGTTGGTTTGTTCAAATCACTGTATAATCACATTACAGTTTATCCATTTGCTTCTTTCCTATGTCATTTTTTTGTGGAGTAAACTGAGCCTAATACATGTCTTTAAAATTCACTCTGGATAAACAGAACATGGTACCTACATACAATGGAAAATTATCCCACTTTCAAAAGGAAGGAAATTCTGACATATGCTACAACAGAGATGAGTCTTGAGGGCATTATGCTAAATGAAATAGACAAGTCACAAAAGACAAATATTGTGCGATTCCTCTTATTCACGTGAGATACCTGGAGTAGTCAAATTCATAGACACAGAAGGTAGAATAATGGTTGCCAGGAACCAGGGGAGGAGGAATGGGGAGTTAGTGTTTAATGAATATAGAGTCTCAGTTTTGCAATATAAAAGGGTTTTGAAGATTGGTTGCACAATAATATGAATGTTCTTAACAGTACTGAACTGCCTACTTAAAAATGGTTTAGATAGTAAATTTTATGCTATATATATTTTATCACAATTTTTAAAATTTTAAAACATCACTCTGGCTGGTGTGTAGAGTAGAAGCAGGCTGACCAGCTGGAAGGCTATTGCAGTGCTCCGGGTGAGATGACAGTGGCTTGGATTAGGGTGATAGAGGTGGAGGTGGTTGAGAAGAGATCAGATCTGGGGTCTGTTTTAAAAGTAGAGATAATAGGACCCGCTGACAGATTGGATATTGAGTGTGAGGGAAAAGGACAAATGACAGCAAACTCCTGGGATTTTGGCCCGCTCAGCTGCATGACTGACTGTGCCATTGAGTGGAATGAGGAAGCTGGGGGAGAAGGCAGCTACCAGGTGGCAGGTTGATTACATTGGACCTCTTCCATCAGGGAGGGGGCAGCGATTTGTTCCCTTTGGAACAGGCACTTTTCCGGATTTGGATTTGGTTTCCTTGGCCGTTGTCATGCTGCTGCCAGCACTCTCTCTATGCTCGTGCTAGATGGCTTGTAGCCTGTCATAGTCTCCCACACAATATTACTTCTGATGAAGAAACATTTTGCAGAGACAAAGTAAGCCAAGAGGCTAATGCCCACGGGACTCACTGATCTTGTCACGGTGTCCCATCTCCAAAAGCAGGTGGCTCAGGAGAACAGAGGAATGGTCTATTGGCAGCCGGTTCCTGTGCCAGCTGGAGAGATACCTTATAGGGACACAGCATATTTTCTGGCCAGTGCTGCTGTTTCTCCTGGAGCCAGGATCCACTTGGCTGGGGAATCCAAGCAATGGAAGCAATGGTATATACCATCACTGACCTACCCCAAACCATTTGCCTCCTTTACCCAAGATTCTGTTTGGGAGATTTTGGTACCCAGAGGATAAATGCCTTCATTTGGAGACATAGCCTTCCAAAAATGACTTCCTGATTGACTCCATATCATAACTATTGTGAATGGTGAGGCAATAAACATGGGAATGCAGATGTTTCTTCAACACACTGATTTCATTTCCTTTGGATAGATAACCAGTATTGGGATTGCTGAATCCCATGGCAGTCCTGTTTTTTTTTTTCTTTTTTGAGACGGAGTCTTTCTCTGTCGCCCAGCCTGGAGTGCAATGGCGCGATCTCTGCTCACTGCAAGCTCTGCCTCCCGGGTTCACGCCATTCTTCTGCCTCAGCCTCCCCAGTAGCTGGGACCACAGGTGCCCACCACCACGCCCGGCTAATTATTTTGTATTTTTGGTAGAGACGGGGTTTCACCATGTTAACCAGGATGGTCTCGATCTCCTGACCTCTTGATCCACCCGCCTCGGCCTCCCAAAGTGCTGGGATTACAGGCGTGAGCCACTGCGCCCGGCCTTTTTTTTTTTTTTTTTTTTTTTATTGAGACGGAGTCTTGCTCTGTTGCCTAGGCTGGAGTGCAGTGGTGTGATCTCGGCTCACTGCAACCTCTGCCTCCCAGGTTCAAGCCATTCTCCTGCCTCAGCCTCCTCAGTGGCTGTGATTACAGGCATGTGCCACCAAGCCTGCTAATTTTTGTATTTTTAGTAGAGAAGGGGTCTCACCATGTTGGTCAGGCTGGTCTCGAACTCGTGATCTTGTGATCCACCTGCCTCAGCCTCCCAAAGTGCTGGGATTACAGGCATGAACCACCGTGCCTGGCCCCCATGGTAGTTCTATTTTTAATTTTTTGAGGAACCTCTATACTGTTTTCCTTATGGCTGTGCTAATCGACATTCCCACCAATAGTGTATAAGTATTCCACTTTCTTGCTGGGCGTGGTGGCCCACACCTGTAATCCCAGCAGTTTGGGAGGCCGAGGTGGGTGGACCACCTGAGGTTAGGAGTTCGAGACCAGTCTGACTAACATGGTGAAACCCCATCTCTACTAAAAATACAAAAAAACTTAGCCAGGTGTAGTGGTGGGCGCCTGTAATCTCAGCTACTTGGGAGGCTGAGGCAGGAGAATCGCTTGAACCTGGGAGGCGGAGGTTGCAGTGAGCCGAGATCACGCTGTTGCACTCCAACCTGGGCAACAGAGAGAGACTCTGTCTCAAAAAAAAAAAAAAATTATTCCCCTTTCTCCACATACATGCTAGCATTTTTTTTTTTTTTTTTTTTTGAGACAGGGTCTCATTCTGTCACCCAGGCTGGAGTGCAGTGGCACAATCACAGCTCACTGCAGCTTTGGCAGCCTAGGCTGAAGCAATCCTCCCACCTCAACCCCTCAAGTAGCTGGAACTACAGGCATGTGCCATGACACCTGGCTAATTTTTAAAATTTTCAGAGAGACAAGGTCTTGCTATGTTGCTCAGGCTGGTCTTGAACTCCTGGGCTCAAGTGATCCTCCTGCCTTAATCTCCCATAGTGCTGGGGTTACAGGCATGAGTCACTGCACCTGGTCATTTTTTGTCTTTTTGATAGTAGCCCATCTAATGATGAATGAGTAAAGAAAATGTGATATAGGCTGGACACCATGGCTCATGCCTGTAATCATGCCAGCACTTTGGGAGGTCAAGGCGGGTGGATCACCTGAGGTCAGGAGTTCAAGACCAGCCTGGCCAAGATGGTGAAACTCTTTCTCTACTAAAAATAAAAAAATGGTCCGGGTGTGGTGGCGCATGCCTGTAGTCCCAGCTACTTGGGAGGCTGACTCAGAAGACTCACTTGAACCCGAAGGTAGAGATTGCAGTGAGCTGAGATCATGCCACTGCACTCCAGCCTAGGCAACAGAGCAAGATTCTGTCTCAAAGAAAAAAGAAAGAAAGAAAATATGATATAAATACACACACACACACACACACACACACACATGCACGCAATGGAATATTATTCAGCCATAAAACACAATAAAATCCTGCCATTTGCAATAACATGGATGAACCTGGCAGGCATTATGTTGCATGAAATAAACCAGGCACAGGAAGACAAAGACCACATGATCTCACTCATATGCAGAATCTTTAAAAATTGATTTTGTAGGCCGGGCGCGGTGGCTCACGCCTGTAATCCCAGCACTTTGGGAGGCCGAGGCGGTCGGATCACGACGTCAGGAAGATCGAGGCCATCCTGGCTAACACGGTGAAACCCCGTCTCTACTCAAAACACACACACACACACAAAAATTAGCCAGGCGTAGGTGGTGCACGCCTGCAGTCCCGGCTACTCAGGAGGCTGAGGCAGGAAAATGGCGTAAAACCGGGGAGGCGGAGCTTGAAGTGAGCAGAGATCACGCCACTGCACTCCAGCCCAGGAGACAGAGCAAGACTCTGTCTCAAAAAAAAAAAAAAATTGATTTTGTAGAAGTAGAGAGTAGATTAGTAATTACTAGAGGCTGGGGAGAGGACAGGGAAGGAGAGAGGGAGAGACCAGGAGAGGTTGGTCAATGGGTACAAAGTTACAATTAGATAGGAAAAGTAAGTTTTTTTGTTATATTACTATATTAGTCCATTCTCACTCTGCTATAAGGACATATCCAAGACTGGGTAATTTATAAAGAAAAAGAAGTTTAATGGACTCACAGTTTCACATGGCTGGGGAGGCCTCACAATCATGGTGGAAGATGAAGTAGGAGCAACGGCATGTCGTACATGATGACAGGCAAGACAGAGTGTATGCAGGGGAACCACCCTTTATAAAACCATCAGATCTCGTGAGAACTCACTATCATGAGAACACCATGGAAGTAACAGTCCCCATGATTCCATGACCTCCCATAGGGTCCCTCCCACAGCACATGGGGATTATGGGAACTACAATTCAAGATGAGATTTGGGTAGGGACACAGCCAAACCATATCAGTTACACAGTAGGGTGACTATCACAAATAACCATGTATTCTACCTTTGACGATAGCTAGAAAGTTTGGAATGTTGTCACTACAAAGAAATGATAAATGTTTAAAGTGATGGATACAGTAATTACCCCAATTTGATCATTATACTATGTCTACATGCATTGAAATATCACATTGCTTCAATACATACATATAATTATTAGGCGTAAATTATCAATTTTTTTTAATGACGGACTGGAATATCCTGTTAGCCAGGCCAGTGAACATTGTGCCAGATTTGCTTTTACTCAGAAAAGTAAAGAAATGTGATATTCTTGCACCTAATCATTATGGAGCTCTTCACACCCATCATACGTAACCCACATGTCCGAGTCTCAGCGTCTTTGTGTTATATCCAAGTCTTCCAGGCATTACCTTCTGTGACTCCCAGGGCCCAGCCATCCTGCTGCCAGGCTCTTCCTGCCCAGCTCCTCCCTCCTGTTTGACCTCTACTGGCCATGAGGCTGCTCGAAGAAGGGTATCTGCTGCCCTGGCACAAAGTCACCAGTGTCTCTGCCAACAGCCCTTTAATACAATGCCCTCAGCACCAGAGAGTCCGGGGATCCACCCTCCCACTATCATCTGAGCCCACTGCAAATCTATGGGTTCCTGCAGGTCTCTCAAAGTCTCTCTCAAAAACAGACACTTCCATTTCTTTCCTTTGTTTCTTGCCTGTAAGCAACAATCAAAACGTGAACAAAAACCTTCTTCCACAGGAACTGGCATTGTCTTCATTCAGACAGAGCCACAGCTCCCACCTCTCACATCACAAATCAAGAGAATCACCAGTCATTGGAATGCACAAACCAGAATTCTTTTCATCTGCCTTCGAGTTAATTGTGATTTCCCGGTTTCTTTAAGAATCTCAGGTGTTAAGACCAGCACAGTGGTTCACACCTGTAATCCCAGCGCTTTGAGAGGCCGAGGCAGGAGGACTGCTTGAGCCCAGGAGTTCAAGACCAGCCCGAGCAACAAAGCAAGACCTCTACCAAAAAAAAAAAAAAAAAAAAAAAGAATTTCAGATGCTACTTTTTGAGTACAATAGGGCCTATTCAAGCAAACTTCCCAAAACAAACAGCATGGGTACGAATTACTTAGAACTTAAAGTCTGATATACAAGAATTGGAACTTTGATTTTTTGTAATAAATAAATAAATTATTTATATTAAGAAATATCATCACTACTCACCACCAAACCTTAAGTTGGAGTGAAAATTAAATCTTAGCCAATTCAGGCCATTCTCAGCCAGTTTTATAACTTCTTTCAGCAGTTCCGGTTTTTCCCTCTTCGCTTCCTAGAGCTGCGTCTAAACTCTGGGAATGGAGAGTGTGGGACTTGCAACATCTGTGGGAGAAGATGCCTGGTCCCTCAGGCTCTTCTGTCTCCACAGGCCTCCTCTGAGGCCCCGCATCCTCTGAGACTGCCTCTGGCTTGGTTACAGCTCCCTTTAGCCAAGCTCTGGCTTTCTGTGCTGCATCCACACTGTACTCAGCCACACCAGGAAATGCTCAGCTACAGCCTGTGCCTCATGGGGTGCACAGGGACCTCAAGGTGGCCCCAGGCCCTTAGGCCCAGACATCCTTTGAGGTCGTCTCTCCTCTCCTGCTCCCAAGCCCTGCTGTATGGGAGGTTCTGAAGACCTGCCGCCTCCCCAGCCACACCCCTCTCTCTCCAATCTCCTCACCTATCTGGGGGTTATTATTAGCCAGTTTGGAGTGTGGAACTACAAGTACCTCTCCTTCAGGGGACCAGGTGATGGGAGTTAATTCCTCAACCTGCATGCCCAGCCCTGCCTCTTCTCCTCCTCGTTTCTTCTAGGCCTTGGCTGTCTAGCAAGATGGAGAACAGGGGACAGGCTTAGCCTAGGCTCTTGCAGTTTGCAGAAGTGCCCCACGCACCCACTTTAGCATGTGTGTGACGGTCTACCGGTCTACTGTCAAATGTTCCACTTCCCACTGACAAAATCAGGAGAAGCTGCTCTTCCGGAAACTCTTAGAAGTTGTCTCCAAAACAAAACAAAGTAAAAACCTCATCCCCTTTAGGATGAGTGCATTTTCACTCTGGCCATGAATCTGGGAGGCACCTCCAAAGCACAGCAGCTCTGCAAGTGGCTCGAGGAATTCGTGGCAGGTTAAAGCCTGGGATCCCTCTACCTGGGTGGTCAGGGCTGGGGTCGCTGTTGTGGAGCAACAAGCTACAAGGCTTCTCTCCTTCTAGGACAAATCTTAGTTCACTTTGAAATTCCCAGAAGAGCTTTTATTTTTATTTATTTATTTATTTTGGAGACAGGGTCTCTCTCTGTCCCCCAGGCTAGAGTACAGTGGTGTGATCATGGCTCACTGCAGCCTCGACCTCCCTGGCTCCAGTGATCCTCCTGCCTCAGCCTTCTGAGTAGCTGGGACTACAGGCATGTGACACCAGACCTGGCTAATTTTTGTATTTTTTGCAGAGAGAGACGGAGGTCTCACTGTGTCATCCAGGCTGGTCTTGAATTCCTGGGCTCAAGCTCTCCACCCGTCTTAACTTCCCAAAGTGTCGGGATTACAGGCATGAGCCACCGCACCCAGGCACAGAAGAGCTTTAAATTATCCTTTCTGGTTGGGCACAGTGGCTCACGCCTGTAATCCCAGCACTTTGGGAGGCCGAGATGGATGGATCACAAGGTCAGGAGTTCAAGACCAGCCTGGCCAACATAGTGAAACCCCATCTCTACTAAAAATACAAAAAATTAGCCGGGCATGGTGGCACATGCCTGTATCCCAGCTACTTGGGAGGCTGAAGTAGGGAGGTGGAGGTTGCAGTGAGCCGAGATCACGCCATTGCACTCCAGCCCGGGCGACAGTGCAAAACTCCGCCTTAAAAAAAAAATTATCATTTCCTTGCCCCTAAATGTCTTCGTTTTGCTGGCTATCCTGCATATACTCAAAAACTATAGTTTTGGGTTTTTTCTCCCCAGTGCAGTCTCATCACAGCCCATTAATATTTCTAAATCAACAAGAATTTCTAAGACATTTGCCTCATCTCTGCACACCAGTGTTCTCATGTCTTGGAGTGACCTGCTGCCAATACCATTCTGGGATTTGTCTTCAGTCTGTGGGGCCAATGTGTACTCTGACCTTGGACAATCATTTCATCTCTCTGTGACTCAGTTTTCTTCTGTAAAATGGGACACATAATAGTAGCTACAATAGAATGACACGGAGAGCCCTTAGAACACAGCCTGGCACAGAGCAAGCAGTCAATAAATATTAGCCATCATCATTGCTGTCATCATTGTTATTATTAATATAAGTCACACAGGAGTCCCTGAATGTAGCTGGGGTGAGTCCGAGGCCACAACTCAGATATGCAAAAAGTAGAACTTGCTTTATTTTTCCATGACTTTATTTAGTTTCTATTTTGTGTGCCCATTCCTATGGGTGGCAGAAACTTCACTTTAGTGAATTCAGGGTAATTTCACTCAATTCAGACTCTCCAAGGTTGTGTCTAACTCCTCGACCTTCAGGGGTACTTGTGTTCAGGATGCGCATCTGGCCTGTGATTGGCCAAAGTCACCCCAGATGGTCCTAGGTCAGCAAACCACACGGATCTTGCATGGAAACTCTCCAGATCCCCCAGCTTAGAGCCAAGATTCTGATCCCACTTCCTGGCGAGTCGGGTAGCAGTGGACACCTCTATGAGAAGTAAACTTTCTTTGTAAAGGCAGGAGGGATTACAGGAGGGAGATGTGGTAAGATAAGTTTTTAGAATCCTAAGCAATGTGTTTTTCATTAGTGATAATTTCTTTCTACTCCGTGGCCCTTTTGCCAGACAGAGTAGACTGTGCGACGTCCATTGTACAACCCAGGAAAGGGTTATTACATCAGGAAATCAGGGGAAATGGCTTTTGGAGTTGCAAACATCTGGGTTTTCAGTGTCAAATGCCTGGCCTTGAAAGAGTCACAGCATGAATCTTACACCATAAACACTCAATTAGAATATGAGGAGCTTGTTAAAAACCAGGTTTTCTAAATCAAAATGAGATATCGATTCTCAAGGTTGGAAGAGGGGAGAATGAAAAAAGAACCAGATAAACTAGATTCTGTGTGAGTAGGGTGATGACACAGTTTACTGTCTATACCAGGACCCTTCCGAAAGTGAAAGGGAGTGTTGTTAATGACTCTGCCTTGGACACAGACACGAACCAGGACTGGTCCAGGCCGACCGGCACTAATGTATCTTCACCCTACCTATGGGTCCCCCTCCATTCTCCCTACAACTGGCCTGGGGCCAAGTGGAGGCAAGGATTTCTAGAAATCATAGATCTGCTTGGGGAATCTAAGAGAAGAGGTCCCGTCCCTCTGTGCTTATGTAAAGTCCAGGGTGTGTCAAAGCTCCCAGTTTCCACCCCACCAGCTCAGGGTCAGCGGTGTGGCTATAAAGCACAGCCGCACAGTGGGGATGGAGAGAGTCGGATACAATTCCCTGCACACCAACCTGTCAAGGAAGTACAGCCAAGCATTTTCTCTGCCTCCAAGAGGTGAGAAATAGCAGAGAAAGAGCCAGGTCTGGTGCGTCCATGCAGCTGAGACACGCACAGTCCAACAAGGACCAGATGGGAGAGCATGCACCCCTGCAGTGGCCTCTGAGAGTAGCTAACAGCAAGAAAAAAAACACCAAACCCATCCTCACCCCACTCCTCACCAGTGGCTCTCTGTCTTCTGCCACAACCAAGCAACCAGGCCTAGGGGATGCAAACGAACCCCACACTAAGTGGCACAGGAATTCACTAATAGCCCCTAATTTGACTGAGGCTTCATTTCAGGTGCAAATGAAATGGTTGGGAGTATGGTGATATGTCTGGCACATCTGAGCTGGTGACATGAGATTCACACCCACGTTACAATGAAATAGAGGACCCCAAAGTTAGAGTTTCAACTTCCAGAGGCAAAATTCTGCTTGTCATTTTTAAATAAAAGTCACTCCTTTAAAAATATTGCCTTGTCTTGGCTCACACCTGTAATCCCAGCACTTTGGGAGGCCAAGGAGGGTGGATCACCTGAGGTCAGGAGTTTGAGACCAAGCTGGCCAACATGGCGAAACCCCATCACTACTAAAAATACAAAAAAAAAATTAGCCAGGCATGGTGGCACACACCTTTAATCCCAGCTACTCAGGAGGCTGAGCCAGGAGAATCACTTGAACCTGGGAGGCAGAGGTTGCAATAAGCCGAGATGGCACCACTGCACTCCAGCCTGGGAGACAGAGTGAGACTCCGTCTCAAAAAAAAAAAAAAAAAAAAATGATCTTGTCTTCTAGGGAAGCCCACAACATACACAAGAAAAGGTCACGACTGGCTGGGCGCAGTGGCTCATGCCTGTAATCCCAGCACTTTGGGAGGCCAAGGAGGGCAGATCACCTGAGGTCGGGAGTTCGAGACCAGACTGACCAATATGGAGAAACCCCATCTCTACTAAAAATACAAAATTAGCTGGGCGTGGTGGTGCATGCCTGTAATCCCAGCTGCTTGGGAGGCTGAGGCAGGAGAATCGCTTGAACCTGGGAGGCGGAGGTTGCAGTGAGCCGAGATCGCACCATTGCACTCCCACCTGGGCAACAGGAGCAAAACTCGGTCTCAAAGGAAAAAAATGGTCAGGACTTCAGGGGAGGCATTTGGACAGTATGTACAAACACAAGAAACAAAAATGCACTTAAAATTCAGCCCCTGTCTTTTATTTCTCACCATCTGCCTTAGAGAAATAATTGCCCATGTGGATTAAAAGGGAAGTACAAGGATTTTCAGAGTTATGTTGTTTATGATACCAAATAATTGGAAAGACCCTAAATTTCAGCCAACAGGGGAGGGGTTAAATCAAAGATTGTGTCTCCACCGTGAGGAATACTAACCAGCCCGTTTTAAAAAATGTGTTAAATATATGTTGTTCTGAAGTGAAAATCCCTCAAGACATAAATTTTTAAAAGCAAGGTATGGAACAACTCATATAATGTGACACTTACTTATATAAACACATATATATACATACCCAACACACATATACATAAAAAGCTGTATTTGTGTATACACTCATCTTTGTAAGTAAATATAAGAAGTAAAGATCTGGGAAGATATTCACCAAATTGAAAACAATAGCTACCTCTGAGACGGGGATTACAGTTGGGAGATTGAAGGATAGGGCAGCTTTTTTTCACATCACGCATATTGTTCAATTTTTTTCTAGCAAGAATATATTCATGTCACGCGCATCTGTGTGAAGAGACCACCAAACAGGCTTTGTGTGAGCAATAAAGCTTTTTAGTCACCTGGATGCAGGCAGGCTGAGTCCAAAAAGAGTCAGCAAGGAAGATAGGGGTGGGGCAGTTTTATAGGATTTGGGTGGGTAGTGGAAAGTTACAGTCAAAGCGGGTTTTTCTCTTGCTGGCAGGGGCGGGGGGTCACAAGGTGCTCAGTGGAGGAGCTTCTGAGCCAGGAGAAGGAATTTTTTTTTTTTTTTTTTTGAGACAGAGTCTCGCTCTGTCACCCAGGCTGGAGTGCAGTGGCTCAATCTCTGCTCACTGCAAGCTCCGCCTCCCAGGTTCATGCCATTCTCCTGCCTCAGCCTCCCAAGTAGCTGGGACTACAGGCGCCCACCACCACGCCTGGCTAATTTTTTGTATTTTTAGTAGAGACAGGGTTTCGCCATGTTGGCCAGGCTGGTCTCGAACTTCTGACCTCAGGTGATCCACGCGCCTTGGCCTCCCAAAGTGCTTGGATTACAGGTGTGAGCCACGGTACCCAGCCTGAGGAGGTTCTTACAGACACCAACAAAGATAGTCTAGCTTTTTTGAGGTGAGGAAATGCAGATGATGAGTGAACATGGCGTTTTCAAATAAATGGGCTATAGAAAAGGAAAGAAAACGTGAGATAGTAGCTTGAGGGAAGCCAAGGGTTCTGGACAGATTTTCATGAATGGAGAGACGTGAGAAGATGACAACACAGAGGCAGAGGGAAGGTAATTCGGGAGCAAGGTTTCAGGAGAGACAGGTTCAGGGAAAGCTTGGCCTCTGAAACGGGTGGGAAGTGCATGGGTGAGAAAGAAAGACGGTTTCTGGCCAGGCCTTTTGGAAGCAAAGTCCCCTCCCCATCAAGAGGTGGGGGAAATTTGAGGAGAGAGGTCAAGTTTTGGAGGAGTTTCTGAGAAGCTACGTGAAGCCATAAGGTTAGCGCACGTTCGTCTCAGTCTGGTGGTTTGCAAGGCAACTGTTAAGATGAGGAGAGAAGTTGTGGGACTCAAGAACCTTTGGAAGAAAGTGATTCAATTGGAGTCTAGTCTGGATAGAAAAACAAACAAACAAAACCACCACCTCCCATATAGCACATCCCATAAAATTGCAATAACTGCCTATTTATTTTCTGCCACTCGCCCCCATTAAAGTATAAAGATTCATGTGCAGGCCGGGCGCGGTGGCTCACGCTTGTAATCCCAGCACTTTGGGAGGCCGAGGCGGCGGATCACGAGGTCAGGAGATCGAGACCACGGTGAAACCCCTTCTCTACTAAAAATACAAAAAAATTAGCCGGGCGTGGTGGTGGGCGCCTGTAGTCCCAGCTACTTGGGAGGCTGAGGCAGGAGAATGGCGTGAACCCGGGAGGCGGAGCTTGCAGTGAGCCGAGATTGCGCCACTGCACTACAGCCTGGGCGACAGAGCGAGACTCCGTCTCAAAAAAAAAAAAAAAAAAAAATTCATCTCCATCTTCTATCACTGACTCGCTTCCTGAGAGTGGGGACTGTGATGGTTAAATCTATTTTATGGTATTTATTTTTTTATTTTTTGTTTTCTTTCTTTCTTTCTTCCTTTTTTTTTTTTTTTTTGGACGGGGTTTCACCATATTGGCCAGGCTGGTCTTGAATTCCTGACTTCAGGTGGTCTGCCTGCCTTGGCCCTCCAAAGTGCTGGGATTACAGGCATGAGCCACCACACCTGGTCTGTTTATTTGTATTTGGAGACAGAGTCTCCCTCTGTCGCCCAGGCTGGAGTGCCGTGGCACGATCTTGACTCACTGCAACATCCACCTCTGGGGTTCAAGTGATTCTCGTGCCTCAGCCTCCTGAGTAGCTGGGATTATAAGTGGAGCACATGCCACCACACCTGACTAATTTTCTTTATTTTTAGTAGAGACGAGATTTCACCATGTTGGCCAGGCTGGTCTCAAACTCCTGGCCTCAAGTGATCTGCCTGCCTCGTGTGATGGTTAATTTTTGATGTCAACTTGACTGGATTAAAGAATGCCTAGAAACCTGGTAAAGCATTATTTTTGGTGTGTCTGTGAGGGTGTTTCCAGAGGTGATAGCATCTGAGTCTTTGTAAACGAGGTAGGGAAGATCTGCCCTCAGCGTGGTCACCATCCAATCTGATGGGGGCCCAGAGAGAATAGAAACAGAGAAAAGACCAATATGTCCATCTATCTGCTGGAGCTGGGACACACTCTTCATCTCCTGTCCTTGGACAACAACTTCAGGCTCCCTGGCCTGAATACTTAACACCAGCAGTCCCTCAGGGTCTCCAGCCTTTGGCCTTGGACTGAGAGTTACACCCCATCAGCTTCCCTGGCTTGGAGGCCTTCAGACTTGGACTAAGCCATGCTACCAGCATCTCAGGGTTTCCAGCTTATAGATTGCTGGTTGTGGGGACTTCTCAGTCTCCATAATCACATGAACCAATTTCCCTAATAAATCCTCTCTCATATATGAAGCCTGTTGGTTCTGTCTCTCTGGAGAACCCTGACTGCGATGGGGACTATGTGGCAAGGGTATTTGGCAAATAACTTTCCAATGAATAACTGAGGGAAGAAAAGAAGGGTTGAGGTCCTAGATATCTCAATGAGATAGAGAAGGAAGTGTAGTGGGCTTCAACTTAATTCGACTCAGCAAACAAGAGCCGGTCTTCTATACCCTAGGCTCTAGGCAAATCATAGCACACAAGCACATTCAGTCTTAACCCTGCAGAGCCTGGGTGAGAGGCAGGCAGTGGAGGGCACAGAGGCTGTGGTCAGAGGCTGATGTCGTTGAATTTAGGATTTGGAGTTGGGGCTGCCCTAGGTGACAACTCTGGCTATCTGTTGATAAATGATCAGAATTGTCCAAGTCAGGTCGG
Source organism: Homo sapiens (assembly GCF_000001405.40). Taxonomy (NCBI): domain Eukaryota; kingdom Metazoa; phylum Chordata; class Mammalia; order Primates; family Hominidae; genus Homo; species Homo sapiens. The sequence goes on from NC_000010.11 coordinate 28,476,484, forward strand.
GAAAGGAAGAAAGTTCCAGGCTGAGGTTAGGGCAGAAACCATGGCAGGAGGAAGAGTATAGCATACCTGAAGGCAGGGGGAAGACGTGCAGGAGGTGAAGTTGGAAAAGACAGGGAAGTGCATGACGGCAAAAGGCATAAGCTTTTTAATTTTTTTTTTTGAGACAGAGTCTTGCTCTGTCACCCAGCCTGGAGTGCAGTGGCACAATCTGGGCTCACTGCAACCTCTGCCTCCCAGGTTCAAGCAATCCTAGTGTGTCAGCCTCTCAAGCACCTGGAATTACAGGTATGTGCCACCATGCCTGGCTAATTTTTGTATTTTTAGTAGAGACAGGGTTTCACCATGTTGCCTAGGTTGGTCTCGAACTTCTGGTCTCAAGTGATCAGCCTGCCTCAGCCTCCCAAAGTGTTGGGATTACAGGCATGAGCCACTGTGCCCGGTCAAAAGGCATAAGCTTTGATTCAGACCTGGATTCAAAATCTGACTCCTGCAACCATCAGAAAGAATGAAATCATGTCTTTTGCAGCAAAACAGAAACAGAAAACCAAATACCGCATGTTCTTATAAGTGGGAGATAAACATTGGGTACACATGGACATAAAGATGGGGAACAACAGACACTGGCATCTCCAAAATGGGCAAGGGAGGGAGGCAAGGGTTGAAAAACTACCTATGGGATACTATGCTCACTATTCAGGTGATGGGCTCAACAGAAGCCCAAACCCTAGCATCACACAACATATCCATGTAACAAACCCGCATATGCACCCCCTGAATCTAAAAGAAAAAAAAAAAAAAAACCAGCCTGGGCAATAAAAAGCGAGACCCCCATCTCTACAAATTTTTTTTTTTAAATTTGCATAGCATGGTGGCTCATGCCTGTAGTCCCAGATACTCAGGAGGCCAAGGCAAGAGGATTCCTTGAGCCCAGGGGGTCAAGATTACACCAAGCTATGATTGCACCACTGCACTCCAGTCTGGGTGACAGAGTGAGACCCTGTTTCAAAAAAACAAAAAGAAGCCAGGCACGGTGGCTCACGCCTGTAATCCCAGCACTCTGGGAGGCCAAGGCAGGCAGATCATGAGGTCAGGAGATCGAGACCATCCTGGCTAACATGGTGAAACCTTGGCTCTACGAAATATACAAAAAATTAGCTGGGCATGGTGGTGGGCGCCTGTAGTTCCAGCTGTTCGGGAGGCTGAGGCAGGAGAATGGCGTGAACCCGGGAGGCAGAGCTTGCAGTGAGCCGATATCATGCCACTGCACTCCAGCCTTGGGGACAGAGGGAGACTCTGTCTCAAAAAAATAAAAATAAAAAAAGAAAATTATCTGAAATAAAGGAACTCAAATGATTAATGAGCCTACAATAAAATAATGGCCTTGTTATCAAAGAAATACAAAATACAGTCCTGGCGTGATGGCTTGCGCCTGTAATCCCAGCACTTTGGGAGAACAAGATGGGAGGATTGCCTCAGCTCAGGAATTCGAGACCAGCCTATGCAACAAGACAAAACCCTATCTCTACAAAAAAATACAAAAATAGCCAGTTGTGGTGGCATGTGCTTGTAGTTCCAGCTACTCAGGAGGCTGAGGTGGAAGGATTGCTTGAGCCTGGGAGGTCAAGGCTGCAATGACCCGAGATCATGTCACTGCACTCCATTCCAGGTGACAAAGTGAGACTTCATCTCTAAAGAGAAAAAAGAAAAAAAATACAGCAACAATAAAGTACTAAAACAAACAAACGAACAATCCGACCCCTTCTCTCTTATGAGACCTGGGCAAGCTACTTAATCTCTAAAACAGTGGTTCTCAACTGGGGGTGATTTTACCTGCCCCCCACCCCCCAACAACCAGGGAATATTTGGCAATATCTAGAGACATTTTTATTTCTCCCAACTGTGTGTGGGAAGAGGAGAATGCCGCTGATGTCTAGGGGTAGAGGCCAGGGTGGAGCTAAATATCCTATAAAGCACAGGACTTCCCAGGAGTTGGAGGCTGCAGAGAGCTATGACTGCACCACTGCACTCCAGCCTGGGTGACAGAGCAAGACCCTACCTCTAAAGCGGAAAAAAAAAAAGTCATGGCTTCATAAAATGTATGTGGCCCTTCCTAATGGGAGACAATGAGGAGTCTCTTCCATCTCTTCAAACTACTGTGTATATTTAAGTCCCAGGTATTTCAGAGATCCTCTCCATTCCATTATTTTGATTTTATGTGTCTTCTTAATTTGCTTAGGAGTAGAAACAATTTTCTGAAATTTTATTCCAGAGAGAATTCTTTGTCTTGCACGTTTTAAGCTCCTTTCTTCCTCTTCCTTCTTTTTTAGATGAGAGGCAGAATTCTTGCACAGACACCACACTGTGTTTCTTGTTGCTTAGTCATTTTGAAATAGTGGCAGTTCTCCATGGGCCCACTATTCCCCCTAAATAATACTGCTGTGGTCTCTTTTGCTTATCTCTCTGTTTACCTGCATGCAATTTGCATCTTCTCTATGGAATATGAGCTGGGGCTTGGATCAAAATCACTTTTATTTGTTGGTCCCAAAGCTGTCTGAGAAGGGTGGGGAGGAAAGTGGGTCTATGTGCAGTCAAAGCTGGGAACTCTTTTTCCTTTTTGAATCTCTCTCTATTGCCCAGGCTAGAGTGCAACTTCAACTCACTGCAATATCTGCCTCCCGGGTTCAAGCAATTCTCGTGCCTCAGCCTCCTGAGTAGCTGGAATTACAGGCGTGTTCCACCACACCCAGTTAATTTTTGTATTTTTTGGTAGAGATGAGGTTTCATCATGTTGGCCAGGCTGGTCTCAAACTCCTGACATCTAGTGATCCGCCCACCTCGGCCTCCCAAAGTGCTGGGATTACAGGTGTGAGCCGCCATGCCTGGCCTATTTTTCCATTCATCTTATTTCTGATTTTGATGAAACCCTTGACTAGGGTCCCCAGTCCCTAAGGGACAGACCCTGTCCCATAGCTGGGCAGTGGGTCTGGAGGGTTGGGTTTGTCTCCCCACTCTGGCGGATCAGATATGAAGCTGGATCCCAGCCCAGCAGCGTGTGAACGCCTTGTCTGTTGTGGCCACAAGTAATTTTCTCCAGCCAGCTTGCTATGTCACAGCTGCCTGGCCCTCAGGGACAATTGCTGCTAGAAGCCTATTTCTGTACTCTCTCCCACCACTGTGGCCTTGGATTGATGTTTAGCTGTACAGCAGGGGAAAAGGGCCCCCAAGCAGAACATTCCAGATCTTTTCTCTTGCCAGCTCAGGCCCCTATTTCCTGTTCCTCCGAAGTGAGAAGTACTAGTGGGATTTTTTAGAAATGCAGCCTTCTCTCACCACGTGCTGCAGCTCACTCCAAAAAGGGAGTTGTGGGTTGGTTCCCAGAATTTTATTTCAATTCAGACCTAATTGTTTTTTATTTGGATGCATTGGGTGTCTTGTATTTGGATTTAGATGTCTTGAAGTCTGTGGTATGAGGTTGGAAAAATTTCCTAGATTCAGTGTTGGAGGATGTTTCTTTTGGTATATCTTGTTTTCTTCATTCCAGTCAGTGTTAGAAGGAAATTTTGTAAATCTGTTAATTTTACTGCCTTTACTGGATGTTCCAATACCACTTGTTGTTTTTTTGTTTTGTTTATTTATTTATTTATTTATTTATTTATTTATTTTTTTGAGACATGTTCTTGCTCTGTCACACAGGCTGGAGTGCAGTGGCATGATCATAGCTCACTGAAGCCTCAACCTCCCGGGCCCAGGTGATCCTCCCACCTCAGCCTCCCAAATAGTTGAGACTACAGGAATGCACCACCACACCTGGCTTTTTTTTTTTTGGAAAAACAGAGTCTGCCTATGTTGTCCAGGCTGGTCTTGAACTCCTGACCTTAAGTAATCCTCCCGCCTCAGCCTCCCAAAATACAGAGTCTATAGGCGTGAGCCAACAACCCTTTTAATGATTACATAACATCCCATCACATGGATGAAGCCTAATGTTCTTAACCAATTTCCAAGTGGCATACACTTAGGTGATTTCCAATTTTTCATAATTACAAAGATGCTGCAAAAACTTTGAACATAAATACTCATGTACGTCTCTGATTAATTCTTTAGCAAATGATCACATTTCCAATGACAGGGAGTTCAGCAGGACTTTGCCCCTTCTCAGACCCATCTTTGCTTCTCAGTCAAGTGGTTCTAAATAAAACCATCACAAAATCCTTTGCCATATTGTGGAATGCTTTCAGCATGTTCTCTTTCCACCAGACCATATGTTGACCCAGATAAGTTAATCCCTCTCTCCAGCGACATGGTTTGTCCACTGGGATGTTTTTCACCCTCATTTCCATTCTTCCTCCGCACCTGCTCATGGCTTTTGCATCCTCCGCAGCTTCTTGCACTGTGCTTTCTACTTTCTCTCACTTTCAGCTGCTTTTGTCCACACACCTTTGAAGCCTTGGGATCCATGTCCACTGAGGCTTTCAACTTGTGAAGATCAATGTGCTAGAAGAAACAGCCATCTGCTTCTTAGCACCCCACTCGTCAAAATAAAATATCATGCGCACACACAAGCTGAAGCCTTGACACTTCACTGTCAGAAAGCAGAAACCAGTGCTCATGTGTTTATCAAACCCTGAAGACCACTTGCATGAAAAGCCCCAGAAGTGCTTGTTAAAATTTAAATTCCCGGACTGCACCTCAGACTCACTGTGCTAAAATCTTAAGGGATAGGGACCAGCTCTCCAATGATTCCACTACTTATGAAAATGTACAGACTTCTGTAATTACAAGAGTTATTTGTTTTCTTTTAGAGACACGGTCTTGTTCTGTCACCCAGGCTGGGGTACCGTGCCACTCATAGCTCACTGCAGCCTCGAACCCCTGAGCTCAAGCAATCCTCCTACTTCAGCCTCCCAAAGTGCTGGGATTACATGTGTGAGCCACTGCACCAGGCAAGAATTCTTATATCAAAGCTCAACTCTGTGTAAGTTGAAACTGTGACTCTCTTCCCATGATGACTTTTTTTTTTTTTAAGACGAAATCTTGCTGTGTCACCCAGGCTGGAGTGCCATGGTGCAATCTCAGCTGACTGGGACTTCTGCATCCCAGGTTCAAGTGATTCTTGTGATTTAACCTCCCAAGTAGCTGGGATTATAGGCACGTGCCACCATGCCCGGCTAATTTTTTGTATTCTTAGTAGAGGTGGGGTTTCACCATGTTGGCCAGGTTGGTCTCGAACTCCTGACCTCAAATGACCCACCCACCTTGGCCTCCCAAGTGCTGGGATTACAAGCATGAGCAACCACGCCCAGCTCCCTCATGACTTTTTAATAAAAAGTCCATTAAGCATGTTTCTAAAATGATAGCAATACTCATACAGTCTACATATAACACAGATTATTTTTCAAATAACATGGTGTGGTAGCAATGAGAAGAATCACCATCTCTGGTACTCCTCTCTTTTTGTAGCTCTTGCCGTTAAGTTGGAGCCATGTGACTAGGTCTGGCCACCAGGCTGTGAGGAGGATTTGGTTTGTGAGTCCTCCACACCATGCCCTTTGTAGTGTCCTTTGAGATGTGTGCTGAGATGGTAGTGTAACAAGATAGTGAGCCAATGTCAGCTTCAGTCTCTTATGGTCTGAGGATCAAAGCCCCTGTCAACCTTCAGTGGATGTATAGCCACTAAAGTGGATGTGAGCCAGTAAATATGTCATGGAAATTTTATTTGTCATTGCAGCATAACCTAGTCTTATTCTAACTAATCAATTGAAACCCCTATTTCTTGTTCATGCATCAGTGTACTTGAGTGTCTTAGATTAATTTAACATTAAGTAATGGTAAGTGTACAGTTCTATAATCTGAGCTTTATTAGAATATCGGCTCCTAAAATTAACTCCTATCTTTGCAACTAATTTTGCCACATTTGAAATTGTGCAAAAAAGAAGCCAGGTGAGGTGGCTCACACCTATAATCCCAGTACTTTGGGAAGTGAGGCAGATGGATCACTTGAGCCCAGGAGTTCAAGACCAGCCTAGCCAACATGGTGAAACCTGGTCTCTACTAAAAATACAAAAATTAGCTGGGCATGGTGGTGGGTGCCTGTAATCTCAGCTACTTGGGAGGCTGAGGCAGGAGAATTGCTTGAACCCAGGAGGCAGAGGTTGCAATGAGCTGAGATCATGCCACTGTATTCCAGCCTGGGTGACAGATTGAGAAGGAAGAAAAAGAAAAGAAAAAAGAGAGACAAAACTTTCTGTAGGTGAAAGAAGAGTACTACAAAACCCTTGGGAAAACACTTGGAAAAAAGTAACCAAGACAAAAAGTGAATCATTTAGTGGTTGACCAGAGAAAAAATCCAGAACTTGCTCTGCTACATCTTCTGACAAGAATTCACTTTTTAAAAATTCATATCCCTACCATTAACCATGACAGGAAACCTCAAATTTCTCTTAAATCCAAAATACATATGTACTTTAAACAATGCAGGTTTCTACATTATTTATTGTTGAGTCAGAATCTCATTTTTAATTCCTAAGGATCTCACACACCTCTGGTTGTGGCTCAGTTCTGCCATATATGCTGATATTGAACACAGGGCTCATCTTAAACATGGTGCCAGCACTTCCGCCTTCTGACAGTAGAAGTGCCTTTCCTCCTCTCCCAACCCAGTCTCCAATTCCAAGGACAATTCCAGTTTGCCTTGTGAAGAGTATTAGCAAAGACCAACTTCTCTTGGAAGTAAAAGGTGTATGTATTTTTGGCTGGGTGCGGTGGCTTACGCCTGTAATTCCAGCACTTTGGAGGCTGAGATGGGCGGATCACATGAGGTCAGGAGATTGGGACCAGCTTGACCAACATGGTGAAACCCCATCTCCACTAAAAAATACAAAAATTAACTAGGTGTGGTGGTGGGCACCTGCAGTTCCAGCTACTCGGGAGGCTGAGGCATGAGAATTGCTTGAACCAGAGAGGCAGAGGTTGCAGTGAGCCGAGATCATGCCACTTCACTCCAGCCTGGGCCACACAGTGAGGCTCTGTTTAAAAAACAAAAACTATATGTGTGTGTGTGTGTGTGTGTGTGTGTGTGTGTGTTGTTTTTTTAGCAACAAGGTCTCACTATGTCGCCAAGGCTGGTCTCAAACTCCTGGGCTCAAGCAATCCTCCTGCCTTGGCCTCCCAAAGTGCTGGGATTACAGGTGTCAGCTATTGCACCCAGTCAAATTTTTTAATTTTGGAGGTCTCATTATGTTGTCCAGGCTGGTCTCAAACTCCTGAACTCAAGTGATCATCCTTCCTCAGCCTTCCAAAGTGACTTTGTTGTTGTTAGTGTTGTTGTTGTTGTTGTTGAGAAAGTGCTAATTGTTTCATGCTAGTACATGAGTAGATATTATGTTTCCTTATGCAAGAATTATCTTCTAGTGTCTTCTAGAATTATCTAGTATCTTCTATGATCCTTGAGATTAATATCAAAGACATAATTTGAGGGTATTAACTGAGTCAGTAACTACTTGCTACTGATTGCTGTGGGGCAGCATTACCCAACAGTTGAGACACAATTGCCTTTTGGATGAGGATCAAATAACGTAGATTCACACCAAGAAAAAGTTATTCCCTTTACAATCCTCTCCTGATCTTTCTGGTTGTATCAACCAGGATGTCTCAGGTTCACAATCAGGTCTTTAACAGAAGAAAGAAAGAAGGACCAAGAGCAGAAGAAAGAAGGACTAAGCTCCCTCTACACCCCTTGGTATTAGAGCTGACCTTTGTCAGGGGCTGTATTAGTTCATTTTCACACTGCTGTGAAGAAATACCTGAGACTAGGTAATCTATAAAGGAAAAGGGGTTTAACAGATTCAGTTCCACATGGCTAGGGAGGCCTCACAATCGTGGAAGAAGGCAAAGGAAGAGCAAAGGCCTGTCTTACATGGCCACAGGCAAGAGAGCATGTGCAGGGAAACTGCCCTTATAAAACCATCAGATCTCCTGAGACGTATTCACTATCACGAGAACAGCACCGGCCCCCATGATTCAATTACCTCCCACCAGGTCCCTCCCATGACACTGGGGATTATGGGAAGTACAATTCAAAATGAGATTTGGGTGGGGACACAGCTAAACCATATCAGGGGTGCTGAACCCCACGCAGTTGAAAATCCATATATAACTTTTGACTCCTCCAAACTTAGCTACTAATAGCCTGCTGTTAACCAGGAGTCTTATCAATAACATAAACAGGCAATTATTAATATATATTTTGTATGTTGGTTCTGCATATTATAGACAGTATTCTTACAATAAAGTAAGCTAGATAAAATAAATGTTATTAAGAAAGTCATAAGGAAGAGAAAATATAGTTACTATTCATTAAATGGAAGTGGATCATCATAAAAGTCTTCATCCTCGTCATCTTCATGTTGAGTAGGCTAGGGAGGATGGGGAAGAGGAGGGGTTGGTCTTGCTGTCTCAGGGGTGGCAGAGGTGGAAAAAGTCCATGTATAAGTGGATCTTGCAGTTCAAACCCATGTTTTTCAAGGGTCAACTGTAGTTATTTGAGTCTCAAGGCCAGCATTTGTTTCTCTGCAGCAAACACAAGTGTTGGGCCACGAAAAGTAGGGAAAAGATTTTAAAAAGAGGTAGCAAGAACTGCTTTGCTCTATTCTGTTCCTTTTCTTTTTTTTATCTTATTTTTATTTCAATTTGTCTCCTTTACTTTATTTATGGAAGCATAACCTCTGGTTTCTATTTTCTGTTTGTCTATGCCTTGTTTGTCTAATCATTTAGCATATAAATCACACATTTTTCTGTGTTGTCGATATATTTCAGAATCTGATTCAATTTAAGAACACTCTCCTTGGAAAATCACAGCTATACTATACTTAGAATTTCAAATTAAGTAATTTCTTTAAGAATCAGATATTCTTTCCTCAACTAAAAGTCTTCAGTTCACTTTCCCTGATGTATTCCTCTGAAATTCAGTCGCCCCTTAAAAATCTGACTCTGGCATTTTTTTTAGGTCTTTTCAATAACAGGTTCTTGATGTTGACTCAGAAATCTTTATTAAATATGAGGCTAAGGTGGTGGAAAGAGCATGGACTTTGGGATAACCCATACTTGGATTAAAGACGTACTGGCTTTAATGCTTATTAGCTATGTGACAAAGACAGATAAAATCTATTAAGCGTCTATTGCCTCCTCAATTAATTGCTTCTCTTCTACGGACAAGTAAGAAATAGAGGAAGGATGTTAAGACTAGCAGTTTTGGCCTGTGGCTGTATCCAGCAGTCTTTTTAGAATGGATAAGCTTTTAGCACTCGATGTCACCAGTATAAAACTTGATGGAACTCCAAGACAACCAAAAATTTAAAAATTAGTATTATCTCATAAGCAAAACAGAAATTCAAATCATAAATATTATGAATTAGCGTTAGGAGATTGAACTGATGCCTCCAAAGGATTACTTCTTCTTTTCCATCTTTTTCTTTTGAGAGATCCGTTTACACGGCTTACTGATTTTTTTTGTGCATATTTTTATTTCTTCCTATCATTGCAGTACTTGCTCTCTATGCTTTCCTTTCTCTCTCATTACTTTAAAATTCCTTTTAAAATAGAAGAAAACTGGCCAGACATGATGGCTCAAGCCTGTAATCCCAGCCCTTTGAGAGGGCGAGATGGAAGCATCACTTGAGGCTGGGGGTTCAAGACCAGCCTAAGCAACATAGGGACCCTGCCTCTACAAAAAAAAAAAAAAAAATTGTTCTAAAGTAGCCAGATGTGGTGGCACACACCTGTCCACCCAGCTACTCAGGAGGCTCAGGTGGAAGGAACACTTGAGCCTGGGAGGTGGAGACTGCAGTGAGCTATGATTGCGCCACCGCACTCCAGTCTGGGAGATGCAGGGAGACCCTGTCTAGTTTTTTGTTTGTTTGTTTGTTTGTTTGTTTGTTTTGAGACAGAATCTGGTTCTGTCACCAGGCTGGAGTGCAGTGGTGTGATCTCGGCTCACTGCAACCTCCACCTCCTGGGTTCAAGCGATTCTCCTGCCTCAGCCTCCCAAGTAGCTGGGACTACAGATGTATGCCACCATGCCCAGCTAATTTTTGTATTTTTAGTAGAGACGGGGTTTCACCATGTTGGCCAGGATGGTCTTGATCTCTTGACCTCGAGATCTATCTGCCTCGGCCTCCTAAAGTGCTGGGATTACAGGTGTGAGCCACCGCGCCCAGCCGAGGCCCTGTCTTAAATAAATAAATAGAAGAAAACCTTCTGACTTCAACACTATATCATTTATCTCATCAAAGGTCTTTCAGGTCCTCTCAATTTCTTATCTGTCTAAGAAAATAGAAAAGAATCTCAACTCCCATTCGGCTCTTCCTCACTGACTCAGTCCAACTACTTTCCCACTGTATACACAGAAAGCCCTACTTCATTCTAGTCAGACTAAAATGACTGGTAGTGATCTGTCATTATTCAATGCTCAAAGCCAAAGATTTCAAATAAAATATAAAGTTAGAAGATTCTTCTGTAAATACAAACAAGTCACAGAACTAAACTGACCCAATAATCCCATAGAGAGTTTTGGGTTTTTTGTTTTGTTTTCTTTTTTTTTTTTGATAAACAAAAATTGACCCTTCTGGTCTTAAACGTTGAAACTTACATTTGTTTTATGTGAGTTCCTTCCTTAAGAAATCAACTTCAGGCCTCTCAAAAAAAAAAAAAAGAAAAAGAAATTAAACTCACCAGACAACCACATCCAATGACATGTGGACCCCTAATTTGTCGTGATTGTTTCCTAGCCCCTCCCTACTTCCTGTTTTCTTACACATTGTTACATTTCCTCTCTGCTATATAAACCCCTACTTTTAGTCATCAGGGAGATGGATTTGAGAATGAGCTCCCATCTCCTTGACTGCAGCACCCGATTAAAGCCTTTCTTGGCCCAGCGCGGTGGCTCACACCTGTAATCCCAGCACTTTGGGAGGCTGAGGCAAGCGGATCATGAGGTCAGGAGATTGAGACCATCCTGGCTAACATGTTGAAACCCCGTCTCTACTAAAAATACAAAAAATTAGCCGGGCGTGGTGGCGGGCGCCTGTGGTCCCAGCTACTGGGGAGGCTGAGGCAGGAGAATAGTGTGAACCCAGGAGGTGGAGCTTGCAGTGAGCTGAGATCGCACCACTGCACTCCAGACTGGGAGAGAGAGCGAGACTCTGTCTCAAAAAATAAATAAATAAATAAATAAACAAAATTTTTTTTAAAAAACCTTTCTCCCTTGGCAATATTCATTGTGTCAGTGATTGGCTTTCTGTGTGACCAGCAGGACCTAGAGAGAATCCCTGGTGCTTCCGTAGCAGAACCTGTAACATATTCCAATACGCGTGTTTACAAAGCTCAACTCTGAAAGAAAACTTCAAAGGGAAATATGAATACATTCTCTTGTCCTGACATAAAGGATTGATCATGGTTTTTAGGTAGTTCTGCCTTATTCTTCTATTTACCTTTGTGAGTTTAATGCAAATCATTCCAGAATGTCAGAAGGTGGTATCTATTTTTGATATTGCTTCTCCAAAATGACATTAGAAAAACATGGTGTAGGTGGGGATTCTTGACAGCCATATTCCATTAAAAGGGTGTTGATAAGAGTATTCCATTATCAGGGTCAATTGGCTACAAGGGGAGAGAAAAAAAAAAGGCCAGGGGGAATTATAGTTCCAGAAAAGTCACCCCTTCCTCACATTGGCCCATATTTTTGGGTTATCACAAAAGGAAAGTAAATAGGACTTAAGTGTGAGAAAGGGAAAAGATTTGTTTGGGTGACATCTGAGGGAAGGTGTAAGACTGGGAGAGCTGGGTGTGATGGCTGCGCCTGTAGTCCTGGGTACTTGGGAGGTTGAGGCCAGAGGATTGCTTTGGCCCAGGAGTTTTGGACCAGCCTGGGCAATGTAGTGAGACCCCATATTTTAAAATATATATTAAAAAAGAAAAAGACTGGGGCTGGGTGTGGTGGTTCACGCCTGTAATCCCAGCACTTTGGGAGGCCGAGGCAGGTGGATCATGAGGTCAGGAATTCAAGACCAGCCTGGCCAAGATGGTGAAACCCTGTCTCTACCAAAAATACAAAAATTAGCTGGGTGTGGTTGTGGCCGCCTGTAATCCCAGCTACTCAGGAGGCTGAGGCAGAGAATTGCTTGAACCCAGGAGGTGGAGGTTGCAGTGAGCTGAGATCGTGCCACTGCACTCCAGCCTGGGTGACAGAGCAAGACTCTGTCAGAAAGAAAGAAAGAGAGAGAGAAAGAAAAAAGAAAGAAAGAAAGAGAGAGGGAGGAAGAAAGAAAGAAGGAAAGAAAGAGAAAGAAAGAAAGAAAGAAAGAAAGAAAGAAAGAAAGAAAGAAAGAAAGAAAGAAAGAAAGAAAGAAAGAAAGAAGGAAAGAAAGAAAGAGAGAGAGACTGGAAGAGGTGTGAATGCAGGCATGTGGCTGGGTCTTCGTTCCAGCTGGAAAGCCAACTCTTCCCCTGCTCAAGCGTGAGAGGTCGAGTGTCAGCTGAGTTGTCATTGGAAAGTTAGAATAATGGAAGAGACTCAGAGGTGGTGCAGGGGATTATGAACTTCTTTCTCTACTCTTCTTTCTCTGACTGCTATGATCAGAGCTTGCCTGGTGACCATGGACCAGTCTCAGGGTGCAGAGGCTTTGCCTGCACCACAGAGATGACCTTGCCACAGGTCATGTGCGTTCTCCACTTTCAGACACAGAATTTGGTGTGCTCTTCTTGCAAAAGGGCATGCCGGCTGTAGTGAACACTGTAATGTACCACCCAGGTTCCCCTTCAGGAATGAAGGCCTCAGTCCCAGAGCTGTGGGAGGTTCTGCCAGGAGACAGCTGTCATTTTCGGAATTGCCTCAGCTGAAAAACCTTACCCACGGTCATTCGCCCTTCCCAGGGTGGCCCATGTCCAGTGACTAATTGACACAGCCTCTCACTCAACTGCGACAGCTCTGGAAGGCCTTCCTGGGTTCAGAGCTCTCTGTGATTACAGCATTTGTCAAAACTCCATCCGAGCCCAACTTCTCCCTTTGCCTAATCCTCCCTGTCCTCTCTCCTTCCTTCTCAAGGTAAGCTCCCAGGAACACTCCTTTAAAAAAATATTTTAAAAAAAATTGTATGGGTACATAGCAGGTGTACAGGTGCATATATTTATGGGGTATATGAGCTGTATTGATACAGGCGTGAAATGCATAGTAATCATATCATGGAGAATGGGGAATCGGTCCCCTCAAGCATTTATCCTTTGTGTTACAAATAATACAGTTATACTCTTTTAGTTTATTTATTTATTTTTTTTGGAGACAGAGTCTCGCTCTGTAGCCCAGGCTGGAGTGCAGTGGTGCAATCTCGGCTCACTGCAAACTCCGCCTCCCGGGTTCACGCCATTCTCCTGCCTCAGCCTCCCGAGTGGCTGGGACTACAGGCGCCCGCCACCAGGCCCGGCTAATTTTTTTTTTTTTTTTTGTATTTTTTTAGTAGAGACCGGGTTTCACTGTGTTAGCCAGGATGGTCTCGATCTCCTGACCTTGTGATCTGCCCGCCTCGGCCTCCCAAAGTGCTGGGATTACAGGCGTGAGCCACCACGCCCGGCCTCTTTTAGTTATTTTAAAATGTACAATTAAGTTGTTATTGACTATAGTCACCCTGTTGTGCTATCAAATTATAGGTCTTATTCATTGTTGCTAACTATTTTTTGAACTCATTAAACATCTCCACCTCCCCCCGGCCCCCTCACTAACCTTCCCAGCCTCTAGTAACTATCCTTCTACTCTCTATGTCCATGAGTTCAATTGTTTTGATTTTTAGATCCCACAAATGAGTGAGAACATGTCATGTTTGTCTTTCTGTGCCTGGCTTATTTCACTTAACATAATGATCTTCAGTTCCATCCATGTTGTTGCAAATGACAGGATCTCATGCTTTTTTATAGCTGAATAGTACTCCATTGTGTATATGTGCCATGTTTTCTTTATCCATTCATATGTTTATGGACACTTAGGTTGCTTTCAAATCCTGGCTATTGTGAGCAGTGCTGCAACAAACAAGAGAGTGCAGATACCTCTTCAATATACTAATTTCGTTTCTTTGGGGTATATAACAGCAGTGGGATTGCTGAGTCATATGGTAGCTCTATTTTTAATTTTTTGAGGAACCTCCAAACTGTTCTCCATAGTGGTCAGGAACACTCCTTAATAAAGATCCTGCCCACTAGTTTCCATCTCAGATACTGCTTCCTGGGGCAACCCAACCTTAATATTCATATTTGCCTTACTATGCTGACAACAATTGCATCCACTTTCAGAAAACTGTCTTCGATATGGTACAATTTCTTGAGAGACTTCTGATTGTTGACTGTTAATAAGGAGCTAGTGTGATAAAATAAATAATTAAACTGGTAATTATTGTTGACTTTCATTTTGAAAATGACAATCTTTAAAAAATGGAAGACTTAGATATACAGGAAAGTGAACTTGGAGTCCAAGGGGCTATGTCAGTTACACAGCACAAGCCTCTCACTGGCCAAGCAAGAAGCGATGTCAGGGAACAACCCTGGTCCTTTCAGCGCCAGTTCACTGCTGGTAAATGTTAAATATTTTGTTGGTACTTAGTTTAGCTCCTATTTGCTCCTACACTAGAGTGGGAAAATACACATGAGCAAACTCAAATGAAACTACAACTGCCCCACCCCTCCCACAAAGACAAAAGGAAAAACCTCCCAACTCATAGGCACTTGTGTTTGTGTAGGACTGGAAGGGAGGAGGAGAAATTGTGCAGTTACTCAGCAGTGAAGGTAATGTTGATGGTGGAACTGCTAGTGACCACCAGAAATGCAAAGAAGAATGTCAACTCCCTCAGCCTCAATAGAGAGAGGGAGGGAGGCAGGGAGAGGAAAGGGGAGGGAGAATGAAGAGATTCTGAAAGAAAAATGAATTGGCCAGGTGCAGTGGCTCACACCTGTAACCCCAGCACTTTAGGAGGCCAAGGCAGGTGGATCACTTGAGGTCAGGAATTGAAGACCAGCCTGGCCAACATAGTGAAACCCCATCTCTACTAAAAATACAAAAATTAACTAGGCATGGTGGTGGGTGCCTGTAATCCCAGCTACTGAGGAGGCTGAGGCAGGAGAATCGCTTGAACCTGGGAGGTGGAGGTTGCAGTGAGCCGAGATCACGCCACTGTACTCCAGCCTGGGTGACAGAGCCAGATTCAGTCTCAAACAAAAAAAGAAAAAGAGAAGAAAGAAAGAAAAATGACCTGAGAAAAGTATGTAATACTAGGAAGCCCCTGATACACAGAAATCCCAGTTTTGAGGCCGGGCGCGGTGGCTCACGCCTATAATCCCAGCACTTTGGGAGGCTGAGGGGGGTGGATCACGAGGTCAGGAAATCGAGACCATCCTGGCTAACATGGTGAAACCCTGTCTCTACTAAAAAAAAAATACAAAATTTAGTCGGGTGTGGTGGTGGGCACCTGTAGTCCCAGCTACTGCGGAGGCTGAGGCGGAGAATGGCGTGAACCTGGGAGTCAGAGCTTGCAGTGAGCCGAGATCGCGCCACTGCACTCCAGCCTGGGTGACAGAGCAAGACTACGTCTCAAAAAAAAGAGAAATCCCAGTTTTGGTAAAAATAGGCTGTGATTTATGTGCAATTCTTTTGATAAAATTCTGTGGTCTCCTGGAGGAGCCATAACCACAGACATGACGAATAACAAATAAAACAAATAAAAAGCAAGAGAGAAGGTGCTGATCTTTTTTTTTTTTTTTTTTTAAGTTTATTCTCCGGCTGGTTTGTTTCCCCAGAAAGCAGCTGTTTAAAATTGAGAAATAGTTACAACTCTTCTGTAATACACTCTGGGGAAAGAGAAGAGGAAGGAAAGCAAATACAATATTACAAAAAAGCCTGTGCGGTGTTAGCTTAAATTAGAAGCGGTTTGAGGGTTCATTCTCTCATCAGAAAGGAAAAAGAAACACAGGAAGAAACAGATGAATACATCTGAGAGGAAAAAAATTCAATTATCATTATACACAGGAAAAATTAAGCTACTTAAGAGAATTATTAACAGTGCGTATGTTAGCAAATTGCTTTGGGAGGAAGTGGAAAATGCTCTTTTGAGCATTCTCTACTTGATTATGATCTTGCATAGAATTTTGAGGGCATTGTAAAACAACAAGTAGATGCTTATTATCTGCCACACCCGCTCTGACCAGCTCTATAACCCGTCCCATTCCATTCTGTGACTGAGAGGCCCAGGGTGTTAGTGCATAGCGATCACAGCGGAATCCATACAGAAGCCTCTGGAGGCAGGGCCCAGTGGCTCACGCCTGTAATCTCAACACATTGTAAGGCTGAGGCAGGAGAATCACTTGAGGCCAGGAGTTCGAGACCAGCCTGGGCAACACAGCGAGACCCCATCTCTACAAACAATTTTAAAAATTAGCTAGGCATGTGGTGGCCTGAATCTGCAGTCCCAGCTACTTGGGAGGTTCAGGTGGGAGGATTGCTTGAGCCCAGGAGTTTGAGGCTGCAGTGAGCTAGGATTGTGTCACTGCACTCCAGCCTGGGTGACAGAGCAAGAATCTATCTCTAAAATAAATACATAAATAAATAAGAAGCCTCTGTAATCTCTCTATACACGCTCTATATACACGTTCTAATGCTCTCTATACACGCTCAAGCAATTCAGCAAATATGCAGGTTGCAAATTGTGTCACCAGCTCTGTATGTTGTGGGGCTACAATTTCAAATACAGCCCTTTAGGGACTTATTTTTTATTTTGAATTATTAAAGATAGAATCCTGTTTTTAAAGAATATGTTGCATGGATACCAATCTCTTTATCAATATTTTATTCTCTGTAGTAAAGCAATTCAGATTTCAAGACCCCATGTGTGAGCAGATCAATGCTAAGCAGTAATGACAATGGAAGGATAAATACTGCCATTGTCAGCCGGGCGTGGTGGCTCACACCTGTAATCCTAGCACTCTGGGAGGCTGAGGTGGATGGATCACTTGAGCTCGGGAGTTTGAGAGCAGCCTGGCCAGCATGGTGAAACCCCGTATCTACTAAAAACACAAAAATTAGCCAGATGAGGTGGTGGGCGCCTGTAATCCCAGCTATTTGGGAGGTTGAGGCAGGAGAATGGCTTGAACCCAGGAGGCACAGGTTGCAGTGAGCTAAGATCATGCCGCTGCACTCCAGCCTGAGCGACAGAGACTCTGTCTCAAAAAAATAAACAAAACAAAACAACACAAAAAAACCTGTCCTTACCTTCTAGATAAGTCTTGGCATGAAGTCTATCCACTGAAGTAGTTTGTGACAAGTACTTGAAGCAAGTAGTTTGTGCATTTTTCTACATTTATGCTAATTATGTCTGTTTCAGAGTGGTAGTCTTTCAAAACAATATGATGTTTTTAAAGATATATCCACAAATCCTCTGATACTGCCTCCCTTAAGAGAAGAAACTTAATTCCTCTCTCTTTGTGTGAGAAAAAAAAAATCCAGGCACAGTGACTCATACCCGTAATCTCAGCACTTTGGGAGGCTGAGGCAGGAGGATCACTTCGGGCCAGGAGTCAGAGACCAGCCTGGGTAACATAGGGAGACCTCATCTCTACCAAAAATAAGATAAAAATTAGCTGGGCATGGTGGCATCCACCTGTGGTACCAGCTACTTGGGAGGCTGAGGTGGGAGGATCACTTGAGCCTGGAACGTTGAGACAGCAGTGAGCTGAGATCGCGCCACTGCACTCCAGCCTGGGTGACAGAGTGAGACCCTGGCTGAAAAAAAAGAAAAAGAAGAAAAAGACTGTAGATGTATCTATTTTGCTCTCTGTGAATGGGGCTCCTTAGTGTCACTTCTCTTCACTGTCTGACCATCTCTTCTGTCCTTCAGTTTCCACTTTAAATGCCTTTCCATCTGCCAAGCAGTCGGAGGTGTCCTTACCATACTTCCCAAGTCAGTTCACATCTCAGTTTTAGGGCTTGTATTGTGTCATTAGTCTGTTTCCAAGCCTATCTTCTCCATAGACTTGAGTTTCTTGAGGATAACCTCTGTTATCTTCAGGGCCCACCAGTGCTGGTCATACAGTGAGCTCTCCATGGACTTCATTGTGTGCATGGGTGGATAGATAATGAGGTGACAACCTGCCTCTCAGAGCCTTAACCACCCCCAGTTAAGCCATGAAACAAGGCTATGGTTTCCAGTTTGCACGACCTCCTCCCTAAGTTCATTGCCCTGGGCCTAGAATGAGGAGAATTGGCTGGTGCCACTTCTTTCCTTTTGGCTTTCCAATGGTTTTCTTCCAAGCTATAAGGCCTTGCTCTAGAGATTTTAAAGTATTAAGAACTGGAATACTGTTCTACATGTTTAGGTCAACAGAGTCAGTTGATCCATAGAATGCACATATTGGGTTTTTGTTTTTGTTTTTGTTTTTGTTTTTCAGCATTAGGTCTTCCCCCTTCTAAAGAATGATATGTGCCCCCGAACTCAGAAGTGATGTTTGATCCTAAATTACACATGCAAAACAAATTAGTTAAATAATGATTTAGTCCAGGTTCTCTGACAAGCAAATGCCAAAAAAGGATTAGCTGGATAAGAGATTAATTGGCGAAAATACTGGGGCACTGGGGAGGGATAATGAGAAGGAAACAAGAGGGTGATAGGAGAGCCATCAGATCATGACACACGTCTGCCCCCTGGGAAGACAGAGGGAAGGAGGGAAAGAAGGAAGGAAGGAAGGAAGGAAGTGAGGGAGGGAGGAAGGAAGAGAGAAGGGAGAGGAGGGAGGAGAAGGGAAGGAAGGAAGAATGGAAGAAACTGGAGACGGAAAGAGGAAAAGAGAAAAAGAGGGAGGGAGAAAGAAAGGAAGGAAGGAAGGGAGGGAGGGAGGGAGGAAGGAGGAAAGACAGGCCATAGACTGCCTTGTAGTTCTCAGAAAGTTTCAGCAAGGTCAAAAGGGAGTCAGTGAACCTAAGTTGCCCATTAGAGGAGCCCCTGCCTCCCAGGAAGGGGCCTCCTTGATATCCCTGCCATACTCAGTCACTGACTGGGAGCAGCCCACAGGAAGTGTGGCCTCAATCCTGGGCACACCAGCAGCTAGGGCTGGAAATAAATTATGCTTCCTGCAGTAGGAGATCTGAAAGTTGTATTCTCATGCTACTGCAGACAACAATTTGTATAACTCAGAGTTAACTACTCTCTGATCTTACCTGAAACAGTGGAGTGATCCAAGGCAAGTTTGGGGTTTAGTCCTCAATCATCCACCTGGGCCTTGTTCTCAATTCCACTAACTAAACAGAGGGTTGTAGTCACAGCATCCTAAATGAAGATTGAGAAGAAGGATCCACATTTTGCTAAAAATGTTAAGCTATAGCTCTGCAGCAAAATAATTCCTGCTTTCATTTCAAAAACAATAGATGTATTACTTTTCTTCTGCTTCTGCAAGACACCGATTCGAGAGGAGTGTTGGATGCCTGCAAACAGGCAAAAACAAAACAAAACAAAAAACAAAACAAAAAACCCCCCAGGTATCCAAAATCTAGTGACTGTTAGTCCAAAGTCTTACTTTTTTTTTATAGACTGATTTATGGATCAAGAAATCTTCAATTTGCCTTTGCTACCAAATGAGGCCACCTTATCATGGGTCATCTTTACCTCCATGCCCTAGCCCTGCTAGGGGACAGTGTCTCACCTCGACTAACAGGCGTTCAGTTACGCTGACATCAACTAGATTAAGAGAGTTGGCTCTTGCCCCAGTGAGTTGACTGTTTAGGAAGCCAGTGTTTGCAAGAGGCCTTCTTTGCAGAACTTGCTCTGCTAAATCTCTCATTTGGGGAACATTTGTAAACATTTATTATTTACTTTTATTTTTAGAGGCAGGGTCTCACTTTGTTGTCCAGGGTGATCTTGAACTTCTGGCCTCAAGCGATCCTTTTGCCTCAGCCTCCCAAAGTGCTGGGATTATAGGGGTGAGCCACTATCTTGGCCCTTCATCTGGGGAACCTTTTCAAAATGTCCATATAAACAGTGGTTGGATCTGGTGCAGACAAGCAGTCTTTGGAGGTGATGAAATCTGGTCTTGCATTCTAGCTCTACCACATTTTTGTCAACAAAGGCAGGTGACTGGTAGATGTCCAAATGTCAGACCTTTGGAAGAGCTCCAGAAGAAAGGGGAGATAATGCCAGAAAGGTCTAAAAGTAGCTGTTGGAATTTGGTCACAGAAAGTGACGTGCAGAGGAGCAACTCATTCACTAGGCTAGATGGAATTGGGGAGATAGAGGAGAGTCCAATTTGCAGGGAACGGGGTCAGTGAGGCATAGGAAGAAAAGCCACAGTCAGGTTTCTGATGTACCAAGGTGGAAGGCAAGGACTCAGGCACAGAAGTCTAAATAAGGAATCAACTTCCTGGATATACTGGGGAAACAGGATCAGATGACCCAGTGTTGGGCTGAAGATCTTGTTTCTTATCCACCACATACAGAGGATGTGAATTATTCCAGAGTCTGAGCTGGAACTTTCCTACTTTACAGATAGGGTTAAGCAACCCTAGATGCAAACTCCCAGGGTTCAGAATTAGGTAGACCACAATCTCCAGAAGCTGGATGTTTACATGTTCAAACTTTAAGATGATAATTTCTATAATAACAATAAATGATAGAAATAGAAAGTTCACAAATGTCAATTTACTTGAAAGTATAAGAGATATTTTAAAAAGAAATAATCCAATCAGGGCTGGGTGTGGTGGCTTACGCCTATAATCCCAGCACTTTGACAGGTCGAAGCAAGTGGATTGCTTGAGGACAGAAGTTCAAGATCATCCTGGGCAACATAGTGAGACCCCCGTCTCTACAAAAATTTTTTAAAAAATAGCTAGGTGTAGTGGTGCACACCTGTAGTACCAGCTACTCAGGAGGCTGAGATAGGAGGCTCGCTTGAGCCCTGGAGTTTGAGGCTGCAGTAAGCTATGATTGCATCACTGCACTCCAGCTTGGGCAATAGAGTGAGATCCTGATGAAAGAAAGAAAGAGAAAGAGAGAGAGAGAAAGAGAGACAGAGAGAGAGAAAGAGAGAGAGAAAGAAAGAAAGAACGAAAGAAAGAAAGAAAGAGAAATAAAAAGAAAGAAAAGAAAGAAAGAAAGAAGAAAGAGATAGAAAAGGAAGGAAGAAGGAGAGAGAGAGAAAGAGAGGGAGGAAGGGAAGGAAAGAAGGAAGGAGGGAAGGAAGGAGGAAGGGAAGGAAGGAAGGAAGGAAGGAAGGAAGGAAGGAAGGAAGGAAGGAAGAAAAAGACAGATAACACATTGGGATTCCATTATCCAAAAGGGACTAAAATAGGATCATGGAATAAATACAAATCAGCCTGTACTCATGTGTTATCAATAGGGCTGAGAAATTCTCAGTCTTCATTACCTTTTGACAACTGATGAGAGTGAACAGTCCTCTAAGATTAATGATGCACTGGCTGCCACTGCCATGCACAATCTAATCACTAAGTTAATGCTTTACCAAGAGGAATACTGCATATTTTTTTAAAGTACATATTAGAAAAAGAAAGCAGATTTGGAGAGTAAGATTCTGCTATCTTATTTCTTTTTCTTTTTTTTAATAGAGGGAGTTTCACTCTTGTTGCCCAGGCTGAAGTGCAATGGCGTGATCTCAGCTCACTGCAACCTCTGCCTCCTAGGTTCAAGTGATTCTCCTGCCTCAGCCTCCCGAGTAGCTGGGGTGACAGGCATGTGCCACCACACCTGGCTAATTTTGTATTTTTAGTAGAGACAGGATTTCTCCATGTTGGTCAGGCTGGTCTCGAACTCCCGACCTCAGGTGATCCACCCGCCTCAGCCTCCCCAAGTGCTGAGATTACAGGCGTGAGCCACCGCACCCATCATGTTTTGTTTTGTTTTGTTTTGAGACATGATCTCACTCTGTCGCCCAGTCTGATGT
Organism: Homo sapiens; assembly: GCF_000001405.40. Lineage (NCBI taxonomy): Eukaryota > Metazoa > Chordata > Mammalia > Primates > Hominidae > Homo > Homo sapiens. The sequence continues at coordinate 28,498,453 of NC_000010.11, forward strand.
ACAGTGGTGTGATTACAGCTCACTGTGGCCTCAGCCTCCCAGGCTCAAACAATCCTCCCACCTCAGCCCCTCCAGTAGCTGGGAATACGGGTGCACCCCCATGCCTGGCTAGTTTTTACTTTGTTTTTGCTTTTGTTTTTGTTTTGTAGAGATGGGGTTTCGCCGTGTTGCCCAGGCTGGTCTCAAAGTCCTAGGCTCAAGTGATCCACCTGCCTCAGCCTCCCAGTCTTATTTCTTTTCAGGTACTTAACACTCTATTTGGTAAATTTCATAGAAGCATTTCTGGATTATTTCTTTAAATGTATTTAATCCTCTAACAAGTTTCATAGGCAGGAGGTATTCTAGTCACATAAATATATAAGTTTAATGCTGTCTTTATTTTTCTTCAAGTTTGTTTTCCAAAAGTGTGGACAATTAGGTGCATCATGCAGCAATCCCATGGTTCTTCTGAAGGGAAACATAACCTTTTATTTCCCTTAAATACATAGGGGAAATTATTAAACAATTGTAGCTAAGACTAAGTCAAGGGAATTCAGGACTTAGGAGAATTACACTGCCTATGTGTTCCGTACTTTATACCTTTCTCCCTGCCATGTAAAAAAAAAAATTATGTGCAGAATAATCTGGCTAAAATAAGCAACTGAAGGAAGCATTGATGGGCAAACAAGATGGAGAAGAGAAAGAAGTTTTGAGAGACAAGTGAGTCAACAAGGCATGGCTTTGACGGAAGGATTCTGAGGCCACATTCCAGGTGGATTTTCTTTTTTTTTTTTAGATGGAGTCTCACTCTGTCACCCAGGCTGCAGTGCAGTGGCGCAGTCTTGGCTCGCTGCAGCCTCTGCCTCCCAGGTTCAAGCGATTCTCCTGCCTCAGCCTCCCGAGTAGCTGGGATTACGGGCACCCACCACCACGCCCGGCTAATTTTTGTATTTTTAGTAGAGACGAGGTTTCACCATGTTGGCCAGGCTGGTCTTGAACTCCTGACTTCAAGTGATCCTCCTGCCTCGGCCTCCCAAAGTGCTGGGATTACAGGTGTAAGCCACTGTGGCCACCCTCCAGGTGGATTTTATTTATACGTGTCTATCGTTGCCTGAAGTCCTTTCTTAGTAACATTTTACTACACCACATCTCTTTCCCTACTTACTGCCTTCGTGAGTCCAACTCTTGGCGTCTATAATAGTTTGGCCTCTATAGTCTTGCAGGTGATCATTTTGGTGTGATTTACTGAGAAGCAGCTCTGTGCACAAGCATTTTCTTTTCTGCTAAGTCTGGCCTGTTTCTAGGGTCCCCTCTTACTGCCTCCAATCACAAATCTCACTGATGGTTAAGACAATGAATTGTATTTTAATGAGGTAGGGATCAAGAAACCCTGTTTCTAGCTGTGTTATCTGTGACAAATCATTTATTCCTTGTGCTTCAGTTTCCTGTTTATTAAAATGAAGATATTGGACTAAGTATCATTCAGTTTTAAATTTTTGTCTCTAGATGTAATAGGTGTCCTTTATGAGTAAGGCAGGTGTTTGTTAGAGTTTGACATTGTAATGCCAAAGGTTCTTGCCTTAGCCATGCCAAAGGATTGGTGTGGCGGTAGCCTGTGACGAGAGAGACAGGGATCGGACCGAGAGAAAAAGAGCTGTAGACTTTATTGAGCAGAGTGACAGTACAAAGCTTCCACAGCGTGGAAGGGGTCCCGAGTGGGTAGCCAGTGTTAGATTTTTCATCACCTTTTAAACTCTTTAAGGCCGGAAATACGTGGGATGGGAAGATGTTACCAGAGCGAGAAACAAAGACAATTAATATGTCTCAGATCTTGCGAACCGGAATTGTAACTTAAGTTTTATCTACTTTATAACCTTGCAGCAGCATGGCAAAGGAGACAGGATCTCACAAGACCTTACAAATTGTATTTACAGGGAATTGGAATTGGGAGCATAGATAAGGTCTGCTGGTCACAGAAAAACGGGTTTTTTAACATTCCTTTTAGTTTCAGGGGAGGAGGAAGGGAGAGAGGGAGAGAGGACACAGGGAAGCTTACAGCAAAATTTTTAGTGTTCATAGCTTTCCTGGGGAAGAAAACACATGCACAAATTCTGATGTTAGGAATATTTTAAGCATATATCTTCAATATTATTCATCCAGGACCAAAGTAAGTCCTGATGCAGGAAATGAGTGAGTTTCACAGCTTTCTCAGCCCCTACGACCCAGGAAGCCCAGCTAGCATCTCTGCTCAGTATTTCCACTGAGAGCTAGGCTGATGAGAATAGTGCAGAACTGTGAGTACATTAAAAGAGCACAGCCGGGTTCAGTGGCTTATGCCTGTAATCCCAGCACTTTGGGAGGCCAAGGCAGGGAGATCACAAGGTCAAAAGATCGAGACCATCCTGGCCAACATGGTGAAACCCCGTCTCTACTAAAAATACAAAAATTAGCTGGGTGTGGTGGTGCGCACCTGTAGTCCCAACTATTCGGGAGGCTGAGGCAGGAGAATAGCTTGAACCCAGGAGGTGGAGGTTGCAGTGAGCTGAGATCGTGCCACTGCACTCCAGCCTGGGCGACAGAGCAAGACTCCATCTCAATTAAAAAAACAAAAAAAAAAGATCTAGCAACTGCTACTCATATAAAGAGAAGTAAAATGTGTTTGCTGGAAACTGATGCTTCCATTTTGAAGTGGGTGGGTAAGAATTCTTAATCATCGTGGATTCATTTAGACTCAATTCAGAGTTAATATATTTTAATTTTACACTTTCATTAGTTACTTTTGTTATTTATATGAGCCATTTATGAAATGAGTATCCAAAATCAGCTAACTTCTTCAGATCATTGTTTTGTGATAGCTAATAACTTTCTTTTTTTTTTTTTTGAGACGGAGTCTCGCTCTGTTGCCCAGGCTGGAGTGCAGTGGCACGATATCGGCTCACTGCAAGCTCCGCCTTCCATGTTCATGACATTGTCCTGCCTCAGCCTCCCGAGTAGCTGGGACTACAGGCGTCTGCCACCAAGCCCGGCTAATATTTTTGTATTTTTTTTTAGTAGAGACAGGGTTTCACCGTGTTAGCCAGGATGGTCTCTGTCTCCTGACCTCGTGATCCGCCGACCTTGGCCTCCTAAAGTGCTGGGATTGTAGGCGTGAGCCACCGCGCCCGGCCTTTTTTCATTATTTATTTAATCAAGCTATGAGTAGGAGTTTATATTAGTTATATTTCTTATGGAAGGTTTCTTAGAACGTTACCGCAACTTTTTTTTTCTTTTAACTTTTTTTTTTAGGTTCAGGGGTACATGTGCAGGTTTTGTTATATAGGTAAACTTGTTATATAGATAAACAGTACAAAAAAGTTGGTACAGCAACTTTTTTTTTTTCTGAGACGAAGTCTTGCTCTGTTGCCCAGGCTGGAGTGCAGTGGCACGATCTCGGCTCACTGCAAGCTCCGCCTCCCGGGTTCACGCCATTCTCCTGCCTCAGCCTCCTGAGTAGCTGGGACTACAGGCGCCCGCCACCACGCCCAGCTAATTTTTTTTTAATATTTTTAGTAGAGATGGGGTTTCACCGTGTTAGCCAGGATGGTCTCGATCTCCTGACCTCGTGATCCGCCTGCCTCGGCCTCCCAAAGTGCTGAGATTACAGGCGTGAGCCACCACGCCCTGCCAGTATGGTGTATTTTCAAAAGGAGATAATTTCTTCCCATATCTGAGGGTTTACCCATTTAAATTAGTTTAGCTACGAATAACAGTAAATGCAAAATTACAGTGGTTTATCAAAAAAGCAGATTACTTTCTCACTCACGTTAAAAATCTCTCTAGGGAGGTAGTAGTCTCTCTAGAGGTGACGCGCCGTCCCACGATGCCAGGAAACCGGGCTCTTATCTTTGGCTCTATCATCCTTAGCACATGGTTTCCACTCATAGTCTAAGGTGCGTATTCACGCTCCAGCTCTCACATTCACAATGTAGCCAGAAAGGAGAAAAGCAGGCGGGGCGCCGTGGCTCACGCCTGTAATCCCAGCACTTTAGGAGGCCGAGGCGGGTGGATCATGAGGTCAGGAGATAGAGACCATCCTGGCTAACACGGTGAAACCCCGTCTCTACTAAAAATACAAAAAATTAGCCAGGCGTGGTGGCTGGAGCCTGTAGTCCCAGCTACTCGCGAGCCTGAGGCAGGAGAATGGCGTGAACCCGGGAGGCGGAGCTTGCAGTGAGCCGAGATCGTGCCACTGCACTCCAGCCTGGGCGACAGAGCGAGTCTCCGTCTCAGAAAAAAAAAAAAAAAAAAAAAAAAAAGGAGAAAAGCAGAAGAACCTTTTCCCTTTAAGGATAGTTCCTGAAAATTCCACGCACCACTCCTGCTTATATCCAGCTGGACAGACATGGCCACGTCAAGTTACAAAGGAAGTGGAGAAATACAATCTTTTTCTGGACAGAGAGAGGCCCACTAAAAACTAGGGATTCTACAAAGAAAGAATGGAGAAAAAATATTGGGAGAAAGCCTCCTTTTGACAGAGCTTTTATATTTGTAGTGTTCCACAGGTAAATTTATTCACTTATATAAACGGGTCAATCTTCTTTCGAATATGAAAGTAACTTGCATATAGAAAAACATCCAAAATTTATTTTAGAATTTTGCAGATGAAATCTAGTTTTTCAAATGTTAATTTAAGATGGCCTGTCTTTTTTGATACAGGTAATGTATATTCCTTTTTCTGGAAGTATACTTTGTGATTAAAAAAAAAAAAAGAATCAAAGCCAGATGGAAAACAGCATTGTAAAAGGAAAGAATTCAGTACTACCGCACAGTTTTATACCACCTGGCAAGCAGACAACACTAATATGAATTTGGAACCCTGCCGATGGAGTCATATGCCCCTGCTGGGCTGGGCTGCTAGGACAAGCACCTGCCTATATGTGCCAAGTGTGCTCCCTGCTACGTGCTTTTAATGCAGTGGCCTAAAGGCACATAATGCAGGCCAAAGGTGGGCTTGAAAGAATACTCTCACAGAAGTCACATTATCCCAAAGTGATAACAAGGTTTGATTAATTAGGAAATACTGGACATTTATATGAGTGGAATTATCATATTTCCTCAACACTCTCTCTTTACAGACACTAATGCTTCATCAGCTCAACATAGCATCCATGTCCTCAAAACCTTCCATCACAGTTTTAAACATAAGACTCGGTAAACACAAACAAACAAACATCTTTCAAACATGCATATTCAGATACTATCTTCATAATTTGAATTCCTGCAAGATAGATCAATGGAGTCATGCAGGCTACAGATTAATCCAACGTAGCAACGAATTACTAGGCACCCAATTTTCATGCAGTATTTGAGGAAATATGATAATTCCACTCATATAAATGTCCAATATTTCCTAATTAATCAAATATTGTTATCACTTTGGGATGATGTGACTTCTGTGAGAGTATTCTTTCAAGCCTCAAACACTTATGTGAGACTTCTGTGAGAGTATTCTTTCAAGCCTCAGGACACTTACCGAGTCTTATGTTTACTATGATGGAAGGTTTTGAGGACGTGGATGCTGTGTTGAGCTGATGGAGCATTAGAGTCTGTAAAGAGAGAGTGTTGACAGGGGTAATGATTGCCAGCTGCAGGGTCCAGAGAAACCCTACATTAACAAGAGACAATTACAGAAAATATTAGAAACCTCTAGGATTCTACAACACACTCTATTATTAAGCAAATTTTGCTTTACCAAAGACCTCTAGATAGGTACCATTTCTCTAAAATTTAGGAGAATAAAGGGCCCCAAGAAACCACTGGCAGGCTTTCCTTCTGCTTCATTTCAAAGACAAATCGCTGAAGGATAATACAGAAGCCTCTGAGGCAATGATAAGCCATTAGAAGCCAAAGAGCTACATGTAGCTTACCTAGTGACACTATTCACTGGCAAAACAATTGCAAGAATAAGAAACCAAAGTAGAAGATCATTGTATTCACTGATTAATTTGTGTTTGACCTGAGAATTAATACTCCTGCTTCTATACTGGGGCTGCGGAAGTTGCATAGTGCTCCAGGATTTGGTCAAGAATGAAAGCTTCCTAGATACAGGTGGCATTTGGGACTGAAAAACAGCATATAGGACAGCAATGAATAAGGAGCAAGAGAACGCGCACGCAGAAGGAAAAGATTAAAGAGCTGCTCCCATTTCTTTTTTTTTTTTTTTTTTTTTGAGTCTTACTCTGTTACCCAGGCTGGAGTGCAGTGGCACAATCTCAGCTCACTGCAACCTCTGCTTCCCAGGTTCAAGGGATTCTCCTGCCTCGGCCTCCCAAGTAGCTGGGATTACAGGTATCTGCCACCACACCTGGATAACTTTTGTATTTTTAGTAGAGACGGGGTTTCACCATGTTGAGCAGGCTGGGCTTGAACTCCTGACCTCAGGTGATCCACCCACCTCGGCCTCCCAAAGTGCTGGGATTATAGGCGTGAGCCACCGCAGCCGGCTGTGCTTCCATTTCTAAACTATCTCTTTCTTGGAGAAATGTTGCTAGTTTATGCAGTTTCTAATATTATATATTAAATAACAACCACAGCCTGGCCAACATGGTGAAACCCCATCTCTACTAAAAATACAAAAATTAGCTGGGTGTGGCGGCATGCACCTGTAATCCCAGTCACCCGGGAGGCTGAGGCAGGAGAATCGCTTGAACTCGGGGGGTAGAGGTTGAAGTGAGCCGAGATCGTGCCACTGCACTCCAACCTGGGCAACAGAGTGAGACGCTCTCAAAAAATATTAAATAAATAAATAAGCAAAAATAAATATATAAATAACAACCAACCATTGACTCACAAGAAAACTGTGACTATAGTATCTTGGTAACAAACAGATAAAATTATGAAAATGTTTTGAAATATGAATCACCTTTCCTATTAAAAAAGTGCTTACCATTGTCTTAAGGTTTTGTACAGCACATGTACTGTTTTGTAAAAAGAAAGTCTGCACAGCAAAATGATTTGGATAAACCAAGGATCTGAATATGTAGGTCCTGGACAACTGTTGTTGTAGCACTGTAACTCCCTGGCCAAGCACGGTTGCATCACACATTAGTTGGATAACAGGTGCTTCTGTTTTGGGGTAACTTCCTGGCACAACAGAGCCCCACTGCTTCCTTTTTGGCTCCAGCCTGCTGTATTGTAATATTACCAGGGTTGCAAAAGAAAAGCCTAAAATGGAGACCTAAATGCAATGTTCTATCTGTCTAAATTTTTAATCTGTGAGTAAAAGAACAGATAACCATGCCATGCAAATTACATTAAATATTGTGGTTTGTGAGCAGGGATTGGTTAGTACCTTGAGGCCATCTGTGCTGTATGTCTCGTTATCTGTTTCACATGAGACATATTATATTACGATTCAGATCGTATTTTAAGTTACATGGATAATAGTTCCTAATGGTTTTTTTTAAAATTGTGGTTGAATATATATAACATAAAATTTACCAGTAAAACCATTTTTTTAATGAACAGTTCTGTGGCATTAAGTACATCCATGCTGTTGTGCAACCATCACCATCATCCACCTCCAAAACTTTCAAAATCATATCAAACAGAAACTCTGTACACATTAAATAAGAACTTCCTGCTCCCCTCTCCCTGCACCCCTGGCAACCACCATGCTACTTTCTGTCTCTATGAATTTGACTACTATAGGCACCTCACATAAGTGGAATCATACAATATTTGTCCTTTCATGATGACATTATTTCACTTAGAATAATAACTTCAGGTTTCATCCATGTTGTAGCATGTGTTCAAGCGATTCTCTTTTAAAATTTAAAAATTTACTTCTCTTTTAAGGCTGAATAATATTCCATTGTATGTATATACCACATTTGTTTATCCATTTATCCATCAACAGACACCTGGGTTGCTTCCACCTTTTGGCTTTTGAGAATAACTTTGCTATGAACATTGGTGTACAAACATCTGTTAGGGTTACTGCTTTCTTTTGGGTTTATACGCAGAAGTGGAAATGCTGGATCATATGGTAAATATATTTTTAAATTTTTGAGGAACTGCCAAACTGTTTTTCATAGGAGCTGCACCATTTTATATTCCAACCAGCAGTGCACAAGTGTTCCGGTTTCTTCATATCCTCACCAACACTTGTTATTTTCTGTTTTGTTTTTGTTTTATAATAGCCATCCTAATGAGTGTGAGGTGGTATCTCACTGTGGTTTTGACTTGCATTTCACTTGTGACACTGAGCATCTTTTTATGGGATTATTGGCCATTTGTATATCTTCTTTGGGAAAATGTCTATTCAAGTCCTTTGCTCATTTTTTAATTGTTTTTTTTTGTGTGTGTGTGTGGTTGAGTTGTAGAGAGTTCTTTATATATTCTGGGTAGCAATTCCTTATCAGATAGATGATCATAAAGTGTTTTTCTATTTTTTTTTTTTTTTTTTTTTTTTGAGACAGTCTCGCTCTGTCGCCCAGGCTGGAGTGCAGTGGCGTGATCTCGGCGCACTGCAAGCTCCGCCTCCCGGGTTAATGCCATTCTCCTGCATCAGCCTCCCAAGTAGCTGGGACTACAGGCGCCCACCACCACACCCAGCTAATTTTTTTGTATTTTTAGTAGAGATGGGGTTTCACCGTGTTAGCCAGGATGGTCTTGATCTCATGACCTCGTGATCCGCCTGCCTCAGCCTCCCAAAGTGCTGGGATTACAGGCATGAGCCACCGCGCCTGGCCAATCATAAAGTGTTTTTTTGTTTTGTTTCGTTTGAGACGGAGTTTCGCTCTGTCGCCCAGGCTGGAGTGCAGTGGCACGATCTCGACTCACTGCAAACTCCACCTCCCAGGTTCAAGCAATTCTCATGCCTCAGCCTCCTGAGTTGCTGGGATTAAGGCGCCTGCCACCATGCTCAGCTAATTTTTGTATTTTTAGTAGAGAAGGGATTTCACCATGTTGGTTAGGCTGGTCTCGAACCCCTGACCTCGTGATCCACCCGCCTCGGTGTCCCAAAGTGCTGGGATTACAGGCGTGAGCCACCGCGCCTGGCCAATCATAAAGAGTTTTAAGGGAAAATTAGGTCTCCAATGAAGACTGAGTAGCAGTAGAAGACACAGAGGGGTGAACACAAGCTTTGTGTGAGTGAAACATACCAGTAAGCAGATTTACTGGGGAAGGAACAAGTACAGACCAGAGAATGCCAGGGTGCAGAGTTTCAATCTTTCACTCTCAGGCAGAGTTGCCCTTTCACTTTGCTTCTTATCTCCCTTAGCGTGGGGGTCTGGAGTTACCTCGTGTCTGCCCCATTTTTCTCAGACCCCTAACTACTACATCAAAGACCCACCCGAGACAGACTAATGATTTGCTTTCTAGCAATGTTTCTCAAACTTCCTTCACTTAACAATTTTTGCCATCTTTACATATGTAACATTTTCTTAACACTTTTCTTTAAATCAACTCAATTTTGAAAATTAAATTTATTATTTTATTTTTGAGATGGAGTCTCAGTGTGTCACCTAGGCTGGAGTGCAGTGACACGATCTCGGCTCACTGCAACCTCCGCCTCCTGGGTTCAAGTGATTCTCATGCCTCAGCCTCCTGAGTAGCTGAGATTACAGGCGCAAACCACCATGCCTGGCTAATTTTTGTATTTTTAATAGAGACGGGGTTTCGCCACGTTGGCTAGACTGGTCTCGAACTCCTGACCTCAGGTGATCCTCCTGCCTCGGCCTCCCAAAGTGCTGGGATTACAGACATGAGCCACCACGCCTGGCCACTAAATTTATTTTAAAAGGAAACTTTTTATTTATTTATTTATTTATTTTGAGACGGAGTTTCACTCTTGTCGCCCAGTCTGGAGTGTAGTGGCTCGATCTTGGCTCACTGCAACCTCTGCCTCCCGGGTTCAAGCAATTGTCCTGCCCCAGCCTCCCAAGTAGCTGGGATTACAGGCGCCCGGCACCACGCCCGGCTAATTGTTTGTATTTTTAGTAGAGACAGGGTTTCACCATGTTGGGAAGGCTGGTCTTGAACTCCTGACCTCAGGCAATCTGCCTGCCTCGGCCTCCCAAAGTGCTGGGATTACAGAAGTGAGCCACTGCAGTATTGTAAATGGAAAACCAGAATCAGGTGCCTTTTCAGGCACAACAGATTACAAACATCAGTCACTCCTTTGTCATCTAGGAGATTTCTTACTGTTGATACTAGATAAGCACGTCCCTTTCCCTAACAGAGAGCATCTGCTAGCATGCCACAGTGGGGCCATTTAGTGAACAGAGGTGCTATTCAATAGACAGTTTGCACTTGTGCAAAAGTTTGTGCCCAGGAAGTAGAGAACAGCTGATAGTGACATGGTACCATCTCAAATGTTTTTCCTTACCATACTTTGCTGTAGCCTACATAAGACCTCTTGAGATTTTATTCCTGGGGGAAAAGCCACAGATTCCCAGAGGGTTCCCTCTGTATTTGTGAGTGAAGGGGGATAGAGGCCTAACTGGCTCAGCTGTCAGTTGACTGGAGGTAATTGTTTAATTCAGTAGTTCTCAAACTTTGTGGCCTCAAGATCCCTTTGCATCCTTAAAAATTATTGAGGAATACAAAGAGCTTTTGTTTATGTGGGTTTTATCTATTTATATTTACCAATTAGAAATTAAAAGTGAGAAATTTAAAACTATAAATTCATTTAAAATAAACTAATTACGTTATAAATATTTTCATGAAAAGTTACATATTTCCGAACAAGAGTGGCTTTGTTTACTTTTTTGTAAATCTCTTTTAAGATGAGACTTAATGGAAATCAGCTGAATTCTCGTATCTGCTTCTGCATTTAATCTTTTGCAACATTACATGTCATGAAGCCTCTGGAAAATGACACTGCCACACTCATGAAGGAGTGGAAAAGCCAAATTATGTTTTGCTATTATTACGAAAAGTTTTAACTTCGTAGATCTTCTCTGAAAGTGTCTTGGCCACTCCCAGACCTGCTTTAATTCATTTAGAGGTAGCATAGTATGGTGGGTTAGAGGGTAGATCCTGCAGTCCAAATGCTGAGTGCACACCCCAGCTCTGCCGCTTTTATTACCTGTTTGACTTTGGCCAAATGATTTAACTACTTTATGTCCCAGTTTCCTTATTTGTAGAGTGATGGTAATAATGAGGTGATACACATAAGGGTATGTAACAGTGAAATTAGAAAAATAAAGTAAGACCTTGAAAGAGAGGTACATATGGGTGCTCAGTCTAGCCTTACACTGAAAGTTCAATGTTATTTGTATTTCTTACTTTATATATGAGATTAAACATTTATTACTGGCCATCTGTATTTCCTTTTCTGACTCATCTATATGTTAATATATTCTATCTACTTTTTGTTGAGTTGGTATTTTTACTAATTTTGGGAGTTCTTTGTATAGTATATGGATTAACTTCTTGATTCTTTTATGTATTGTAATTATTTTCTCCAAATCCATAACCTAACTTTTAACTTTATTTATATTTTTCATCATAAAGAAGTTATAAATTTGTATGTGTCAAATCTATCAGTGTTTTTCTCTGTGGCTTCTGGGTTTCATGTTCTGTTGATACCTAGATTAAAACAATTCTATATATTATTTTAGCGCTTTCATACTTTATTTTTTAACATTTAGGTATTTAATACATTAAGAACTTATTTCGGAGTACAATGTAGAGATTTAACTTTTTCTTCAGAATGAGTAGATACATGTTCCAACATTATTTCTTAAATATTCCATCAATTTGCTACTGATTGAAAATGCCTCCTTTATAATTCATTCAATTCTCATGGCCATATGGAGGTATTTTTGAAGTATTTTGATTCATGTAGTATTTGTCTCTTCCAGTAGCTATAACATACATTTAAAATGACTCTAGACTTACAGTACATTTTAATGTATGGTATTCCCACATTCTTCTTCTTCCTCATGATTTTAAATTTTTCCATGAATTAATTTCTCAGGATAAATTTTAGAATCAACTTACCAAATACTACCCTCATTTCTCCAAAGTTGTGATTACGATTGAAATTATTGCATTACATGTATATATTAATAGTGTAAAGAAGTTATCTTTACACTATTAAGTTATTCTAACCAGGAAATTAAATGGTTTTTTGACTCAGTCAAATTATTTTACGCTCTTCTGTAAATTCTTTTTTTTTTTTTTTTAGTTTAGGAGTGGAAAGTTTAATAGACAAAAAAGAAGAGAGAGAAAGCTTCCTCATGCTGAGAAAGTAGGTTGCCCAAGAGCACCCTTCTGTAAATTCTTAAGATGTTCTGAATATGTCTTGATATTTCTTTTAAAACATATTCGTGGATATTAAACAGGATTTTCTACAAAAATTTGTTTGTGATTATGAACCTCAGGATAAAAACTGTAAGGCTGATACAAGCCTATGATTATGACTTCAACACAATATTTTTGTTTTGGTTCATCTTAAAAATAGAAGTTAAGGTAATGATACTCAAGGTATACATGGTGAACAAAATGCATCCAGAATGCATTTTTTTTTTTTTTTGAGAAGTAGTCTCACTCTATCGCCCAGGCTAGAGTGCAGTTGTACAATCTCAGCTCACTGCAACCTCCGCCTCCTGGGTTCAAGCGATTCTCCTGCCTCAGCCTCCCAAGTAGGTGGGACTGCAGGCACACACCACCACGCCTAGCTAATTTTTGTATTTTTAGTAGAGATGGGGTCTCACCATGTTGGCCAGGCTGTTCTTGAACTCCTGATCCGCCTGCCTCGGCCCCCCCAAAGTACTGGGATTACAGGCGTGAGCCACCGTGCCTGGCCCTAAAGATAACTGTATATTGGCTAACACGGGAGAAACGATTATCTATTAACCCTGTCTGATCCATTAAATTTGCCTCCCTAAGCAAGACAGTGTTTGAATCAACAGCAGACTCTATTCTTTTATGTGAGAAAAGAAAAAGGCACTAAGAAATAAGCTTCCTGAGTCTAATGCAATATTCTCAAACAATCGTGTGTATTGAAATCAGTTGGTGGGCTTATTAAAACAATTTGCATTTCTAACAAGTTCTCAGGTGAAGTTGATGGTGTTAGCCCAGCAACTACATATTGAGAACCGTCTTCTAATGTAATAACTTTGGGAGAGAAAGCCCAGTAGCTTTGCTAGGAGATTGATGCAGGAAGTGATGATAGAGAGAACATTATTAGTAAGAGCTCTGATCACAGTAAGAATTATTTTGTTTGGCATTATATTCCTTTAAAGCTATGAATTCTTCTCTGGGCTTAGGTTTGATTCACTTCCCATACATATTCATATGAAGTGTTCCAGTTTTCCAATTTGTATACAACTTGTAATCTCAAATTTGACTTCTGCTATAATCCAGTAATTATTTTGTAGTGTTTTTAAAGAATTGGGAAGTTTTTAAATTCATTTTTATTTATTCTACAAATATCTATGAAGTATCAACTATGAGCCATGTGCTTGGAATATATCACAGAGCGAAAGAGATTCTGATTTTTATCCTTATGAAGCCTCCATTAGGGGGCAGGAGCTAGACAATAAACATAATACATAAATTATACAGCATGCTAGAAGGTCCTGTTTCAAAATAAAATAAAATAAAAATAAAAATCAAGGTGCTGTGTTGCGAAGGGGAGCAAAGAAACAGGACAGTAACTGGCAAGAAAAGTAGTATCGAGATTTTTTCGGTTTGTTTAAAGATGGGAGAAATAACAGAATGCTTGAATGCTAGTGGAAGTAATCTTGAATGAGGGCAAACACTGGTTAATGTAGAAGAGAGAAGGAAGAATTGCTGTGTTACTATCAAGTAGGTGTGAGAGAATGTGATCTAGTACAGGAATCAGTAAAATTTTTTTGGAAAGAGCCAGTAAATATTTTAGGCTTTGTGGATCACACATGGTCTCTGCTGTATATACTTTTTTCTCCCCAACACTTAAAATTGTAAAAAACTAGCCGGGCGCAGTGGCTCATGCCTGCAATCCCAGCACTTTGGGAGCCTGAGGTGGGTGGATCACAAGGTCAGGAGTTCAAGACTAGCCTGGCCAACATAGTGAAACCCCATCTCTACTAAAAAATACAAAGATTAGCCAGGCCTGGTGGCGGGTGCCTCTAGTCCCAGCTACTTGGGAGGCTGAGGCAGAAGAATCGCTTGAACCCGGGAGGTGGAGGTTGCAGTGAGCCAAGATTGTGCCACTGCACTCCAGCCTGGGTAACAGAGTAAGACTGTCTCAAAAAAAAAAAAAAAAAAAAAAAAGTAAAAACTATTCTTGGCTTACGGGCTGTACAAAAACAAAACAAAATGCAGGATTTGGGCCACAGGCTGCATTTTGTCAACCCTGATCTAGTACACAAGCAGAGGCTGATTTTAGATGAGAGCATGGACATCATGCATATATGTATGGTAACAGGCTGGAAAGAAAATTATATGAGTTCACAAGCTGCTAGAAGGATAGATTTAGTGGCAGGGGATCTCTTCTGATTGCTCTGATTTTCTCCAGGAAATAGGAACAAGAGTTATCATCGAGGGTAAGACTGGGAATAGAGTGTTGGATATTCGAGAAGAGACAATTACATAAAATCATTACATAAAATCATTTCAGGAAAAGGGGGTGCTATGCTCTGAATGTTTGTGTCCCTTCAAAATTCGTATGTTGAAATCCTAACCCACAAGGTGATGGTATTGGAAGGCCTAATCACGTTTGGAGGGTGATTAGGTTATGGGGGGTGGTCCTCATGATTGAGATTAGTGTCCTTATAAAAGAGGCTCAAGAAAGGACCCCTCTTTCCTTCCACCATATCTTCTCACAGTGAGAAGTCACCATCCATGAACCACAAAGCTGGACTTCAACAGACACTAAATCTGCTGGTGCCTTGATCATGAATTTCCCAGCCTCCAGAACCAGAAGGAAGACAATCTGTTGTTTACAAGCTACCTACTTTATGATATTTTATTGTAGCAGCCCAAGCTGACTACAAGTGAATAAACTTGGAGAAAATATAATTTGATTGACTGGCAGCATTTTGAGGTCACATGAGGTTTGTCTTCAAGAATTTAAAGTGAAACTCTTGCATTTTTCTTCCAGTCATGTTCAGCTACATGGGAGCAAGAATGGAGTAGATAAGTAATGATTAGGGTTACGGTTTTGTCAGTGGGTAAAAGGAATATCCAATCAATGACTGGCTATGGAATTTAAGCCAAGTGAGGAGGAAAATAAGGGTGAGGGGCAGTGAAACAGTGATAGAATCAATAGATTAGAATTACCAACAAAGATAAATAATTATGAGGAGCTAGGGATCTAGAGGGGAAAGCTGGAAAGACAGGATGTGGCAGCCAGAAAGGTGGATGCATGAAGTTGAGATAATTGAGTTTGCAGTTAATGGTAATAAGCAGATCTAACTAGGGAATGACCAAAGGAGTGGCTGAAGTGGAATGAAAAGAGGTGTCCAAGAAGCTGGAGGTCAAGATATTGGAAAGATCATTGATGTGCATATTAAAATCACCAAGAATTAAGGCAGGAGTGTTGGAGAGACTGATAGTAAACCAACAGTTAAAATCATCAAGAAACAAAAACAACCTTTGTTGACTTTAGGTTTTATTGCACTATCATCTGAAAAGCAGCTCTTAAGATTTCTACTTTTCATGATTCACTAAGGTTTTCTAGGTGATCAATCTTATGATTAATATTTGGAAATATTCCTTGGGCATAATAAGAGAAGAATATAAATTCCCTACCTGTAAGATACAAATTTATATTTATAAATATTTTTATTAGGTTGTTGTCAGTGAATATGGGAGGTTAGTTAAGAGGCCATTGTATAGACAAAAGATGGTTGCTTGAATAAGGCTGGTGGTAGCAGATGAAATGAACTGGATGGAGTGAGAGTTATTTAGGAAGTCAAATCAATAGGACCTCATGATCAACTTGATAAAGCATGTAAAGGAGAGAAGTGACAAAGATGACTTCTAGGTCTCTAGAAAAAGTTAGAGGATGGTATAGCAATGGCATTAAGAACATAGGCTCTGAAAAGTCAGGCTGCCTTTGTTGAGGGCTAGCCTTTCCTTAAAAGGTGTGTGATTTCAATAAGTTATTTTACCTTTCAACTTTCTCACTGCAAATGGAAAATAGTATTATCTGAGGTTCTTGTGAGGATTAAGTAAATTAATGGATTAACACTTTAGTCCAAACATACAGCAAACTCTCAATGACTGGAAGCTATCTTTAGTGAGACAGAAAGCATTCACAGATAATCAAATTTAGGAGAAAAGGTAATGAACTCAGTTTTATATTTCAAAGTTGCATTTGAAGCTATGTGTGGAGGTGGTAGGTAAGTAAACAGCAGGATATTCACATCTGGAACTCAAAAAAAAGATGTGGGTTGGAGATACAAACTGCCTCTAGTGAAGCATCTGTGTATAGATGGTAACTACACACAAAAGTCAGGGGAGTGGAAGAATTCATGGAAAGAAATTAGTGAAGAGAGGGACTGCTATGGATTGTGTCCCCCAAAGTTCTTGTGTTGGAAAATTAATCTTCAATGCAACAGTGTCGGGAGGTAGGGCCTAATTAGAGAATAGGTCATGATGGCTCTGTCCTCATGAATAGCTTGTTATCATGGGAGTGGGTTCATTATAATGGAATGGGCTTGTAACAAAAGCACCTTTTCTTGCTCTCTCTCTCATCATGTGATGCCTTCCACCGTTACGATGCAGTAAGAAGGCCCTCACTAGATGTGGCCCCTTCATCTAGGACTTCTCAACTGCCAGAAATGTGGGCCAATATAGTTCCTTTTTTTTTTTTTTAGACAAGAATCTCTTGCTCTGTTGCCCAGGCTGGAGTGCAATGGCGTGATCGCAGCTCACTGCAACCCCCACCTCCCGGGTTTAAGCAATTCTCCTGCCTCAGCCTCCCAAGTAGCTGGGATTACAGGCATGTGCTACCACGCCCAGCTAGTTTTTGTTATTTTTAGTAGAGACGGGGTTTCACCATGTTGGCTAGGCTGGTCTTAATTCCTGACCTCGTGATCTGCCCACCTCGGCCTCCCAAAGTGCTGGGATTACAGACGTGAGCCACAGTGCCCGGCCAACGTTTGTTCTTTATAAAGTTTCGGGTATTCTGTTAGAGCAGCACAAAATGGACTAAGAGAGGGGCTACTTTTAAAAAATTATTATTGAGGTATTATTGGGGTAAAATTCACATGACATAAAACTCACCATTTTAACCATTTTACTGTACAATTCAGTGCCTTCCAGTACATTCACAATGTTTGCAAGTATCACCACTACCTAAATCTGAATATTTTCATCACTCAAAAAAGAAACCCATTAAGCAGCAACTCCCCACTTCTACATTTCCCTAACCCCTAGCATCCACCAATGTTTTCTGTCTCTATGGATGTGCCTCTTCTAGATGTTTCACATAAATACAATCATGTAAGATGTGGCCTTTTCTTTCAGTTAGCAAGGTCTTTCAAGGTTGATCCATGTTGCAACATATACTAGTACCTAATTTCTTTTTATGGCTGAGTAGTTTTTCATTATATGAATATACCACAATTTGTCCATTCATCTATTGATGAACATTTGGGTTGTTTCTACTTATTGGCTATTATAGTGCTGCTATACACACTCATGCAGAAGTTTTTGTTTGATTAGTTTTCTATCCTCTTGAGTATATATTTAGGAGAGCTGCTGGGTTATATGTTAATTCCGTTTAAAATTTTGATAAACCATCAAACTATTTTATAATGAACGCACCATTTTATATTTCCGCCAGCAATTTATGAGCTTTCCAATTTCTCCACATCCTTGCCAACACTTGTCTTTTAATAATAGCACCCTAGTGAGTATAGAAAGTGGTATCTCATCGTGGTTTTGATTTGCATTTCCCTTAAGGTGGAAGGTTATGATGCAAAGCATCTCTTCATGTACTTGGCCATTAGAATATCTCCCTTGGAGAAATGTCTATTCAAGTCCTTTGCCCATTTTTAACTTGGGTCGTCTTTTAACTGATGACTTGTAAGAGTTATTTGAGCTTTACCAGGTATACGACTTGCAAATATTTTCTCTCACTCAGTGGGTTCTCTTTTCTCTTTCTTGATAGTGTCATTTGATATGTAAAGTTTTAAATTTTGATCAAGCCCAGTTGTATCTATTTTTCATGTTGCTACTTGAGTTCTTGGTATCATATCTAAGAATCCACTGGGAAATCCCAGGTCATGTAGACTTACCCCAATATTTTCTTTTAATAGTTGTATAGTTTCATTCTTATATTTAGGTATTTGATTTATTTTGACTTAATGTTTGCATGTGGTGTAAGGTAAGGGTCCAAATCCATTCTATTACATGTGGATACCCAGTATCCTCAGCATTTCTTAAAAATACTATTCTATTCCCCAGTGATCTATCTTGACACCTTTGTCAAAAATCAATTGACCACAGATGTATAGGCTTACTTCTGGGCTCTCAATTCTGTTTTCTTGGCCTACATATCTATCCTTATGTCAGTACCACACTCTTTTGATTACTGTAGCTTCGTGGTAAATTTTGAAATCACAAAATGTGGGTCTTCTAACTTTGTTCTTTTCCAAGACTGTTTTGGCATCCTTGCAATTTCTTTTTTTCATTTTCTTTTTTCTTTCGAGATGGAGTCTAGCTCTCTCACCCAGTCTGGAGTGCAGTGGCGCGATCTCGGCTCATTGCAAACTCTGCCTCCTGGGTTCATGCCATTCTTCTGCCTCAGCCTCCCCAGTAGCTGGGACTACAGGCGCCCACCACCTGCCCGGCTACACTTTTTTTTTTTTTATTTTTAGTAGAGACGGGGTTTAACCGTGTTACCCAGAATGGTATCTATCTCCTGACCTCGTGATCCGCCCGCCTCAGCCTCCCAAAGTGCTGGAATTACAGACGTTGAACCACCGCGCCTGGCCACATCCTTGCAATTTCTTATGAATTTTAGGATCAACCTGCCCATTTCTACATTAATGGCAGTTGGAATTTTCATAGGAATTTCACTGATTCTGTTGGTTAATTGGGGGAGTATTGCCATTTTCAAAGTCTTCTAATACGTGAACATAAAATGCCTATTTATTTAGGTCTTTTTAAATTTCTCTCAACTATGTTTTGTAGTTCTCAGTGTGTAAGTCTTACATCTTGTTTATTAGTATTTTATTCTTTTTGATACTACTGTAAATGAGTTTTCTTCATTTCACTTTGAAATGTTCATTGCAAGGATACAGAAATATAACTAATTTTTGTATGTTGATCCTGGGCATCCTGTGATATTGAGGTATTAGCTCTAACAGTTTTGTTTGTGGATATCCTTGTAATGTGCTTCAGGATTCACTTTGGCTGAGGATCTTTGCATCTATATTCATTAGAACTATTGGACTGTAGTTTTATTTTCTTGTGATGTCTTTGTCTGGATTTGGTACCAGGGTAACGCCGGCATCATATAATGAGTTAAGATATTCCCTCTTCCCCTACTTTAAGTGTTTGAGAAGGACTGGCACTCTTAAAATACTTTACGTCACCAGTAAAGCCACATGGTTTGATCTTTCCTATCTTGGAAGTTTTTTGTTTTTAACTGGTTTACTTTTTTTTTTTTTAACTAGTACTGTTATAGGTTTAGTTTTTTCTTGAGTTAGTTTTGGTAGTTTGTGTGCTGCTAGGAATTTGTCCATTTTATCTAGGTTATCTAATTTGTTAGCATATAATTGTTAATAGTATTTCCTTACAATCCTTTTTATTTCTGTAAGATTGGCAGTAATGTCCCCACTTTATTCCTGATTTTAGTAACCTGAATCTTTTTGTCTTGCTCAGTCTTTTTAAGGGTTTGTGAACATTATTATTTCAAACAACCAAATTTTGGTTTTGTGGATTCTATTTTCTACTGTATATTTCATTTATCTCTACTCCAGTCTTTACTATTTCCTTCCTTCTGCTAGCTTTGGGTTTGATTTCCTCTTCTTTTTCTAGTTCCTGAAGGTGGAAGGTTAGGTTGCTGATTCTAGGTATTTTTTAATGTAGGCATGTGCAGCTATAAAATTGCCTTTGAGCACTGCTTTTGCTGCATTCCAAACGTTTTAGGGTGCTGCATTTTTGTTTTTATTCATCTCAAAGTATTTTCTGATTTCTCTTGTGATTTAATCTTTCTTTGATCCATTGGTTGTTTAAGGGTGTGTTATTTTCAGTTTTATTCCATTGTAGTCAGAGAAGGCACTTTGTAATTCAATCTTTTAAAACTGAGACTTGTGGACTAACATGTTTTATTCTGAAGAATGTTCCATGTGAACCTGAGATATCTTGGAATGTCTTTTTCCACTTGCTATGGTTTGAATGTGTGCCCTCCAAAATTCAGATATTTAAACTTAATGGCCAACATGATGGTATTAAGAGGTGGGACTTTTAAGAGGTGGTTAAGTCTTTTTTTTTTTTTTTTTTTTGAGGCGGAGTCTTGCTCTGTCGCCCAGGCTGGAGTGCAGTGGCGCAATCTCGGCTTACTGCAAGCTCCGCCTCCCAGGTTCACGCCATTCTCCCATCTCAGCCTCCCAAGTAGCTGGGACTACAGGCGCCCGCCAGCACGGCCGGCTAATCTTGTTTTTGTATTTTTAGTAAAGACCGCGTTTCACCGTGTCTCTACTAGGACCAGGATGGTCTCTATCTCCTGACCTTGTGATCCACCCGCCTCGGCCTTCCAAAGTGCTGGGATTACAGGCGTGAGCCACTGCGCCCAGCCAGTAAGAGGTGGTTAAGTCTTGAGGGCTCCTCCCCTCATGAATGAGATTAGGTGCCCTTAACTTAGGGCCTGATGAGGAATTTCATTCCTTTTTGCCCTTTTACCTTCTGCCACGTTGAGGATGTAACATTCCTCCCCTATAGAAGATGCAGCAATAAGGTGTCATCTTGGAAGCAGAAAGCAGCTCTTACCAGACAACCAAACCTGCCAATGTCGTAATTTTGAGTTTCTCAGATTCCAAAACTGTGAGAAAATAAATTTCTGCTCTATATAAATTACCCAGTCTCAGGTATTCTGTTACGGCAGCACAAGAAAACTAAGGTGCTGGCCGGGCGCGGTGGCTCAGCCTGTAACCCCAGCACTTTGGGAGGCCGAGGCGGGCAGATCACCTGAGGTTGGGAGTTCAAGACCAGCCTGGCCAACATGGAGAAACCCCATCTCTACTAAAAAATACAAAATTAGCTGGGCGTGGTGGCGCATGCCTGTAATCCCAGCTACTCAGGAGGCTGAGGCAGGAGAATTGCTTGGACCCAGGAGGCGGAGGTTGTGGTGAGCCAAGCACGCCATTGCATTCCAGCCTGGGCAAAAAGAGTGAAACTCCATCTCAAAAAAAAAAAAAAAGAAAGAAAACTAAGGTGACACCCTTTCACTTTCAACATGTTTGTGTCTTTGGTTCTAAAGTCAGTCTTCTGTAAACAGGATATAGTTAGAACATTTAAAAGACTCCATTCTGCCAATCTCTCCATCTGTTAAATGGAATTTAAGGCATTCACATTTAATGTAATTAGTAGGAAGGACATTGCCCCTTGCTATTTGTTTTCCCTATGTCTTCCTCAATTCCTCCCTTATGCCTTTTTTGTATTAGATATTTTCTAGCATACCATTTTTATTCCCTTTCCAAAATTTTTAGTTATTTTCTTAGTAGTTGCTCTAGGGATTACAATTAACTTTCATTTATAACAATCTATTTCAAATAAATACCAACTTAGTTTCAATAGTACACAAAATTTTTGCTCCTATACTTCATCTTTTCCTCATCATGAATCACCTTTATACATTGTGCTTTGACACAGATATAATTATTGCTTTCATTTATATCTACCTATGTATTTAAATCTTTTTCAGTGTTTTTTATTTCCTCATGTGGATCTGAATCACTGTCTAGTGTCTTTTCATTTCAGGCTGAAGGATCCTTTTAGTATTTCTTGTAAGGCAGGACTACTAGTGAGATACTCTTTCTGTTTTTGCTTATCTGTGAATGTCTTAATTTCTCCTTCACTTTTTTTTTTTTTTTTTGAAGGATAGTTTTGCTGGACACAGAATTCTTGACAGTTTTTTCTTTCAGCACTTCGAATATATCATCCCACTGCCTCTGCCTCCTGGCCTCTGTGGTTTCTAATGAGAAGTCAGCTATTAATCTTATTGAGAATCCTTTGTACGTGAGGAATTGCTTCTCTCTTGCTGCTTGCAGGATTGTCATTGACTTTTGACGGTTTAATTATGATGTGTCTTGGTGTGGGTCTTTTTTTTTTTTGTAACATCTTTTATTTGTATACAATTATAAATTACAAACTTGTTTTATTAGGATTTTTTTTTAAATTTAGTTTTAGTCAACTTACTCCCTTTTATTTACCAGCAGTGTGCTCTGACAGAATAAATTACAAACTATTGTTTTGTTTAATCCTTTTAACCATCATGTCAGGCACACAGGTTGGAGAATATTAGCTCCCATTTTATGGACAGAGTGGAAACACTCTACCCATATTTAGTGTAAGACAGAGCTGGGATATAAGCCTTGGGCTTCCACAGTCACAACTGCTTTTTTGCAAAACTTTGTAATACATCATTTTAAAGTAATCTGATTTCACAATGTTTTACAGTATATGAGTAACATCTATAGCATCTCTTCTTGGCAGGTTACCTCTGGAGAGAACCAATCTAATTACCTCATACGCTGGCACTTTTTTTTTTTTTTGAGACAGAGTTTTGCTTTTGTTGCCCAAGCTGGAATGCAATGGCGTGATCTCGGCTCACTGCAACCTCCGCCTCCCTGGGTTCAAGCAATTCTCTTGCCTCAGCCTCCCAAGTAGCTGGGATTACAGGCATGCACCACCACACCCGGCCAATTTTGCATTTTTAGTAGGGACAGAATTTCTCCACGTTGGTCAGGCCGGTCCCGAACTCCTGACCTCAGGTGATCCGCCTGCCCCAGCCTCCCGAAGTGCTGGGACTACAGGCGTGAGCCACCGCGCCCAGCCTAAGCTGGCACGTTTTAAGGCAGTTACATCTCTAACTTGATTTACCAGCTATGCTTGAGGGTCCAAGGAGCCAAAATTGCAGCCAAACTGATCTTAAAGGACCAGGGAATAGAATGGTCAAGCATGTTTCCAAGTTTAACCTAGGCCTGGCACATCCTTGCCAATTGCTCAGATGGCAAGTGAGGGGCAACTAAGTGAAGAGAATAGCAGGAAGACCCACTCGGGGTGGACACTGATGAAAAACACAAGCAGTATCAGACTCACTGTTTTCAGGATTAAAATCCCCAGATGCCCTGTTATTGATCTATGTCACTACCAGTAGGACAAAAGGCAATGCTTCTGAAGACTAGAATATGCAAGGAAAAAATTAAGGTGCCTGCCTGTCTGGGGCCTACCGAGCCAAACAGTGCTAATTTCATCCATGCCAAACAAAATTGTTCATTCCTTGCTGATTTGGGTTTTAAGGAAGTGTGCTGATCATCAGAGAAACCAGGCAATTCTATTCTGAAGCCCAGGGGAAGAAATGGTGGGGATTTCTGAGTTATAGATGGTGCAGGGGTTAACAGTATCTGCCACTATGAAGGGAAAAATCTATCTTGGTAAACTTTGGTCTTCCATAGGACATGGAACCAGAGTAGCAAGATCAGGGCCTGCGTGACCGATCCTGATTGAGCAGGACTTCCTCACATAAGGTACACAAGGGCTGGGCGCAGTTGCCCACGCGTGTAATCCCAGCACCCCGGGAGGCCCAGGCTTGCGGATCACCTGAGGTCAGGAGCCCAAGACCAGCCCGGCCAACATGGTGAAACTCTGTCTCCATCTCCACTAAAAATACAAAAATGAGCCGGGCATGGTGGCACATGCATGCAATCCCAGCCGATCAAGGGGCTGAGGCAGAACCACCTGAACCCAGGAGGCGGAGGCTGCAATGAGCTGAGACCATGCCACTGCACTCCAGCCTGGGCAACAGGGTGAGACTGTCTCAAAGAGAAAAACAAAACCCATAAGATGCACAGGTATCTGAGAAAGGTCTAAACACCCTAGAACTGCAAGCAAAATTTTGAGTGTATACATGTTTTCCTGGCGAAGGGGTCCTCATTCTCAAATCCTGAGCTTTTAGGAAAAAGTACTAAGCCAGTTTCAGGTTACGATACAAAAGCCACCAGATACACTTAGAGCCAGTCAAGTTTGAGAATTCTCAAAGCCATCACTGAAAAGTTGGAACACATACTCACAGCAGAGACAAGTGAACATTTATTTTTATGCCTTTCTTCCTATGTGTATTTCAAGTCTTTTTCAAAACAAGGCCCCAGGACTCTCCAGATTCAATTATGTCCTTGGGCTTGGTCGACTGCTGCAGGAGTCTCAGGGAGCCTTCTACAAATGCTAGAGTGACTCATTTACCAACATTAAACCCTAGGATACATGCAACAAAGCAGGACTCCTTCCTCCATGGAATGTGCCGATTTCAGATGACGCAGCACCGAATGTAGAAAACGCTGGGAATTTTTTCCTTGGAACTAGACTGTGATGAGAGGTGCTTGACATGAACATAAGCTACTGTCTTTTCTTTTTTTTTGAGACAGAGTTTCGCTTGTTGCCCAGGCTGGAGTGCAATGGCGTGATCTCAGCTCACCGCAACCTCCACCTCCCAGGTCCAAGCGATTCTCCTGCCTCAGCCTCCTGAGCAGCTGGGATCACAGGCACGCACCACCACGCCCGGCCAATCCTTGCATCTTTAGTAGAGATGGCATTTCTCCACGTTGGTCAGGCTGGCCTCGAACTCCCAACCTCAGGTGATCTGCCCACCTCAGCCTCCCAAAGTGTTGGGATTACAGGCATGAGCCACCATGACCGGCCAGCTACTGTCTTTTCTTTGACCCTTCCTTTCCAGTTTTTGAAGATAAAGCAGGAAATAATCTTCTCTGAAGATACTTGATAAAAATTCCCAAAACAACAAAACACATGCTTCCACTTCACTGATAAAAAATTTACCGCAGTTTGGCACCTAAGAGTATGACAACAGCAACAAAAAGTAATTTCAAAGAGTTAAGATTTCTTCAGCAAAATAGATGATTCACATCTTCAAGTCCTTTTTGAAATCAGTTAATATTATTCTTTCCCCATTTCCATCTGAATGACTGCAGCAATAGTTTTTTTTTTTTTTTTTTTTTTTTTTCGAGATGGAATCTCGCTCTGTCGCCCAGCTGGAGTGCACTGGCGCAATCCCGGCTCACCGCAATCTCTGCCTCCTGGGTTCAAGCGATTTTCCTGCCTTAGCCTCTCGAGTAGCTGGGACCACAGGCACGTGCCACCACACCCAGCTCACTTTTGCATTCCGGTGTGGGTCTTTTTGAGTTTACCCTATTTAGGGTTCTTTGAGCCTCTTGAATATCTAGATTCATGTATTTCATCAAAGCTGGGACATTTTCTACCATTATTTCTTCAAATATTATGTCCCTTTCTCTCTTTCTTCTCCTTCTGGGACTCCCCTCATGCATATACTGGTATGCTTGATAGAGTCCCAGAGGTCTTTTATGCTCTGTTCATTTTTCTTCATTCTTTTTCCTTTCTGCTCCTCAGACTGTATAATCTTAATTGACCTATCTTGAAGCCTGTTGATTCTTTCTTCTGACTTCTCCAGTCTGCTGCTGAATACCTCTAGTGAATTTTCAGTTTTAGTTATAATACTTTTCAACTCCAGAATTTCTATTTGGTTCTTTTCTACAATTTCAATCTCTTTATTGATATTCTGTATTGGATGAGACATTGCTTTCCTAATTTTTTTGTTCTCTGTCCATGGTTTCCTTTAGCTCTTCTAGCATATCTAAAAGAGTTGATGAAAAGTCTTTGTTTTGTACATCCGAAGTCTGTGCTTCTTCAGGGGTAGTTTCTATTAATTTCTTTTTTTACCTGTGTATGGGCCATACTTTTCTGGTTTTTCCTTGTCATGTAATCTTTGCTAAAAATGTGACATTTTGAATAGTATTATAATGTGGTAACTCTGGAAATCAGATTCTCCTCCCTCCCCATAGTTCATTGTTGGTACTTGTTATGGTTACCACTGTTTGGTAACTTTTCTGAACTTTATAAAGTCTGTATTCGTTGCTGTGTGTGACCAGCTGAGCTCCTGTTCTGTTAGCTTAATTTGCAGCTAGTGATCCAAAAGAGAAACAGATTTCCTTAAATGCCTGAAACCAAGACAAAAAGAAAACACTCTCAGTCTTTACCAGTAGGCTCTGTGTAAGTGTTGGGGCACACCTTCAACATTCAGCTAAGCAACAAATTCACCTTAGTTTTCACTTCCTATTTGAGCAAGCCTGATGGTTAGCCAGAGGTGAGAGTTTAAGGCTTTCTCAAGTCTTCTCTATTTGCTCACCCTGCATGTACATGTGGCCTTTTGGATTCCCAAGAATATGTGGAAGTTTTAAAAGCCTTTATTCTCCAAAATATCTTACTTTCCAGCTTTTCCTCCCAGGCTTTTTGGTGTGTCTATTGTTTGCCTTAGCTATTATTCTTTGCCCCCGATGGCAGAGGCTAATAAACTTGCCTTTACAAATTTTTGACAAATGCCTGTAGTCACCTTTCTTCCTCAGGAGATTTCCAAGTTAGGGGAACTAAAATAAGCCTCCATAATTCTTTGAAAAGAAGGTCCACGGCCAGGCACAGTGGCTCATGCCTGTAATCCCAGCACTTTGGGAGGCTGAGGTGGGCGGATCACCTGAGGTCAGGAGTTCGAGACCAGCCTAGCCAACATGGCAAAATCCCGTCTCAACTAAAAATACAAAAATTGGTCAGGCATGGTGGCAAGTGCCTGTAATCCCAGCTACTCGGGAGGTTGAGGCAGGAGAATCGCTTGAAGCCGGGAGGCGGAGGTTGCTGTGAGCCGAGATTGCGCCACTGCACTCCAGCCTGGGCAACACGGGCAAAACTCCATCTCAAAAAAAAAAAAGAAAGAAGAAAAGAAAACAAGGCCATCCTGCTCCCTTTGGCACCAGGAACAGATATCAGAAATGCATGTCGTTGTTTTCAAAGCTGGACAGGGAGGTGGCACCAGGGTAAGTTTAAATGATAGAAAGCGCTCCTGAGATTCAGGATTCAGACTTTTTTTTTTTTTTTTTTTTGAGACAGAGTCTCACTCTATCACCCAGGCTGGAGTGAGGTGGCACGATCTTGGCTCACTGCAACCTCCATCTTCCAGGTTCAAGCGATTCTCCTGCCTCAGCCTCCCTGAGGGATTACAGGTGCCCGCAAACACACCCAGCTAATTTTTTTGCTGGTCTCTAACTCCTGACTCAAATGCTCTGCTCGCCTTGGCCTCTCAAAGTGCTGGGATTACAGGTATAAGCCACAGCATCCAGCCTCAGCCATCTTTTTAAAAAGATGTTTCCTTGGTTACTATAAACCTTTGACTAATTTCCAGAATTTATATAAAATTGATTCTGACAATTTGTGCCAATGTATTCACTGGTTTTGTGGAGAAATGCGCTCTTGGAGTTTCCTACTCATCATTTTCAATGACATCACCTCCAAAGGACTGATTCTTGAAGAACTTCAACATTTGGTAGTGGAGTAGACAAGGACGACTCTGTGAAAAGTAATGAGAGGAGCAGTCAGAGAAGGAAGAAGAAAATACAAAATGTGTTGTGCCATAGAAGGCGAGAGAGAAGGGCAACGCAAAGGGAGGCACTATCAATGTCAAATATTCTGAGATTAAGAAAGAGTGAAAAAAATGTTCATTAAACATAGGTGCAAAGAAGTTGTTTGTGACCTGTGACCTTAACACTATTTCTAAATGAGACAACATTGGTATTTTGAGCAGGACAAGTCTTAAATATAAAGAACTGTCCTACGCATTGCTACATGTTTAGCATCTTTGACTTCTGGTAACTAAATATCTGTAGCACCCTTCACCCTTAAGTCATACTGAAAATATAGCAGTGATAAAAAAAAAAAATACTGCCACACATTTCCAAATGCCCCCTGGAGACTCAGCACTGCCTCTTTAAGAACTACTGCCTCAGGGAAATCTATTTTGCTAATATTACGGGGGCAGATGTCAAACAATAGTGACCTAAAATGTCAATACGAGAGTAAAGAATGAAACAAGTGAGGTACCACAAATAAGACTTAGCAGATGTTTGGCTGAAGTGAGCAGTTAAGAGTATACGGTCAAGAAAGGGTTTTCTGGTGGTAGGATTTATTATGTTTAAAGATCAGTGGAAATAATCCAGATGAAAGAGAGTTTGAATATACAAAGGAAGGGATAATTGATAATATAAGGTGAACTGAAGGGGGGGTGGCAAGAAAGGACAGATAGAGAAAATGGCCTTAGATGAGAAGCTTACTTTCCGCTTTGAAACAGTAACCTGAAGCACTTAGGCAATGCTGTAGGATCCTAACTGGTTTCCCTGCTCCTTGCCTTGCAATACAGATATTTTCAACACAGTAGCCATGTCATTTTCTGCTCATAACTTTTCAATGGCTTCCCAATTAACTCAGAATAAAAGCCAATCTTCTTATAATGGCCTATAAGATTCTTCACAGTCTGTTCCTCCACCCACTTCTTTAACCTCACCTCATTTCCTAATATTTTCCCTCTCAGTCACTGCCCTTCAATCACAGAGCTTTCCTTATTATTTCTGAACACATTAGGCAGTCTTTCCTCAGGACCTTTGCTCTTGCTGTCCCCTTTGCCAGAAACATTCCTTTCCAGACACCTGTATAGCTTGCTACCTCATCACCTTCAAATCTTTGCTCAAACGCCATGTGCTCAATAACCACTCTACTTGAAAACATTACTCCTCCATCCAACACTTTACCTACTGTTCTCTGTAGCACTTATTACTTTCTAAATTACTATGTCATTTGATTTTGGTGATGATGAGGCTTAAGTGGAATCAGTATATTCTATTATTTTATAATCTTCAGCAGCATGCAACTGCTCAGAGGTGCTCAGAAAATGAATGGTTGGATTAACTCAGGTTGAAGTTTCGCCAGACACAGGTAAAGGGTTTAGGGTATGCTTCTCAATATTAGCTGAACTTTAGTATCTATTACTTGGAAGAACTTTAAAAAATGGCCAATCTTGAGTCAGTAAGTAATTCTCCCAAGATCTGTTGATTGCATTATTTACATCATCCCTGCCTAGTACCATATGTTGATATGGTGACGTCCTGGTGTTTACTCCCCTTTCCTAGATAGTAATTTTTGTTGCAGTTTCTTATTTTTCGTCATAATTGAATGAAAGCTTCATATCACAAATCTGAGATCCCAAAGCATCTCCTTTTAGTTATGTATTATTCTTAAAATACAAACTCCATAAGAGCAAAACCCAAGTGACTTTGCTTAACACTATGTTCCTAAGACTTGATACGCAGAACTTCAATACTATTTTTTCAAAATGAATAACCACCAGTAGCGAAACATGTATGTGCCAGGTACTGCTAAATTATTTACACAATTTCAATTACTTTTCACAAACAGTACTATACCCTATTAAGTGAAGTTTAGAGACAAAGCAGGATAATCCTCAAGACTAGTAATTTGCCCAAGGTGATGTTGGTAGTCAATAATGTAGCCTGAGCTCTACGCAATGTCATACTGATTCTAAAACCCACGCTTTTAATCACTATACTAGGCTGAGTTTGTGAGGAAGGCAAGGACAGAGAAAAAAGAGATAGAAATGAAGTATGTGAAAATTTTTGGAAATATATCCTTATGATGTTTTAGAAATTGCAACAAAGCTTTTTAAAGTCCCTTTTGGCCAGGCGTGGTGGTTCACGCCTGTAATCCCAGCACTTTGGGAGGCGGAGGTGGCAGGTCACAAGGTCAAGAGATCGAGACCATCCTGGCCAACATGGTGAAACCCCATCTACTAAAAACACAAAGATTAGCTGGGTGTGGTGGCACGCACCCATAGTCCCAGCTACTTGGGAGGCTGAGGCAGGAGAATCGCTTGAACCCGGGAGGTGGAGGCTGCAGGGAGCTGAGATCACACCACTGCACTCCAGCCTGGCTATAGAGTCAGACTCTGTCTCAAAAAAAAAAAAAAAATCCCTTTCACAACTAGAGGCTTGAGGATTTCACTTTTTGGTTCTTCCTTCAGTTCTTCCTTCAATAGAATCACATTAAAATCTTGGTCAACCTATATATAACCTATGAGTTGATAGTTTTTCCCCTCTATTGGTTGGTATGTATTCAGTCTACAGGTTGAAATATGGGTCTTTTACTCATTTGCAAACTTGATATTTCTCATTAGATAGCAGTGTAAATAATCTGCTTTAAGATTTGCTATACATGCAAATTCATGTACATTTTTTAATATCTATTACAATATTTTGCCTGTATTAGGAATAATCTAGCTTTATCCTCCATCTTATTTGTGAGAACAGGACTGGATTTGTAATTCTTTTATTCTTTCACAAAGCAAACAGAAATAGAACCCAAGCTTTTTCCTCTTGAGAATTCAATTTTGCTATTTTTATCGTATACGTTTCTGCAGGCAAATATCCTTTAATTCAACAAATATTTATGGTATGCCACATGAAGCATTCATTCTAGTGGGAAACAACCAATAAACAAAATATATGGCAAATGGTTTAGGAAAAATAGATCAGGGTTAAGGGAGCAACATGGTGGTAGGGCGCCATCATGTAGAGTTCTCAATTAAACAAGACAAGACTTAAGCAGAGACCTGAAGAAGTGAGGGTGTGAGCCAAGCAAGTACTAAGGGGGAAGAGGATTCCAGGCAAAGGGACAGCAGTGCAAAGGTCCTGAGGCAGAGGCATGCTTGGTATACTGGAGAAAACAGGGAGGGAGGGTAGAATGGTGGGAAAAGAATGAGAAAGCAGGGCTGAGCGCGGTGGCTCACGCCTGTAATCCCAGCACTTTGGGAGGCTGAGGTGGGTGGATCACGAGGTCAAGAGATGGAGACCATCCTGGCCAACATGGTGAAACCCCGTCTCTACTAAAAATACAAAAATTAGCTGGGTGTGGTGGCACGTGCCTGTAGTCCCAGCTACTCAGGAGGCTGAGGCAGGAGCATTGCTTGAACCTGGGAGGCAGAGGTTGCAGTGAGCCAAGATCATCCCACTGCACTCCAGCCTGGCGACAGTGAGAATCAGTCTCAAACAAAAACAAAAACAAAAACAAAAAAAGAGCAAATAAAGAAGTCAGTGGATAAGAAGCCAGAAGTAACAGGCAGTTTACATATGGCCTAGTGGATCATGGCTATAACTTTGGCTTTTATTCAAGATTGGAATATTATCTGACTTTTTAAGGGATTACTGCACTGTATGAGACAGCAAACAATGTGGAAGCAGGCATAGAAGGGCAAGATCAGTTAGAAAGCCTTTGCCACGGTCCAGGTTTAATGATGGTGGCTTGGACCAGAGTGAACTTGCTGGAGGTGGGTTACAGAGATCAGATTGTGGATACATTTTGAAGGTAATGCTGGCAAAATTTGTTGATGGAGTCAATGTGAGATATAAAACAATCAAAGATGACTCCAAAGTTTTTAGCCTCCACTAGAAGAATGGAGTTGTCATTTCAAGAGATTGGGAAGATCTCAGCAGGACTTGTTTGGGGTGGGGGGAGATTAAGAGTTTCGTTTTGAATACATTAAGTTTGTGATGCCTGTTAGAAACTCAAGCAGTGCTATACAGTAGGCAGTTAAGTGTGAGTCTTGTGTTCAGAGGAAAGGTGTGGACTGGAAATTCAAATGTGGGTTTCATCCAGCCAGAGATCTGAATGAGATTGCCTAGGGAGAGAGAACAGAGGAGTGCGGGTTGTAAGATTTGAATCTCACGCCACTCCAGCATTTAGAGGCTGGAAAAGAAGGAGAAACCAGTAAGGAGTCTAAGGAACAGCCATTTGGGAAGGAAGAGAAGCAAGAAAGAAAATGAAATCCTGGTAGGCAAGATAAGGAACTTTAAGGAGAAGAAAGTTATCAGCTGTGTCAAATGCTGCTGACAAGTGGAGATGAAGACTGAGAAATAAAAATCAGACTTGAAAACATGGATGCTACAGATGATCTTGAACAGGTCCAGAAGTGTGGGAATGAAGTCTGTGGGTTCGAGAGAGAAGTAAAGATAAAGTATTTCTGTAAAGGAGAGCAGATCAGACTTTTGATAATGTGGTTTTATTTAGAGACAGTGTCTCACTGTCACCCAGACTGGAGTGCAGTGGCAAGATCTTGGCTCACCACAACCTCCGCCTCCCAGGCCCAAGTGATTCTCCTGCCTCAGTCTCCCGAATAACTGGGATTACAGGCGCACACCACCACACCTGGCTAACTTTTATATTTTTAGTACAGATGGGGTTTCAAAATGTTGGCCAGGCTAGTCTCAAACTCCAGACCTCAAAATGATCCACCTGACTTGGCCTCCCAAGGTGCTGGGATTACAGGCATGACCCACTGCATCCGGCCTATTTACTTTTTGAGACAGGGTCTCCCTCTGTCGTCCAGGCTGGAGTGCACTGGTGTGATCATGACTCACTGCAGTCTCGAACTCCTGGACTAAAGTGATTGTTCAGCTTCAGCCTCTGGGAGTAGCTAGGAATACAGGCATGCATCACCATGCCTGGCTACTTTTGAGCAAATGGTTTATACCAATTTCAGCAGACATCTAGTTATCAAACAAATTAGTAGTAATTTTGCTGCCAGTTTTCAAAGTTTCTATGAAATGTTATTTGTTGTACTCCTCTGATGTTTGTCTTCAATGGATTCACTACAAATATGTCAGAAATTACATGTTAAGATGCTACCGAATTTTTTTGTTTTCATAATTTCAGTCACTGTCAATTTTTTTTTTTAGTTACTGGTAGTTTAAGAGAGCATTAAATAGGCTTTTTATTGGTCTGCACATCTCCACAAACAGCAATAAGCTCTACATCTGGCAGATGGATGTGACAAATAAGATTATGTAATTAAAATTTTTTTTCCAACCAGTTGTGATTTCAGAGCCTTTCTCCCTACATCATTCCATCTCTCCATTCTATTAGGTCTAGCAATAACGTAACTTCTTGGATACCAAGTAAATCAGTTACTTTTTATTTTTTGGAGGGGGTTGTTTCTTCTGACTTGTTTACTATTTGCCTCTTCTGTGTTAATCACCTAATTATGTTTACCACAATTCTTTTCATTAAACTATGTTGCCTTACAAATAGTGCAAAAAAAAAAAAAAAAGTCAACCAATCACCCGAATACCACCACTCTCAACTAACGGTTGTTTGGTATACTTCACGTTTCTTCTCTCAATGTACCTGCAGCAGTACATAAAATCAAATTTGTAGCAATTTCACTTAACACACCTGAGAACTTTCACATGAATTTTCTTTCACCAATGGACTTCAGCGAGGAAGAAACAGAGGAGGGAAAAGTGAGAGATAAAGAGAGGGTGGGCAGGGCACCGCTGGGTATGGAAAACGTTAGAAAGGGATGGAAAACGTTAGAAAGGGGTGAAAAGCCGAGCGCAGTGGCTCACGCCTGTAATCCCAGCACTTTGGGAGGCCGAGGCGGGAGGATCGCTTCAGGCCAGGGGTTCGAGACCAGCCTGGGTAACACAGCGAGACCCTATCTCCGGAAAAACTTTTTTTAAAAAATTAGCCGGGTGTGGTGGTGCATGCCCGTGGTGCCAGCTACTTAGAGGGCTGAGGTGGGATGACCCGTAAGCCCCGGAGGTCGAGGCTGCAGTGAGCCGTGATCGCGTCACTGCACTCAGACTGGACGACAGCGCGAGACCTGTCTCAAAAAAAAATAACAAGGGGTAGGGTGGGGCAGTGAGATGGTTCAGCGTTGTTCCCAAGGAACTCATCTCCCTAAATTTCCAGTCTCAAGCGCCGCTTTCATTCCCTGCCCCGAGCGGCGCTCCCCGCTCCGTGCACGCATCTCCGCTGAGGGCCGCCCTGACGCACGGCCTTCTGCCTTGAACACAGAACCCCTCAGCCCTTCCTATTAGCCGTTTCTGGCCGGGACTGCACGCGCTCCTTCCTGCCTCGGGGCGCAGGGTGAGACTTACGTCTAAAGGGCGCCCGGCGAGCTCGCAGCAGCCCCTGCCCCGCGGAGGGCCGGTGGCGCGCGGCGTCCGGTGAGGGGCAGCGGCCCGGGCTCGGTTCCGGCTTCCAGCAGCGGCCCGAAGGCGCCGGAGCACGCTCCCCGCTCCCCAGAACGCAGCTTCCGCGGCTGCAGCCCAGGCAGCTCTTCGGGAAGCGTCCGCCCGTGGTCTCGCCAGGGGGTTTCCGACCTCCCCGCCCGACAGCGCAGGGGCGGGGGCCGCGGCCGGAGAGCTCGCCCGAGAGCACCCCCTCCCGCTGCGCCTCTGGGCGCACGCGCAGCCGCTGCAGCCTCCCTTATTTAGTCCGCGATGGCTTCCCTCGCGCCCCACCGTCCTCTTCCGGAAGGCGGCTCCCTCCCTGCGCAGCCCGGAGCCCCTGAGATCAGCCTCGAGCAGGCGCCCGAGCGAGACTATCCCTAAACGGGAACGGCGGTGGCCGACTCGCGAGTGAGGAAAAGAAGGAAAGGGCAGACTGGTCGCGAAGAGAAGATCCAGGCCTCAGAGGAGGAGAAAGGCCGGAGCCAGCCGAGGTTTGCCGAGGGCGGTGTTCCGGACCCGCGCGGTGCGGGGAGGAAGGCCGAGGGTGGGAGAGGAGGGGCCCGGCGGAAACTGCCGAGGTTTCCCGAAGGCGGCAGCGTCCGAGTTGCCCGGATGTAGTTGGTGGAGCGGCAGCGGCGGCACCAGCGGCGGCGGCGGCGGCGGGAGGAGGAGGAGGAGAAGAAGGACCAGGCGGCGGCAGCAGCGGCGGCGGCGGGGGGAGGAGGGGAGGAGGCGGCGGAGCAGGAGGAGGAGAAGGCGGAGGAGGCAGTCGCTCTCCGCGGGGCTGAGCCGGACGCGTCGTCTTGCCCCCCTCCCCCCGGTTCGCGGTGCCGCCGTGTAGTTGGCGCCGCTGCCCCGGCTGAGAGTGAGCGTGGTGTCGACGGAGGGAGATGGCCCGGGAGCGCCGGCGCCAGTAACTGGGAGCTGATGAGAGTCGCCGAGGGCGCGCCGGGCCCAGGTGCCGGGGCTGCCCGCCGCCCGCCGCCGCCGCCGCCTGCGCGCCCGCCCGCCTTTCGCGGCCGCTCTCCCCCCTCCCCGACACACACTCACAGGCCGGGCATTGATGGTAATGTATGCGAGGAAACAGCAGAGACTCAGTGATGGGTAAATTGTCTTTTCGTTTCGGGCCGGGCGGCGGCGGGGGGCGGCGGCGGGGGGGCTGTTCCTCCTTATCTGGAGCTGGCCGGGCCGCCATTTTTGTTGTTAACCCTGATCCGGATCGGGTTGGGGAGGAGGAGCGGCCGCGCGGGCGGGCGGGCGGGAACGCAGTGTGGCGGGGAGCGGGGGCCCGGCTTCGCGGCATTTCGCCCTCTCCGGCCCTTCCGGAGGCTCCGGGTTTGTGCCGTGTGCGTGCGGGGCTCGGCGCTGGGGCGCTCGGTAGGTCTCCCGCGGGGAGGGGCGGCGGGGGCCCCGTTTTCTTCCTCCCCGGCCCCCCACCCGCGCCGTGTCTTATGTCGCTGCCTTCTCTTCCTGTTTTTCAGCTGTCACGACCGGAGGGGGGACTCGCAGCCTTACCAGGTACCAGCCGAGGCCGGGGTGGAGGGATTGGAAGGGGCCGGAGGGGGAAGGGAGGGACTGCTACTCGAGCGCAGGCCTCAGAAGTCGATACAGGCCCTTCGGTGCAACACATCTGAAACTAGCACCGCGGATCCCCTTAAAATTCCAGGTTTGGTTCCTTTAGCGCTCTCCAGCAAGGTTTAGTGACTTATTTTGACAGGTGACTGGAGGGAGTTCGCTGATTTAGGAAAAAAGAATCATTTGCAGCCAGAAAGACCTGACTCGATTATTTGATTATTTGCGAGTGAAGGAATCGATGGGATGAGATGATAGGTGACTTACGAGGCTTATTTATTTATTTATTGTGTTGGGGGAACTGAAAAGTTAATGTAAAGGTATTAAAATTAAGTGAAGAACTTGGGTAAATAGCTAAATGACTTACAACTTTCAAGTCGGTTATAAAGTACTACCCTTTCCCCTTTTAATATTTTTGGTATACTTAATTGCCTTACAAGTAAAAGATATGTGTGCTTTTGTTTCTGTAAGAATTGAGGTCTTTGGGTACTTGGATAATCATTCTGATGTAGGTGGTTCTAGGTAGGTGGGTTCCTTTTTGTTACTGCAGTCATTGTGTGTGAAGTTCTAAGGATTATGATGAAAGTGGCCCCAATTTTCAGGAGGGAAACCTCATAATGATTGTTAACCATCAGATGACTGCAGAAAACACTTTCTACATCTTAAAGGACTAGAGAGCAGGTTTCTAACCTGATGGTTGTGTTATACAGCTGAATTTGAAAACACTGTCTTCTGATATGTAAAACATTGGATATGTCAAAAATTAAACTTTACTGAATCTGTCCTCCAAAGCATAGCTGATTACACATTGCAACAGATTAGTACATCATGATTGTCTTAAGATATGTGTTAGAATAAAGCTAAACGATTATTTTGAGCGCATTATGCTTAGTTAGAAATAGTACTCACATTAGTTTATTTTGGTTAGTATTTTTATACCTTAAAATTGTTTCCCACACCTGGGAGAGTAAGGAAGTTAGGTCTGAAATGCTTTATTTGAATCAAAGAATTGGAGAAACTGGTGTGTGGGTTTTTTTTTTTTTTTTTGGTAGGTTTGCAAAAATATGCATGTGCTTATTTATACATGTGTTTGTGTATATCAGCTGTAGAGCAGAAATTGATTATAGTAGTACTGAATTTCTAGTTTTCTTTTGACTATCAAAAAATGATTCTAAATATTCTCAGCCAAATTTTTTTATTTTTTGCAGAATCAGTGTGCAAGGTGGTTTATAAGATAATGGAGTGGGTTTTTTTTGTGTTTAGTGTGATTTGTTATCAGGAGTCTTATTGTAACGCTTAAGCATTAGGTTTTTTGTCTGAGAAACTTTAAAGAGTAAAGCAGAATTGAAAGTGGAAATTTTAATTTTGTAAGTTCATAAAATTTAATGATAATACACCAAAGTTTATGTTTAAATTAGGGAGTTTAAGGTTTCAATTCTTTCTCTCTTTTTTTGGGGGGGTGATGTTTTACAGGCACTTAAGTATTCATCGAAGAGTCACCCCAGTAGCGGTGATCACAGACATGAAAAGATGCGAGACGCCGGAGATCCTTCACCACCAAATAAAATGTTGCGGAGATCTGATAGTCCTGAAAACAAATACAGTGACAGCACAGGTCACAGTAAGGCCAAAAATGTGCATACTCACAGAGTTAGAGAGAGGGATGGTGGTGAGTATCTTTCTTGTTGAAACTTTGACATACAGTTTTAACAATAGCTCTATATAAAAGGCGGCAGTAGTATTTCTAGCTTGAAGAAGTTACTGTTCAGTTATGTCATTAAAATATTTTAATCCTATCATTTTTTTTTTACTCTGAACAAGTTACTGTAGAAACAAGATGCTGATGTGAGCATCTAAAAAGTGGACTCTTAAGGCCAGGCGCGGTGGCTCACGCCTGTAATCTCAGCACTTGGGAGGCCGAGGCGGGCAGATCACCTGAGGTCAGGAGTTCAAGACCAGCCTGGCCAGCAGGTGAAAACCCATCTCTACTAAAAATACAAAAGTTAGTTGGGCATGGTGGTGGTGGCAGGCGCCTGTAGTGCCAGCTCTTCAGGAAGCTAAGGTAGGAGAATCACTTGAACCTGGTTGGTGGAGGTTGCAGTCAGCCTGAGATGGTGCCACTGCACTCCAGCCTGGGTGCTAGAGTGAGACTCCATTAAAAAAAAAAAAAAAGCGGACTTTAGTGTTTAATAATAAGGGAATGCATTTATGAATATAGTTTAAAACATGCTTTCTTAAGGATGGGAAAAATGCAGGACTTTTTTCCAAGAAAGGAACTTTGACCTTTTAAAGATTTCAGTTTGAGATCCTTATTGTTGCTTCAGTTTGTTACTTTTTAAGGTGTTCAAATCTGTTTTCTAATTACAATGATAAACTATGAATTTAAAAACTCATTATGTTTTTTCAGGATAGTTCCCAGATTTAAAAAATTATTTATGACTTAGAAAATACATTCTTGCTTTTTGTTGTAAACATTTTCAGTATTCTCCAGTTTTGGTGATGTGATTTTTATACCTGGTTCATTGAAATATTCTTTTTAAAAGTTAGTCTGATTTCTTTTGCACAGTCCTGTACCTTCAATTATAAGTTTGCCTCAAGCTCTTTGTGGTAGGAGTCTGAGAATAAGTAAACAAAACCAATTCTCAGTAACTATTTTCAGACTTAATTTGCCCGAATTACATTTCATGTCAAAAGCATGCATTAAGGAACAAAGCAATTTCAGTAAAGACACCTATATTCTCTCCTACATGTTGCTTAAGTAGATAACATATCTTAAGCAGATTTACAATATTAAAAGCTTCCAAGGAAACTCAGTAAAGTACCATGTGACTTTTTGCCCCTATTGGCAGCTAGTTCTTCAATACTTGGCTTACTTTAAAAAAAATACCTTGCATCTTGCCCCTTTTGTCCACCTAGGATAGAAATCAGCTTTATTCAGTGTGATCATATACTGAGAAACATTGGCTTCCTCTACATAATTACTGGTTTGAGAAAATACAGTCAGAAGATTGCACTGGGATTGAATAATTTGGATGAGAAGAAAGTAGTTCTCTATTGAATGTAGTTATAGCTTAGTGCTATTTATGCAGATAAACCACATTTTTGTAACAGTAGTAGCAGGTGTATTTGATTATTAAAGTGTTACAAGTTATTGGGTTGCAAAATTAAGCTTTTAGAGTTATCAGTTTTGTGGGTAAGTTTTCCATAGTATTATGTAAAGCCTGAGATGGTACTCTCTATCAACCACTCTTCTATAGTGGATTTCATTTCTAATGTTAGCTCTTGGAGAGCAGGTACTGGTTGTACTATACTGTATTTATTTTGAAAAATTTGGTGATTGTAACAAAATAGGATATGGCACCTCATCTTCTTACAAATAGGCTCTTATTTTAGTGACTATGATCCAGTTTATCCCCAAATGCAAGAAGTCAGTTTTTCAGTTATAAATGCTTTCAATCATTTCCAGCAAACCTTGCTCAGCCAATTCTTTTACAGGTGAAGTAATCCCAAGAACATTCTGTTGCTTATTCATTCAACAAACCTGGGGCATCTACTGTGTGCCAACATTTGTGTGATACTCCTGGGAGTCAAGATGTGATCCTGGCCTTGAAGCTATTCTTAAATGCTTTGACTCTTGAGAGCTAGTGGTGTTTTAGCCACTTACTTTTTCTGTACCCATTTTTTCTTCACTTTGATTTTTTCATTTTTCTACCTGTATGAACTCCAGGTACTTGTTAGCTTTTCGTTTTTAAAAATTTGCATCTTTCCTGATGTTTCTTTAGCTTCATTTGCAAGAAACTTGATGTTTTTCTGATCTAATCACTTGCTAAGTTAGGCCCCACTTTCCAATTTTCTTTCTAGCTGATTGTCGTCTTCTGGAGTCTTCCAGCTAATACTGTGATTCCATTCCTGTCTCTACCATCTCTAACATACCTGGCTGCCATATTCCTTTATATTATATGGAAATAATAATATGAGGTATATCTCCATTCTGGAATTGAGAGTACATCTTTGATATTCTCTCTTCAAAAAACGTAAAATGGTGATTTTTCCTCATTTTATAGTGAGATATTTAGTCATTATAATTTGTTTTCTGGTGTTTATTTTTTATTGCTAATGATGTGTTTGGCACTAAGATGTTAAAAGTGTATATGTATGATTTTTATTGCAGGCATTATAAACTCCTTTGGATTTTTATCCAAAAATGAATTCAGGCCGGGTCAGTGGCTCACGCCGGA
This sequence comes from Homo sapiens, assembly GCF_000001405.40. Classification (NCBI taxonomy): domain Eukaryota; kingdom Metazoa; phylum Chordata; class Mammalia; order Primates; family Hominidae; genus Homo; species Homo sapiens. The sequence continues at coordinate 28,538,327 of NC_000010.11, forward strand.
ATCTCAGCACTTTGGGAGGCCGAGGCAGGCAGATCACCTGAGGTCAGGAGTTTGAGACCAGCCTGGCCAACGTGGTGAAACCCTGTCTCTACTACAAATACAAAAGTTAGCTGGTTGCGGTGGCGAGTGCCTGTAATCCCAACTACTAGGGAGGCTGAGGCAGGAAAATCACTTGAACCCAGGAGGTGGAGGTTGCAGTGAGCTGAGATTGTGCCATTGCACTCCAGCCTGGGAGACGGATTGAGACCCTGTCTCAAAAAAAAAAAAAAAAAAAAGAATTCAGCCAGGCACAGCTGCTCATCTCTGTAATGCTGGTTGCTTGGGAGGTTGAGATGGGAAGGTCCTTTGAAGCCAGGAGTTTGAGACTAGCCTTGGCAACATAGCAAGACCCTGTGTCTACTAAAAAAAAAAAAAATTTTTTTTTTGATTAGCTGGGTGTGGTGGGATGATTGCTTGAGCCCAGGAGTTTGAGGTTAACAGTGAGCTGTGGTTGTGCCACCACACTCTAACCTGGGTTGATAGAGTGAGACCCGTCTGTTTAAAAAAAAAAAAAAAAAAGAAAAAAATTAATGTATATAAATTCAAGACCATTATCAAAAATCAAATGCAAGTGAGTTGGATTATCTAAGCTCTAAGCATGTAAAAAACTTAAGATTACAGCAGGTTACTTACTATATGCATTGAACTACTGAATTCAAATTTCCCAGTTTTTCATTTTAAGATTTAATGATTTTCTTTACTAATAATAACCTATATGCTATGATTTGTAACTTGCATTTTACAAAGCAAGTTAAATGTGGAACTTGTGCGTTTGTTTACCTTAGGATTAGGCTTTACTGGCATCACAGCATTTTTCAGTAATTACTAGATTTCTTAGCATCTTGGATTTCATTGAAAAATGCTCGTTCAGAAGTAATGTATGAAAGGACTTGCAGATACAATATAAAAAGTGAGAAATCAGGGATTGTGAAGGTTTTTATTCCCAAAAACCTTGCTAGTTAAAATAAGACTTGCTGTAACATAGCGTGTATAGTTTAGAGTTAGAGATTTTATCCATTAGGATTTATTAAAGGAAATAATGTCTATTGTAAATTTAAGATAGGTTATGTGAGAGTATAATTAAAATATTTTTTTGTGAAATGAGTTATTTTTATATAGTCTGTGATCTGTCTGAAAACATACAATCTTGTTTAAAGTAACCAAAAGCAAAAACCTTAAGGTACAATCGTTAGGGTTTGTTTTTTGGTTTTTTTTTTTCTGGAGACAGAGTTGCCCAGGCTGGAGTGCAGTGGTGTGATCCTGGCTCGCTGTAACCTCTGCCTCCTGAGTTCAAGCGATCCTTCTGCCTTAATGTCCCAAGTAGCTGGGATTACAAACATACGCCATCATGCCCGGCTAATTTTTGTATTTTTAGTAGAAATAGGGTTTCACCAAGTTGGCCAGGCTGGTCTCAATCTCCTGCTCTCAAGTGATCCACCTGCCTCGGCCTCCCAAAGTGCTAGGATTACAGGCGTGAGTCACCGCGCCTGGCCCATAGTGAAGTTTTTATTTTGTCATTTAGCTATATCTTTGGAAAAATTTGGAAATGTATTTTCATCTCCCTAACTTTCAAATAAAAGTTACTATTAACATTTTGAAGGAATTAGTAGGGATTATTTGGTGATAATGTCTTTTTTTAATATAATTTAGTAACGTTTGAGTCTTTCACATTGAATAATAGACTGGCAGTTGAGCAACATGGTCTTACCGTTGTTTAGATGACTTTGAAATATGCTTTGAGTTAGTAATGTTACAAATTACTAACATTAGAAATGTTGTATAGAAAGTAAGTATACAAATTAACAGTCGCTTTTGATACTCATGTTAACTTTGGAAGACAACAGATAGTATCCTTATTTCCAGTTTTACAAATGAGGGAAAATTTAATAAAATTGAACAGAGAGCAACAGCTCAGTCTAGAAACTAGTTCTCTAACTTCGGTAACTTGTATGCTGTCAGAGATTAAACACTTGGGTATTGAAAGCTTATTTGGTGGTGGTTACTATGGCATGAATTAGTTTGAAGGCATTTTTGCTTTTATCCTGCTAATATCTTCACCCTTCTTCCCTCAGTGGTTACAACTTGCCAAATTATAGTACCTTGATAAGATGTATTTGTGTAGTTCTAGGCGCAGTTATCACATCAGTGTTTTATTTTCAAAAATAAGTTTTGACATGGAAGCATGACACAGATTTCACTAGGAAAAGTCCATTTTCTCTTAATCCCTCATATTTAAAGACTTGTTTACGAAGTGGAAACATTGCATAGAATATAATACACTAACGTTTGGATTTTAATAATACGTTTGACTGATGTTAAGTATTTTTTGTCTAGTAAAAATAGTGACACATGACCTTTTTTCATTGATTTATGCTTTGTGATAATACTATGCAGAAATGTTTGCATTGGATTTCCATTGGTCAATTTAGAAAACACAGGAAACATACTCTGTTTCAAGAGAAGTGGAATAAGATTGAAGGAGTAGCAGTCTTAATGTTTCAACTCTTCATTGTTTTTTTTTTAATTTTAGAAAACAGTGTCTGTGATGTAAGCATCTGTGCATGTAAATTGTTAAATTTGAACACTAGTACCAAGTCATTTGTCTTACGCTTCTCATAATCACATTTTAACTTTTTATATTTTTAGAGAGATGGTTATTATGTATTGTTTATAATTTAATGGTATTTCTATTTTACAATCAGTATTTTGGAATGAGTTCACTTAGATCCTTAGATCCTTAAGACAGTCTTAATTGAACTGTTTTCTAGTTGTGCAGGAAGTATTTAAAATTTTTGGTGTAACATACTTGGGGTTTTGGTCTGTAATTCACAGAAAATTTATATATTCTAATTTGTGTCTATTAAGCATCTGTTACCTTATTCTGTTGTGCAGAATTGTTTGGGGGGTAGTGCATCATTTTGTTATGATGCTGGAAAGAGTGAAGATGGAAATAAGCTGGGCATTTGGGATGCTATACCAGGCACTAGATATAACTCATTGTCAATTTGATAATTACAAAACCAATTTTTGTGGGGTTGTGTGTGTGTGTGTTTTGTTTTTTTTTTTTTTTTTTTTTTTTTTAAGACAGTCTCACTCTGTACCTAGGCTGGAGTGCAGTGGCACGATCTCGATCTCACCTCATTGCAACCTCCACCCCCTGGCAAAATCAGTTATTTGGTTATTTGGGGCTTGCAAATATATTCTATGAACAGTCCTTTTCAGGATTTGTATGATGCTTTATAATTTTCAAAGGGTTTCTATATTGTTTCTCATCTGACTCCACAGTAGCTCTTTGAAATAGGCTGATCAGTATTATTCCTGTTGTACTGATGAAATTATAAAGTATTTAGCCTACTGTTGTTGAAACTGGAAAGGAAGTCTCTTCACATAAAATTTTATCTCTGCCTTCAAATTATACTCCAAGTATAACTAATTCTCACTATTTTATCATTTTAGTTCTGGCTACCACCTTTTCTTAGCTTGAATTCTGCAAGAGCCCCCTAGTGTTCCCGAGTCCATTTTGCTTTGTATGATTGTTTCCCCACACAGTAGCCAGAGTGATCCAGTTAAAATGCCAGTCACCTCACATCTCTCTCAAGCTCACGGCCCTCCAGTGACTCCCTGTTTCTTAGCAAATCTTATAATAGATCCTGTGTAATCTGGTGTCTGGGTATTTTTTCAGCCTCTTCTACTATCTTCCCCTTGTTTGTGCTACTCTCTCCATACTGGCCCTGCAGGCAGAAGTTTGTTCCTGTCTCAGGGGCTCTGCACATTATGTGCCTTTATGTTTCTCCTACTGTGCTCACTCACTTCAGTAATGTGTCTGCTTAAGTGTCACCCTCTCACAGGGCCTTCTCTGCCCTTGCTGAACACTCTGAAACAGTCATTCTCATCATTGTCTTTCCTTGCCCCTGCGTGTTCCTTCCTTGTATGAAGGTGACCTGTTATGATTTACTTATAGTCATTCTGCTATAACATGACATGGGCATTTCTGAAAGTCACGGTGCTGTGCAACATTGCACCAGACCAATTTATGGGGAAAATGGAGTTAGGAGCACAGTAACCAAAAACATTGTCAGTGACACATTTTAAAAAGATAGGAACCTAATAAAAATTGTAACTTAGTTTTACACGTATAAAATGGTTAAAGAATAACACCGCAATAAATGGCACTTTACCTTGACCAAAACCTGACTTCTTGTGAAAGTGGCCACTCATTGGAAGGGTTGCAGTTCATGAATTACTGTAAAGTGATGGATGGAAGATACCTGATACGAGACAAAAACTTGTAACATCAAATGTGGATGGACCTGACTCATAATTCATGATGAACTAAGATAGCTATTAGATGTTTGAGCTGTGTCTGCCTTGTAAATTCCTGTGCAGCTTGATGTAGCTAGTGTTTCTCACAGGTGAAAATACACATAAGTGGGAAATTTGCTGGTTTCTGATAGATCAGTAGCCTTCAAACAAATTTGTCTATTTGGAAACAAATGTTATAGCAGAACTGACTGTATTTTAGTTTTTGTTTGCTTGCCTTTTGTGGAATATAAGCTCCACCAGAAGAGGAAGTGAGAGTTTTAATGTTTTTATCCACCTTGTATTCCTGTTACCTTGAATAGTGCCTGAAACTTTATAGCATTTAACTAAATGGATAGATAAAAAAAATTTGGATTGTTATAATTTAAGGGGAATGAAATTATAGTATTTTGGATTAGCATTCCTCAAACTTGAATGTGTATACTAAGCACCTGGAGATACTATAGTCAGTAATTCTGGGGTGGGTCCCAAAGATCTGCCTTTTAACAAGATCTCGGGTGATACCTACACTTCACTAGAGTAACAAGGTTCTATAGCAGCACCGTCCAGTGGAAATATGTTGGCCACAAATGCAAACCATATGTGTACTTTTCTAGTAGCTTTGCTTAAAAACTAAAAATGATTCAATTTTAGTATATTTTATTTGACCTAATATATCAAAAATATTTCAACTTGTAATTGATACCTTAAAAACTATAATGACATACTTTACATTCCCTTTTTGGTACAAGATCTTTGAAACCTAGTGTCTATTTAACATTTACAGCACATTTCAGTTTGGACAAGCCACATTTCATGTGTTTAATTGCCACATGTGAATGATGGTTATTGAATTGGACAATGCGGTTCTGAGGAATGTGATCGCCCTGTTGGCCTGTCTGGCTTTTACATATATTTTTATTTCTCTAAGGAAAGTATTTTGTATGCTTGACTTCTGAAATGCCATATTTATGCAAAGCAAGATTGGAGTTAATGGGTCCTTGAGCTATATAGTGCTTCTTGTACTAAAATTTTGTTAGTACACGCTCATTGTAGAAAAATTAGGAAATGCAGAGAAAAGGGGAAAAAGAAAGTCACCTTGTATCTTCTCATTTAAGAGTTAATCACTAGTTTTCATAGAAAACATTCTCATGCCATAAAATAATTAGTATTCTGTAATCTTTCCAGAATTGGTTTCCTTTGTTTTGTTTTTTGTTGTTGCTGTTGTTGTACTTGTTGTTTGAGGCAGGGTCTTACTCTGTCATCCCAGGCTGGAGTGCAGTGGCGCAATCTTTGCTCACAGCAAGCTCGCCTCTGCAGGTCAAGTGATTTTCCCGCCACCCAAATAGCTGGGATTACAGGTGCGCACTGCCACGCCCAGCTAATTTTTGTATTTTTAGTAGAGACAGGGTTTTGTCATGTTGGCCAGGCTGGTCTTGAACTCTTGGCCTCATGTGATCCATTCGCCTCAGCCTCCCAAAGTGCTGGGATTATAGGCATGAGTCACTGAGCCCACTTCTTTCCAGATTTTTTGTAAAATTGTTTCGCATTGTGTTCCCTTTATTCGCTTGTATTAATATTTGCGTAGTGGATTAAACAAATACTTGGTGTTGACTGTCAGTCTTAGAGGACTGACTAGAAGTAGTTTTCATTTGGGGCTCAGGAAATACCTACTTTATATTTCTAGCTAATTAGGAAAGTCATTTTTCAGTTAGGTTGGTGTTTTGGTTCAGGCACTCGCTAGCTAGATGACCTAACATGCTACTTAATTTCTGAGTGTTTGTGTCCATCCCTGTAGGATTGTTGCGGGGTTAAATGAAATTGTGTATATTTGTAAAGCATTTACCTCAGTGCCCAGACTGTGACAGAGTAGATTATTAGGCTTGCTCTTATTTCTGTGATTAAATTTAGTGTCAGATTAGCAACCTATAGCTACTTCTAAAGCTGCTGCTGCTTTCTTTGTTTAGGGTTAGGAAGAAACATGCTGGACAGTTTGCCAAATGAGAGTTACATGATGTGGCTTGTGGGAACATTCTAACTTGGAACTTGCCCATTTCCAGGACTTTGTGGTTCAGAGATTTTTGGGGATAGATGTAAGGGTTAAAAAAACAGAAAACGGCCAGGCGCGGTGGCTCACGCCTGTAATGCCAGCACTTTGGGAGGCCAAGGCGGGCAGATCACCTGAGCTCAGGAGTTTGAGACCAGCCTGTGCAACATAGTAAAACCCTGTCTCTACTAAAAATACAAAAATTAGCTGGGGCGTGGTGGTGCATACCTGTAATCCCAGCTACTCGAGAGGCCGAAGCAGGAGAATCGCTTAAACCCAGGATTGCACCACTGCACTCCAGCCTGGGTGACAGAGTGAGACTCTGTCTCAAAAAAAAAAAAAAAAAAAATGGTAGTGCAAGTTTAGAGTAATGGTTCCCAAATTAGGCTGCTTATTAGGCTCCCCTGAGAAGCTTTTAAAGTTACAGCTTCCTTGACTCCCTCCCCATTACCCAGAATCAAAGCAATAGTTGATGGAGCCTAGAAAACTGAATTTTTAGGCCGGGCACAGTGGGTCATGCACGTAATCCCAGCATTTTGGGAGGCCGAGGAGGGCGGATCACCTAAGTTCGGGAGAGACCAGCCTGACCAATGTGGAGAAACCCCATCTCTACTAAAAATACAAAATTAGGCATGGTGCATACCTGTAATCCCAGCTACTTGGGAGGCTGAGGCAGGAGAATTGCTTGAACCCGTGAGGCAGAGGTTGTGGTGAGCTGAGATCACGCCATTACATTCCACCCTGGGCAACAAGAGCGAAACTCCGTCTAAAAGAAGAAAAAGAAAACTGAATTTTAAAATAAACACTGGGTTAATTTAAGTATTTATAAACTGCAGATTTAGGGAGAGTACACAGAAGGGAAGAGGAACTCTGAAGTGGACATTAAGGAATGTGAGTTTTATCATTAACAGTCTGATTATTAGAGTGGTTATTTGGCAAATTGTGTAATGTGTTCTTGTTTTAAAGAATTCTCTATCATCTAGATTCACAGATAGGATTTGTAAGTAATTGCTATTAAATAGCTAACTTAATATCCTGTGCAAGGGCATCTAATGCCCAGCAGTAGAGAAGTTTCTAATTGGACAGGCCAGTGAGATACATTGGGTAGTATCTGGAGCCACTGGTGTTACTTTAGATAATACCTACTTAGGTACTACATTTCCACCATAACACCTCGTCTCTAGCATTAAGCTGTCCTGAGACACTTCAGTGGTAAATTTCATTTAGCTTTTATCTCAGTTGGAAAAATAGCCTTTCTCCAAGTTAGTAGAGTATACTTAGGCTGATCTTAGGTGTTAACAAAAGATTTCCTAAAGTTTACTCTTAGGAGTATTTGCATTTTAAAGGAAATTTAGAATGTATGTGGTTGATATATTTAGATAGTGTTAGTCTTTCTGTGTAGGCTTTAATTACTTCTGACTTTGTATGACAGTGCCAAAAGAGCATGACCTACTATTGGCGTCTTCCTAAAGGTTCTGACCTGTTCTGTATTCATAGAACTAATCTTTTCTGGTAGCTAAAAAAGCAATGCTAGTGAATTATGTTACATTGGAGTACTTTGGTTACGATGAAGAGAGGATCATGATGAAATATTTCTGCATTTAATAATTTGTTCTAACTTCATAGAATTGTGTGCCTGTTGATTGTGAAAAGATTCATTGTAATGGAAGAAAGCTGGAGAAGTTGGGGTACAGAGTGACAAGCTGCTAGAAGTACTGTTCTCTGCTGCCTTCAGCCTTTTCTGTGGTTATTGGGGCTGGTTTCTGTTCTGCTGCCTGCTGGCTCCTTGTCAGTCTTCTAAGCATTCATATTTAATATGCACGGATACCTGAATCGCAGTTATGATACTTTGATTTTTTTTTAAAGAATAATGAGTTAAGTCCCAAAGTAGTACTTTCTAAAACTAAAATAATTTTATATTTTTGTGTAATTATGAGAGTTCCTTTTTTATATAGCTGTTAAATAAATGCCAGTGTTAATTATTTTGGAAAAACAGAATGAACTCTCCCCTTTGAGTTTGACCAATTTTATTTATTTAAACATGTAAATTTTGTGAACTTTGCTGCTTTGTTCATATTGCATAGGTTTTGATGGAAAGTTGAAGAGTTATCTCGTTTTTTATTCAAGCCTAAATGTAATTTCAGTTTTGATTTGTCTTTTTTTTTTTTAACCCAAATCTATTAAGGGTATTTTAAAAATCTAAATGAATCAGTTTTGTAAATCACTGTTAGGCTTTCTTTTTGTTTCTAATTTTCTTGGCTTTTTGGAATTAGAATTTTTATTATCTCTGGATACTTTGTCGATATTTTTGGGATATTTGAAAATAATGTATTTCCTGTTGGGTACAAAGATCTCTGTCAGTAGATAAGCTTTTAAATTATTTAATGAATAATTATGTAGTATGTCTTTTGTATCTTTATTTGATTTAGCATTTTCTGGCAGATGGGATTATTTTATAGCATAGTTCATTTCATTTCTCATTTTTAAAAGCACTTTTTGCTTTGTGTGTTACATATGTTTGCTTAAAGATTTCGGACTTTTGGCCAGGTGCGGTGGCTCACCCCTGTAATCCCAGCGCTTTGGGAGGGCAAGGTGGGCGGATCACCTGAGGTCAGGAGTTAGAGACCAGCCTGGCCAACATGGTGAAACCCCGTCTCTACTAAAAATACAAAAATTAGCTGGGCGTGGTGGCATGTGCCTGTAATCCCAGCTACCTGGGAGGCTGAGGCAGGAGAATCACTTGAGCCCTGGAGGCAGAAGATGCAGTGAGCCTGGGTCATGCCACTGCACTCCAGCCTGGGCAACAAGAGTGAGACTCCATCTCCAAAAAAAAAAAAAGACTTGTAACTTTTTTTGTGAATCGTAATCTAAGACTTTGCACATTGGGAAATGTCTTCATTTTGTTTTCATGTCTGAATAAATTATCTTTTGGCTATATTAAAAAATCATTTATCCTTTAATTTTTTTTTCCCTGAAGATATTTCTAAAAATCAAACCTGGTTCTTTTTCATGGATAGATACCCATTGGGATGTATGACTCCTAATTTACTCTCCTACCCAGCTTGAAAATTTAGAGTTTTTCCTTCTTTATCCTTGGATCTAAAACTTCACAAATCTCACTTTGTAAGTGTAGGCCTTTTTTCGTTACTTCTAATTAGTGCATTTTAATTTTTTAATTACATTTTAATTTTCTTTCTCTTTTTCTTTTTTTTTTTTTTTCTTCTTTGAGAGAGAGTTTCGCTCTTGTTGCTGAACCTGGAGTGTAGTGGCGCAATCTTGGCTCACTGCAATCTCCGCCTCCCGGGTTCAAGGGATTCTCCTGCCTCAGCCTCCCGAGTAGCTGGGATTACAGGTGCGTGCCACCATGCCTGGCTAATTTTTTTTTATTTTTAGTAGAAACAGGGTTTTACCATGTTAGCCAGGCTGGTCTTGAACTCCTTACCTCAGGTGATCCACCTGCCTCTGCCTCCCAAAGTGCTGGGATTTACAGGAGTGAGCCACCACGCCCGGCCAACATTTTAATTTTCTAAAGACCCTGGACAATACCCTGAATGCTTAGTGCCTTTTTGTCTAACCCTATCCGTTAGAGAGTCATCTTCCACACTCTTTTTTTCTTCTCTTTTACTTGTTTCTAACTTTTCTCCTTTTAGAACTCCTGTTAGATGTTTTTTGGTTCTATTCTACTTCTCTTTTGCCTGGTAAATAGTAAGTACAGTAGTTAGATAATTTTTAAGTGTACACTCCACTCTGGGGAGAATCTCTTGGCATCTTCTTTCAACCCCCTGATAATTAAAGCTGTGTTCATTTCATCCACCTATTCCAAGTTTTATTTTGGGTGCTGTGCTTTTTTCATAGCTTTTTGTGATTTTATAACTGATTTACTAGAAATACTCTTGAGAATTTGGGTTATTTTTTAGTTTTTTTCATGTTAAATATATGTTTTTCTGGTTGAGTTTGGTGCATCATACCCGTGTTACTGGGTTCCTCAGATGCTTGCTGTTCATAGTTGTCTATTCATGTTTGGGAATACGAGACTAGGTCAACTCTATCAAATAGAATATATGGTTGAAAATGTTTGCTGTCTGAGCTGTCCAGTGTGGTAGCCACCAGCTACGTGTATATTGAGCATTTGAAATGTGGCTAGTGCAGCTAAGAAACTCAATTTTTGTAGTTTTTTTTTGGTTTGGTTTTGTTTTTGAGGCAGAGTCTTGTCCTGTCACCCAGGCTGAATGGAGTGCACTGGTATGGTCATGGCTCACTGCAGCCTCAAAAAAACTCCTGGGCTCAAGTGATCCTCTTGCCACAACCTCCCAAGTAGTTGAGCCTGCAGGCATATGCTGCCACTTCTGGCTAATTTTTGCATTTTTTATAGAGACAGAGTTTTACCATGTTACCCAGGCTGGTCTTGAACTCCTGGCTTTAAGTAATCCTCCTGCTTCAGCCTCCCAAAGTGCTGGGATAATGGGTGTGAGCCACCACATCCAGACAAGTTTTTGATTTTTTATGGTGTTGGCTTTCCTTTCTGTGCTGCTGTTTTAATCTCATGCTTGAGCCGTGACTCAAAAGTTACTTTTTCTGAGGTGTTCTGTCTTTGCTGCTTTCTCAGTTTTCATACCCTACCTGGGTATAGCTGTGGGTATCTCATGCTTCTTTTAATCCTTTGATTTTCAGGCCTACATATCTCTTTGCTTATTGGACAGCCACCACCTAATGTTCTATAGATAATCTTCCTAAATCTTTTTCTAATTTGGCTATTCCCTGTCCTGATTAATGCCTGGGAAGTTGTCCCTGATTCTTTTTTCCTGTGTTTATGGGCAACTTCCAGAACTCATTGCCCTGTTTTAAAATATTGCAATATCTTGTTTACAGACCTGTTGTCTCATTCTTTACCCGCAGCTGAGTAAAAATTAACTACAAATTTAAACATACTCTTTTCATTAACCCTGAAAGCCTGAATTTTATAGGTCTTAATTATGTTGTATTGATGACAGTTGTCCAAAAATGAGTTTTTCTCTCCGCTTCCACATATACTTATCAGATACATTTTCTTATCTAATGTACATAAGAGGCCACTGAAATGAACTGTTATGTCCATGCCTGAAAGTTAGCATCTCAGACTAGGTTTCTGGCTTGTATAAATATAACTTGAAGTTTAAAGAGTTTTAAGTTTTGGCCAGGCGCAGTGGCTCACACCTGTACTCCCAGCAGTTTGAGGTCCCGAGGTGGATGGATCACGAGGTCAGAAATTCAAGACCAGCCAGGCCAAACATGGTTGAAACCCTATCTCTACTAAAAATACAAAAAGTTAGCTGGGTGTGGTGGCCAGCACCTGTAATCCCAGCTACTCGGGAGGCTGATGAGGCAGGAGAATCGCTTGAACTTGGGAGATGGAGGTCGCGGTGAGCGGAGATCACACCACTGCACTCCAGTGGGTGATAATGCAAGACTCAGTCTCAAAAAAAAAAAAAAGTTTGTTTTATGAGCCACCATTACCCAAAGTTCACATTACTCTTTTCTCAGCCACTCTCTGCCTTCTCTATAATCTAGTCATGTAAAAGCACTTACCCAGTCCTAGGCATCTTTTTTTTTTTTATGCTGTTGTCCCATTGTATGTGTTTTCATAGCCAAAATTGTCCTCTCTCCACTCCTACCTCACCTTTTTTTTTTTTCCTTTGCCAAACCTCTTACTCCTTCAAGGTCCCACTTTATTTTATGAAGCCTTCCTTGAGCCTATCTTTATTATAGCTCTTTTGTAGAGATTTGTAATTATTTACATATGTTGTTTGCCTGCTACACTTTGAGCTCCTAATAGGCAGCGATTTGTATGTGTGTGTGGAGGGGGGTCTGGTGTATATATATGTGCTCAGTAAATGTTAAATGTCTTATGTCATTTGACATATTCAGGAACAGGTGAGTGGCAGAAATCTTCAGAGAACTGATGTCCCTCAAACTTTTAAGTGCATTTAAGAGTAAAATCATAAGAATTTACTACTACAGAGTTCCTATAGTGTTTGAATTGAAGTTGCTCTTGTATTATTTGTGGAGGAAGCAAATAGTCTATTCAGGCTTTCAGGAAAATGTGTGAACTGTAAGCATATAAACTTTAAAAAAAATTGTGTACATAATTGATGTGCTAATTCCAAACCATTATCAATCTCTTAAGTAGCCCGGCTGGTTAGACTAGTGTCCGTTGCATTAGTATAATCCTATAGAAAGCTGTATGTGATTTGAATACTGAAGTGACATTTTAAATTTTGCAGTTCAGGCTCTTCACTAATTTTATTGTTCCTTTTCCAAATCATTGTTTCTCAAACCCTCTTAAATTCATATCTCACTAGCTAAGGAGATTTTTATGGTTTTCCTTTCTGTAGTAAATTAGGTAGAATAATAGGGGGGATATTTTGGGGTGGTGTTAGTGGTGGTCTGTTTTCCAGATATCCTGTATCTGAATATTCAGTAAGCTTTTTGAAGCTACTTACACATCCGTAAAACTTCTCAGATTTAGTGTTCTATTTCCTGCATCCTTGAGAATGGCTAATTGTTTTGAACTGGTGATTCATTATGTTGTGATTTTATTCCTAAACTGACTATAATGATGTAAAGTGACTTTTCATCACTTTGTATCAGGGAAAAAAAAGAATGCAGCTATTACATGGGCATACTTTAGCTCTTGAGCTTGTGCATTTTGACAGTAAAACTATGACTTTTACAAGTAAACCGATTGAAAGCATATAAGCTATTATAATCGAGCAGTGGCTCAGTTGTAAAAAGTCTTCTTGGGGTTGAATTCACATCTTGTGGAAAAGCCAGGGGCCACATAGCAGATCAGTCTTGGTTTCTCTTCAGTCCTATCTTATTTTTTATCTGAAACAATATAAACCAGCTTGCCTTTTATCTTATTTACTGTTATTTTCACTGAATTGTTTTTAATGGTTAAACCCATCCCCAATAATTAATTAGCTTAAGATATTGGAGCGAATGCTGTAGGATCTGAAATTGTTTTTCAGAAACAGTTAATGTTTTGAGAATTGATGTCATTTTAGACTTAAATGCTTTTATGTTTCCTGTCTACTTGTGTGTGTGTGTGTGTGTGTGTGTGTGTGTGTGTTTCTTTTTTTTTTTTTTTTTCCTGAGATGGAGTCTCGCTCTGTTGCCTAGGCTGGAGTGCAGTGGCACGATCTCGGCTCACTGCAACCTTTGCCTCCTGAGTTCAAATGATTCTCCTGCCGCTCAGCCTCCCAAGGAGCTGGGATTCCAGGCATGCGCCACGACGCCCAACTAATATTTGTATTTTTAGTAGAGACAGGGTTTCGCTGGTCTCAAACTCCTGACCTCAGGTGATCCACTTGCCTTGGCCTCCCAAAGTGCTGGGATTTTAGGCGTGAGCCACCACCACGCCCAGCCCTTGTATGTGTATTGTAATAATGTTTACTTTTTAAAAATCAATACATTATTTGTTACTTTTCAGTTTTTTTTCCTCTTAGTATTTATTCTTAGGTATATGTGTGGTTTTTGAAAAGCCATCTTCTGACTTTAAAAAGCACTAATTTTGTGGATGCTGCAGTGATGTATCGTTATGGTTTTTCTTCTGCCTAGGCTCAGAATTTATCAGAATCAGGTGGTTAAAATCAGGCCTGTTGGTCAGAGTGGTAGTTTATATTTTGGTTTGTTAGCGCTGTTTCTTCCTTATGACATTAGATACTACTCCTCTTTCTATTGTAATTCTTTCAATATCATTAATGTTGCTGTCAGTGGAGGAATGCAAGGAAGCATATAGAGGGCTTGTGTTTTGTGTAGTTTTACTTTAGAAGACCCTTAATTGGTTGGCCTTTGGGTTTTTGAGAAAGCATCATGTTAAGGAATTACACCAAATAAAATTTAAAACTGAAAATTTTGAATCATATAGTCAGAACTCTTTGAATATTGACTGGATTCTAATGTGTATGAGGAATTTCCTTTTTGGGTTTGGATATTATGTATCATTTAGGATTGTATGCTGGTAGAGAGTATTGTTAACTCGATAACAAGAATTAAAATGAGAAAAAAAGAGTATTAGAACAGTCTTGGGATCTGGATGTTGTCGTTTTTATTTTGGTTTTTAGTGTTTTGACAGTGAGCAAATCCACTTGGCTGCTTTTTTTTTTTTTTTTTTTTTTTGTCTTCTTGGGTAAAGAACAAGGTTGAATTTGATAATCTCCAAGGTCCTTTTCAGAATAAATGATTTGAGACCTGTACAGGAGAGCCTTTCGATTTTTGTACTTTAATTTCTGCTTTCAAATATTTGTTCTGTGTCCTGCCAGCTCATGGTAACTTTCCCTGCCCGAGGTAGTATTTATGGCTTCATTTGTTTGTGTGGAGACGAATGGAATATTTTCCCCCAATGTTCATTTAATATTTTCATCAGTATATAGAGAAGGATGGAACAGGAAAATAGTTATCTCTGGATTTATTAGGTTTAAATTGAGAAACAAGGTTGAAAATTTTCACAACTATTATAAACAAATCTTTTATAGTTTTTGCTGTATGTACTGTATGTACTATTTGTTTACAAATTTTGTTTATGTAAAAAGTGATTTACTTTGTAGCCTTGTTAATACAGCTTTCAATTTAGTAAATCTTAAGCTGCTTGCCAGATACAGTATTCATTTTCTGCTTAAGTCAGGAAATACTCATTTTGACTCTTGAAATAGTAGATACTAAGCATTTTAAACTTAATCCACTGGGCAAATACAATTTTTATTTCTGGTGGGTTTAATTTTTTTAATGAAAAATGAATTTCATATTTCAGAAATTCTTGTGTATTTGTATTTTAAATGTATGGCTTTTTCTTTTTCCCTTAAGGCACTCATGGTGTTGAAGAACAAAGGCATTATATGGTTTTATAGTGCCGTTTAAGATTGAGGGAAGGGTTGTTACTGTTTTAAGTTAAAGTTTTAAGGTTGTTAAGGTATATAAGTAGAGTGTAAATATTAATACAGTCAGCCTTATATATCCATGGATTCCACATCTGTGGTTTCCCCAACCACAGATAGAAAATATTTGGGGGAATAAAAGGATGGTTGTGTCTTTACTGAACATGTACAGACTTCTTTTTTATTCCCTAAGGAATAGGGTATAAGAAATGTTTACATTGTAATAGGTATCATAAGTAATCTAGAGATTTTTTTTCTCTTTTGAGGCAGAGTCTTGCTCTGTTAACCATGCTGGAGTGCAGTGGTGCTATTTTGGCTCACTGCAGCCTCCACCTCCCAGGTTCAGGTGATTCTCCTGCCTGTCTCCCAAGTGTCCAGGACTACAGGCGCATACCACCACGCCTGGCTAATTTTTGTATTTTTAGTAAGAGATGGGGTTTCGCCATGTTGGTCAGGCTGGTCTCGAACTCCTGACCTCAAGTGATCTGCCCGCCTCTTCCTCCCACAGTGCTGGGATTTATAGGCATGAACTGCCGCACCCAGCCTTAGAGGTGATTTTAAGTACACAGGATGTGCATAGGTTATATGCAAATACTACACTACTTCATATAAGGGAATTGAGCATCTGTGGAATTTGGTATCAGCTGGAGCATCTTAGAACCAGTCTCCCATGGATACTGAGACATGACTGTACCTAAATGTGATGATTTATTTTTTGTGAAAATGGATTTTTTCAAAATGCAGATATCTAGAATCAGTTAATATTTGTAAAGTTGTTTGCTTCTGTTGCTGTGGAATGGAAGGAACTACTGAGGTTTAATAAAACTTAAGAGTTGTATTAACTTAAGTTCATTTTTGTATCTTGGTTTCCCTTATTTTGCTTAGCTCATTGTTCTCCCTTATCCCCAATATCCACGAATAGCTCGTGAATTTGTTCACTTTTTCTAGGTTGGGCCATGATTGTTTCTTGCTCTAAGAGTCATACTACCCCACCATTCCCTCCCAGTTCATTCTCCACATTGCAGTCAGAATCACCTTTTAAGAAAAGCACACTTGCTTGTTCTTTTTGTAAAAATCTTTTATTGCCCTTAAAATGAAGCACAGACATTACAGTGGCCAACTCCTATGTCTTTCTACTTTTCCACCCCTCCGCTTTGCTCTTTCATTGAAGATGTTCTTTGAGGTAAGAGTTCTGACTTATCTTGGGTACCTCACACATGCTTTTTCTTTCTAGAATACTCTCTTTCCATCAGCTCCTTTTGCCTAGTTAATTCCTTATTTTTCAGGCTTCAACTTAAAAGTTACTTCCTCTGTCCTCTCAACCCCCAAGTCTAGGTTACTTAGCATATCCGTTATCACATATAATAGTTTATGATGATAGTATTTTAGTGTCTGAAACAGAATTGTGTGTTTTCCCCTCCCAAACCTGCTTTTCTCAGGTCTTGGGCATTTTGTTAAGTGGAAACTACAGTTTCCCAATTGCCAGGCCAGTAATCTTGAGCCTCCTCCTTAACCGGTCTTTCTGCTTTCCAACCTTCTACTCTTCAGTATCTTTATGTAGCAATGAGCTCCAGTTACTCTTCTGCTCAAAACCCTCTCAGATGTCCTTGCAAGTGGCTCATGAGGCCCTACACGTTGTTAACTCCTGCCTAGCCCCCTTACCTCTCCAACCTTATATCTCTGAGTTATGCTCTTCACTTAGGTTTACTCAGTCACATGAACATTGTAGTTCCTTGAGCATTCCAGGCACATTCCTGCCTTACATTAGAGAAAATGTTATTCAGTGATACTTGTTTAAAGCACAGTAAGGAAGATTTTTTTTTTCTGGGACTATTGCAGTAGATACAAGAACCACTGCAACCAGGTCTTGGGGTTGGTGGGAGTGTTGGGCTCAACTCTGAATGCAGCATGAGCAAGTGGGAATTCATAGCAAGGAGTAGTGTAGGAGTCAGTGGGTGGAAAATTACTAAGGAAACATACAGTGGTGAGGGGGATTTGGCTAAACCAACTGCTATGGTTTGAGTGCGTTCCCTAAATTTTTATTTCTTGGAAACTTAATTCCCAGATTCATATATTGATCGTATTTGGAGGTTGGGCCTTTGGCAAGTAATTAAGATTAGATAAGTCACCAGTGTAGGGCCCCCATGATGGCATTGGTGGCTTTGTAAGAAGAGGAAAAGAGACCTGAGCTTGTGTGCACTTGACCTCTTGCCATGTGATGACTGGCACCATGCTGTACAACTTTCCAGCTTCCAGAACCACGAACTAAATGAGCTTCTATTCTTTATAAATTACACAGTCTGGTATTCAGTTATAGCAACAGAAAACTAGGACACCAGCCAAGCAGGATTCCTGCTGAATATTGGCCAGGGTGATTAGACATCACCTGGGAGATAGTGGAGGATGAGAACCCTGATCAGATATCGAGCATATCTGTTTGAGATACTGATTTCCTTTCCTTTGGATAGATATCCAGTTGTAGGTTTGCTGGATCATATGGTAGTTCTATTGTTAATTTTTAAAGAAGCCTCTATTCTGGTTTCCATTATTTCCACCAATAGTGTACAAAGGTTCCCTCCTCTGCACCCTCACCAACACTTAACCTCTTGTTTTTTCCATAATAGCCATCCTAAGAGGTGTGAGCTAATAGATCATTGCAGTTTGATTTGCATTTCTCTGATTAGTGATACTAAGCACTTTTTAATATACCTGTCAACCATTTGTATGTTTTAAAAATGGTAGATTCAATTTCGTTGCCCATTAAATTTTTTTTTTTTTTTTTTTTTTTTTTTGCCATTAAGCTGGTGAGTTCCTTATAGATTTTGGATACTTAACCCCTTATCACAAATATGGTTTGCAAATATTTTCTACTATTTTGTAGGTTGTTTTTTCGTTTTGTTGATTTTTTTCTTTTTTTCGTGCAAGAAGCTTTTTAGTGTGATATAGTCACACGTATTTTTGCTTTTGTTGCCTGTGCCTTTGGTGTAGTATTCAAAAAATTATTGCCAAGACCAAAGTCAAAGAGCTGTTTTGTCCCCTATGTTTTCTTGTGGGAGTTCTACAGTCTCAGACCTTATATTTTCAGTTGTTATTCATTTTGAGTTACTGATTGTATATGGTGTACAACAAGGATCCAATTTCATTCTTCTGCGTGCGGCTATCCAGTTTTCCCAGCAACATTTTTTGAAGAGGCTTTCCATTTCCGTTTCTCATTGTGTATTGTTGTCAAAGCTTATTTGACCGTGGAAGCATGGGTTTATTTTTGGGTGTTCTGTTGCATTGGTGTGTGTTTCTGTTTTTATACCAGAACCATACTTTTTTTATTATTACCATAGCTTTGTAAGATGCTTTTAAATCAAGAATTGTGATACCTCCAGCTTTGTTCTTTCTCAAAATGCTTAGCTATTTGTGGTCTTTTTATGTTCCCTACAAATTTTGGGAGTTTTTTTTTTTGTGTTGAAAATTTCATTGGAATTTTGATAGGTATAAGTCACGGTTATTTAAGTTGAACAGCCTTTTTCTAATAACAACTGGTAATATAGGTGTTTATATCCTGACTCAGGTTCCTGTGCCAGATTTTTAAAGATAAATTTGAGTGCCTTGTAATATTGACTAATAAACTGTTAGGCATAATTTAATGCATTTTCAGTGCCAATAAAAATCACCTTATTGAAGCAATGTGATAATATTATAAAACTGTCAATATTATACAGTGTCATTAGCTATATAAAGGATATGAGATTTTCTTTTGTATAAACAGTCAAAATTGGAAAATAAAGGAATAGTTGTAGGCTGGGTGTGGTGGATCACACCTATAATCCTAGCACATGGGGAGGCCAAGGTGGGAGGATCACCTGAAGTCAGGTGTTCAAGACCCACCTGAACATAGTGAGACCTTGTCTCTACAAAAATTTTTAAAAATCAGCTGGGTGTGGTGGTGTGCCCCTATGGTCTCAGCTGTTTGAGAGGCTGAGGCAGGAGGATTGCTTGAGCCTAGGAGGTTGAGGCTGCAGTGAGCCATCATTGTTCCACTGCACTCCAGCCTGGGAGACAGAATGAGACATTGTGTCTTTAAAGAGAAAAAGGAATAGCTTTATTAAAATGGTCCTGGAATGTGGAAAAAATGTCTTTGGATAGATTTTGATAGATGTTAAGAAAATACTCTTAGGGGTCAGGCTCAGTGGCTCACGCCTGTAATCCCAGCGCTTTCAGAGGCCGAGGTGGGTGGATCATGAGGTCAGGAGATTGAGACTGTCCTGGCTAACATTGTGAAACCTCGTCTCTACTAAAAATACAAAAAATTAGCCGGGTGTGGTGGCAGGCGCCTGTAGTCCCAGCTACTTGGGAGGCTGAGGCAAGAGAATTGCTTGAACCCAGGAGGCGGAAGTTGCAGTGAGCCTAGATTGTGCCATTGCATTCCAGCCTGGGCAACAGAGCGAGATTCTGTCTCGGAAAAAAAAAGAAAATACTCTTAGAGTCACTTGAAACACTTTGAGAAACTCCTTGTGGGTCATCTTTTGGCCTATCTCTTTCCTTATAAAATATCTACAAGAAAACTCAATCTTTAGAGAGAAAACTTTGTGAAATTATTTTTCTCCTTTTTTTTTCTGTTGCCACTTTGTTCTCTAGTGTTTAAAATTTAAAGATTTTATTGAGGAGAGTGATTTACAATCAGACCTTAAGCAGTTAGGGAGCTCAGCCTGCGGTGTTTGAGGGGAAAGCTAATATAGGGTAAATGCAGAAGCAGCGCAAAGAAATTATTTGATTTCTTAATGTTTGAGCAGTTGCCTTATTTGGACTAAGTGGGAAGTTCAAGACATTGTAACTAATACCTATTTGGCCACCTGTGATTGGCTGAGTGTGTTTCATTTTCATTAGGAAGCCGGGTTTGTTTAATTTTAATTCTTTTGAGTTATGTGTAGCAATCTATTTGTATAAATATAAATTGTAAAAAAAAATTATGTAAGTGAACCACCTGTGTTATGTTCCAAAATTTTCTATTTTTTATGTTGTTCCTCATTGCCTTCATTGTATCAGAGACTAAAATCATGGGTATTAATGAAAGCAAGTAAAATAATAGTGAGTTTGCTTTACAGTGAATCAATAAAGTCTGGTGCACTCAAGAAATTCAAGGAATCCAAAGGTGGTGCTGTCCTGTGGTAAAGATAAGTTGCAAAGAGTAGAATATAATTTTTGTGCACTGTGGGCTTTTTACTTGATACAGTTGGCTGGCCCTTAGAGGTCAAGTATTGCTTTTGATGTTATTGGAATGTTGGAAAATATCAGAAAATCCTAGAATGACGAATACGGGTAGTTCATTTGGTGCAAATCAACCCAGCTCAATTTGTTAATATAACAAATAGAATGTGTAAAATAAAGCTTTGGAGGTGGGTGTAATATTTTCCATGAGACACTTAACGTAGTACGTAAATATATCAGGCAGCCTAGTGTGTCAAGTACTGTGGGTATGGTAGACAACAGATTAGTTAAATCTCTGCTCTCGAGAAACCTGATGTGTGTGTGTGTGTGTGTGTGTGTGTGTAAGTCTGATGTTCTCTTGGGTGCGATAGTATATGAGTTGGTGATAGTGCTGTCTTGTAGAAAAATAAAGCTAGGTAAAGGAGGAAGTAGTAAGATATGCTTGGGAAGTAGGAGTTGCTTTTTTATGTAACAATGAGGAAGCTAAGCCTGTGGCTTTGGGAGTGAGGGAAGTGTGTTCTAGGCAGAGAACAGTAAATGTCCAGGCCTTATGGTGAGAGTGTTTGTTTAAACAAGTTAGCTACCAGTGTGTTTCTGGTGGGAAAGTAATGCAAGATGAGTTCAGGGAAGGAGTAACGAGTTGACCTAAGAAGGAAACGGAGGCAAAATTAATATAGAGATTTCCTTTGGACCAAGGTTGAGCACTGCAGCCCCAAAAACACTGGGAGGTGTTCTGTTTAGCATTTGTGACAAGCAAGTTTGTAAAGACAAGGAAACAAGGAGTGGGCTGATACAAGGATGTTTGATGGCAGTTCCCACTGGTTTACAGAAATAACACTGATTATTGTTATCGTTAATGATAAGGGATAAGTTAAGGTGTCCAGCATATCATTGTTAGGTTAATTTACGGCTACTTGGTGTCAGTCTAGAACCCACATAGCAAGAAACTTCAAGAGGTGATTAGTTAGCTTGAGCGGGGAGTGAGACATGACTTCGTGTCACATTTCATTGCCTCTCTGGGCCTGATGAAAGGGTTCACATTCCTCAGATAGATGTTTCTTTTCTTTCTCACAAGGGCTAGATCATGTAAGGTCTTGCAGGCTTTTGGAAAGGATTTTGGTTTTTCCTCTGAATAGAATGACTTGGATTAGGGTAATGACAATAGATGTAATGTGATTCTGGATAATTTTGAAAGAATCAACTGACTGATGAACTGGAAGTTAAGAACGAAGAATAAGGCCAGGCGTGGTGGCTCATGCTTGTAATCCCAGCACTTTGGGAGGCTGACATGGGAGGATTGCTTGAGCCCAGGAGTTCGAGACCAGGCTAGGCAACATAGTGAGACTCTGTTTCTGCAAAAAATAAAATAAAAAATTTAAAAATTAGCCAGGCATGGTGGTAGGCACCTGTAGTACCAGCTGCTAGGGGATGGGAGGCACCTGAGGGGGCAATCACAGATAGCTTGAGACTAGGAGGTCTAGCGAGCCGTCCTGATGCCACTGTATTCCAGCCTGGGCAACAAAGCGAGATCCTGTCGGGAGTTAGGAGTGTGTGTGGGGGGCACGATTTTAAGCCGAAGCAGGCATTAGCTGGAATTGCTTATTGAGATGAGGAAGACTATAGAGCAAAATGTTTGTGGTGTGAAGAGAATCGGGAATTTTGTTTTTTTGTGTCGTCTTATGCCTGAGATTCTGGTTTAGACACCAAACAGATGTTGAGTAGGCAAATAAGTAGGTAGAGTCTAGAGTCGAAGGCACAGATTTGGGCTGAGGTTATCTGCATGTACATGGAATTTAAAACCGTGAAACTAGTATATTCCACCCAGACTCTTAAAGAAATTGAGTAAAGACCAGGAACCTGCAGACTCTGTAAAGGACACATGTAAATATTTTTGGCTTTGCTGCTATAGAGTCTCTTGCAAACGTAGTAGTATTCAAGTCTGCCTATATAGTGTAAAAGCAGCCACAGGCAAGATGGAAGTGAAGGGGTGTTGCCAGCTTTGACCAGTAGGCAGATTTTCCTAATTTGTACACTCCTGCTGTAGACAGGAAGTTAAGGCTTTGGGGGGATCCCTGTGTTACTATGTTGAGGAGGCAAGGATATGAGGAGAGACTAGCAAATGAGACCGAGAAGGAGTGGCATGTGAGGTAGGAAGAGAACCTAGAGAATGTCTACTGAATGCCAGATGAAGAGAATGTCTACTGAATGCCAGATGAAGAGGATGTCTCAAGGATATGTGAGTGTATACTGTGTCTAGGTCTGCCAGTAGATCAGATACTGTAATAACTGAAAATCTGCAACCTAGAGGGCATTGACATTGCTGGAGAGCAGTTATCAGTGGACTTGGGAATATTTCAAAATATTTTAGCTTATGTTCTATCTTTTAACATGAAATATTGATGGCCAAGTTACACAAACAGTAATACAAGGTGATGATCAGCTACAGCTCTCCAGAACTGGGTACTCGCCACTCAATTACACATAAAGGAAGCCCCCATGTACTACCTGTTCTCAGTCATTTTATTCTCTAACCCTTCTCTTCCCAGAATTGTCCTGATTTTGTCATTCCCATAATTTGACTATCTTGTTTCTAGTTTGGATTTATCCAAAATGCAGTTTTACAGATTTTCCTTTGACAAGAATTTAATCCAAAATGAAAAGTTCACTTTTAAATGTTTTTTTTTTAAAGATGGCATAAACGATTTACATTAGAGCACGTGTGTATTTAATGGAATTTGACCCTGTGGGAAAAAAGGATTATGGAACTTTTAAGTTTTTTCGCTAGGTGGGATAATGGGTGAAATAATACAGGTTTTTTGAAACCCCGGCGTCTTTAACCCCTGGGCCACAGACCAGTACCTTTCTGTGGCCTGTTAGCAATCAGGCTTCACAGCAGGAGGTGAGCGGCAGTTGAGCAAGCATTGGAGCCGGAGTTCCGCCTCCTGTCAGATCAGCCACGGCATTAGATTCTCATAGGAGCATGAGAACCCTATTGTGAACTGTGCATGCGAGGAATCTAGGTTATGTACTCCTTATGAGAATCTAACTAATGCCTTATCTGAGGTGGAATCGTTTCACCCCAAAACCATCAACACCTTCCCAACCACCCTCTACCCTCATTGAATTGGAATTGTTGGGAAGAAGGGTAAGGATGAGAAGCAGGTAGGGTGCAGAGACTAGGAGCTGAGTATGATCTGTGATATGCTACAGACAGCTGAGATTAGTTCTGTTTTCTAATAGATTTTCTTTTTGAGATGGAGTCACGTGCTCTGTCACCCAGGTTGGAGTGCAGTGGCGCCATCTTGGTTCACTGCAACTTTGCCTCCTGAGTTCAAGTGATTCTCCTGCCTCAACTTCCTGAGTAGCTGGGATTGTAGGTGTGCGCAACCACATCTGGCTAATTTTTATATTTTTAGTAGAGACGGGGTTTCACCATGTTAGCCAGGCTGGTCTCGAACTCTGACCTCAAGTAATCCGCCCACCTCAGCCTCCCAAAGTGTTGGGATTACAGGCATCAGCCACCAGGCCCAGCCAATTTTCTAGTAGATTTTCTATGTGTTTTTTTCCAGTTTCTTAAGAGCAGTGACAATATTTGAAAATTTGTTGCAAATATAATGATTGATCATTTTACAACCATGATTTTTTGGTCTGATATAGTGATTGATCTGGTATTTTACAACATGATTTTTGGTCTGGTATGTATTGTCTTTGCACATAGGAGATGCTGAATGATATGGTGATTTAGTAAGTGTTATTAATGTTTCTGAATTTGAATATATTTTCAGAACATATTTTTATGAGATAAGAAAGGTAGTAAACATTAATAAAGCTGAAAACATTTAGGCATTTCATTCTGTGCTTATTTGAAGAGGTTAAACTAATTACATTATGGCTATACTGTAACCAAATATCAGATGTTGTATAAATTGTAGTGCATTAATGACAGTGATAGAATGAAAATAACAAAGTTAGCATTAGGGCAAAACCTCTAGCCTGTGGTTGTCTTCCCAGTTTGTGGCTTTGGGCTTTTTTTTTCTTTAATGCTGTTTTTCAAACTGTGAAAAATGTATTTTTTACTACCTTCTGCAAAGATTTTCTTGAAAAATAAATAACGGTGAAATCTGTAACAATTACTAGTGTGCAGCGGGTGATCAAAAATTTTATTTTCTTTTGTGTTTTATGTTTGAGTAAAACTCTTTGGAGTTAGGTACAAAGAACTATATTACTCTTTCAGCATGACTCTTTTATTCAATTTTATTTTTTGTAGAGATAGGGTTTCACCATGTTGGCCAGGGTGGTCTCGAACTCCTGACCTCAAGTGATCTGCCTGCCTTGGCCTCCCAAAGTGCTGGGATTACAGGTGTGAGTCACCGCATGTGGCCGAGCATTTTAGCATTACTCTTTTCAAGTAATTTGATTCTTTTCCTTCTAGTTGGGAAGATTAGTAATACCCAGTGTTCCTATCTTTTCTTAATTTTCACTTAATGGCCAACCTTAGTGATTATGTTCTAGGAGGTAGAACAAGTGAGGTTTTAGAGGAAAAACAAAAGAGTTAATAGTTCTCTATTTTAGGAAATATTTGTTAGAATTCTTAAAATGCTATATTTTGTAACAGTAATCAGTTAAGTTTGGGAATTTTTATAGTATATTTTGACATAAGGTATCTTTAGTCTTTTTGGTTCTTCAACATGTTTTAGATTTGTGGCAGTTTAATGATAGCAACACAAGAGATTTAGTATACAGTGGGTTTGTTTGTTTTTTGTTTTTGTTTTTTTGAGACGGAGTTTTGCTCTGTCACCCAGGCTGGAGTGCAGTGGCGCGATCTCCGCTCACTGCAGCCTCCGCCTCCTGGGTTCAAGCAATTCTCCTGCCTCAGCCTCCTGAGTAGCTGGGACTACAAGTGCATGCTGCCTACACCCAGCTTTTTTTTTTTTTTTTTTTTTTTTTTTTTGTATTTTTAGTAGAGACGGGGTTTCAACATGTTGGCCAGGATGGTCGTGATCTCCTGACCTCGTGATCCGCTGCCTTGGTCTCCCAAAGTGCTGGAATTAAAAGCGTGAGCCACTGTGCCCAGCTTAGTATACAGTATTTTTAACAAGAATTATAGTAAAATATTATTTGAATAGAGGCTTGTTTTCTGAAACACCATCCAATCTGAAAGTAGAAGAAAAAGGCTGGGTGTGGTGGCTCATGCCTGTAACCCCAGCACTTTGGGAAGCTGAGGCGGGCGGATCCCTTGAGCTCAGTTTGAGACCAGGCTGGGCAACTCCATCTTTACCAAAAAATACAAAAATGAGCCAGGCATGGTGGTGTACACCTGTAGTCCCAGCAACTCTGGAGGCTGAGGTGGGAGGAAGGCTTAAGCCTAGGAGGTGGAGGTTGCAATGAGCCAAGATTGTGCCACTGCACGATAGAGCCAGACCTTGTCTCAAAAAAACAAAACCAAACAAAACAAAAACCCTAGGAACAAGAACAATGGGAAGGGAAAATGTCCTGTGGTCAGATACTGTTGTTGTAGCTAGAAGGCAAAAATGAGTTTTTGGATTAAGTTTTGATGCTGACTGAAGTCATAGAGATGGAAGAAGAGAAGACAGAGAAGGCCATGGTGGTTAGAGGAGTAGTGGGAGTGATGAAAACACATTAGTGGAAATTAAGGAATGTTAGTGGGGATACTGAGGAGCAGTGACAAAAGAACATCCACCAACAATGTCTTTATCATTAGGGACAAGGAGAACAATACCACACTACTCATGCTTGTTAATAGGCAGGAGAATAGACATAAAGGTTATACTTGGGTTTAAACCTCACCTGTTTATATTTAGCTAGTTTTTTAGGGGAAGAAAAATCTATTTTGAGATAATTGTAGATTTACCTGCAATTATGAAATAATACTGCAGAGAAATTCAGTATACCCTTCATCCAGTTTGCCACAATGGCATCACCTTGCGTAGCTGTAGTATATTATGACAGCCTCAAAATTGATAATGATAATCCCCATTGTCTCTATTGAGATTTTACTAGATTTGCATGCAGTGTGTGTGTCTGTATTTTGTTCCATGCAGGGTTGGTTGTTGTTTTTTGCATGAATACGTTAAGGTGACTACCGCCACGGTCAAGATACAGAGCAGTTCCATCACAAGAATTCTTTGTGCTACTCTTTTAAAGGCACAGCCTAACCTTCCATAACCCTTAGTAACTACTAATCTGTTCTCAGCCTCTCTAGTTTTGTCATTTCAGGAATGTGTTATGTATAAATGGTATAGCATTACCCTTTTGAAATGTGCTTTTTTTCACTCAGCAAAATTGCCTTGAAAACCATCCAAGTTGTTATATGTTCCTGTTTTAACCGCTGGTTTGAATGTCCCACAATTTGTTTAACCATACGCCATTGAAGGAAATGTGGATCGTTTCCAGGTTAAGGCTGTTAGCAGTACAGCTCTTATAACATTCATGTACAGATTCTTGTGTGAACATAACTTTTTGTATCTCTGTGATAAATTCCCAAGAGTGCAACTGCAAAATTCATATGGTAGGTTAGCTGCTTAACATTTTTTACTTTTGTTTTAAAGAGATAGGGTCTTGTTCTGTCACCCAGGCTGGAGTGCAGTGGCTCAATCATAGCTCACTGCAGCCTGGAACTCCTGGGCTCAAGCAATCCTCTTGCCTCAGCCTCTGGAGTAGCTGGGACTACAGGTGTGCACCACCCCACCCAGCTCTGCTTAATGTTCTAGTGACAGTTAAAAGCAGAATAATCTTCACTTATTGTCATCAATTATCAAATAATATTATTATAAATTGTTACTGTTTTTATCTGTTGTCTTCTCATTACATTTTTCTGTAGGTTATTATGGAAATACCTGAATTTTTAAAAGGAATTTGCTAGATGCTAATTTTTAAATGTACCAAATTAGCTTTTCATTTTGCTCATAAAATAACACAAGCAGCTCTTTCTGTACAACCTGCACTTTAATTTTGGTCAGTACATACTGTATAACAAATACACTTCTTGTTTAATGTATTTAAGGTAATTTATTTTGAGCCTGTCAAACTCTTGAGCTAGTATGTTTTTACAGGTAATTTTGCTGCCACTCTGTATTTTCGAGATGTTTAAAAATATTAGAGTGTGCAGAAAGCAGGAGCACAATCTAGAATCTGACATTTATACCAAAGTTTCATACTTATAGTACTGCCATTGTGTTAAAAAAAAATTAGAGTAAAATATAGTACTGAAGGCTACTTACTCTGCCTTAGACGACGTAGGAGACTTGAATCTTAAAAAGCACTTCAGTTTTGTTTGATGCCTAATAAAGCTTGGAAAGTCAGACAAAGCTCCAGGGAAGAATACTTTCTGTCTTACTCTTTTGGTGTCTTATACCAGCTTTGGCATATAATAAATGTTCAATAAATTAAATGTTTGTTAAGTGAGTATTGTGTGTGCACGTGTGTGTGTGCATATGCTGGGAGTAGGGTGGGGCAAGTGTTGACTGTTTTTATAAAAAAATAGAAAAAGTGTGAGGAATATATTTTGAGTAAATATTTACTGTATAATGTCAGTCCTTGGACACAAAACAAATTAAGTTGTCAAAATAAGCACATGGTAATCAGAGTGGCTATTGATCTCAGACAGTAAGCAGGTGAGTTTAGCTGGATTTGGTGTACACTGTCAGTCCTCAAAGTACAGCTACTCCATTTGTGAATGTATGTTGATTTTTCTTATGATTGTCTGTATTCTGTAGTTTCCTCTCCCCCAGTGTATTCGAGAATGTCTTCCTATTGCTTTTACTCATGAATGACATCTTAGATTGGAAAATAATTTTCTGGGTCACATCCAGTTTTTTTCTCTTACCATAAGACATTACTCCATTGTCTTCTGGCATTTAGTGTTACTGTGGAAAAGTCCAAGGTCAGCCCATTTTTGTTTTGTAAGTGATATGCTTCTGCTGGGATGCTTTTAGAATTTTTGTTAATGGGTAAAATTCAGCAGCTCCACCAGGATATGAGGACATGTGTCAGTTTTTTTCAGTTCTTTATTTTTGCTGGTATGTGGTGAGTCCTTTTCAATCTGCAGATTCAGATCTTCTTTTATTTCAGGGAAGTTTTGTTTTATTATCCCCTTGAATGTCCTCCCTGTTTTTTTTTTTTTCAGGACCTTCAGTTTTGCATATATTGGCTTCATCTTTCATATTGGGCATCTTATCTCTAAGTACTTTACATTTTTGTCTTATGTGCTTTATGGTATTTCTCTGTTCTGTTTCCTTATGATTGACATTGCTTTCAGTCATGTTATTCTTTTGCTACTTCTAATGTGGTTTTATTTTTAAATAATTTCATCTTTTTCCTTAAGTTCCTCTAAATTCCAGCTCTTTTTTTTTTTCTTTTTTGTTGGGGGGACTTTATCTAAAGTTTTTGGTTTCCTGAAATTTCTTTCGAAGTATATTTTCTTTATGTTGTATACCCCCACTTCCATGTCTGTACAGGCTTTGTGTGTGTTTGTTTTGAGTGGATCCAGTGTGGATAGTATGATTAGATACTCTCTGATTCTGCGTCTTACTCTTTTGGACACTATTTTAATTGTGCCCTTAAAATTTGGTGTTTGTAATCTGAGGCCAGGTTAAGGAAAGAGCTATGAAAGGCATTTATTTGGAAGAGAGTGATAAAGTGAGGAGGTTATATATTTACTCTGAAGGTTTACAGTATTTGATGAAGTCTCTTCTTAGAGATTACACCTGGGGATCCAGGCAAAGATGTAGGGTGGCGCAGGGCTCCCTTCTGACAATTCTCTACATCACTGGGCCAAAAAAAGGCAGTTTATTGGTACAGATGACCCTTCTCTCCCACCTCTTCTGCCTGCCATAAGTTTTCAAAATATGTAGCCTTGACAAGAATTGGAACTTGTACCTTCCTGCATTTCAGTGTGGGCTTTTCTTTTTTTTCTTTCTTTCTTTAAATGGAGATGAGGTCCCACTTTATAGCCCAAGCTGGAGTGCAGTGGCACTATCATGGCTCACTGCAGCCTTGACCTCCTCAGCTTAAGTGATCCTCCCACTCCAGCCTCCCAAGTAGCTGAGACTAAAGGCAGGTACCACCACACCGTTGTAGAGATGGGGGTCTCGCTATGTTGCCCAAGCTGGTCTCGAACTCCTGGGCTCAAGTGATCCGCCCACCCTGGCCTCCCAAAGCACTGGGATTACAGGCCTGAGCCACCTCGCCCGGCCTCAGTATGGATTTAATTTGTCTCTTGAAACCATTTGTCAGAGACGGTTTGTTGAGTTATGACTTGCCTTGTTAGATTTGATTACATATTCTTTTTGGTCCCTTTAGTTATTTTTGATAGGTGTTATAGAGGGCAAATACAGAAACATATTCTCAAACTGTCTTCTTTTTGAAAGTTTACTTTTAACGTAATTTTCAGTGTCAGTTTGCTGTCGGATTCATCTGAGTTGTTTGCAAAAATACATTATTCCAGTTGCTGAATTAATGGCTTTTTAAGTCAATTGGAAATAGGTCTTTTAAGATAACTTTCATATGATTATTTCAATATTAGATACTAAGTTCTTTTTTTGTTGTTGTTGTTTTGAGATGGAGTCTTGCACTGTCAGCCGGGCTGGTGTGCAGTGGCACGGTCTTGGCTCGCTGCAACCTCCACCTCCCGGGTTCAAGCAATTTTCCTGTCTCAGCCTCCTGAGTAGCTAGGATTACAGGCACCCGCCACCATGCCAGGCTAATTTTTTTTTTTTAATACTTCAAGTTCTAGGGTACATGTGCACAACGTGAGGTTTGTTACATATGTATACGTGTTCCATCATGGTGTGCTGCACCCATTAACTTGTCATTTACATTAGGTATATCTCCTAATGCTATCCCTCCCCTCTCCCCACACCCCACGACAGGCCCTGGTGTGTGATGTTCCCCTTATGTCAGGCTTATTTATTACAGAGACGGGGTTTCACTATGCTGACCAGGCTGCTCTTGAACTCCTGACCTCATGATCCGCCCACCTTGGCCTCCCAAAGTGCTGGGATTACAGGCATGAGCCACTGTGCCCGGCCTAAGTTCTTTTTATATGAGTTGGGAATTCCAACACCCAGATAAATAGTAATTAGAGAACATATATGTCCCTGTGATTACATACAATATATGCATTGTACATGTGGATTACATACAATATATGCATTGTACATGTGGAGTTGCTGTTAAAAATGATGGTGTAAGAGGCACATTTATTGATGAATGAAGAAGTTCCTGGATACTAAATAGAAAAATCCCCACACAAAGTAGCATGATTCTATTTTTGGTTACAATATGTACATATAGAAAAACTATAAGGAGACTCACCTTTTCTAAGTGTTTTTCTATAGCCTGTTAATACTAATAACTGTTCTTTATAGAAAATCAGATAAAATAGTACTGCAGTTTTTAAAAATAATGGTAAAAATAGATTTATGAGAATTTCGTTCTTGTGCCTGGTGGTAAATGATCATTATGCAAAAACTTTTTCATATTAAGGAAACATTCATCTATTCCTACAATTAGTTGTTAATGCTTTGTTGGAAATCTGTTTGAATGTTATCAACTGCTCTCTTTTGATAGCATATTTTAAAGACATAAACATTTAAGAATTATATTTTTGCCAGTCTGATTATTCAGCCATTTTGTATTCCTGTGCTAAGGGGTGTATATAGTTGTGAATTCTCTTATTCTATTGTTTGTCGGCATTTTGCAGTTGATTACTTTTATGATTGAATCTGTTTCTGGAGCATATATACACTGAGAATTAATCTCTGAATGTTTGAAACAGTTCCTCAGTGAACTTCTATAATCTAGTTCGGCTAGAGCTGTGGCTGGGCAAGGAGGTTGGTGGGGAATGCAAAGATTGGGACTGAAGGGAGAGTGAAGAGATATGTCTAGAGATGTTGTCATACATATGGTTTGTTGGGGCTTCCCCTCCAGTAATCATTGAGATTCTGTTTTTATCTTTAGTACAGTACTTTATAGTAAGTAACATTTCCATCTGTTTCTTTTTGTGTATAAAATTGGTTTAGGCAGTGTGGCAATATGTACTTTCCCTTGAATAAACAACCATTTCATAGTTCAACAGCACCAAAAGTGTCCAATATTGGGTTATCAATGGCTCTATCCAAAAATGCACCTCTGGTTGTCTCAGCATAAAAGCAGGATGACTAAGCACCCAAAACAGATGGAGTTTTAGAATAAATACTGCTTTGTGAGCACATGTCTCAGCTGAGACACATGAGCAGTATTGAAATTGCCTTATCTGTAAGGGAGAATTTACTTAAAGTTTTCCTTGAGGTAACTCTGCTGTAATACGCTACCTTTTTTCTCTCTTTAATACCACATATTTTTGGGAAAAGTACTATTCCAATTTATTTTATTTTGTACAGATAATAGAGTGGAGGCTAGAGTAATTTTAAAGTTACTAGTTACCAACTTTTATTCTAAGTATTTTTAGTGGGTATTACAGGTATAGTGTGTTGTCTTAAAACTTTTTTGCTATGCTTATAATAGTTGTATTTAATAGATGATGTTTATATTCTTGGATATGACACTAAGATTTGTTATCTCCAGCCTTCGGCAGCTCATCTGCAGACACTCTCTGTATCCCTTATTATTAAATGATGCTGTATGGAGCCCAGAGGGTCTAAGAACAGACTGAATTAAGAGTTGATCCTTAATCACCCACTATCCTGTTGCAATAGGAGCAGCTCTGCTTTTAAGTATTGGACTTTCATTCATGCATTTATTTTATTTTGGAGTGTACTGTCAGATCTGGGCACTGTTGTAATTATGAAATTATTCCAGTGGCATGTCAGGAAGATCCCTGTCCTCAGAGTTTCTCTTCTAGTGGAAGAGACAGACAATATAAAATATATAAAAGGATAATTGTGTGATAAGGAAATAGTGATTCAAACAGTAGTGTTAGTGACGTAGGCAGAGTAGTTACATTGGTCAGGGAAAGGCTGACTTATGAATTAACACCTGAAGGATGAACAGCCAGCCATATAAGGAAAGAACTCTGTGGCTTTAAATAGTTGGGGAAAAAATTAGATAACTGTTTTTCTAGAAAGACTCTTCTTCTTTAGTTGTGTTATCCTTAAAGATATACTTTTTTTTTTTTTTTTTTTTTTTTTTTTGAGTTGGAGTCTCACTCTGTCACCCAGGCTGGAGTTCAGTGGCGCGATCTTGGCTCACTGCAACCTCGGCCTCCTGGGTTCAGACGATTCTCCTGCCTTGGCCTCTTCGAGTAGCTGGGACTACAGGCGCTCGCCACCACACCTGGGGTTTCGCCATGTTGGCCAGGCTGGTCTTGAACTCCTGACCTCACGTGATCCACCCACCTTGGCCTCCCAGAGTGCTGGAATTACAGGCGTGAGCCACCATGCCTGGCCCTTAAATATATACTTTTCATGTGCTTTTTTGTGATGCCGCGAGTACTATTCAGAAGCATCGAAAAATGCTTAAAAGTGAAAAGTAAATAATTTTGAGAATTTGTTATTCAGAAGATGAGATCTGTTCTTTCTTTAGTTTAGTATCCAAGGCCCCTTAGTAGTCTAGCATAACAGCTTTACACATCTGTTACATCGCAGGTACAGTAACCGTGTTCCTGTCAGACTGTTGTACTTTGCCCTCTGAATCTTTATCACCATGTACTTTCCTACTTTTATGCTGTTGTTCATAATGTGTCCCTTGACTGAAGGTTGTTGTCTACTGTACCAAGTTGAAATCTTCTGTGTGAGATGATTTTTGTAGCTTGCCTTACTTTACTATCTTAATGTAACTCAGACAGATGAAAGCGCAGCATGTACTTGAAGATTGCTTTGTGCTCATTTTCACTCCTTTTCAGATTGAGAGGTGAGTTCCATGTGGCTTCCAAAGTTGAAATCCACTTCTTGGTTAATTAGGGTCAGGAGGTAAAATTACTTGGAGACACCTATGTGTATGCAGGTACCTGCCTCTGTTTCTTTTTGCCTTCTGTTCTTGTAACTCTAATCAGTCAGCTTGGAAAAGGGATAATACTCAGTTTTTTAGCTATATTACTTGCTCACCTTTTAGAATCTTATTATAATTTGATAAATTTTTATAAAACTTACTGTTTTACACTAACCTATATTTTTTCTCTCAGAGGAATGCTTTCCTCCCTTAGAATAACTACTTAATTTAAAAATAAAACAGGGAGCAATATAGGATGTAATTACACTGCATAAAAGCAGCTGTTGTCCAGGCACAGTGGCTCAGGCCTGTAATCCCAGCACTTTGGGAGGCCGAGGCGGGTGGATCACGAGGTTAGGAGTTCAAGACCAGCCTGGCCAAGATGGTGAAACCCCATCTCTACTAAAAGTACAAAAATTAGCCGGGCTTGGTGGCAGGTGCATGTAATCCCAGCTACTTGAGAGGCCGAGGCAGGAGAATTGCTTGAACCTGGGCAGCAGATTTTGCAGTGAGCCGAGATCGCACCACTGCACTCCAGCCTGGGCAACAGAGTGAGACTCTGTCTCCAAAAAAAAAAAAAAAAAGCCATTAAGGAGAGATGTGTGCTATGATGGGGGCTTGCTTTAAATTTGGTGGTCAAGAAAGGCTTTTCTGAGGATGTGACATTTAAGCTGAGAAATCAAACATGACCAAGAAATAGAGTGGGAGATAGAGGAGAGTAGATACAGAATGTATAAAGGATCTAAAAATCTTACTCTTGGCTGGGTGTGGTGGCTCACACCTGTAATCCCACACTTTGGGAGGTGGAGGTGGGCTGATCACTTGAGGTCAGAAGTTCCAGACCAGCCTGGGCAATATGGTGAAACCCCGTCTCTACTAAAAATACAAAAATTAGCCTGGCGTGGTAGTGGGCACCTGTAATCCCAGCTACTTGGGAGGCTGAGGCAGGAGAATTGCTTGAACCCGGGAGGCAGAGGTTGCGGTGAGCCAAGGTTGCACCATTGCACTCCAGCCTTGGCGATGAGAGCGAAACTCAGTCTCAGCAACAACAACAAAAACCTTACTCTTGAAATCTTAGCTAATTCCTTAGTGAAAAGTCAGATGGCAGGGGTCAAAAGAAGTTAGAAACATTCATAAGTATCTCATTTTAGACTTTGTTGTGATTATTTCAGCTGTGTACAGTGTCAGGCAATATCTTATTTGACAAGTGACCACAGGTGGGCCCCCACCTAGGTAGAGGCAAAATCTGAAGTGAAGCCCAGATTGCCTGATTGCTAGTCTCACTAAAGGAGTGGCTCTTAACATGGTTAGACCAGCCATCTCTTTTAAAAAATATTTTACATGGCTATTTTTTTTTCTATTTTTAAGATATTTGTTAGTATTATTGTAGAGACAGAATCTCTCCCTATATTTCCCTAGGCTGGTCTGGAATTCCTGATTATTTTTAAAAATCGAGATGAAATTCACATAACAATTGTCATCTCCCCCCCAAAATTACTGTATACCCATTAGCAGTCACTTTCATTTTTTCTTCTCAAAGCCCAACTCCCCAATTACTGATCTACTTTCTGTCTCTCTAGATTTTTGTTTTCTGGATATGTCATATAAACTGATTACACAGTATGTGGTCTTTTGTGACTGGCTTCTTTCACTTAGTGTTTGCAAAGCTCACCCATATTGTTTTACATATCAGTACTTAGGCTTTCGCTTCCTAGGTTAAAATTTTACTCCAGTAATTCTCAGAGCCTATAAGGTACATTTAAGCCATAAGAGAATGTCAGTACAGCTTATTCCAGATTCACAGTCGTGCACCACTTTCTATTCAAAGCATCCCATGGGATTAGGTGTTGAGAACTGAAGAATTAAGGACTGTGTCTAAGCTAGACAAATTAAAGTCACATGTATAGTAGATTGCTTTTTTTGGTGGGGGCGTAAGTTTTATTTATGTGTAATTCACATACCATACCATTCAGCCATTTGAAGTGTATAGTTCACTGATTTTTAATATATTCACAGTTAGTAGTCACCAATGTTCTAAATCAACTTTAGAATATTTATATCACTTACAAACCCTTTAACTGTCATCCCCCAACACCCCCCTCACCCTCAGCTCTAAGAAACTATTACTGCATTTTCTGTCTCGACAGGTTTGTCTATTCTTAATGTTTTGAATAAATGGGCTCATACCATATTTGATCTTTTGTGACTGGGGTATTTCACTTGGCATATTTTTGAGATTCATTTATGTTGTAGCATGTATTAGTACTCATTTCTTTTTGTTGCTAAATGATATTCTGTTGCATGATTATGCCACATTTTCTTGTCAATTGGTAAACATTTGGTTTTTATTTTTTGACTTTAAGAATAATGCATTATGTGTTTTTTTGTTTTGTTTTGTTTTTGTTTTTTTTAGACAGTCTTGCTCTGTGTACAGTGTCACGATCTCGGCTCACTACAACCTCCGCCTCCCAGGTTCCAGTGATTCTCCTGCCTCTGCCTCCCAAGTAGCTGGGATTACAGGCATGCGTCACCACACCTGGCTTATTTTTGTATTTTTAGTAGAGGCGGGGTTTCCCCATGTTGGCCAGGCTGGTCTCAAACTCCTGACCTCGGGCAGTCCGCCTGCCTTGGCTGCCCAAAGTGCTGAGCTTACAGGAGTGAGCCAGTGTGCACGGCCTGTTGCTGTTTTTGAGACAGTGTCTCATTCTGTTGCCCAGGCTGGACTGCAGTGGTGCAATCTCAGCTCACTGCAGCCTCTGCCTCCCGGGTTCTGGCGATTCTCCTGTGTCAGCCTCCTCAGTAGCTGGGACTACAGGCACACAGCACCGCACCCAGCTAATTTTTTGTATTTTTAGTAGAGGCGGGGTTTCACCATGTTGCCCAAGCTGGTCTCAAACTCCTGAGCTCAGGCAATCCGCTTGCCTCAGCCTCCCAAAGTGCTAGGATTACAGGTGTGAGCCACTGTGCCCAGCCAAGAATAATGCATTATGAATATTCATGTACAGTGTTTGGGCATATATTTTCATTTCTTCTGAATATGTACCTAGGCGTGGGATTGCTGGCTCATATAACTGATTGGTTGGTCGGTGGTTTTTTTCATCTCTTTTTCACTGCTTTATTCTTGTTTGCCAGTATAGTGCCAGTACATTTTAGGTACACAAGTAGATGTTTGAATGAATGAATGAATCAATGAATCAAAGAAAAAGTTACATTAATGGTACCTAGAGCTTATTATTTGGTAAATGTTGATGTTCTGTTTAACCCAGGATTATAGTACTTGTTTATTATTAGTATTTTGTATATATCTTCAACTAATAGAGGATATCCTGTTTTTAAGTTTTTGTTTGTGTAAGATTTAGTTGGGTACATTTGCAGATTTGTTACTTGGGTATATTGAGTGATGCTGAGGTTTGGGGTACGAATGATCCCATCACCCAGGTACTGAGCATAGTGCCCAACAGTTAGTTTTTCAACCCTTATCTCCTCCTTTCCTCCCCTTCTAGTAGTCCCCAGTTTCTGTTGTTGCCATCTTTACGTCCCCGAGTACCCAATGTTTTGTTTGTATATATGATGTGCTTTTGTTCTTTTTTATGGCTACAGATAACTATGCTTAACATTTTCAGGAACTACCAGACTGTTTGCCAAAGCAGATGCAGTATTTTACTTTCACATTAGCAGTTTGTATAAGAGGGTTCCAGTTTTTCTGCATCCTCACCAACACTTGTTTTTGCCTGTCTTTTTGACTATAGCTATTCTAGTGGGTGTGAAGTGTTATTTCCCTGCAGGTTTGATTTGCATTTCCCCAATGGCTAATGCCATTGTTCATCTTTGATATGCGCTTTGGCAATTTGTATGTCATCTTTGAGGAAATGTTTGTTCAGATTTTTTACTCATTTTTAATCAGATTATTTTTATTGAGCTGTGGAGTTCTTACTGGTAGAATTAGGTAAAAGTCTTACCAGATGTATGATTAGCAACATTCTATGTGTTGTCTTTTCACTTTCTGGTAGTGTCTTTTCAAACACAACTCAGTTTCATTCTTTTGCACGTGCCGCCTCCCATTTTAAAACTCTCCTGTCGCATAATGTTTCCATAAATGAAGTACTGTGTATGTGAAGGTGATCTCATAATGTATTTTTACTGTACCTTTTCTATGTTTAGATATGCTTAGATACACAAATACTAACATTGTATTATAGTTGCCTACAGTCTTCAGTACAGTTACAGGCTGTATAGATTTATAGCCTAGGAGCAATAGGTTATACCACATAGCCAAGGTGTGTAGTAGACTATACCATCTAGGTTTGCGTTAGTACACTCTTAGGATGTTTGCACAACAAAATTGCTCGACAACATATTGCTCAGAACGTATCCTTGTCTTTAAGCAGCACATGACTGTATGGTATAAAATCGCCATAGTAATATATACATAATAACATATACTGCCTGCAGATAGAAATAATGTTACGTGTAATTTTCACAAACTCTTTGTAGCACTGTGCTAAAAATATGTAGCCATATATATATATTTAAGATAAGATACGGCAGTACTGTTTTTTAAACAATGAAATTTGTTGAGTGTTTCATCTAGCGTTTATCTCTGCCACTTCAATGTTTGAACCTGTCAACAAAGGAATCTACTTAATGTCATTTGTTTGTGACAGATATAAGGCAGATGTATTATATATATAGCATTATTGTCAGTGGTGAGATTTTTCCAAGTAGTGAACATTTTGATAAAAGTTCCAAAAAATGACCTTATTATAAACTAAAGTTGTATTGGTTCATGTGTAAAAAAGAATTAAGTTTTATACAGTACAATTTGCATAGCAGCTGTATTCCTGGAAAATTTAGCATGCTGTGCTAAGCAGATTTTGGTTCTAGACTCAGTTAATTATAAGCAGCTTGTTTTCAGATGTTAGACAGTTCTTTGGGAGACATGTATAATGCCCAGTAGGCATCCCTGGCCCCCTTTCACTAAATATCAGCTCACCTTCATGGAGAGCAATGCTGTCCAGTGAGTCTCATATGCAGTTTTAAGTTTTTTAGTAGCCAACATCTGGAATTTCAATTATATTTATTATTTAACCAGATACAGCTAAAATACTTCATGTAATCAATATAAAAATATTAATGTGATATTTTGCATTTGTTTTTTTACCTAAGTCTTGGAATCTAGTATCTATTTTACACATACAGAAAATCCCAATTCCTACTAGCTGTGTTTCAAGTGCTTAGTAGCTATGTGTGGCCAGTGACTGTCATTGAATAGCACAAATGTAGAGGGAGTAACTGTACAACCAGCTGTCAAATTGTTGATACTTGTTGTGATCCATTTTTCCCTCCCGCAAGAGACAAAACCTGGTTAGCTATAAGTTTCGCTTTTCACCACCAGGTTTCTTGATATACAGTTGGTAAATTGCAGAATGATATTATTATAAACTAAAGTTGTATTGGTTCGTGTGTACAAATTTTTTTTAGTCAAGGATAATGCTCAGAAGTTACTTCCATTTCCATGTTCTTACCCCTAAATAGCTGCATTTTTATCCTAATGGTTTTTTTTGCATTATTATCTCTTGAAAGTAATTGATTTCCATGCTGAGCTGCTTGTCTGTGCTATTCAAGTTTTTATTAGTACTCTGATAATAAAGTTGCATAATTTTGAACGGCTTTGTTCTATTTTTCCCATAAGACTTTTTAATATGCAGTTTTGCAGAATTCAGTCTTTTCAAGGCGAACATTTATCATGTTATAGCAGAAAAACCGTATAGTACAGATATGTGGCTTTCTTGGTGAAACTCTTTTAAGTGCTGTGGCCGCTGGTTAGGAGTGATGAAAGGCCAAGGACACTGGAAGGTAGTACAGCATTCAGAGTAACAGAGGAAGAAGATCTTGGGAAGGTACTGACCTGTAGAGTATAATAATCTCTGTAAGTGAAGAGGGTATGATCATCAGTTTATTTTTAGCATATTGCCATCTTTTCAGGGGAGATTCGTTGAGTGTCCTCTACCATTTGACTTCGTAAACCTTTGTTTCCCAATGTGTGGCCTGGGTGCTAACTATACTAGAACCATCCTGGGAATGCCTATTAAAAATTCAGGTATTAAGCCAGGCATGGTGGCTCTTGCCTTCAGTCCCAGCACTTTGGGAGACCAAGGCAGGTGGATGGATCACTTGAGGACAAGAGTTCGAAAATAGCCTGGCCAACAAAGTGAACGTCTCTACTAAAAATACAAAAATTAGTGGGACATGGTAGCGTATATCTGTAGTGCCAGCTACTTGGGAGGCTGAGGCACAAGGATCTCTTGAGCCCGGGAGGCAGAGGTTGCAGTGAGTCAAGATCGTGCCACTGCATTCCAGCTTGGGTAACTGAGAGATCCTGTCTCAAAACAAAACAAAACAAAAAAATTTAAAAATTACTGTGAATTAGAATCTCTGAGAAAGACAACTTTGAGATCTACAATTTTTAATATACTAAAGATTCAGATCCACTACTGAGCTTTATTCAGTCCTATTTTTGCTTTTGTCTGAAAGCAATATGAGATGGTAGATGTCTTTGAATTATTTCATTTAGTATACAGATATACCTGTTCCTTCCTTAGTGTCTTAAAGAGAATAAAGACACTAAGACTTCTAAGTCTGTGGATCTGGTAATAAATTCTGGCGGTTGTCAGGGTCTGAATAAGGACATAAATGCCATAATATTTTGCTCCTGAGTAGACTGAAAACTGTTGTTCCACCTTTTTGAAAGCTGGTTGCCTTTCCCACTGCCATTTAATCATATAGAGTTGTATGTCCTCCCTCTGCTTTCCCTACTCCTAATATCCTGGTTCCCTTTTGTAAATGGAAGGGCATTGTAATTGCTTAATGTCCATTTCTCGCTGAGTCAGGTATGTTTTGATGAATTTTTTTTGGACCATTTTCTGATTATTTTCCTAGGCCCTCACTCTTTGAAACTATAGGTTGTGTCCTTCTCACCCTTAAATTTTAGCTTCTGAAGTTTCAGAAGATGCCAAATAGGGATTATTCTGTCAAAAATACTGAAGATTTTGTCAGGGAAAATGTCATTCTCTTGTACCGACCCTTGGACGGTGGTCTGAAACTAGCATCCAGTCATGTTGTTACATCTCCATTTTATAATTTGCCCTGGCTAAGCACTGGAAGGGAGAATTTTGCTCACCATTTAAGTTCTTAAAGTTGCAAGCTTAAGTATAGAGCCCCTATATCTGTCCTGCTCTTCTCCCTAAACCAAGTCATTCCCAATAGCATCCTTTTCTTAGACTCCTTTAAGACTTAACTTTATCAGTCCTAACTTTAATTTCTTGAGGTTGGTTTAAATGTACAACATTTAAAAACATTTTTATCCCACTTACTCACTGATACAGTATTTCTTGGGTAGATGAATTTTTTTTTTTTTTTGTCGTTAAATAGCGAGCTTTTCCTTGGTAATATACACAGTGCATAAAGGTACTTGACTGTATAAATGGCATTGCCTCCGTTGCTTTTTTGGATCATTGTGTGACCCAGTGTGTGACCCAATGAAGCAATGGAGACAATGCTGTTTATACAGTAAAAAGTACCCTTTATGCACTCTGTCTCTCACCAGCATGTATATATTATCTTCCTTTGTGTGCTTGAATACTCACTAGATTTGGGATTGAAATTCTGAGTTCAAGTTTTATGCGTGGATTCTGCTCTTACTGGATAGGTTCAGAAGTCTTACTATATTCTTTCTCTTAGCCTTAGATTCTGTATTATAATAAAAGAAATCTAAAACTTGTGAGGTCGCATATAAAAATTCATGTGATATTTTAAGATAGGAGATTTAAAAGGAATTTTGTGTTGTAGCACTTCTTTTCGGTATGGCTCTAGAAAATCATAACCACCATTACCCCAGCCTTGGGAAGGATGTGCACAATCAGTTTGTTCTTCTACTTGTGTATTACTTCAGTTTGGAAAGAGATACACGGAGAAAGTAAGAGGCTCAAATGAAATACCAAAGAAAGTATGTAAGGTAATATAAGCTGAAGCTTTTATTCTGAGACATTTAACTTTGTTTACCTTATTATTGTCATTTTATTCAGGGGCAAATCTGCACTACCTTCAGGTCCAAAGGGCATCTTTCTAGTTGGAATGTAAAGATGTACTGCCTGCCATGCTTTGTATAAAACCTCTTATGTGAATTTGAAATCTGTTTAAGAATGTTAGTTTATTCTTAGTCTTTCAGAAAAATATCTTTATCTTACTCCTCACCCATTTTAAGTTTTGTTTTTGATAAGCAGTCTAAGTAAATCTCCATAGAATGTGGAATCTGGTCCCTATCCAAAAAGCTCTTGTCTTTGAAAATAATTTCCCCATCAACAACTGATTCCGTTTTCTCTTTTAGAGAAGTCAGGCTGGTGTGCCTTGATGCTTATGACTTGATTATTATGCTGTGCCTTCTGAAAACACATACACTAGACCTAAAAGTTAGTTGGTAACTTCTGTCAGGCTGGTGGAAGGCATACCATTTCTTTAGAGGTATAATTAATTGGAATGCTTGTCAGTATTTGAGTTTTCATTGACTTCAGGAATAGTCACTAAAGCGGAGTGAATTTCTGGATCTTAACCTCATGAGAGAGGTCAATAGACCTCATTTGTAATATACCTTATGTTTGTAGAATACCTGTCAGGTCTTTCAGCAAACTTTTAATGTGGCACTTTCATTTCATAGATTTAAGCATAGAACATACTGTTCAAGAATGTGTGCAAATAAATGTCTGAGTGGGGTATCTAACCCAGGCTTTTTAATGGATTACTCTGGGATTTATTTCAGTCAGTAAGATTAGGTTTTTTTCCATTACTGTCGACAAACTTAAGGAAATTTTCATGGAAATCCCACTCTGCGAGTAGTGCATATATATTCTAGTAGTCCATATTACTAGTTCTACTTCTTATATTCAGTTGTAAATCTGATTTTTAAAAA
The DNA here is from genome assembly GCF_000001405.40 of Homo sapiens. Taxonomy (NCBI): domain Eukaryota; kingdom Metazoa; phylum Chordata; class Mammalia; order Primates; family Hominidae; genus Homo; species Homo sapiens. Next base: position 28,580,736 of record NC_000010.11, read on the forward strand.
ATCTTTGGAGTTATATCTGAAAAGTAGAAATTTCAGCATAGATCTCATGTTTTTCTTTAAAACTTGAAGTATTAATTTTCCTTTGTTACTAAGCATTTTGGGATCCTAAAACCATTTGTGAGGTTTGGTGATTCTCTAAGACTCTCAGGACTCAACATAGTCATTATCATGACTGTGACTTACTACAGTGGACAGGTGCAAAGAGAAAAGGCACATGGGGCAAAATCTGAAGGAATCCAGGTGTAAGCTTCTAAGAATTCTTGCCTAAGAGTCATACAGGATGCACTTAATTCCTCCAGCAACAAATTGTGACACACTTGTGGAATGTTGTCTACCAGGGAAGCTCACTAGAGATTTAGTGTGCACGGCTTTTACTGGATTTGGTGAGTTATATAGGTACTCTTTGCCTTGCATGTACCAAAATTTCAGACTCCAGTAGGAAAGCAGGTGTTCAGTACAAACCATATTATATACCCAAACAGCTTAGGTACAATGAGCGATTCTTTTTTTTTTTTTTTTTTTTTTTTTTTTTTTTAAGACGGGTTCTCATTATATCACCCAGGCTGGTCTCGAACTCCTGGACTCAAGGGATTCCCCTGCCTCTACCTCCTCAGTAGTCGGGACTAGTGCAAGCCACTGTGCCTGGCCTCAGTGAGCACCTCTTTCACCTCTTTATCAGTTAGGGTTGTGAGATCCCTCTGGAAGTCTAGATTCCCACATGTCTGTCAAGGGCCAGCTGTGCCAGAAAGCCTTTCTAAAGATAGCAGTCTCTGGGCTTCTGTTAACTTTTCCTGTATACTCAGCCTTTTTGTTTGTTTGTTTGTTTGTTTGTTTTTTGAGACAGAGTCTTGCTCTGTTGCCCAGGCTGGAGTGCAGTGGCACAATTCTCAGCTCACTGCAACCTCGCCTCCCAGGTTCAAGTGATGCTCATGCTCCTGCCTCAGCCTCCCGAGTAGCTGGGACTACAGGCACACACCACCACGTCCAGCTAACTTTTGTATTTTTAGTAGAGATGGGGTTTTACCATGTTGGTCAGGCTGGTCTCGAACTCCTGGACCTCGGGTGATCCACCTGCCTCGGCCTCCCAAAGTGTTCAGCTTATTTTTGACTGATTTCTTCTTGATTCTGTTCATTCATAGAGCATTTATTGAGGATTTATTTCTTGCTTCCTGTTATTTAAAAGGGGGTTTAGGGTATTCTATCTATATAAGTAGAATACTGTACAGCAAGATGAAATCAAAATAAGTAGAAGAACCCATCAGACTTCTTAGGAAATATCCTCTATCATACCACCTACGTTGTTCTTAAGTAACCATTGTACTTAGGTAATTCTCTTTGATCTTTTGTGACATCACTAGCTTTCTTGAGTCTTTGAATCTGCATGTAGTTTCCATTATAAGCAGACCCTTATCTGAGGGTAAATCTTGGCCATTGCCTTTTTTCCTGTCATACTCTTACTTCGTCCATGAACTTTTTTAGTGCCTGCTGCTTACATGCAAAGCAGTTAGTCACCTCTCCTACCTTTGACTTCTAATAGAAAAGACTTCCAAATCCACATCTACTTAACACCTTTTCTTCTGAATTCCTAGTTCTGTATTAATCGGACCATTTTCACTTGGATATCTAAAACCTTATAGTCATCATCTGTCTCAGTTCACCTTTCCTCTTACCATTTAGTTGTTTCTATTGATTGAAATAATATTCCTAACTCATTTCTGCTTTTATCCACCCTGGTTCTAACTGATAATTCCTGGACCACTGGAGCATTTAAATTGCTCTTTGCACTTCTAGTTTTTGTTCATAATAGTGTAGCCTCCATGCCACTCCTAGATCACTTACTAAAAAAAATACCAGTTGGATTATGTTACTTTGTTGCTGAAAAATCTAGAATTAAGGAATGATATTGAAATACTAACATTAGACTTCTGTGGTGAACCTTTTTGTGTCATTCATCAAAGTGTTTTTGCAAGTCTGGATTTTTATACCCTGCTTTTTCTTAAAGCAAGAGAAACTTTTTTCTGTGGTCACTGACATATACAGATTTTCATAAAACTTGAGTTACTCTTAAGCAATTTTTAGATAGAGTTGGACCTGTTAGGAAAAGAGTCTTGATGTCATCTTTATCATCTTATAAGTGAGCACCTTCCCTGAGACTCTTTAACTTCTTGAAAAAAGTTGATGCTGTTTTATTTGAAAAATCGTCAAGACTATTAAAAGGCAAATAGGGGAAACTGTTAAGAAATTGAAATACAGTTGCAAAAACATACTGATAACAGTGACTTTTAGTTCTGTATCATTTGAGTTCTTGTGCCTTTTTTCTGTGCACATTGTACTTCTATTTTTGTCCAGTAAAACTTTAAGAAAACCCAGAAGTTGCTACAAATGATAAAGATAAGGTTTTGTTTCTCTCAAAAAGGTTGTTATATGCTGCTGTTCCAGGACATATCAGGATGACAACTATGTATAATATTTAAAGCCACATCTTTAGTAGGTTCACAGATACTTTATATACTATAAAAAGTATGACTGTGTATATATTCCTAATGCTTATGTAAGATGTTCGTTTAGAGATATAAAATAATATCTAGTATGATAGAAAACAGTTTAGATTAAACATGAAATACAGTTTACTTGTAATTCACTTTGTTCTTTATTTTTTTAAGGGACCAGTTACTCTCCACAAGAAAATTCACACAACCACAGTGCTCTTCATAGTTCAAATTCACATTCTTCTAATCCAAGCAATAACCCAAGCAAAACTTCAGATGCAGTAAGTATTATAAACATGTCCAATATGGTTTCTTTGGAATTTTTTGCAAAAAAAAAAAAAAAATACAACCCATGGCAAGTCTTGTAAAATCTAATGTCTTTTTTTTTAAAAATGTTTCAATCACAGTCTTAATGTGTTTATTTGATATTATTATTATCCTATTTTAAACCAATGAGCCAAGCTTATTAATGGAACTGAAGAGTTGTCAGAAGATAGTATCTTTGGTATTACTTAATTAGGATTCCTGTACAAAGCAATGTTTTTCTGTTGTGATATCTGAGATAAAAAGAACTTCAGGCTGAAACTTCTTTAAAGTGGTCTAAGTTAAGCTTACTTTCTTTCCATAGTGTATAAACTCCTTATAGGATACATTTATTATCTACTGTGTCTTACACACTCTCCCAGACGCTAGGGATATACAGTTACCTGTCCACAAGGGTGTGAAACCCAGTGAGGGATTTTAAATATTTTCAGAAGTTTAGTTTAATGAAATAAGTTATTTATTTTGAATTTTAAGTCATAGGTTTAAATGAAATTTTTAATTCAGCAAAAAATTAATAAGGTTTTAATTCACCAGGCATATGCTAAGCTGCATATATATGGAATGTGGCCCATCTTAAAGGAATTCTGGGACCTGTGGTAGAGACAGAAAAGTAAACAAATAGTGCCTGTTAAAGTTGCTTTGGAGGGTGCTCAACACAGGACTCCCAGCTTGGGTGAGGAAGATAGTAAAGTATAACTAATGCTTCCCAACAGGCTGACTAAAACTTGGGCAGTAAAAGAGCTCTGGACTTCATAGCATACAAAGGAATAGAGCTTGCAACGATGTAGAAGTGTAAAATAGTGTAGCACGGTTAGAGAACTGCCAGAATTTTGACAGTGTGGAAAAATGGCAGGAGCTAAAGTTACAGAGGTAAGTGGGAGGCATATCATAAGAAGCTCTATGTCATGCCAAGGAATATTAATTATACATATATAAGGCAGTGGAGAGGTATTGAAGGATATAATCAGTAAAATAACATCATATTTGCAATTTAAAAAATTATCTCGGGTAGCAGTGTGGAAATATAGGAAAGAATGAACAATGAGAAGGCTGACAAAGGTGTAGGTTGAGTCCAACTGATTTTGCTTTGAGTATTTGAGTGATCATCATGTCTTAATTGACGTTGAAAGACCTTCAGATTTTATTTTTGTTTCTTGTTGAAGCAGTGTGGATAGTACATTTCCATAGAAAATTGAGACATTAGGATAATATTTGGATAAAAATAGATAGTATTAGTGTCCATTTAGAAAATTATACTATTGGCCAGGCACGGTGGCTCGCTCCTGTAATCCTAGCACTTGGGAGGCCAAGGCGGGTGGATCACTTGAGGCCAAGATGGTGAAACCCCATCTCTACTAAAGATACAAAAGTTATCCTGGCATGGTGGCAAGCACCTGTAATCCCAGCTACTTGGGAGGCTGAGGCAGGAGAATTACTTGAACCTGGGAGGCGGAGGTTGCAGTGAGCCAAGATCACCCCATTGCATTCCAGCCTGGGTGACAGAGCAAGACTGTCTCAAAAAAGAAAAGAAAATCATGTTAATTGTTTTAACACAGAATTTAATATATGGGATTGGTTAAGCAGATACTGAAAAAAAACAAAGGAACCCTCAGGTAACACATACAGTAATCACCACTCAAGGCTATTGAACAACCGGATGAATTTGGGGTTTTAGAACCCAGTAGCATAGAGGAGGAGCCCCACAGAGCTGGTAGTAATACCTCTGAGGGTATGGTGAAGCTAGTTCTAGTGGTGGGATGGTAGCCGAGAGCTGGTAACAACGGCGGCTGCTCCTTTCTCCTGCCTTTCATTCGTCTAATGCTTCTAAGAGGAAGGAAGCCATCTGGCTAAATAGAGAGTAATTTGCACTGTCCCAGCTCTAGCATCACAGAGCGGACTATCAAAGGGTGGGACTGGGACTGAGAAAACAGCTCGCTAAGCCTTCACGCGTGCTATCGTCAAACTATTTGTGATGGGTCATTTTCTTTTTCCTTTCTTTTTTTTTTTTTTCCAAGTAGGGAAGGGAGGATGAGGCCAAGTGGGGAGAAGGGGGGGCAAATCATTTTCAGTGAGATGTATATTCAGGATTTTAGAATGAATCTGCCTGTTTTCCTGGAAAACAGTCTATTACTTTACAAAGTAACACTAACCTAAAGTTCCACTTGTCATTGACAGTTTAGATTTGCTATTTGTCTACTCCTAGGACAGCAGCAGCCCTTGTGGGCATTGTTTTTTTTTTATTTTGTAAAACACAAATGCAAACAAAACAAACACCTCATTCAGGGAAGACAAACTTTGATTATTAGGATTTTACAGCAGTGGGTTTAACCCAGTGAAGTCAGAAAGAATAAATAATGGGCGTAGATAAGCTTGAATGATTCAAATCATAAGGGTGTCAGGGAACTTAATTATGTGAGTGAAAGTTGAAGACCATTACTAGAATAGATAAAATGTTTTGTGTTTCTGGAATCCGCGTTCTGGTTTCTCTAGATTTCACCTGTAGGTGCATAAGTAGTGGTCTTTTGCATTATAATGTACCTAGTGGGAATGATACAAACAGCCCTTATGAACTGTAAATTTAATCTTACCTGAAAAGTTGGCTTTAGAGTTATCTACACAGATATTTGGGTATGTGGGTGATTTTTTAAAATCAAGTTAACTATTAAAAACCAAGTTGAAATTATCTTTTATTTTCAGTATCAGATTAAGGCGTTAACATTTAATGTACTTCCCTGCTAAGTCCTCTGATAAACATTTATTGTGGGGTGTTTACCGCAGAGCCTGGCTTATGGTAAAGATTAGGAAAAGCTTGGTGAATGCCTCCTTCACAAAAAAGTCATGGGAATGTTGGGCGCAGTGGCTCACAACTATAATCCCAGCACTTTGGAATGCCAAGGCAGGAGGATCACTTGAGGCTTGGAGTTTAAAACCAGCCTGGGCAACATAGTAAGCGCCTGTCTCTACAAAAAAATAAAAATAAAAAAATAAATAGCTAAGTGTGGTGGTGTGTTCCTGTGGTCCCAACTACTTGGAAGGCTGAAGCAAAGGATTGCTTGAGCCCAGAAGGTTAAGGCTGCTGCGTTGAGCTATGGTTGCGCCACTGCACCTCCAGCCTGGCCGACAGCAAGACCCTGTTTCAAAAATAATAATAATAAAAGGTAAAATAAAAAAATCATGGTATGACTTGTAGATTATTTTAGATTAGTTGTGCATATTTGATTTTTCAAAGGGGGCTCTGAATTAGGAAAAAAATGTTGCTTATTTTTATTTAAAGACACTGTAATTGAGATTTTCCCTTCTAAATATTCTATGCCAATTTTGATTTGCTGGGATGTGCTTAAGTTCAATCCTGTATGAGTTTGCATTCATATTCCAGCTCATCTTGTTATCAACTAAGTATCATCTGCATACTTTGGAGCTTTTGAGTCTTGAGCCAGGCGAGGTGCTTCCCACCTGTAGTCCTGGCTACTCAGGAGACTGAGGAGGGAGGCTCGCTTGAGCCCAGGAGTTGGAAACCAGCCTGGGCAGTATAACAAGACCTCATCTCGGGGAAGAACGGAAAGGAAAGAAAAAGTTTGAGTCTCATCAATATCTACCATATTAAAAATTAAAACTGGGAAATTATTCATTTCATTTAAAATATCAATTGTAAACCCATTATATGGTAACATATGTAACATCTTTGTGAAAAGTAATTTTTAAAAAAATAGACATTGAACATCTTAGTAATGTTTGACTTAATAGAAAAAGACACTTAGAATTTCATAATTTCGTATCTGCTTCTGCATTCAATCTGTTATGATACATCCAGTGTTTTGTTGAGCCTCTGGGTAAACTTCACTGTATGCTTGTGGTAAAATGAGGAAGAAAAAAATAATCATGTTAGTATTATTATGAAAATAGTTCTGGTCTTGTGAAAGGCTGTTGGGGTTCCCCAAGGTTTCCTGGATAACACTTGGAGAGCTGCTTTAGAGCATATATTGGCAACCATCCCAGGCCAAATCTAGAAAACTTTAAATGTTTGCAGGCCTTTCGTTTAAGTCCTCAATATTAGTTACTCTTTTTGTAAAGTTAAGAAATTTGACACCTGCTATTGCACATCGGCATTGTAAAAATTATCCCATAATTTGAAGGGTTTCTTTTTCCTTAACTCCTTGAGGATGGCAGTGGGGTGGAGAAAATAAAGTTATTGGTATGTGATTGTATGCTCTACCCTGGAATTCTGTTAAGTGTAAGGTATCAGCTTGGACTAATCTAGAATTTGATAGGCAAAATCAATGTAGTGTGGTAGACCGGTGCTCGGGTTTGTGAACTTTCTGTCCTGGAGGTTGTGCCAGAATGTTAATCACTTAAATAGAATGTTTAGTTCAGCTGACTTTTTTTTTTCCTTAAAGCACAACTTCTGTGAAAGAAACAGTATGTTTATATATTCAAATGCAAACTCCTTATTTCCTCCAGGATAAGTTGGCAAACCATCACTTGGAAGAGCACTGGCCTAGACCATACTGACCTCTGGTGTCCTCTGTCCACTAGTCTCAAATCTCATTCTACCTCTTCAGTTCAGTAATTCCACATAACCACTTGGCAAGCAAACCAAGCCTTCCAGATAACATCCGTAGAAGGGATCAGTTGCATAATAATTTATGTATAGGGAGGAGTAGGTGGTAGGGAAGAACTTCCTGAATTTGGCCCTTTGTGATTGGGTTCCTAAAGCTTGATTGTAGGCTTCTGGAAGCTAGTGGGATTGAAAATTAACTCTCCACTGCTTTTTGAGGTGTGAGGGCGCAGGGCTGCTTTGCCACCCTCATTATTTTGGGATGTAAACCTGAGCATATAAATACATGGCAGAGTCTGTGATCTTTTTCCAACTGCCTTCAGAATTATTAGGGGAATTTCCAGACTCGGTGTTAATTTAGTGGAAATAATAGGCATTTGGAAACCAGAGTTTTTTGTCCTTTGATAAACCACTAATTAGTTTTGTGACCTATAGACAACTCATAAGTTCTCTCAGCTTGTTTCCTAGTTGTTAAAATTAAAGCTGGGCCAAGGGTAAGGCAGTGAATAAGACTTCATTTCCTCAAGCTTGAAAATTGTGGCACGATACAGTGAACCCAGAAGGATAGGCTATGATAGTATAGTACATTATTTCATTTTTTTAAGTGGTTTAATCTTTTTAAATATTTTTTAATTTTTCTAAATTGACAATTCTACATATTTATGGGGTACATAGTGATGTTTCGATACATACAGTATATTTTTATAATGTTCAAAAGAGTAATTTGCATATCATCTCATTTATTTGTGTTGGGAACACTCAAAATCCTCTTTTCTAGCTATTTGACAAAATATAATCAATGTTATTTCAGTAAGCTCCTTTGAAAAAATAAGGAATTCAACCAGGATAGTTGAGATTCTACCAGATTTCCTGGGGGCAATTAGATACTTAACTAATCTTTGTGAGATTCGTTTCGTGGAAACTAGACCTTTCAGATCTTTCTAATTTCATTATGTTACGTTGTCTATAAAACTACCTGGAAGAGACTGTACCTGAGAATTTTTGAAAGACCATTTTTAGTTATGGGAAAAAGAGTGATACTGCTAATCCTGTATATTACATGAGAACAAGATTCTGGTTTATGTGTACTTGATCCATCTTGTTGATTTTGAAGGTGAAACAAACTTACAGCTTTTAATTAGCTTTCTGTTTATGTTTACATATTTTGGTTCCTTTTCTCACTGAGTAACAGTTAATACAGGCAAGATTGTTCTCTTTTATACCATATATAATTAGTATTGTGCCTTAGAATTTAGAACTGATGATTTCATGCCATCATCTAGTCGAGAGTGCATTCCCCACCCCCATGTTACTGGATTTCAACAATTAAAATTGTGGTGGGAGATTTTGTCATGCTTTCTAAAATCAAGGTGATGTTAATTTCACAGTTTTCTTTCTGTGCCTAACAATCTAATTTTTATTCTGCTTAATTTTGATATTTTATAAAGTTCTGTTGTCTTTGAAGATTTTCATAAACTAAGGTCTTATAAATACTTACACAGATAATTGCATTCTAGTTCAGAGTACCTTTATCTCATAAGTGTTTTCCTGTATGTGTGCTTTGATGTTGTTGATATTTCATGTGATTAAATAGTATTAACATTTTCTAATTGTAAAAAATATATTTTTAAGCCTTATGATTCTGCAGATGACTGGTCTGAGCATATTAGCTCTTCTGGGAAAAAGTACTACTACAATTGTCGAACAGAAGTTTCACAATGGGAAAAACCAAAAGAGTGGCTTGAAAGGTAATTAGCTTTTAATCTAATTAAACATTATTTCTCTAGCTTGGTTCTACTGGTTAACATCTTACAGCATTAAACATTCTAATTTAGCTTTTTTATAGTGCTGCCCATCTACACTTTTTAGTTGCGGTGGTTGGTTGCCCCTTCGTGTTTTCCATAGTTTGTCTTTACTTTTAAAAACAAAAAACCTGGCTGGGTGCAGTGGCTCATGCCTGTAATCCCAGAACTTTGGGAGGCCAAGACGGGAGGATCACTTGAGCCCAGGAGTTTGAGGCCAGCCCTGGCAACATAGTGAGACCCTGCCTCTACAAAAAGTTAGCTGTGAGTGGTAGCATGCACTTGTAGTCCTAGCTACTAAGAGGCTGAGGTGGGAGGATGGCTTGAGCCTAAGAGGCCAAAGCTGCAGTGAGCCATCATGGTGCCACTACACTCTAGCCTGAGCAACAGAGCAAGATGCTATCTCAAAAAAAAAAAAAAAAAAAAAAAATCTAGGATAGATAGGCAGCTGTCCACAAAGGACTTTTGAATAGTCAGTATAGTTAATAAAATACCTACATTTATGCATCTTTAATTTTGATGGAAATTTTAATAGTTTAATAAGGCCGTAATGTTTCTTTCACATGTAGAATTAAAATTGCTGAGCTTTGGTTATGGCGTTAGTGGTATAACAATTGGTATAATTTTGCCATTAGTGAGACATGTTAGTGTTCTGTTTGCTACGTTCCATCTCACACACCAGTTAAATTATGACCATGTTCACTCCTTTTGTTTTCTGTATACCATTTGTTAGGCATTTGGCCAGAGCTGTTTAGTATGGAAACTCATGCCCTTAATGTAATTTTTATATGTTTATCTTTTTTTTTATTTTTAGAGAACAGAGACAAAAAGAAGCAAACAAGATGGCAGTCAACAGCTTCCCAAAAGATAGGGATTACAGAAGAGAGGTGATGCAAGCAACAGCCACTAGTGGGTTTGCCAGTGGAAGTAAGTATTAATTTTTTTTCTTTGAAATGTATGTTTGACTTATTCGTATTTATTTTTCAAATCTGTATCCATTGCCATCTACATATGTAAATTAAAATAAATAGAAACATACGGAGATTCTTTTATGTTGGATTTATTATACCCTCCACCATTTTGGTCCCTGAAAAGGGAAAAGATACACGGTCGAGTAGTACAGGTATGTGTTTCCCACTACACATTATGGCTATAATGGAGTTGAATTGCAAACAGTAAAATTTTGTTTTGGATTGGTTTCCCCTGATCCCCCCAGACAGGAGCTTCCTCTCCCACCCTACCTGCCTGCCCTTAAGTTGTGTCCTATTAAACTGGACACAAATCTCACCGGCTTTTAGTCTAATAATTGAATCATAGCTACACACAGTGACACCAGAATAGCTACTTGTTTTTTTATGTTACCAGTGAGTAACTTGTTTATCCTTGTATGTAGAAACTAATTTCACCATGATCACAGATCTGTGTAACATCTCTAGTTTGAATTTCCACACAATTTTAAAATGTCTACTAGAAAACTTACACCTTTTTGTTCCAAGGTGCTCTTCATCTATAAAACCGTGGGCATACTTCAGTGTTCTTCTGAGGCCAAATTTTGTGCTCGTGGGACAATTTTGTATAACATACATTTATTTTGTAATTCATTCTCCAAATTTGAAGCTTTATTAAAGGTATTCTATTTCCACTGGCTTCCCTTAACTTGAATAAAATTTACTCCCAGTGCCGTGGCTCATGCCTGCTGCAATCCCAGCCCTTTGGGAGGCCGAGGCAGGAGGATGGCTTGAGGCCAAGAGTTTGAGACCGGCCTGTGCAACATGGCGAGACCCAGTGTCCACAGAATTAAAAATTAACCACGCAGCTGTAATCCCAGCCACTTGGGAGGCTGAGGCAAGAAGATGACTTGAGCCCTGGCATTTGGCTATGATCTTGCCACTGCACTCTAGCCTGGCAACAGAGTCAGACTCTGTCTCAAAAAAAAAAAAAAAAAAAAAAAAAAATTAACTGTCACATAGACTTCCTGGGTTCCTTTTGCAATTTTGAGAAGAATTTCAAGATGATGTTTTCTGGGAATTCTTAGACTTCAATGTTTCAATCCTGCTCCTATAACTCAAACCAAAAAGTTGGGGGTGTATTTGGTCTTAGAAGGGATTATTGAGTTTTTGATGGGAGAAAATATTTAAGATGAAACAGTAACATACATCTGCAGGATTAAGTGTTAAATTTTTAAATCAGTGAAATTGTATATAATTTTTTTAATGGTATAAAGTACTGAAGTTGGCATATTAAAGAACATTGAATTTTGAGATGGAAGAATTAGATTCTAGTCCCATTTCTTTTTATATCTTAATAAACTGACTTTTGTCAAACAATTAAAAATGAGACCGAGGTTTTCCTCTAGACATAAACAAGTTGCACCCAGCTTGTGGGTTTTTTGAGCAAATTGCAGGGGAGGGGATGCACAGAAAATGAGTGACAGATGGCTGGGTGTGATGGCTCACACCTGTAATCCCAACACTTTGGGAGGCTGAGGCAGGCGGATCACGAAGTCAAGAGATCGAGCCCATCCTGGCCAACATGGTGAAACCCCGTCTCTACTAAAATACAAAAGTTATCTAGGTGTGGTGGTGAATGCCTGTAATCCCAGCCACTCGGAAGGCTGAGACAGGATAATCGCTTGAACCCAGGAGGTGGAGGTTGCTGTGACCTGAGATTGCACCACTGTACTCCAGCCTGGGTGACAGAGCAAGACTCTGTCTCCAAAAAAAAGAAAAAAGAAAATGAGTGATGAGTGATAGATAAGTATAAAAATAACTTTTTAACTTGTTTTTCTTCATGATTTCAAAAGTAGGCCATATTCGTAAATAGGTAAAGTTTTTAAATTCCATGACCCTGGAACATTTTGGAATATATACTTTTTTTTCTGTATGCATATAAATGTGTATACAAATTACATATGTATGTATTTGAAAAATGGGATTCTGTGTTGCTGTTTTTTACCTGTTCTTTTATTCAGCAATGTGTCAGGAATATGTTTTTATGTCTGTTTATAATTCTGCAGTTGTTATATTGATTGCGTAGGTATACCTTCATTGACAAATAATCCCCTATCAATGAATACTTGGGAGGTTTTCAGCCTTTTCCTACTGTAAACAAGATTATGATTTCATATCTGCCCACTTCTCTGATTACTGCCTTCAGTTAAATTCCTAGATAGGCAAATGATGAGTCATTGTGTCTGTGCTTGTGTTGAAATGTAGTCATGTATCACACTTTTTTTTTAGTTTAGGTGATGTTTGAGGAAGAACCTTAGCTGTGTTGTTGCTTTTTTAAAAAATTGGTCAACTTAGTAATAAAGTGAATAAGCCATTCAAGTATTTAACTTAGTCTATCCAAAACATATTGGCAGAGTGTTACCTTGTGTTTCGGTGTATTGGTGTTTGTGTAGAGTATGGCTTAAAGCTTGTTCTTGACTACCAATAAAAGAACTTTAGGGGATGGCAGAGGGGGAAGGATTCAGAAGATTTTTACATGTAAAGAGATAAAGTAGGTTTTAATGAGGTTTTTGTTTTTGTTTTTTTGCAATATATTAAGTGTTTGTAAAGCACTAAAATATTTTAACAAAGGCCAGGCACGGTGGCTCATGCCTGTAATCCCAGCACTTTGGGAGGCCGAGACGGGTGGATCATCTGAAGTCAAGAGTTTGAGACCAGCCCGGCCAATGTGGTGAAACCCCGTCTCTACTAAAAATACAAAAATAAGCTGGGCGTGGTGGTGCGCGCCTGTAATCCCAGCCACGTGGGAGGCTGAGGCAGGCAGAGGTTTCAGTGAGGCGAGATTCATGCCATTGCACTCCAGTGAGACTCTCTCAAAAAAAAAAAAATAAAATATTTTATCAAATGTTAATATTCTCCACAACTTGATACTGAAAATTATATGGATAAAATTTTTAATTTGCGTTTAACTGCTACTAATTTTTATTTTTGCAAACCTGTGCTTTATATGTTGATGGCTCTATGTTTAGAGAAACCTTACTTAGGGTTTCTCAACAGAAGCACTAATGACACTTTGGGTGAAGTAATTGTTATGGAAGGCTTTCCTGTTTTGTAGGTTGTTGAGCACCATAACTGGCCTCTCCTCACTAGATGCCAGTAGCATACCTCCCCTCTCTCCAGTCAGGACAAGCAAAGCACCACCCTCTGGGAGGGTGACAAACAGGCACTGCTTTAACTGTGTTTATCTAGAGTTGTAAGTATAGAAAGCTGTTACAGCTATAGCGTCCCCTGTTCCTGTAATGCTGCTGCCCTTTTTGTTTTTTTAATTCAAAAATGTTAGAAGTATCATCCTTAATTTTCATTGGAGTACATACGCTTGATACATTTTGACTAGCGATATAGAACTGAAAGGAAGTTTTCTTGGTTGAGGAAATAAAAATTGTATACAGGGTTGGGCATGATATTATTCCTGCTATGTCTGTCTCTAAAGGTTTCTGTCTTAGTTGTACCTCATTGCAGGTAGAAACTGTAGAATAAAACTTTTTAAATTTTATGTTCATGCAAGTTGATAGCTTACTTATATATTACTATCATACAACAGATGTTTGTATTCTGTTCATTTTTGTAGATTTTTATATTGTATCATTTATAACACGGAATTTTATGTAGTAAGTCATTGTCAGAAGACCTCGTGCTTTGATGTGATTGACTTTTTGGGTGGTATTCCGGTACCTTTTGTTGTGGTGTACCATGTAGTGGTTGTGTACTGACAGCTTTGAAACTGACTTCTAGTTTGAATGTTCCTCCTTCGTTGTTTTGTCTTGGTCTTTACAATTGGAGGAGCTGTGAATTGAAAAAAACTATACAATAATCAACAGAGAGGGCATCCTTTAGTAAAATTATTGTACATCACATGCTTGGATTTTAGGTCGTTTCTCTCCTTGGAGGTTATTTTAATTCTTTAGTTATTGTTGGGAATATTGTAATTTAGATTGGACACTTTGAATGAACTTCAACATGATAGTTGAAATTTTCGTTCTTTTTGTACTGTTTTGTGGAATCATGGTGTTAGAATTTAAATTGATAGATTTTGAACTGTTTTCAGTATTTCTGAGCTTAAAGTATTTTTGTGGCTTTAAATTGAAAGAGGATTTGTTTTTAATACACCTAGTGATAAGTAGATTGTTCTGACTATGCTGCGGGTGTTGGACTTCTATTTTCAGATAGCATTATGCATCATGATTTTATTAACTCTCTGGTATTTGTAACATTAAAAATACTACAGATTGGTTTACTTACTGTGTTCACAGTTCATCATAACTTCAGTCATCTTAAAATGATTTCATTTAAGCCTTCTTATAAACTGCTTTAGAGGCAACTAATTGTAGCTTAGTATTCAGAAAGACCAGGCTAATAAAGCCTAATATTCCTTTGCAGTTGAACCACTGTGAATAATTCAGTTATTAAAATCTGTGACCTGTAGTGTAAAAGAACGAAGCATTTACTTTTTCTGCCTTTAAAACATTTTTTAAAATTTTATAAGATATTATAACTCCATATGTTGATTTTTTTTTTTTGTGTTTTGTTTGAACTACAGTGTGATTCTAAGGAATCCTTAAAAAATGTGTAGCACCCTTGAAATATGAGTATAGATGAATATTTATAGTTGAGCAAAAACTCCTCCTCTTCCAGTATTGCATATTTACATGCTAGTGGTAAAACTGCAGACACTAACTGGGTTTGCAGTTTTATAAAAGAATATGTAAGTACAAGTATGTTGCTAAATTAGCTGATGTTAAAGGTAGGATTCTAATGTAATCTTTTTTCTTCCCCCTTCTGTCATTCCAACATCTGTTTTTTCGAACTGTGAACTAAAGTGGAAGACAAGCATTCCAGTGATGCCAGTAGTTTGCTCCCACAGAATATTTTGTCTCAAACAAGCAGACACAATGACAGAGACTACAGACTGCCAAGAGCAGAGACTCACAGTAGTTCTACGCCAGTACAGCACCCCATCAAACCAGTGGTTCATCCAACTGCTACCCCAAGCACTGTTCCTTCTAGTCCATTTACGCTACAGTCTGATCACCAGCCAAAGAAATCATTTGATGCTAATGGAGCATCTACTTTATCAAAACTGCCTACACCCACATCTTCTGTCCCTGCACAGAAAACAGAAAGAAAAGGTATGCCATTATTACTAGATGCTGCACGTTGAACTATAGTTTCTAAGTTTCTTCTAAGTTTCTTATATATTACATTATTTCCTTTGGCTCTGAATTATAAATTTTTAAAAAAGTCTTTTAGAATGTTTCTGTGTAGAGTTAGGTGTAGAGTTAGCAATATTTAGCTTTTTTCTTTAATTTATAATTATCCAGCCTCAGAACTGTTTCTTGCCTCTGAATTTTAAGTCAAGTGCTTAATTTATAACAATAATGGTTTAAGTAATTTGTTAAAGTCAAGTAACTGTCTCTTCAATTTTCTGTTTTTGTGATCATTGTCTTGACAGTTTAGTTTATAAATCGTCTCAGTTTTCTCTTAATACTTAATATAAATAGAGGTATTTTAAAACTAATGTCTGTATAACATTTCATTATTGGTTTCAGTTTGTGATTAGAAAATTAAGTTGTGGGCCATAAGATAAGGCGTGTTAATGTCTGAATTGGACCTTAAGTCTGAAGAGTGGAAGTTAAACGTTGCAACCCAAATTGCGTTTATCCAACTCAGTGTCAATAATCATAGCATGTTTAAAAAGTTACAGAAAAATTTAAGAACAACTACTTGGAAGGTGTGACACAACATAAGCAGTGTGATAAAATTTGCATAGACCATTCACAATCTGAAACTTGTACTTCATAGTATGTTTTAAGAATCTAAGGAAATTAAAATGTAGTAAATAAATTGTCACAGGTAGATCCATTAGCAGACCATTAGTAAGTGTTGATGCGCTTTTAAATGTGCTGTGGGTTTAGGAGAGGCTTGATACATTAATTCACATTGATTCAATTTGTTGACAAAAGGGCTCAAATAGTTGGATTTCTTTTGTTTCTGATTTCCTCTCTCCTTGAACTACAGTGTGATTTTAAAGAATCCTAAAAAAGAACTTGTAGCCCCCTTAAAATCTAGATTAATAGAGACTAATATTTATAGTTGAGCAGAAACTCAACTATAAATACATTTTATTTGAAATTTTCTTATTACATGTTATATGCATGTAATACATGCATATGTATTATACATGTTATTTGAATTTTCCTTGTTATTCAACCATATACTTTAGTATATATATCATACAGTGCATAATGTGTCAGATTATTGCTTGTTCCAAATGTCAAATTCGGTAAAGATGGTTCGTACCAAAATTCATACATAAAATGTCAGATTTACCCTGTGACATATTTGCAAAGAGAAATATTGAGAGATGAAATCTGAATTAATGCTATAGTTAATATATTTTCCATAGGACATTTTGGTTTCTTAAGTTCCTATAATTTTGACAATTTGCTCACAGAAAATTTTACTTTAACAATCCTTGTCAGTTAAAATTCTGATGACCCTTTGAAAGTATTTATCCCATGTCACCTTTGTACATTTAACACTTTTTAACTCCTTTTTGAAATTCTTTCTCTGGCTTCTGTGATACTACACTCCTTCAGTTGCCTATTTCTGTTCCTTCCTGCTTACATATCAGCATCTCAGCCTTTTTTC
The DNA here is from genome assembly GCF_000001405.40 of Homo sapiens. Lineage (NCBI taxonomy): Eukaryota > Metazoa > Chordata > Mammalia > Primates > Hominidae > Homo > Homo sapiens. The sequence continues at coordinate 28,597,564 of NC_000010.11, forward strand.
CTCTGTTTGGTTCTTTTTCTTGTTAACCATATTCCTTGGTAGTCATTTTGTTACTGTTATGACTACCAAGTCTTTAGTTCTAGTTCAGACTTACGTATCTACTTACCTTCTGTAAACTCTTAGTATTTGTTACGTATCCTCATATACAGTGTGTCCCTAATTTCTCCCTTTCCCACAATTTATTCTTAGATTCGCAGTAATTGACAGCACTGTTCTTCCTAACTTTGCCTTATTCTTAAACATTCTCACCCACCCACCCATTGAGAAATCTTGGGCTCTTTCTCCTAGCACTCATTGAAATTCAGATTCTCTCTCTCTGTTTTAATTGTAAAAATCTTTCGTGGAGATTTCACTTACTGAAATTCAGGTCATCTCTCTCCGTTTGTTAATTTGTAAAAATCACTGTATTGCTCAGACTGGTCTCAAACTTTTGGCCTCAAGCAGTCTTCTGGCCTTGGCCTCCCAACGTGCTGGGATTACAGGTGCGAGCCACCGTACCTGGCCAGGTTCTCTTGAAATAATCTCCTGATTATCTTCTTACCCAGTCTATCCGCTTAACAGTGGCATCATTATACCATTTAAATTGAATTGTGTCGGCTCCTTGCTTAGAAACTTCTAGTGGTTTTTTAAACATCCAGATGATAAAGTCCATGCTTAGATTATAGCAAGCACTTGACAGGATGGTTGCAGTCTGTTTTACTAGCTTGGTCTCCATCCGTTGCACTCTTAATTCTCTGTAATTCATCTGTTGCAAACTTGGACATTTGTTAGGACTTGCCATTATCTTTCCTGTCCTGAGCTTTTGCTAAATAGAACATGTTCTTTCTTTCATTGCTGTCCTGTTGAATCCAATACTCTTTTGTTACAACACTTAAACATTGTAATTTCAGTTTTTTCACTTAGATTATATCCCCTCTAGGGCTCAACATTATGTTTTACTGTATTTTGTACTTTGTTCACCTTCTAACCCTTCCCTCCATGCAGTTTGATGCTAATTGTCTTATGTTCATTTTAGTTTATTCCTTAAAACAACACTGGTGAGGGAAGGTAATATCTCTTATCTTAGAAATGAAGAGCCTAAACATTACCCCAATTCAAACGTGTGGTGTTAGAGGCAGCTTCTCCACAACACTGTTCTTTCCTCAAAACCAAATGTAATGAAAGACATAACATACAGCACATCTATGTCAGTTCGGACGCTCGTAATGTAAAATTTCTGACAGAGTAGATTCGAGTTTAAATTTCACGAAGTGTGTTTGCTAATCACAAGCATGTGCATAATTTATATATAGTATTCTTAAACTTGTAGGAAGAAACTCGATTACCTACCATGGAATTATCTGTTTTTATAGGGGAAATTGTGCAGTCTTTCCAAGTACTTCTCCTTGTATGTTAATTGAAGACTGTTACATCCTTAGATAAGTTTTATAGCAACTTTAATCTTTACAGATTGTTTTCCATTTAGTCTGTTTAGATTGTTCATTTAGATTGTTCTCCATATTTCTGAAATGTCCATTTGACATATTTTTTTTCTCAACGGAGACATCCATGTTATTTAAATTAAGCTTTCTATTGACTCTTCTCATCAGTAGATGATTAAAATGATTAAAACAAGTAAAATTAGTGATTTTACTTGTTTAGGTTTTTCTTAACAACTAAATAATTTATATTAAGCGCTGATGGTTCAAATCAGGTTGGCCTGTTGTTCTTAAGCACTGATAGTATAGCTGAGCTGTGTCTAAAGATGTCAGTGGTTGATGCTGTGTATAAGAGCAGAGTCTTTGTCTTTCTTAACCACTGCTCTATTCCTAGTGCTTGACAGATAATAGGCAGTGTGTAAATATTTGTTGTAGATGCCTATACAACAGTGTGTAAATGTTGGATGGATGCCTATACTACATGTGTGTAATGGATGTTGTATAGGCATCCATGTTCTATGTGTTAAAATATTTGTTGTAGATGGATGCTACAAGAACAGGTGTTGAGAGTTGGGAGCACTTGCACTGGTCATGGTTTTTAAAAAAGTATTTGGAGAAAAAGAAGTTTGTGTATGTGTTGTGCATCTGATTAAAGCATACCAGCAATGGATTTAGATCTGTTTGATGCCAGTGTGTCATTTGAGAGAAAGAACCTAAGGTGAATTCAAGTTTTGTGCCTGCATGAGTAGTCAGAACGGTAGAGAAAGCTGCAGAGCTCTTTTATTTTTGCAGAGAACAGTCTTGATGTTAGGTAGAGTGAAACAAGGGAGTGAGGTGACCCCATTTAGGTCTATAGTTGTTTGTTAGGGTAACATTTGAACATCTATGTATGATCACTTTATTGGACCACCATACAACAAGTAGAGAAAGTCTGATACACCAAAAAAATACAAAATTGAATTTTATCAGTTGGCACCCAAATGGCCATTTTAAACCTGCTCTAACTCTGCCATCCCTTCTAGATTGGTGAAATGACAAAATAGGAAACGTGGGTCCTTATTGTTTGCTATGACCAAGTTGTCAGGAGAGTTTAATATCCTTATTCAGTAAGTTCTCTATTTAGTGATTTAGAATTATGATTTATTAGCAGAGATAAATTTGAAAACAAAACAAAGTAGCCATAGAATTAGACCTATTTAGTAATCTCAAGCTAGCTCTCCGTATGAACATGTGTAAATAATCACATACTCACATGCTGGTGCCATATGTAAAGGGCAGGACAGACTAGTCGTTTTAATATGAGGTGTGAGTCAGTCACTTGAAGTAAAATTTCCTTCTGTTTTTATGCTATCTGTAGACTAAATGACAATTGAATGAACTCAAAAACTTCAGTATGTGTTAAAGCTAGGCTCTTATAGCTGATGTAGATGGTCATTAACTGGCAGTGGTAGTGGGCCAACTTCAGCACTCAGTTGCTTTGCTTTAAAATAATTTTTAGGCTTACTAAATATTCATGAAAAGTTAGAAAGATTGGCCATAGTTATTCAAATATTTATTGAATAATCGAATAACTTAGTGTAGGAATTTAGTCTTAGTCATTAAATTTAACTAGGTTTAGTCAACTTAATGAAGAAATAACTGATAAAAAATATTAGGAAATATTGTTTGTAATTTGAGGGTAAGGAAAGTCTTCATCAAGACCCAAAATGGATTTGTCTTTTTAAAAATTAATAAATTTGACCACATAGACATTTAAAACTTCTTTATAAAAAGTACAATAAACAAAGGTTGAAAGATAAGTATCAGACAGGAGAAAATACTTGCGACATGTAACAGGATACATTAAAGATACATAAAAAGATACATACAAAGCAGAATGAAAAAGACAATCCAATAGAACAGTGGACAATCCAATGAACAGAAAATTAGAGAAGAGCTGTTGCACCATATACAAAAATTCACCGAGAATGGATCAAAGACCTAAATTTAAGAACTAAAACACCGAGGCTCTTGGAAGAAAACAAAATCTAAATGGTATTGGAGTTGGCCATGATTTCTTGAAATATGATAACCAGAGCACAGGCAACAAAAGAAAAAAATAGGCACATTGGACTTCGTCAGTATTAAAAACTTGTACATCAAAGGGAGTGAAAATGCTATTCATAGAATGAAAATATTTGTAAATCACGTATGTTGATAAGGGATGAATGAATATATGTAGAAGTCCAGCTTAACCATGTAAAACAACACGGTTCATAAATGGGCAAAGGACTCGAATAAACATTTCTGCAAAGAAGATATCCTGGTGGCCAGTAAGCACATGAAAAGATGGTCAGCCTCCTTAGTCATTAGGGAAATGCAATTCAAAAGCCATAATGAAATACCACTTAATACCCATTAGGATGACTATTATAATTAAAAAATGGAAATAGGTGTTTTGGAGGGTATGAAAAAATTGAAACCCTTGTACATTGTTGGTAGGAATGTAAAATGATGCAGCTACTCTGGAATACAGTTCGGCAGTTCTTCAGAAAGTTAAACAGAATTATGTGTAGGATCTGGCAATTCCATTTCTAGATACATACCCAAAAGAAAGGCAGAGACTCAAAACATGCTTACATGCGGGTGTTCCTAGTAATTCACAACAGACAAACATTAGATAGAAACAATCAAGTGTTCATTAGCAGATGAAAGGATACGACGTGATACATAGACTAACAATACAATATTCAGCCTTCAAAGGGAGTGAAATTCTGATACATGCTACAACATGGATGAACCTTGAGAATATTACATGAAATAAGCCAGGAGCAGGACACATATTTTATGATTCCACATATACTAGGGTACCCAGAATGGTCAAATTCATACAGACAGAAACTGGAATAGTAGTTACCAGGGACTGTTTGGTGGTGTCCGGGGTGGGAGTGGGTGTTAAGTTTCTGTTTGGGAAGATGAAAATGTTCTGGAGACGTATAGTGGTGATAGTTGCACAGAAATGTGGATGTACTTAAAGACACTGCATTATACTTGTAAAATGGTTAAAATAGTAAGTTTGATGCTGCGTATACTTTACCAGGGTAAAAACAATGCAAGAGAAAGATTGCCAGTGCATGCTGAAAATTAAGATTACTAGGAGGATATTTTTCACTCTTGAGACTAATGACAACAATTGAATGTTGGGAAGCACAGTATGTGGGAGTGTGTAAGTGGGTCTTGCTAGTAGGGGATGTCACTTTAGCAAAATCTGTTGGAAGTTGCTTATCTTTTGTGTGTATTAACATGAAGATTTTCTCAGTTGAATAAAACAAGTTAAAGAATACTTTCTTTGTTGTAAAACAGCATATTTATATACATTTATAAATGCATTAAGTTCTAGAAGGATACATGAGTAAAAATATGAATTTAAAAATTAAAGTCACAGATTTAGGTGTTGTCACCTACCTACCTTATGGTTTTTTCCTACTACACTTACATACCTCTTCATAATCTGCTCTATGTTTCCCATGTAACACCACTATTACAAAATAGATAAAGCAGGCTGCCTTTGTAGCAGTAATTTGAGTTTCATGTGTCCCCATGTCCTGCTCAGTATTACAGCAACTGTCAAAACACAACAGGAAAGTAATGATTAGAAGTGCACTTATTACCAGTATCATTTTAGATCTTCTGTATATTGAAAAGGATTTGAGATACCAGAAAAATATAGGTAAGAAATAAAGTTTGACTTTAGTTTATGCTCTTTACAGTAGTTTGCAAGGGTACCTATAACAAGAGTTGAAGTGATAATATTTTAAACCCTAGAAAGAGGTTATAGCAACAGATTTTTATGCGTCTAGTCTTTGGTAGGCTGCCCTGCCCCAGCAGAATTTGGAAATACAAGTGAATAATTTATAATTATAAAGCATTAAGAAGTTTTGTCTCTTAAATACATAGAATTTAAAATCAAAGGGTGATATTTACAGCACATATCAAATAATTGGTCAGATATACAAGTCACAGAAATGTCAAATGGGAGAGTGAAGGAAAGTTTAAAATAGCTTAGGAAGAGATCACAAAATATCCTTTGAAAGATCATAGGCACACACAAGTCAACACTAGAGCTAAAACCAGATATTATTCCATTACTAAAGAGTGATTTTGAAAGACCATTTAAAGTAGGAGTATCCAATCTTTTGGCTTCCCTGGGCCACATTGGAAGAAGAAGAATTGTCTTGGTCCACACGTAAAATAAACTAATGATAGCTGATGAGCTTTTAAAAAAATTGCATGTTTTAAGAAAATTTACAAATTTGTGTCGAGCCACATTCAAAGCTGTCCTAGGCTTCATGTGGCCCGTGGCCCATGGGTTGGACGAGCTTGATCTATAGTAGTCTAGGTTTCCTTAATGCTTGGAAAAGTTTGCATTGAAGCAGTGAGAGTAGGGCTGATATATTCTTCAAGCGCAGAAGAAAGCATTGAACTGACTTTTTAATGAAAAACACTACATTCTCTCACGTAAATTCATTCTTTGTGTTTAGCTCTTTTCAAAGATGTGGATTTTCTGTTTATGTTCAGTTTGTTGCAAACATGTAAAACATGTTATTAAGCATATTAGCCTCATATCCTAACAAATTAGACAAAAAGGTTTCAGACAAATGAAGTTGTTAATTAAAATTATGTATTTGTAGGCCAGGTGCGGTAGCTCACGCCTGTAATCCCAGCACTTTGGGAGACTGAAGCAGGTGGATCCACGAGGTCAGGAGATCGAGACCATCCTGGCTAGCACGGTGAAAACCCCATCTCTACTAAAAATACAAAAAATTAGCCGGTCGAGGTGGCAGGCGCCTGTAGTCCCAGCTACTCGGGAGGCTGAGGCAGGAGAATGGCGTGAACCCGGGAGGCAGATCTTGCAGTTAGCTGAGATTGCACCACTGCACTCCAGCCTGGGTGACAGAGCAAGACTCCGTCTCAAAAAAAAAATATATATATGTATGTATGTATATATATATATATATATATATATATGTATATATATATATATTTCTATACTAAAAGTACACTGATTTTTTTTAAGTTATTCCAAAGTTTTGTTGCCTTTGTGTTTACAAAAGGTGGTTTATTTTTATAAGATTATTTAAAATAAGTTTAAGTTAAATTTGTCTCTACATAGTGTTACTTAGCTTTATGAATATAGCATAAAATGAGCTATTCATCGTTTTCTTTGACTGTTACGTCGATGGAAGTGTAAGGCCTACCTTCCCAGCATTATCAGGTGTTTTTTTTTTTTTTATTGTTTAGCATTATCAGTTTTGAGGCCAATCAAGATGATTGGCCTAGAAGTTAAATGCGAATGCATGTGTACATGCTCCTGTTACCTGTATTGAAGAATGCTGTCATTAACTGGCACCCAGGCAGCAAGTGTATGTTGATGCCATTTTGGTGCCGAGTCCTGTTTTCTACAAGGGCTACAGAGAAAAGTACAACAAGGCCCGGCGTGGTGGCTCATGCCTGTAATCCCAGCACTTTGGGAAGCCGAGGTGAACAGATCAGTTGAGGCCAGGAGTTCGAGACCAGCTTGGCCAATATGGCAAAATCCCATCTCTACTAAAAATACAAAAAATTCGCTGGGTGTGGTGGCATGCACCTGTAATTCCAGCTGAGGCAGGAGAATCACTTGAACCCGGAGGCAGAGATTGCAGTGAGCCAAGATCACGCCACTGCGCTCCGGCCTGGGTGACAGAGAACGACTGTATCTCAGGAAAGAAAAGATACAACACAATTCCTCTCCCGAGGAAGCTCATGTTCCTAGTACAAAGGAGGGATAATAAATGTTATGTAATAGAAGATACTGAGTAATACACTAGATTTGTGTAAGGGCACTCCAAACCAAAGGGGAGGGGCACCCAATCAACACTTTAAATATAAAACTTCTACCTTTTATACTATTTCAGTGATAAAACTAAAACTACCTCTCAGAATAGCATTTTATGTTTGTATTATTAAACTCAGCTTTTAGTATTATACATGTAGATTGAGGCATGTAACATAAGAAATATGTAAATAACTTACAACATGCTTTGGAAGGACGTTTGTATGTGTGTCTTTGGTTGAGAGAGTGGAGCAATAAAAAAAGTGTAAATATAGCATGCTGAAGACCTGCATGGATAAAAGATTTCGCTTCTGTCCCTGATCGTATCTTTATTCAATTCAGTTCTCCACATTGTGCTATATTTTTTCAATTTTGCTTTATGTTTTTCTTTTGTTTGTTTTTAAAGTTAAAAGGAACCTTGGAGGTTCTCCAGTCTATTTTTGCATAAACAGCAAGTAGTGCCAGAATCACACATAGAACTTCTACAAGTTGTTAGATATGCCCAGGCTTCCGTTCAGTAAATGTGGCTTGGAGCCCAGGTATCTGGTTTGTTTTGTTTTTTAACTTTAGAAGTGATTCCGATGAGCAGTCTGTTGAGGACTAATACCTTTATTAAAAGGTTTAATAAAATCAAACCTTTTCATAGAGAAGTTGTGGCCTTCAGAGATGTCACTTGCCCAAGAGTCCCATAAATATTAAGTAGAATCAACTGGTTTCCACACTACTCACCTGTAATTCCCCAAAACTGCAAAAGAAGTCTATCCTTGGGGTAAATAAACAGAAATTAAGGATGTTTTTGTTATTTTTTGTTAATGATGATGTGTATTTTTTTTATTTTGGAGTATTTTCCCTTTTGCTTGGCTTGATGAGCAACACTGAAGGATTTTTAAGCCCTTCTGCTAATTTTCATGTCTCGTAGATTTGGTAGCACCAAATAAAATTGTAAACACCTTGCACTTTCTTCTCCAACTTGTTTCTGTTAAAAGCAGAAGAAAATTTACAGAAATAACAAAGAATGAGGATAATTTCAGGGGGATATTAATACTAGTTTAATTCATGCAGTAAGTAGAAATAAAGAGTTTATTTCATTATTAATATTAATCAGGATGCCCCCAAGTTGTGTGTGAAAGAACCTTTAAGAGGGATGTGATCTGGAGAATACTGCTAATATGCTCTATAATTGATTGCCCCATAAAATACAATAGCTGACAGCAGTTTTTTGGTTTTTTTTTTTTTTAGACAGGGCCTCACTCCCATTGCCTAGGCTAGATTGCAGTGGCTGAATCACGGCTTAATGCAGCCACGACTTCGTGGCTCAGGTGGTTCTCCCACCTCAGCTTCCTGAGTAGCTGGGACCACAGGCGCAAGCCACCACAGCTGGCTAATTTTTTGTATTTTTAGTAGAGACGGGGTTTTGCCGTGTTGCCCAGGCCGGTCTTGGAAATCCTGGGCTCAAGCCTTGCAAAATGCTGGGATTATAGGCGTGAGCCACCACGTCCATCTGACAGCAGAATTTTCGCAAGGAAAACATTTATCGTTTTATTTGAGTTTCTTTATGCTTGTCTATGAATCCAGAACAGTAAAGCTGAAAATAATAGGCAGTCTGCTGGATTCAAGCACCTTCCTTTAAAAGTGTATACCCTTACGCAAATAAAAATATCTTAGTCCTTCTGAGTTCATCATGGTTAATCAACACATTTTTGAAATGTACTTAAATCAGCTGTGAGATCCACACTTTAGAGAGCTATTATCCCTAGTTCTTTCGACCATTATAGTAGTGTAAAAAGACTCATAGGGGAGTCTGTTTTCAATAAGCTTGCTAGTACTGTATATATGATCTTGAAAATCTTAAAGAAATAGGTTGTTTCTAGTTTTATACTAAAAGCAAACAGAGTGCTGTTGTGATAGTCTTTGAATTTTCTCCTGATTTACATATATCTGAGTTTCACTGAGGGTGTGTACCTAAAGGGGAATTACTGGGTCATGTAGTGTTCGTATCTTCAACTTTTCTAAATAATGCCAAATTACTTTCCAGTGTGGTTATATCAATTTATTATCCATCAGAAATGTTGAGTAAATGTTCTCATTACTCTTTGCCAACATTTGGTATGTCTGACTTTAAAATTTTTGCATTATGGTGAGTGTAAAGGGTTATGTTGCTTTATTTTACATTGTCCTGATTCTGAATGAAGTTGAGCATCTTTTCTTGAATTTCCTAGGCATTCAAGTTCCTTCTTTGAAATAATGTCTTCTGTACATTTTTCTATTGGGCAGTTTGTCTATTTTGACGTATAGAAATTCTTTAAATAGTCTGATTACCACTACTTTGAATATAATTGTTCTGCTTTTTGTAACTTTACACATCTGCTTGGTGTTATGGATACCTTTCTGTGTTTTCCTCTAAGAGTTTTAAAGACTTAAATACCTACACAAAAGTTCAGTCTACCTTTAACTGGCTTTGTTTTAAATGTAAGTTTTTATATTTGGCAGGGCATGTCCTGCTGGCAGTGTTCTTTTTCTTCAGGTTATGGAATCTTCAGGATTTATGTTACTAGCTTGTCAAATAGTATTAACAGTGCTCTTGGGGCTTTGATTACAGTTACATTAAATCTATATAAATAATTGAAACAACAGCTTTCAAATAATTTTCCATGCGTATTTTATACATCCTTTATTTCTAAATACTATGAGGTGGGTTGTTTTTAATATTAAAGTGTCCTTTTTAATAATCTTAAAATGAAACAAATAGCTCATTGCCTTATATATTGAATTACAAAAGGGAAGTATGTAGTTACAAAACTCAGTTATTAAGTATAAAAGTCTCTTCTCATCACATCTTTAGCCCATTTTGGGTGTAACCACCTTGGTGTACCTACCCTGATTTGTATTAAGACCAGTGTCTTATTGAGGTAGGTTGTTACTGTGGCCATAAACATTTTTCACCTTATTTCATGAGATATAAATTAAATCCTGTAGAATTATATTGTCCTTTTATCCTAATGGAAGCTTATTTGAATGTGTGGTTAATAAATAATTATCTTTGAGATAGCATTGGTGGTAGACAGATTGGTACTTTTCAAATCAGATATGGGTATGATTTACCAGGTTTTATGGCTTCAGGTTATCTAACCTTTCTTGTTCAGCTTTCTTACCTATGAAATAGGGTGAGAAATGTCTAAATCATTATTCTAGTCATGTGAATGTTTACTGAGCATCTTCTGTGTGCTCCAGTGTGTAAGGGTTAAATGAGATTACTTACGTTAGGTGCCTGGCACATGAGAGGTGTTCCTTTGATGTTTGTTCCAATTTTCTCTATTCAGGTAATTTTTCAGGCTGATTATCTTTTTATTTAGAATCTACATCAGGAGACAAACCCGTATCACATTCTTGCACAACTCCTTCCACGTCTTCTGCCTCTGGACTGAACCCCACATCTGCACCTCCAACATCTGCTTCAGCGGTCCCTGTTTCTCCTGTTCCACAGTCGCCAATACCTCCCTTACTTCAGGACCCAAATCTTCTTAGACAATTGCTTCCTGCTTTGCAAGCCACGCTGCAGCTTAATAATTCTAATGTGGACATATCTAAAATAAATGAAGGTAAATCTTCATAACAGTTTTTTAAAAATTTATTTGCATTGTGCAAAGTTATGTAAGTAGTAAAATCCCCAGTTTAGGAATGGTCTTTGTTTTCTTTTGAAATTTATAGTTGAACACTTTTTTTTGTTTTGTTTTTTGTTTTTGGAGTTTGGAAATTTATATCCACTGTAGTTTAAGACCATTGGTAGTATAATTGAGTTAGTGGTGCTTGGATCTTGTGTATATTTTTCAATACTTGTTATGTGTCTGGTAGTTACTGGAGGTAAGCCATTCTATATACATAATGTGTATGGTGAAATTTTACATTAAAACAATCGAGCGTTTGTTGAAATCGGTATTAAAACTTCTGGTATGTTTCTAAAAAACCTGTATAAATAATTACTCAGAATATTTAAAATATGCTAATTACTAGAAAAGTAGGAATTCAGGTAGCTACTTAAAATACTTTCAAAAAATTCTGAGAAGGGAGGAGATAGGTACTAGATAAAATGTTGCCATTTTTTTCCTGGTGAATTGCATTATTTAATTCCAGCCTTGCTTTTCAGTAATGCTACTTACGTTTCAGAATATTTAGTCAGCCACTTTGAAAAAGTATGAATAAAAGTAGATGTGTTAATTTGGAAACTATTCAGATTCACACGTTAATTCCTAAAAGCACTGCAAAATTTTCTGTTGAAAATGATAAATTTTTAGGCCGAGGCGGGTGGATCACCTGAGGTCAGGAGTTTGAAACCAGCCTGACCAAGATGGTGAAACGCTATCTCTAATAAAAATACAAAAGTTAACCAGGCGTGATGGCACATGCCTGTGAATCCCAGCTACTCGGGAGGCTGAGGTACGAGAATCGCTTGAACCCAGGAGACGGAGGTTGCAGTGAGCTGAGATGGTGCCTGTACACTCCAACCTGGCTGACAGAGCAAGACCCCATCTCAAAATAAATAAAAATAAAGTGATCAATTTTTATGTACATTTTCACATAATATACTTAAAAGTAGTGTTAAGTGGTTAAGTTCTTATCCTAAAAATAAAGCTATCTCAGGCTAGTTGGTCATTAGTCTGTTCTTACTGTCCTTAATTTTTTTGTATTTTTATTTTATTCTCTAACCACGCAGTTCTCTTGTGTGGTAGGTAAATGTTTCATTTAGGCAAAGTGGGGCTTTTAGATAGTTTGAGGAGGCCAGATGCAGTGGCTCATGCCTGTAATTCCAGCACTTGCTGAGGCTGGTGGGCCACTTAAGCCCAGACCAGCCTGGGCAACATGGTGAACCCCATCTCTACTAAAAATACAAAAACTTAGCCAGGTGTGGTGGTGAACGCCTGTAGTTCCAGCTACTTGGGAGGCTGAGGTGGGAGAATAACTTAAGCCTGGAAGGTGAAGGCTATGGTAAGCTGTGATTGCACAACCCTGTCTCCAAAATAAATAGTTGAAGAAATAATAGTTAATGTCAATAATAAAATATCTTACACATCAAAAATACATGGTATTCCTAAATACTTTTTTTTTTTTTTTTTTTTTGAGATGGAGTTTTTGCTCTTGTTGCCCAGGCTGGAGTGCAGTGGTGCAATCCCGGCTCACTGCAACCTCTGCCTCCCAGGTTCAAGCGATTCTCCTGCCTCAGCCTCCCTAGTAGCTGGGATTACAGGCACCTGCCACTATGCCCAGCTAATTTTTTGTATTTTTAGTAGAGACAGGGTTTCACTATGTTGGGCAGGCTGCTCTTGAACTCCTAACCTTAGGCGATCCACCTGCCTCAGCCTCCCAAAGTGCTGGGTGTGAGCTACCATGTCCGGCCAATACTCCCTTTTTTGTATCCATTTTTAGATTTATTAGGGTGGATCTTGATATAGGATTTGAATGGCCAGCTTGTCTAAAAGGGCAATCACATGAAATAGCAGTTGTTTATCCAGTTAATTCCATATAACATACTGAACACTCACATATGAATAGGTTTCTGACATAATTGGAAGTTCCTGTGAACACTCGTTAAATTTTGTAGAGAGACTTTGTTCAGGTGATCATCTTAATTAGTGTAAAAGAAACTCTGTTGGTTTACCTTTATTGTAAACCCATTAAGTTTCTTTTTCTCTGCCTCAGATCATTTCAAATTTGGGACCCATTGTATTACTCCTATCTAGTAGGCTTTTATTTTGAGAGTTCTAGGTTGAAATATTCCAGTTTCTTGTGAGTTCTCTTCCTTGTCAGGTTGTTACTAATGCCACATAAGCCTCTTGTTTTTATATGAATGTATGAAATAATATGTTTTTAGTTCTTACAGCAGCTGTGACACAAGCCTCACTGCAGTCTATAATTCATAAGTTTCTTACTGCTGGACCATCTGCTTTCAACATAACGTCTCTGATTTCTCAAGCTGCTCAGCTCTCTACACAAGGTATTCTTACTCATCTTAGATATCTCTAGAATGGCATCTTGATTTTGTTTTGGAATTAATAGCCCTTTTTTGTATTTAGTTTTTTCTTTCATTTTTTTTTTTAGTTTTTTAAGAGATTAGCTACAATAATTTTGTTTTTTTTGTAACACTGGCATATACAGTAGTATTTTTATTTCCTTTCTTTTTAGATGAAGCAAGCTTTGACATTTGTCTTAAGGTATTGCCATCAAATCTGTAATTATTTAAGACAGTATTTAATTCAGACTTTGTTATTAATGAGTTTTTTTATGCCAAAGCTGAAAGTAAACTATGATGTGCCATATATCTTTGTGAAACATTGCATGTATTTGAAGAGTTGAAGTTTGGTTCAGATTGACGTTAGATGTTTTTTGACTGGATAATATGGAAATGCTCATTTTCTGCCTTGAATTAGATATCCCTCTTCATGAAGGTATCCAAATGGAGAGAGATACACATAGGAGCAAATGGGAAGTGAAAGGGTCACTTTGTCAGAAAGCTGATAAACAGCAGGAATGCCTTGTCTGGAATGGAAGTATAATGGTGCAAAGACTCTTGCAACCCTCTGGCTAGCCTCATGAGCAGGAGACTGCGTGGGATACCTGGGCCTAAATGTAGAATAAGAAAGAAGAAATAAGGATGGTGAGGAGGCCTTCCATGTGAGATTAGGTTCAGGCCTAGCTTCCTGTTCCAGCCACATAAAGGAGAGTGGGCCACACTGGGTGTGCTTACCTCTGAACACACAGCTCACTTAGTCAGTGTGGCCCAGTGAGAAGGTCAGATTCTGATTTATTCCAATAAGTGTTCTCTGGGTAATATGGGGGTGGGGGGGTTTAGAGTAATACAAATATCTTTGCCACATATATTACAAAGGACTTTAGTTTTTTGTTTTGTTTTGTTTTTCTTTAAAATTAATTGCTTCCCTCTTTTACAGCCCAGCCATCTAATCAGTCTCCGATGTCTTTAACATCTGATGCGTCATCCCCAAGATCATATGTTTCTCCAAGAATAAGCACACCTCAAACTAACACAGTCCCTATCAAACCTTTGATCAGTACTCCTCCTGTTTCATCACAGCCAAAGGTATGTCACCTTTGAGGGACATTCGGAAAAGAAACTACTTACTTTTGGAAAGTCAATAACATTTTAGAATCTGTTATAGAAAAAGCCCTCTGAGAATGAGGTGTAGTGGTGGAATGAATGACAGGTATGATAGTAGATGCAGCCTAGAATTTCTCAGTTCACTGAGGGATAGAGGGGGGCTTTGAATCTGTGCTACTTTAATAAACCATCTGAGTCTGTTCCCTAATGGTTTTGGGATTTGTCACATGGAGAGTGAGATAAAGAGGATATACTGAGTCTTAATATTTGTAGAATTTTCAAACTCCAAAAGACATGAATGAACATGTTTTCCAGTGACTTTTCCATATTTGTATTTCAAAAATGAGGCAGTTTCTGTGCTAAGAACTTAATGTATGTTTAGCTTTCACATCGTGAGAATCACTTGCTTTATTTAATAGATGAGAAAATCAAACTCTCAGTTAAGTTTTTGTGGTAGAGTCAGAATTTGAAACCTAGGTGTTTGTGAATACAGGGACCCATTTTACTAAGCTTATATTGCCTGTATTTGTCCCAGCAGAATCTTACATGGTTGGCTCCATAGGTGCAGTTAGAAAATTGCTGGTCTAAATGGTAAATGTAGGGGGAATTTCTTTTGAGTAGTTTTGAAACAGTGGGCTGTTTCAGACTTTTTAATGCCAAATAATTCTTTGTAAGATATTAAGCAGAAGCCCAAAAATAAAAATGCATTGAAATATAACTTGAAAGAGGTGGTTGGTCAGCTTTTAAGTCTTCCCGTTTGTTCATCCCTTCCCTACCTTGGCCATTGATCATTGCATGTTTTAGGGTCAATTTAGATTGATTTTTAAAATTCCAAGTTACAGTTGTTAGTTTATTATGCAGTTCCTTATCATTTGCCAGTATTTTAAGGAGGAAAGAATTAAAATGTGAGTTTTGGCAAAAGAGATGTTATTTTTGGAGCTTAGAACTTGTCTTCAGGGTGGCATTTTAAGAGTATAGTAAATAGTGGTTAAAAGTGAAATAAGTGGTAGTATTGGTTTTATAGTCACTTGTAAACTGAGCATTTCAACTCCTTTAAGAAGGCTGGGCGCGGTGGCTCACAGCTATAATTACAGCACTTAGGAGGCCAAGGCAGGAGGATTGAATTAGGCCCTGGGCAATATAGCAAGACCCCATCTCTACAAAAATAATTTGAAAATTTGCTGGGGGAGGCCGAGGCAGGCAGATCACTTGAGGCCTAGAGTTTGAAACAAGCCTGGCCAACAGGCAAAACCCGGTCTCTACTAAAAGTACAAAAATTATCTGGGTGTGCTGGCACAGACCTATAATCCCAGCTACTCGGGCGGCTGAGGCATGAGAATCACTTGACCTGGGAAGTGGAGGTGCAGTTGAGCCAAGATCACGGCACTGCACTCCAGCCTGGGCAAGAGAGTGAAACTCTGAAAAACTTTCTTGGGCATGGTGATGTGCACTACTCAGGAGGCTGAGGTAGGAGAATCACCTGCGCCTGGGAATTCAAGGTTGGAGTGAGCCAAGATCACGTCACTCTGCACTTGAGAGTAGGCAACCAGACTAAGACCCTGTCTGGAAAAAAAAAATCCTTTAAGCAGGTAGCTGTTCGTTTTTTGTGTTCCAAAAACTTCTTCAAGTTGTTTTTAAAATAATTGAACATTTGAGCTTTTATGTAGTGCTTATAAAATGTTCTTTATAAGACTTGACTAGAATTGATAGGTAATATTCAGAAGTTAAGCAGGACATTCCAGATTTGTTAGGGAGAATTATTAATCATATCCCCTCACCCCACCAAAAGAAAAACAGCAGTGAGGTGTGACTTAATCACAAAGGACTCCATCTGCCTTTGTGCCTCAATTTAGAGCTTATATTTTAAACTGCTTTTCTCTATGTGGCTTCTGAATATAATACATATCCTGATTGGCAATCATGGACTTCAGTCTACCTCTGTAGAGTAACATCTCTTTGAAAAACTCTCATGTTGAACTTTATATGGGCCATAACTCATTTTCTGATAGCCCAATCACATATTTCTCCATATCATTAAAATCTAAGCATCCATATGTGTATGATGTGGTAGCATACATAATTTACTTTTATTGATATAAAAGTAACAGTAAATCAGAAGAGATAATAATGTATTGGAAAGAAAACTGAGCTGTAAAGGAGAACTAGTTACTTTTTTTTTTTTTGAGACGGAGTCTCGTTCTGTCGCCCAGGCGGGAGTGCTGTGGCGCGATCTCCGCTCACTGCAAGCTCCGCCTTCCGGGTTCACGCCATTCTCCTGCCTCAGCCTCCCGAGTAGCTGGGACTACAGGCGCCCGCCACTGCGCCCGGCTAATTTTTTGTATTTTTAGTAGAGACGGGGTTTCACCGTGGTCTCGATCTCCTGACCTCGTGATCCGCCCGCCTCGGCCTCCCAAAGTGCTGGGATTACAGGCGTGAGCCACCGCGCCCAGCCCTAGTTTGATAGGGAAGTAATTTTATGACCTTGGGCCATTTTCACAAAGAAATGAGATCTAAGTTTCAGAACTTGACTGCCACATTTTACATGTTTCAAGACGATTACCTAGATTTTGGGGGGAGAGATGTGGATTAGATTTGGAGACCATCTCACCAGATTTTGACATTTCAGGTTAGTACTCCAGTAGTTAAGCAAGGACCAGTGTCACAGTCAGCCACACAGCAGCCTGTAACTGCTGACAAGCAGCAAGGTCATGAACCTGTCTCTCCTCGAAGTCTTCAGCGCTCAAGGTAGGTTGATATTGTATATTGAGACCACATTGTTTTATTTAATGATGGTACACTGCATTGTTTGAATATTATATCTGTAAAATAGAACTTAACCTTTAAACTCCATGAATACCCTAAAGTAGGCTTACATGTTGTAAAATTTACAAAGACAAACCTGTATACAAGAGGTAGGTTATTGTCTCTAGTAGTGAAGCCCGGGTTATTTTGAAGAAAGTGGCTCTTTAAAATTTTACACAGTGGAATATGACGGGGCTAAAGATTTGTGATACTTGTACCAGAAAGGCACACGATTTTACAATATTTGTTGGAATTACCTTACTTTTTAACCTCCTCATAGCAGTTTTGGTTTGAGTATATTGATGAAAGCCAAAGTCTGGTATCTAAAACTTGGGCCAATGTTTCCCAACTGGTATATGTCAGGCTTTCCCAATAGCTTAACTGTGACCCTATACGGATGGCTTTTTAGATAGTTCTATACTGCTGTATTGTGTTAGCACTTTTCTTTGTTCATTAACAACACAACTTTAAATGACATTTGTTGAATGAATGGTTTTCATTTGATTGATTTTCCTGTTTTTTATTTCATGCTATGAGGTAGCAAAATAATTCAACTGTTGTTTTTATTGTTGTTTTCTAAACAAGCATTTCAGAACTTACACCTCCAAATGAGAGTTGTTCCCTTCAAAATAATGACCTTGGGAAGCTGTCTACTTACTCCAGCAATGTTGCCATTGCTCTGAACATTTTTGGGAAATTCTTCTTTTAAATTGTTTTTAGAGGCTGCAGTATTATTTTAAATATCCTCAGTGATGAAAACTCTTCATCCTTTGGGAGATTTAGTTTTTGGAAATAACTGAAATTCATTCAGAGCCAAGTCTGGTGAAGCAGGTAGGAGATCAACTTGGGTGATTAAATTTTTTGGTTCTCACCACCATATCCCCAACCCTGGCCCAAACCATTCAGTTTTAAAAGAAGATAAAGAATCTCAGAGTGTTATTTTTTTGGTTTTGTTTTGCCACTGTGCTTGTTCAGTGCTATCCAATAAAATGTCTGTATTTTGCTTCACATTATTTCACCCTCTGATTCAGCAGTTCTGACGTTGAACAAAGGCAATATATATTTTCCCCTTATCTAGATGTGTATGAGCAGTCTTCAGATGTGCATCTACAGCTGTTAAAATGTGACTTTTTTTAGTTATATTATTAGTGTTTGTGGTACACAAAGTTAACAGGTTCTGCTCTCAGATTTGGAGAGTAGTTTACATTTGACTCTGACAGTAGTGTTAAAAGGGTTTTTTCCCCCTAAAGTGTTTTGAGGAATCATATACTTTGGATTATTAATTCTCTTTATTTGACATTAAAATAACAAATTTTTCTTAGGAATTTGGATATCTTTAAGTTAATAAAAGGTATTAACATGCAGTTTCTAGGATAAGGATACCCAGAAACTACTTTTAAACATACTACACATTCAATTCTGTTTTCTAGTAGCCAGAGAAGTCCATCACCTGGTCCCAATCATACTTCTAATAGTAGTAATGCATCAAATGCAACAGTTGTACCACAGAATTCTTCTGCCCGATCCACGTGTTCATTAACGCCTGCACTAGCAGCACACTTCAGTGAAAATCTCATAAAACACGTTCAAGGATGGCCTGCAGATCATGCAGAGAAGCAGGTATGTTATGTACAGCCTAGATTTTACCTTTGGATGATTAGCAAAACAGAATTTAATCAACTTCTAGAGAATCTAATGTGACCACTGAATTCAAGCAATATTTAAAATAATGAATCTCTAACTTTGTAGTCATTTAAAAAATATTTGATATATAAGATAACTTTTCTGGTTTTACAAAATATTTTAACATAATTATAGGCACTGTTGTCAAGTACTCAGCAGTTAGCTCAGTGCTTAATGCCTTATATTTATTTTCTCTACTTCTTAAAACAGCTAAGCAGTGTAGATAGAGTTGAAGTCCTTAAGACCAAATAGTGCATAAGACCTTGATCCCAGGGTCACCCAGTTAACAGTGATGTGGCTCAAAGCCAGTGTACTTTTTCCACTCAGCTTCTCTGATAGTTTCAGATTCCATTAGCACTGTTAATCTACTGGCCAAGCGCAGTGGCTCATACCTGTAATCCCAACACTTTGGGAGGCCAAGGCAGGTGGATCACTTGAGGCCAGCCAGGAGTTCGAGACCAGTCTGACCAACATGGTGAAACCCCATCTCTAACCACAAGTATAAAAATTAGCCAGGCATGGTGGCATGCACCTGTAATTACAGCTACTCGGGAGCCTGAGGCACCAGAATTACGTGAACCCAGGAGGCAGAAGTTGCAGTGAGCCGAGATTGCACCACTGTACTCCAGCCTGGGTGACACAGTGAGACTCTGTCTCAAAAAAACAAAAAAAAACCCCACTTAATTTTCTATGACTCTCTCACTAGACTAGCAACTGGAAGTTAGGAAACATTTTTGCTTTGGGATGAGAGACCTTAGGACATTCCAGTTACTGCCATTTGCCTCTTGCTTTTTATCAGATAACTGACCATCTGGGGTGTTCGAAAGTTTACAGAGAATATGTTGTGTGTCTTACGATAGAGGAGTATAGTGAGGCTCTTGAATCAATATCTAATACCTGAACTTGCAGAAATGACAATCTCTTTGGCTGACCCAGCATCTTTTATTAACCACAAATTATGAGTCCTTTCTTAGTGCTGTATTAGCTTCAGGTTGGAAATCCTATTTTCTCCAACTTAGAAGAGAAATATTAAAATAAGTACCTTCCACCCTTAGAGACAGTTTCTTAAAACAAATTAATTTTCCCCATTAGGTTCACCAGCATTTTTGTGTATTGAAGGGAAAAGGATTATTCTCTAATCCTAGTATAAAATTGTACTCAGAAATTTAATGTTTTATTTTGTGTATGTTAATGTTTATATTTTATGTTTTCTTCATTTCTTTAATTACAGGCATCAAGATTACGCGAAGAAGCGCATAACATGGGAACTATTCACATGTCCGAAATTTGTACTGAATTAAAAAATTTAAGATCTTTAGTCCGAGTATGTGAAATTCAAGCAACTTTGCGAGAGCAAAGGTAAGTCTTTCACTGAAATATATTTTTATGTTTCTCAGGATTATGATTCTTAAATCGAACTAAAGAATGTAAATCACATTTTATTTATGAAATGTAAAGTTCTCTTCGATACATTGATCACATTCTATCACTGCATTTTCATAAGTTAATATTTCTCGTGAAGGATAAAGCCTGTCGATTTTCTCTTAACCCATGATGAATGCTTCATTAGACTTTTCTCATAACTCCATAAGCTGCAATAATATATTACTGAAAAAATGAAATATTGACCACAACTAATTATAAATGTCCTCTCTTGCTGAGGGTGTTTCCATTGAAATTTCAGATTATTTGTCCTTGCATCATCAATAGATCCCTTGAAAAGTATAGAAAGAATTTGTCTAGCAAGTTTAGTGTATCTGCTGTCTTAGTATTTTTCACCTGAACTCTTGTCTTGTATTTCTTAATCTAGTGTTTCACTCAAGTAGAATATCTAGGTCACAATAATAATAGCATAGGTATTATTTTTTAATGCCTATTACAGAATTGAGGACAAACTTGGCAATGGCTTTATGTCCTGTCTGTGCAAGTCACAGAGTTACAGGTCGATTGAATCTTGTCAAGAAACCATAAATATTTAGTAAATACCAAATGGAGTTTATAGTACAACTTGAAAAAGTAAGTTTATTTACAGTTACTAAAATATCTGGAGGTACTCTCTGAGTAACAACTTGGGTTCTTATAGTCAGATTGCTCTGAAAGTAGTTCTAACAAACTTCATTTTGGCTTGTTACATCATTCGACTTTTGGGAAATTATTCATTATTGCATCTTAGGAAAACAGTATATACAGTCAAATATCAAGCCAGCCTGATTATGCCTAATTCATGTGTACAGGCAATAAATATTATAGTTCCCAGAAGAGAAGAGTAAAAACAGGAAATATTTTTACGTTCATGGGAATCTGGGTAACTGGGGTTTGTGTGTTTCAACTTTTGGTTTTTGGCTTCATTTTTATGTACCTACATCTACATTGAGAATTGCTCTTCTAAATGATTAATCTCTTACACCTGGTTAATTCTACTCTTTACTGTATAGTGGGCCAGAAAACATGCAGTATAGGTTTATTTCATGTATAATAGCTACTGCTTTCTTTATTGTGATGATACGGTTTATAAAGTAATACATTTTAAGTTGTTAGAGCCAAAGGAATTATTAAGAAATTGTTAGAAAAGGCTGGGCGCGGTGGCTAACGCCTGTAATCCCAGCACTTTGGGAGGCCAAGGTGGGCGGATCACCTGAGGTCAGGAGTTCAAGACCAGCCTGGCCAACATGGCAAAACCCTGTCTCTACTAAAAATATAAAAATTAGCCGGGCGTAAGGACAGGTGCCTGTAATCCCAGCTACTCAGGAGGCTGAGGCAGGGAGAATTGCTTGAACCCGGGAGGCGGAGATTGCAGTGAGTCAAGATTGCACCCCTGCCCTCTAGCCTGGGCAACAGAGCAAGACTCTGTCTCAAAAAATAAAATAAAATAAAAAGTTGTTTGAAAACTAAAACATCCTTTCATCATCCTTATACTTTAATAGATATTATGTATTAAATGTTTACTTTGTCTTAACTGTAAACCAATTTATAGTTAAATAATTTTTTAAATTTCTTTGCCTTAATTAGAAATCACTTGTTTTAATTTAAAAAATTTTAATTATAAAAGCTCGGGTTTTCTGTAATATTTGTATATGTACACAGGTTCTAATGTCTGCTTTTTTTTTTCAGGATACTATTTTTGAGACAACAAATTAAGGAACTTGAAAAGCTAAAAAATCAGAATTCCTTCATGGTGTGAAGATGTGAATAATTGCACATGGTTTTGAGAACAGGAACTGTAAATCTGTTGCCCAATCTTAACATTTTTGAGCTGCATTTAAGTAGACTTTGGACCGTTAAGCTGGGCAAAGGAAATGACAAGGGGACGGGGTCTGTGAGAGTCAATTCAGGGGAAAGATACAAGATTGATTTGTAAAACCCTTGAAATGTAGATTTCTTGTAGATGTATCCTTCACGTTGTAAATATGTTTTGTAGAGTGAAGCCATGGGAAGCCATGTGTAACAGAGCTTAGACATCCAAAACTAATCAATGCTGAGGTGGCTAAATACCTAGCCTTTTACATGTAAACCTGTCTGCAAAATTAGCTTTTTTAAAAAAAAAAAAAAAAAAATTGGGGGGGTTAATTTATCATTCAGAAATCTTGCATTTTCAAAAATTCAGTGCAAGCGCCAGGCGATTTGTGTCTAAGGATACGATTTTGAACCATATGGGCAGTGTACAAAATATGAAACAACTGTTTCCACACTTGCACCTGATCAAGAGCAGTGCTTCTCCATTTGTTTTGCAGAGAAATGTTTTTCATTTCCCGTGTGTTTCCATTTCCTTCTGAAATTCTGATTTTATCCATTTTTTTAAGGCTCCTCTTTATCTCCTTTCTTAAGGCACTGTTGCTATGGCACTTTTCTATAACCTTTTCATTCCTGTGTACAGTAGCTTAAAATTGCAGTGATTGAGCATAACCTACTTGTTTGTATAAATTATTGAAATCCATTTGCACCCTGTTAAGAATGGACTTAAAAGTACTGCTGGACAGGCATGTGTGCTCAAAGTACATTGATTGCTCAAATATAAGGAAATGGCCCAATGAACGTGGTTGTGGGAGGGGAAAGAGGAAACAGAGCTAGTCAGATGTGAATTGTATCTGTTGTAATAAACATGTTAAAACAAACAAAAATTGTTATTTTTCTTTTCCTTCGGTCAGTGCACATTAGCATTTGAACTACCTGGGGATTCTTTATCAGAACTGTTCTTGTTGAATATTTATACTTAATTGAAATAATTCCTTAAGGGAGGTTTTGTTTAAAACGTATTAACAGGAAATTGTGTATGAGATATTTAATGAAATAAGAAATTCAACAAGAATGATTAAGTCACTTCCCAAGTGGTTGTCATTTGTTAAACCCTGGTTTACCTGTCTTGCTATTATGACATTTCATTTGGAAGGATGTTTGTGTTGTAGCTAACTGTTCAAGTCTGGTGCTGACTGCTGTTCTTAGCCATCACAAAACGCTAAATTTGTGTAATTGGAGCTTCCTGCTGTTATCTGGAAATAGCAGGAAAGCGCAGCTTTGTATATTGTTTCCTAAAGTATATTAAAATAAAAAAAGAAACTATTGCTACTATAAAATTACCTTGACTTTTTTTTTCCTTTGCTGAAATATTAGTCACATAGCCTTAGCTTCACACTGCCAGTAATGTATCAAATCACAAGGGTTTCCGCATGAAAAAAATCTTTTCTTCCCCCACAAAAAAACCTTTACCATCAAAATCTTGCCATCTGATTTAGAAAGGTGTTTCTTCTTCTTCTTCTTTTTTTTCTTTAAATTGGTTTAGGGTTTTTTGGTGATTTTTTTTTTTTTTTTTTTTCTGTTGGGGCAGATAAGTGCTTCCAAAACTGGCAGCACCAAGGGCTTATTTTTTATGTTAGACATCAATGTCAATGTTACTACATTCTCGGATGCTAACATAAATTTTGAAATTGCTCTTGTGCTTTAAGCATATATTGAAAGTATGGAAGTTAAATGTTCAGGCTTTTCAGTAAGCTCAAAAAGTTAACTGTAAGCGATAGTGTTGGTGTTTTCTAAAATACAAAAATGTTCCAGTGTAATTAAAAGGAATTAAAATCTTGAAGATATTTTCCTGTAATTTAAGGATACTTTTTAAATGTAAGAAAAGACATGTCATTAATTTATTGTCATGTTTATACCTCTGTGAGATTGTTAACATCTGCTGAATTTAACTAGTGCATGTAAATGAAACCCCAAAGAGCTGTGTGTTCAGCTAGAAACCTTACTGTATCTTTCCTGGAAAGAAGTGAGCAATTTGTTGTAATAGGCAAATGTTTCCTGATCAGATGGCAATTTGTGATTTAGGTAAATTTGAATTTGATTTGCTTATAGTCTACTGGTCTGTGTACCTATGTTTTGTTTTTCAAAAAAGTTTACATCCCTAAATGAATTAGTCACATATATTTAGGAGAAGATGCCTAATTTGGTATTTCTTAATAGTGAATTTTTTTTTTTCTTGAGACAGAGTTTCACTCTTGTTGCCCAGGCTGGAGTGCAATGGCACGATCTCGGCTCACCGCAACCTCTGCCTCCTGGGTTCAAGCGATTCTCCTGCCTCGGCGTTCCGAGTAGCTGGGATTACAGGCATGCACCACCACGCCTGGCTAATTTTGTATTTTTAGTAGAGATGGGGTTTCTCCATGTTGGTCAGGCTGGTCTTGAACTGCCAACTTCAGGTGATCTGCCTGCCTTGGCCTCCCAAAGTGCTGGGATTACAGGCGTGAGCCACCGCTCCTGGCCAGTAGTGAATTTTTAAACACAGAAAATCTAAAATTTTGTGGAAATATTTTAAATATTGCACCTTAATACAAGGTATCCAGCTCCTAACCTTAACTAGGGAATATCTATTAAAATAAGCATAATGTTCTGGACTAGAGTATTCCTTATCTAGTTGGTTATGGATTTGAACATGTACCTTGGTTTAGATACTTTGAAAATAGAAGTACTGAATAGCCTCTAGGGAACTTGAGTGGCCTTTCCCTCCCCCTGCCCCCCCCCCCCCCCCCCCGTTTTAAAAGATCAGTAGTCTCTATTCAAACTTTTAAAATGTCGTGGTATTGTAACAATATATTTGATGAAAGAAGGTTACAGACTCCCCTGAAGAACCAGCTTTCCTACGCTTTTTATTTTTCTAACTTGTCTAACCTGATTTTAAAATGACTGCAATTCCAGACTAAAAACATGCTTCAGCCCTGTTTCAAGACATTATGCTTCTTTTAACAGTCCAAATTAGTAGTTTTATTTTTCTTCTAAATCTTTGTTTCACACTTGTAAAATCTTGGGAAGGAGGTTCTTAAAACTTTGCCAGGAATTGTTACCCATTTCCAAAAACAGTTTATTATGTTCAAAAACCACCATATCTTTGAGGGACTGTTTGAAAGGGGAGAGGGCAACGCGGGAAATAATTCACTCTGCGCACCGGAACTATTGTAGTTCAGGACTTCCAGCTACTGTATTTAGATGTTGGGTTTGAATATACAGATTTCTTTTCAATACCTGTAAATATGGCTATATTCTTGTATTTGTACGGGAGTGTACAAAATGACACTGAAAAGTAATAAATATGTTTTGACTATATTGTGCAGTTATTTCAGAACTGTGTTTTGAAAGTCTTAGAATGCATAATTTGCATTTGAGTAAGGAAATTTAAAATACAGATTACTGCTGAGATTTTAATCAGTCGGTGTGTTTCAATAGTCTCTGAAACATTTTAGTGAAAATTATGACGTAAAATTGGGATTCTTTAGGTCCTGCTCTAATTTGCGGTACCCTCCTTTTCCTGATCACGACCTTTGATAGTGCCCTAAAGTGCAGCCTGTCTAGAAGATCTCATCCAGGCTCTTGGCTCTAAAAACCCCTTCATGTGCTACTTTACATCCCGATTATCTCCAGCCCTGATCTCTTTGAGTTCCCAAAAACAGTCCACTTAGATGCTTTCCTTAACACGGCATGCACTCCAAAAAGAACTCACGGTTTGTGCCTCAGATTATTCTCTTTTAGTTTTTTAGTAATTGACACCATCATTGTTAAAGTTGCCCAAAACCCAAATCAAGTCATCCTTCTTTTCTAACACTCGATATTTAATCCATCAAGACCCACAAGCTCTTTGAAAATGTTTCCTTAATGTTCACCTCTCTAGTCCAATCCACGATCATCTTTGAACCAAATCCCTGCCACAACCTCCTAACCTTTCTGCTTCTACTCAGATCTCCCAAGGTTTTCTCCACCCCACCTCCGCACACACACAACCTGTTCTCCACCAGGCTGTTCTGTTCATAATCCTGCAATGATTCACACTCAGAATAAAACCCAGAGCTCATACCATGGCTTGCGTGTTCAAGCCCCTGGTTATTGCCACGTTTTCATCGCTGCAGTCTCTCCTTGCAGGTTTGCTTTCCTCTGCCTAGAAAGCTCGTGATAGAAATTGGTACAGCTTGCTGCCCCTTTATCAGTCTCCTCAAAGAGGCCGTTCCTGGGCCAGGTGCAGTGGCTTACCCTTGTAATCCTAGCACTTGGGAGGTCAAGGTGGAAGGATTGCTTGAGCTTGAGTTTGAGACCAGCCTTAGTGAGACTTTTTTTGTTTTTTAGCCTTTGCTGATGGCTCATACCATCTAAAAACACCTCCATCACTCTTCACTCAGGTTTTCTTCGAAAGAACACCAGATGTGTTGAGTGAATTGTGAATGTTTAAAGGGCTTTGGACGAATCTGAACCTGTGAAGATGTAAAAAGGTTAATGAATTTTTTTTCTTCGTTTTGATTTTGGTCCCCTCACCTTGAGAGATGGAAGAGGAACAGCAAGTAGCATTTTTTTAAAAAAAATGATTACACTTTACGATTGATCACCAAAACCTAACTGCAAACCTGTCCTAAATTGTTAGCATATGTAGTCTCTAAGCAAGGGTAACCAACTAAACCGGTAATCATAGCCTAAGAGGGACCAGTAAGCATATTCCTAAGAGGAACACGTTTTAGGAGTAAATAAGCCAATGAGAAATGAGATGCTGCTTCTGATGCGACAATCCTGGGGAGATGGACTGGTAGGAGGAAGTGACCCTGCTTCTAAAGCCAGGATTGGGTGAGGCATGGGGGTTGGAGATTGGCCTGGTTTCACTAGGTCACCTGGTTTCACAGGTTTCACCTGTGGTTTAGAAGATGCTTTGACATCCAACCAGCCCCCTTCTGACTTCTAGAACAGGAACCAGGCACTCATCACATTCTAAGCTGTGTCACTAATGAAACATCTGTACTACCCATACCCATCTTAAAGGAAAAAGGCTAGGATGTAAGAATTGCCTGCCTTTGCAATGGATGGGAAGATTAAGATTGAACAGAACTTGATGCCATTGTTTTTCCCCATAAATGAGCTTCCTTTTTTAAGATGCCTTCTGTTAATTGCCCAATTTGATCAGCGTATCTAAGTGTGCTAGTATGAACTGTTTCTTACACTTGTAGGCAGTTCAAGGGCTTTATCTTGGGACAACAGAATGTAAGGACAGTGATTTTTGTCATTTTTGTGACTTATGTATCCCCATCACCTAGAAGAATCAACACACGTTGGAGAATCAACAGATATTTGTCAATAAGCCTTTTAAATTTCACGTTTTGCCCCACATTTTGATGCCTTGACATTTTATTACCTTTATGAACTAAAAAAGTGATAAGCTGAAAATACTACCATGGTTGGTGAGGGCTCTCACTTTTAAGATGTCAAGAGTCGTTTCAGGCTACACTTGTCTGTATCTTCACAAGCACAAGAGTTCCAAAGATACTACCTAAAATACAGTGGTGTGAAAAAATGCTTGATACCATTAATCAGGGAAATGGAAATCAAAGCCACGAGATATCAACTCCACTTTTGACTGTTATCAGATGAAAAATAACATGCTGGCAAGGACTGGAGAAAAGAGAACTCAATCACTGTTGGTGGGAATGTGACACTAGTACAGCCATTATGGAGAGTGGTATGGAGTTTCCTTAAGAAACTACAAATAGGGCCGGGCACAGTGGTGCATGCCTGTAATCCCGGCTACTCAGGAGGCTGAGGCAAGAGAATCGCTTGAACCCGGGAGGCGGAGATTGCAGTGGGCTAAGATCATGCCACTGCACTCCAGCTTGGGCCACACAGAAAGGCACTGTCTTAAAAAACAAACAACAATACAAATAGAACCACCATATGATCCAGCAATTCCTTTAGTAGCATTTCCTATACCTAAAGAAAAGCGTGTATCAGAGATATCTGCAACCCCATGTTTACTGCAGCAAGCACTATTCACAATAGCTAAGATAGAGAATCAACTTAAGTGTCTCTCAGTGGATGGATAAAAGTGTGGTACGTATACACAATGGAATACTATTTGGCCATTAAAAAAATGAAATCCTGTCATTCCCTGGAGGACATTATGTTAAGTGAAATAAGCCAGGAACAGAAAGATACATACTTCTCATATGCAGAACCTAAACAAGTTGGTATCATTGAAGTAGAAAGTCGTTACTAGAGGCTGGGAAGGGGAGAGGGAATAGGGAGAAACTGATTAATTGGTTAAAGGATATAAAATTACAGCTAGACGGGAGAAATAAAAGTGTTCTATAGCACTGTAGGCTGTCTAGTTGATTTTTTTTTTTTTTTTTTTTTTTTTTTTTTGGGATAGAGTCTCACTCTGTTGCCCAGGCTGGAGTGCAGCCTGGGCTCACTGCAACCTCTGCTTCCCAGGTTCAACCTCACTGCAACCATCTCGGCTCATTGCAACCTCCACCTCCCAAGTTCAAGCAATTCTGCTTCTGCCTCCTGAGTAGCCAGGATTACAGGCACCTGTCATTATGCCCAGCTAATTTTTGTATTTTTGTAGAGATGGGGTTTCACCATGTTGGTCAGGCTGGTCTTGAACTCCTGACCTCAGGTGATCCACCCGCCTCAGCCTACCAAAGTGCTGGGATTACAGGTGTGAGCCACCGCGCCCAGCCGAGGGTCCTCTTTTAAATGTGCAAAAAACTTTCCAGTTTGAACACAGTGTGAATTGCCTTCAAGAAATCTCACAGGGATGACATCATAACAGTGGAGCCCTGCAGGCAGGCCTGGGACAAAAAGATGCAGATCTGGGGAAGGAGAGGCTTCATTACAAAATCCTTTTCACTGCTTTTCCCTCAGTGGGGTTTCCAATTATGTGAACCAATTGCAAAATTTTTTCAACATTTACTTTGGTTAAATGCATGTCTCCCAGAAGAATTTGTCAGATGACGGGAGCGATTAACTTCAGAAATGGACGCACTCTCTGGTTCCCACGATCCTAGTGAGATCTTTTCATTCTACTTCTTCCACACATGCCCGTTCCCCTCTGCCCCAACCCTGCAAGACAAGATATCAACTAGCACTTTGGGAACCTTAATCGAGTCTCTTCACCTATTGTTATTTTCCATGTGGACTTTGCTGGAGCTAGCATTTCCTGCTTTAGTGTAAAAACAGAAAAGTGTTAGAAAAGCCGCTGGTAGAGAATGAAGGTGAGAACCTAGGAAGAGAAATGTGTCTGTGTCCAGCACTAGAGGAAGGAACTGAGCTGTTACCATGTAGTTGAACCAGGAAAGAGGAAAACTGTGCCTGGGGACAAGGTCAATGCAAACTGCAGAGCAAATGTCAAGCCTTTCCACTGATGCCTTGGCAGCCATTCATCATGGGGACCCCCTTGTCTGCATCCTCTCTGCTTCCAAAGAATCACTGATGATGGTCAATAGGAGGTTCTTGCTGCAAATCACTCTGGTGAATTGCATTTAATGCCGTGTAAGAATTACCATGTTTTGTTTGGCTGGGGCCACTGAACTTCTCAGGCAGGGGAAGACTGCATATCTCCAAGAAGGTTTAATGCTACCATTGAGTTTCTTGGCTGGAATCCATCCCACATCATTCAGCTTGCTCGTTAGCACCATGCAGTGCCTAGGAGTCCCACTCATATGGAAGGGCACTCATGTCAGCTTTTCTAAGTGTGGATGTTTGACATTCCAGCTGTCTCTCCTCTCTCCTCACTCAACAGTGATGCTGTGACTTCTTATTTTGAAAAATATCAAACGTATAAAAAGTTGAAAGAACTATACAGTGAGCACCTACTCGTATATTCCCCACTGAGATTCAATGATTAACGTGGTCCTATTTCTCTACCTCTCTTTCTCTGTCTCTGTATGCTCTTTTGTTTGAACCATTTGAAAGCCAATTGTAGAAACGGTGGGACATACCCCTACACACTTTAGTGTGACTCTCCTAAGAATAAAGCCATCATCCTACATAACTATAATAAGCTGGGCATGGTGGCTCACACATGTAATCACAGCATTTTGGGAGGCCAAAGCAGGCAGATCACTTGAGGTCAGGGGTTCGAGACCAGACTGGGCAACATGATGAAACCCCATCTCTACTAAAAATACAAAAATTAGCCAGGTGTGGTGGTGCATGCCTGTAGTCCCAGCCACTTGCGAGACTGAGGTACAAGAATCGCTTGAACCTGGGAGGTGGAGGTTGCAGTGAGCCGAGATCGCGCCATTGCACTCCAGCCTGGGTGACAAAGCGAGACTGTCTCAAAAAAAAAAAAAAATTTACATATATACTGTCATCACAAAAGCAAACACAATTTGATGGAATTTGGGGACAGGAATAATTAGAGAAATATCCCTATGGAGGTCAAAGCAGAGGAGGTTTCACGTTCTATTGTGCAAGCAGGCTTTTCCAATTACTCCCTACAAGCATACTGAAATGTTTTACAATGAGCATGTTCTTTTGGAGTCAGAACGAAAAAAAATACAAAACCTTTTAAAGCAGCGGTCAGGAACACTGGGTCTCAGCCACGTCTGTGGTGGCCACTGGGCTTGTCGTGGGCCTTCAACACCAGGTGGCGGTGTTGAGCTACATTCAGCAAGCCGGTACTACCCGGTGAGAAGCCTCCCTGGGAAACTAGGGATGGGGCAAGAGAAGGGTGGTTGCACTTTCAAAGTAAATGTCAGAACTTCAAGTAAATCCCTAAAGACATAGGAAGGGGGAAATGACGGAGAACTTAATGAACATATACCTCTTTTGGGGGAAGATGTTCTATACATTGTCTCAGGAGGCTGATCTACTGAATTCAAACCCTCATTCTGTCCCCTCCTTGTTGACTTGCCATGTACAAGCAACTTGACCCAGAGAATGCTGGGTTTTGTTTTATCCTATGTAGGATGACTGGCAGGGATACGGGTGACGAAAGCCCTGAGCACAGGGCCTGACACCGTGCAAGTGCATACAACGTGCTGGCTACTTAACCATGATGACTCACTTCTCTCCACAACTGAGCCACTGCTGGCTTTGTCCTCTCGAAAACCTCTTCTGCCTCTGCTCTAGTCACCTTGTTCGCAGAGCTACCTGGGTATGGGTGGACAGTGGCTTCTTTTGCAGAGTCAGGGAGGTGGACAGCACCCACATGTTGAGAGCAGGACTGCGTCACAGGCTGCAAGCACAGGAGAGTTATCCATTGGCCTCCAGAGTCCATCCTGTAGCATAAGTGTACTTATACCTGATGGACAAAGAATCTTGATTTTGGGTTCAGAATATATTGGCACAAAACCACCCTAGAATGGAAACATTCAGGCCCTCGGCCGGCTTTGCCAAGCTCCCTCCGGAGCATGCACAGTAGCTGCTTTGTTTCATAGGATGGCATCAGCCTCTCCTAAGAAGCAGGTTGGAGAGGACTCGGGGTCACTGGGTGGCTCATCCCAGCCAGCAAGCTGACCCAGAGCCCTCCCTGACAGCTCTTGCCACTGCCCACGTCCACCCAACATTGCACTGATTTCTTCTACCTGCTGCCGGTGTGTGCCCTCCCTTGTCAGAGCTCCTCTTGCCCCTTTCTCCTGGGAATGCCCGCCTCTTCCTCTAGGTATCTGCACCCAGCATCGTTCAAGAGCTGGGCAAATGCCCCTTCTTAGTGCAGATCCACTCTGCTATCTCCAGCTGTTTCCTCTGCCTGGAATGATCCCCCAAGAGTCTCAGGTGATTGGTTCCTTCACACCTCCTAGGTCTTGGCTGCAGTGCCCCTCCCCGGGGGACCTTCCCTTCCTAGTCTCGCTATCCTGTCACTCTGGGTATTTTCTTTTTCTTTTTTTTTTTTTTTGAGATGGAGTTTTGCTCTGTCACCCAGGCTGGAGTGCAGTGGCGCAATCTCGGCTCACTGCAACCTCCACTTCCCAGGTTCAAGCAATTCTCCTGCCTCAGCCTCCCAAGTAGCCAGGATTACAGGCGCCCGCCACCATGCCCAGCTAATTTCTGTATTTTTAGTAGAGAAGGGATTTCACCATGCTGTCCAGGCTTGTCTCCAACTCCCGACCTCAGGTGATCCGCCTGCCTCAACCTCCCAAAGTGCTAGGATTACAGACGTGCGCTACCATGCCCGGCCCACTCTGCGTATTTTTTTCATGGCATGTGGCCCTCTCTAAGTTTACACTAATTTATCTGTATCAGGAAAGGTCATTTTATTTTTAACGTATTTATGGTTTCTTTCCTGCTACTCGAGTAATAAATAAACTCACCAAGGGCAGGGACTTGGTCTTGTTTATTGACTGCTCGGTCCCCACACCTACAGTAGGGCCTGGCACATGAGAGATGCTCCATATGCCAGATGTGGTGGCTCACACCTGTCATCCCAGCACTTTGGGAGGCCAAGGTGGGAGGATTACTTGAGGCCAGGAGTTCAAGACCCTGTCTCTAACAAAATCAAAAATTATCTGGGCACAGTGATACCCACCTGTAATCCTAGTTCCTTGGGAGGCTGAGGCAGGGGTATCACTTGAGCCCTGGAGTCCGAGGCTGCAATGAGTCATGATTGTGCCACAGCAGTCCAGCCTTGGTGACAGAGCAAGAGCCAATCTCTTAAAAATAAAGTGCTTGGTAAAAATTACTGAATGAATAAAGACCCCGGCCCCCAAACTGGAAGCAGTCATACACTCTGGCAAACTCCCTCTTGCTCTTTGTCTGAACCTCTCTCATCCTGTGGAAGCTGATAGCTCTGGGGCTCTTCTGTCCAGACAAGCTGGAAGTGAGATGGGAAACAGCAGCCCCAGCACACTCAGCTTTGTGTCTTTGAGAATGCTTGCCTTGTGTATCATTCCTTGGCTGGTTTTGGCTGTCTTCTGGCCTCAGGTTTATCCTTTGGTGTTTATAGGAGTTTTCTGAGCTGGGGAGGATCCTCAAGTCTACCATTCTGGTGACCCTATGCACATGCCACTCAGATCTGCATTGATCCGTGAGCAGTGGAAGCAGTCTAGACCGCGCCTAGGACATAGGAAAGGAATAAAGGAGCAAACTGTTTAGCAACATGGAAGCTGCAGGAAGCATCTGCCTGCCCTATTCTAACCACTCTGAAAAACCCAAAGCCTTGTGGCTGGAGGGATCTACTTCCCATTCACTCTCATCGTGTAAGCCGACTTGGCTTCTGTACCTCCATGCCATGGACCGGCTTAGAGGAGAAGGACATAGGGCTGCTGCGGGTGGAACAGGGTTAGCAGTGCAGGTGAGCAACAGCCCAAAGTGGACAGTGATTCTTTTTGTTTGTTTGTTTGTTTGTTTGTTTTGAGACAGTCTTGCTCTGTTGCCCAGGCTAGAGTGCAGTGGGACAATCATAGCTCACTGTAGCCTTGAACTCCTGGGCTCAAGTGGTTCTCCCACCTCAGCCTCCCGAGTAGCTGGGACTACAGTTGTGCACCACCATGCCCGGCTAATTTTTTAATTTTTTATAGAGACAGGGTCTCACTCTATTGCCCAGGCTGGTCTGGAACTCCTGGCTTCAAGCAATGCTCCCACCTTGGACTCCTAAGTACATGTGACTAGAGGTGTGAGCCACCATGCCCAGCTAACAGTGATTGATCTATACAGGAAGATAGCAGCCAGAGGCTGACAGCAAGTGAGAGGGCAGGAGCCTGTACAGACTAGGAAAGGGGTTAGGTCATGGGTGAGGAGACCAAGGCTTAGTTCAACAACCATGGACACAATGAGCACCTAGTGGAGGGGCACAAAGGTTCCAGCCCACATGGAACTCACTGCATGGATTTGTGCAAAGCTCTATTCTCAACAGAGTCTGGGTTGGAAGGCAAAGAAACTAAGAAAGGCGAGTGCCCTGAGAGGATTGGGGACAAGCTGAAACTCAGCTGGCACAGGAGGACCTGGGCTTTCTCTACATGTTGAGTTTATAGTACAGGGCAAGGTGGAATTAATCTCCAAAGTGAGCACCAAGTTGTCAGCCAAGACAATCAGTGAAAAGAAATGTAGTGGCTAGGAGTTCAAGACCAGCCTGGGCAGCATAGCGAGACCCCATCTCTACAAAAAAATTAAAAAATTAGCTGGCAAGGTGGTGCACCTATAGTCCCAACTACTCTGGAGGCTGAGGTGGGAGGATTGCTTGAGCCCAGGAATGAGGTTGGGTTTACAGTGACAATGAGCCGTAATTGTGCCACTGCATTCCAGCCTGGGTGACCAAGTAAGACCCTGTCTCTCTCTCTCTCTAAAAAAAAAAAAAAAAGAGAGAAAAGAAAAAAAAAAACAAAGAAATTCAGGTGAACCTGAGTTCAAATGTCAACCCTGCTCATTTCTAATTGTAAGACTGCGCAAATCAGCTCTCAGAGTGCATGTGAGTTCCTCTTGCCTCACCAGGGGACTGGGTGACCTTCTCTGGCTTTTTTGTTTGTTTGTTTTTGAGACAGGGTTTTGTTTTGTCACCCAGGCTGGAGTGCAGTGGCATGATCTCTGCTTCCTGCCACCTTCCAGGCTAAAATGACCCTCCCATCTCAGCCTCCTGAGTAGCTGGGATGACAGGTGTGGGCACCACCACATCCAGTTAATTTTTGTGTATTTTTGGTAAAGACAGGGTTTCATCGTGTTGCCCAGGCTGGTATTGAACTCCTGAGCTCAAGCGATCCATCCACCTCAACCCTTCAAAGTACTGTGATTACAGGCATGAGTCACAGTGCCCAGCTGCATAAGTTTCTCTGAACGGTGACTGTAAAAACTTAATGAGATCACGTAGGTAATGTGCCAGCCCAGTGTTTGGCCCATAGAATGTGCTCAAGAAATAGTACTTATTACAGCTAGGATAATTGGGTGAAAAGCAGGCATTAGTAAGATAGTGAAGTTTATTTTTCTAAGGAGTTAGCAAGAAATTAAAACAGAAAAACACGTGTAAAGAGACTGATGATATTCATATGGGCCTGCTTAACTCTGAGCTTTGCTATTTTACTCAGGTCACTTAGAGGAATAAAAGAAAGTAAAATTCAGCTGGGAGAAGCCAAGTCTACTGAATGACACATCATTCTTCTCTTTGCCAAAGACAGAGATGCTAGTTAGTGGGTTGAGCACTCACCAATGAGTAGGTGCTCTCTTACCTCTGCAGAACTGCAAGCATATTAATGACTGCTTTGTAACCAATGCCTGGGAGCTTTTTTTTTTTAAACCTTAAGAGGAGGAAACTTGAAAAATCTTCCTGAGAGAAAAGGCAATATAAGTTGATTTCACAGTTAACACCTGAGAGTGCTTAATTTGAACCAGGAATGTGTGCATATGTGTGTGTGTATATGTGTGTGTGTGTGTCTCTTTACTGCATCTTCATTTGTTGCTTTCTACAATTAGAAATCATGAAGAGGGGCTGGGAGCGTTGGCTCACGCCTGTAACCCCAGCATTTTGGGAGGCCTAGGCGGGCAGATCACCTGAGGTCAGGAGTTCGAGACCAGCCTGACCAACATGGAGAAACCCCATCTCTACTAAAATTACAAAATTAACCGGGCGTGATGGCACATGCCTCTAATCCCTGGTACTCGGGAGTCTGAGGCAGGAGAATCATCTGAACCCGGGAGGTGGAGGTTGTGGTGAGCCGAGATGGCACTACTGCACTCCAGCCTGGGCAACAAGAGCGAAACGCCGTCTCAAACAAAAAAAAAAAAAAAAAAGAAAGAAAAAAAGGAAAGAGAAGTCATCAAGAGAATTAACATCATTAACTAGTCACTTGTTTTTGCATCAATGACTGTGTGTTAGGCCGTTCTTACATTGCTGTAAAGAAATACCTGATACTGGGTAACTTATCAAGAAAAGAGGTTTCACTGGCTCACAGTTCTGCAGGCTGTATAGGAAGCGTGATGCCGACATCTTCTCGACTTCTGGGGAGGCCTCAGGAATCTTACAATCATGGCGGAAGGTGAAGCGGGGGCAGGCATGTCACACGGCAAAAGCAGGAGCAAGTGAGATTGAGGGTGGGGGCAGAGGGAGGTCCCACACACTTTTAAATGACCAGATCTCGTGTGAACTCAGAGCGAGAGCTCACTTATCGCCAAGGGCATAGCCCGAGCCATTCATGAGGAATCCACCCCCATGATCCAAACACCTCCCCAGGCCCCACCTCCAAAGTTGGGAATTACATTTCAACATGAGATTTGGGCCAGGGCAAATATCAAAACTGTGTCAGACTGTTTCACGCGCTACATTTCTCTTATCTTTCAGCTTTCCATTCCAGGTCAGTTTGTTTATTTAGCCAGGGCTACCATGCATGACTCAGATAGGAGCAGCTACCCAGCAAGCTGGTGGTGCCCAGTCAATGGTAACGAGCCTCGGAAATGCCCAACCACCTTGTAATGGCAATTACAAACATGCTTCTTGGGCTGAAAAGGCAGATTAAAAGGTTCAATCATTTATCAAATACCTACCATATATTAGGTGGTTGTATATAATAATCTCTATAACCAAACAAAGCCACAACCCTGTGGGGTTGTCATTCACCTGCCCAAGCAGTCATTGGGTGGTTGGGAGGTTAAGCCCGGATTTTACCGCCTATGTGTTCTCTGATACGGAGCCACATCGGAGAGGCTGCATTCAGGGAGTTCTCCTGCCCTTTCTCCTGTTTTCTTCCATCTTTGGGACCAGTTTAATTTCAGTCGTGCAATTATCTCTGAGATTCAGATGTACCTATGAATTAGGAGAAAGGAATATTTTCACAAGAGACTCTAGGACTCACAGGCAGGAGCACAAGCATAGTGGCTTCAACGCCCAAGTGACAAGGTGTCATGCCTATTGGTAAAGAGAGACGGATTTTTTGCTCATTCATTCAAAAAAAATTTTTTTTTGAGACCAAGTCTCGTTCTCTTGCCCAGGCTGGAGTTCAGCGGCGCCATCTCGGTTCACTGCAGTTCGAGATCAAGCGATTCTCCTGCCTCAGCCTCTTGAGTAGCTGGGATTACAGGCGCGTGCCACCATTCCTGTCTAATTTTTGTATTTTTAGTAGAGATGGGCGTTTACCATGTTGTCCAGGCTGGTCTCGAACTCCTGACCTCAAGTGATCTGCCCGCTTTGACGTCCCAAAGTGCTGGGATTACAGGTATGAACCACTGCACTCAGCCCATTCATTCAACAAATATTAATGGAGCAACTACTTATGTGCCAGAAACTGTCCTAGGTACTTAGGATAGATACATCAGTGAACAACAACGGTAACAAACCCCTGCCATCATGAAACCCACAAGCTTCCACAGTGGGGAATAGACAATAAATGGTAAATATAATAGATAAGCCAATTATGTGGTCATTTAGGAGGTGGGAAATGATATAGAGTGGGACAGGATAAGAAAATCCAGATGTGCATGTGGCCAGAAGAACCAACTGCAATTTTAAATGGAGTGGTCAGAATAGACTTGGTTGAGAGGTGACATTGATGCCAAGACTTGATTTGGCCATTGCTAAGGGAGCGTCACAAAGAGGAAACTGCTTGGCACAGTGGCTCATGCCTGTAATTCCAGCACTTTAGGAGGCTGAGGCGGGAGGATTACTTGAACCCAGGAGTTCAAGACTAGCCTGGGCAACATAGCAAGACCCCATCTCTACAAAAAATTTTAAGAAAAAAAATTCAGCTAGACATGCCTGTAGTCTTAGCTACTCAGGAGGCTGGAGTGGGAGGATCGCTTGAGCCCAGGAGTTCGAGGCTGCAGTGAGCTCAGATTGTACCACTGCTCTTGGGTGTGAGGGACAGAGGGAGATGCTGTCTCCAAAAATAAATACATAATACATACATAAGAGGAGACCACTGGCACAAAGTCCCCAGGTTAGAACAGGACTACTAGTGTGTGGAGCAATGGAGTGACCAGTGTGGAGATGAGGAAGAGAGAAGGGGAGAAAGGTAACAGGGCACACATGGTGCAGATGGTACAGGGCCTGGAGGCCTGGTAAGAACGTTGGCTTTCACCCTAAGCAAGATATGCCCATTGGAGGGTTTTGATCATGGCAGTGACGTGATCTAACTTACATTTCCAAGGGCTGTGTCTTGAGAACAGATTGAATGGGGGTGGTGGTGAGGAGAGAGGCAGGGATACCCTTCAGGAGGCTACTGCCGTAACCCAGGTACACCTGCTGGTAGCTTGGACCAGGGCAAGGCAGCAACATTGTGACAAGAGGCAGGGTCCTGGGAGATTTTGAAGGCAGCTCAATAGAACTGCCTGTTGAATGGGATGTATGGTTTCAGAGGAAGAGAGGAGTTGAGGATGACTCCAAGATTTTTAGAAGAATAAAGTTGGCAGTAAGTGAGATGGGAGGTTTCCCGGTTCTGCACAGGGTACCCTATAGCTTTGGTGCTGCATTGGAGGCTGTGGATGGCACAGGTCGCTCTTGGCACCTTGCAGCACCGGGGGCTGTGGGGAGCAGCA
This sequence comes from Homo sapiens, assembly GCF_000001405.40. NCBI lineage: Eukaryota > Metazoa > Chordata > Mammalia > Primates > Hominidae > Homo > Homo sapiens. The sequence goes on from NC_000010.11 coordinate 28,636,118, forward strand.
CAGCATCCATGAAGGGCCCAGTGATCCAATGGAGGGACCCTATTTCCACCTCTAGTCTTGGTCCCTCAAGCCATCGGGAGGAGCAGTGATGTTAGTCTTTCAGAGAAGCTCCTTTAGAAAATGACTGAGTGTGGCCAGGTGCGGTGGCTCACGCCTGTAATCCCAGCCCTTTAGGAGGCTAAGGAGGGTGGATCACTTGATGTCAGGAGTGTGAGACCAGCCTGGCCAACATGGTGAAACCCTGTCTTTACTAAAAATATAAAATTAGCCAGACATGGTGGCAGGTGCCTGTAATCCCAGCTACACAGGAGGCTGAGGCAGGAGACTCACCTGAACCTGGGAGATAGAGGTTACGGTGAGCCAAGGTCGTGCCACTGCACTCCACCCTGGGCAACAGAGCAAGACTCTGTCTCAAAAAAAAAAAAAAAAAAAAAAGGAAAGAAAAAAAGAAAGTGACTGAGTGAGGTTTCAGAGAGCAGGGTCCAGCCTTAGACTGGATATGACAGTGCCCATGAAGCTGCAGGAGTGACCTCCCACGAGGTCCTGTCTGTACCTGCAGGCCTGCACGGACTCAGGGCGGCTTGTGTTGCAAGTGTGCATGGAGCAGGGTTTCTCTATCCAGGCATGCTACTGGGCTGTTCCGGTCAGGGGGTTACTGCAACACCTGCCAAACACACAAAACCAGGCTTGTGAAATAAGATAAAGAACCCACCTTTGTTTTTTGAGCTCTTTTTCAGCCCTCCCTGTTAGACCCCAAAGTCACCCATAAATCCAGTGAGGTTGACTGCTCTTATATCTCAGGAATTCCTGAGTAGGGCAGAGCAGGTGGGACTGTGCTTCTGTAGGCACTGACCACAGGCCTTCATCTCAGCTTAAAAGCCATGAGCATCTTGGGGAGGGCGACCCTGCAGCCTGGTTTGCTTGGCAATGTTCCACTTATGTCTGTTGAACTGGCACCTCAAGTAACCCTAAATTTCCCTCTCAAAAGTGTTTCTATCATGGGTGCAGTGGCTCACGCCTATCATCCCAGCATTTTGGGAGGCTGAGGCGGGCAGATTACCTGAGGTCAGGAGTTCGAGAGCAGCCTGGCCAACATGGTGAAACCCTGTCTGTACTAAAAATACAAAAATTAGCCAGCATGGTGGTGCATGCCTGTAATCCCAGCTACTCAGGAGGCTGAGGCAGGAGGATTGCTTGAACCCGGGAGGCAGAGGTTGCAGTGAGCCGAGATCATGCCACTATACTCCAGCCTGGGTGACAGAGCAAGACTCTGTCTCAAGAAAAAAAAGAAAGAAAAAAAAACCAGTTTCTGTTTGGATGATAAATTACATGGCCACTGTGAGGGTACTAGTACTGTGTGTTACTGGCTGGGGTCCCAGGGTCCTGGTGAGACTCATGTGTCCTTACCCATCGGGCTGCTAGCCTGAGCGGATCACCTGGTCCACACCAGCGAAGATTTCATTGATTGGAAGAAGATCTGAATTAAGCTGTGACTTGTCCTTGCTTCCAGAGGAATTAGTTTATTTATGAGATTAAACTAATCTGCACCTTCTGCTCCAAGGACTTAGAGTCGAACTAGCTGATTGTTATTTAGGTTGAACCAAGCCAACGTATTCAGAAGGGCTGGGGAGAAGACACAGGGGAACGCAGGGAACATAGCCTCTGCCAGGAGCATTGTAGACAAAACAGAGCTTTCCGTCTTGGGGGAAAATGCAAAACCAAAATTGGATTTTTGGTAACTGCTCAGTCATTTCATGTAGAAGGACCACAATTATTTTTTTATGTTTTTGTGAAATGTTTTTTTCAAAGTGGAAAGTTACTACCACTGCAACCACCCCCAATTTAAAGTAAACACATGCTCATTAAAAAAAAAAAAAAAAAAAGCCAGATGCAGTGGTTCACAGCTATAATCCCAACAGTTTGGGAGGCCAAGGCAGGAGGATCGTTTGAGCTCAGAAATTTGAGACCAGCCTGGAAAACATAATTAGACCCCATCTCTACAAAAATAAAAAATTGGACATAGTGGTTCACAACTTTAGTCCCAGCTACTCGGGAGGCTGAGGTGGGAGGATCACTTTAGCCTGGAGTTCGAGGCTGCAGTGAGCTATGATAGTGCCACTGAACTCCAGCCTGGGCAACAGAGCAAGATCCCTGTCTCAAAAAAGAAAAAAAATTGCTTGAAAAATATTGAAATGTGTAAGGAGAAAAATAAAACATCCTTTATTTATTCTATTCAAGGATAACCATTGTTTATATATGTATGTATATATATACACACAGATATATCTCCAGATTTTTTTAATTAGTTAACTTATACAAACAAAATATATCTTTACAAAACTAGAATCATCCCATCCATATTGTTTTGTTAACTTCTCTTTACACTTAACATATAGATGGATATCATTGCATGTCAAGGAACATAGAACCACATGATGATTTTTACTGCCCACATATTATTCTAAGTACAGCAATATCATCATTTATTTCCTGACAACCACCTGTTGTTAGACATCAAGGTTGGTTTTTTTTAAAAGTTTTTTAATTAAAAAAAATTTTTTGGCCTACTTCAGTAAGCTAGTCTGGAGGCTTTTCTTAATTTTTTATAGTGCTTTAGATAACATTCTTATATATGTAACATTACTTGATTGTTTAGTGCTCAGGAGAAATTCTGAGATGCAAAATTGCTAGGCCAAAAGGAATATCTATTTTTAAGACTTTTGACAATGCCAAACTGACCTCCAGCAGTATGGACCAATTAATCTGGCCAGCAACATTGAAGAGAATGCCCTTTGTCACACCCTTTCTGGCCCAGGCACTGTCATTCTTATTATATATTGGTAATCTGATGAGTGAAAAATGATCATATAAAATGTTGACTTTAGGAAACTCTTTCTATAGGGAAGATCCTCTTTTTTTATTGATGTGTGTATTACGAATATTACTTCACAATTTATGACTTGTTTGTTTTGTTTTCCAAGATATTTAATGACAAGAAGAAAATTGCTTACAATTCAATAAGGGGAAAATAGGTGAAAAATTAGTGTTCAAGCTAACCCTCATTATTGTATTGTGATAAAAAACACCTAACGTGAAATCTGCCTTCTTAACGCACTTTTTTTTTTTTTTTTTTTTGAGACAGAGTTTTTGCTTTTGTTGCCCAGGCTGGAGTGCTGTGGTAGGATCTCGGCTCACTGAAACCTCTGCCTCCGGGGTTCAAGCAATTCTCCTGCCCCAGCCTCCCGAGTAGCTGGGATTACAAGTGCCCACCACCATGCCTGGCTAATTTTGTATTTTTAGTAGAGACAGGATTTCACCATGTTGGCCAGGCTGCTCTTGAACTCCTGACCTCAGGTGATCTACCTGCCTCAGCCTCCCAAAGTTCTGGGATTACAGGGGTGAGCCACCACACCCAGCCATTAACACATTTTTAAGTGTATAGCACAGTATTATTTACTTGCATGTTTTTGTAAAACAGATATCCATAACTTTTTCATCTTGCATGACTAAGATGTTATGCCCATTAAACAGCAACTTCCCATTTCCCCCTGCCATCAGCTCCTGGTAACTATTTTACTTTCTGCTTCTATGAGTTTGACTACTTTAGCTGCCTCATATAAGCGGAATTGTGCATGCAGTGTGTGTTGATTTGGGACTGGCCTATTGCATTTAGCATAATCTCCTCAAAGTTCATCCATGCATATGGCAGAAATTTTCTTCCTCCTCCTTCTTCTTCTTCTTCTTTTGAGATGGAGTCTCCCCTGTTGCCCAGGCTGGAGTGCAGTGGTGCCGTTTTGGCTCACCGCAACCTCTGTCTCCCGGGTTCAAGCGGTTCTCCTGCCTCAGCCTCCTGAATAGCTGGGATCACAGGCGCCCACCACCACACCCAGCTAATTTTTGTATTTTCAGTAGAGACAGGGTTTCACCGTGTTGGCAAGCTGGCCTTGAACTCCTGGACTCAAGTGAACCACCCACCTAGGCCTTCCAAAGTGCTAGGATTGCAGGTGTGAGCCACTGCACCTGGCCTTCCTTCTTTTTTAAGGCAAAGTAACATCCCATTGTACATGTATTACCACAATTTCTTTATCCATTCATCCCTTGAGGGGCATTTAGGTTGTTTCCAATTCTTGGCTATAGGGAATAATGCTGCAATGACCAGGGAAGTGCAAGTATCTCTTTGAGACTCTGCTTTCAATTCTTTTAGAATAGCCGGAAACAAGATTGCTGGATCATATGGTGGTTCTAGTTTTAAGCTTTTGAGAAACCTCCATACTATTTTCCATAACAGCTGCACCATCTTACATTCCAACCAATAGTCCACAAGGGTTCCCACTTCTCTACATTCTTGTCAGCATTTGTTGTTTTCTGTTGTTGTTTTTTAACATATATAATGACCATCCAAACAGCAGTGAGGTGGTATCTCTTCACGGTTTTGGTTTGCACTTCCCTGATCATTAGTGATGTGGAGCATTGCTATAGTTTGGATATAGTTGCTTGACACCTCCAAATCTCATGTTGAAACTGGATTTCCAGGGTCAGAGTTGGGGCTTAATGGAAGGTGTTTGGGTCATGGGGGTCGATCCCTCCCTATGAGGGGGTCGGGGGGAGGCTGGTGAGTTCTCAGTCTATTTGTTCCCATGAGAGCTGGTTGTTAAAGAGAGTGTGGCACCTCCTTTGGCTCTCTCTGGCTTCCTTTCTCACCATGTGATCTCTGCACATGCTGATGGGGCTTTGCCTTCCAGCATCAGAGCTCAGAGGAGAAGTGGACAAACTCCCAGCCCCACAGAATTGGGGTCCTGGGTCTCTCATTGACTAGAGTTGCAGTCATGTCATTTAACCTTCTGAGTTTCAGTTTTCTCATTTGTAAAATGCAGATGGAAATATTTCCCTATAAAGCTTGCATGGTTGGTTGTGAGAATCAAATGAGAGAATGTATGCGAAAGTGTTCGAAGAGATATGTGATTGTTGTTGCTATCGTTATTGGTAACAAGTGCTTCACTCCATCCATTTAGTACAGGGACGCTGGATGTTCACAGAGGTGACCCCAGGGAGAGGCAACTGCCACACAGATCAGCAATAAGGGAGGGGAGGGCTCTGGGAGATGCGCAGATGGCCCCCATTCTCAAGCAACTTATGGTCTAGCTCAGTCATCAGAAGATCACACCTATTTTCATTACAGTCTTAGTGTTATAAATATTTGCTAAAAATTATTGGTTAATATATTATGTATTTTTTTAATTTATTTTTTTGAGCTGGAGTCTCTCTCTGTTGCCCAGGCTGGAATGCAGTGGGGTGATCTCAGCTCACTGCAGTCTCTGCCTCCTGGGTTCAAGCAATTCCCCTGCCTCAGCCTCCTGAGTAGCTGGGATTACAGGACTACAGGCATGCGCCACCATGCCTGGCTAATTTTTGTATTTTTAGTAGAGATGGGGTATTACCATGTTGGCCAGGCTAGTCTCAAGCTCTGGACCTCAGGTGATCCACCTGCCTCGGCCTCCCAAAGTGCTGGGATTACAGGCATGAGCCACTGTGCCCCACCAACATATTATGTATTAAATAGCTCTGTTAACCAGAATCATTGGTCTCTTCCCAATTATACCATTCTGAAAGAGCTTACTGTCTTGCTGTTTTCACTATTTGCTTATTAAAATACAACTCTTCCCTACTTCCTACTAAAAATCTTGGAAGAGGTGTTTCTCCATCACTGTCTCGCACCAGGAAGAGTAAAGTGATCCAGGAATCACAGGGGTTGTTCAAGAGGCCAAGTCACCAACAAAGCCAGTCATGCAGGTGGTTACGTAGGAGGCAGCCCCACAGAGCCCCATAAACTCAGAAACACTGAGGTCGGTCTGTCCCACACTTAGGAAGCCCTTGCCATCAAGGAAGGGGAGAGCCACACTCAGCTTTTAAGTAAGGAAGCCCTTATATGCTTATAAAAAAGAAAAAGATGGGAGGGAAGTTGTAGGGCAGATTAAAAAACGAGAAGATAGGGGCCAGGCACAGTAGCTCACACCTGTAATTCCAGCACTTTGGGAGGCCGAGGCAGGTGGATCACTTGGGGTCAGGAGTTTGAGACCAGCCTGGCCGACATTGTGAAACCCCGTCTCTACTAAAAATACAAAAATTAGCTGGGCATGGTGGCACATGCCTGTAATCCCAGCTACTCAGGAGGCTGAGGTAGAATTGCTTGAACGCAGGAGGTGGAGATTGCAGTGAGCCAAGATCATGCCATTGCACTCCAGCCTGGGCAACAAGAGCGAATCTCTGTCTCAAAAAAAAAAAAAAAAAAAGAGAGAAGATAGGAAGAAAATCAATGTCTGCATTCAGCTCCTTCTCCCCTCTCCCCTCTCTGCTCCTTTTTGTCTCATTTAGCCTCCGCACCTACCTCTTTCTTCTTCTACTAACACGCTCCTACTCACTGGAAGGTGGAAACTCAAGCAATTAACATTAACACATGAATAAATGACAGATGTTTTTATAACCCAAATTTATAGAACGTGCTGGGGAACTATCTTGAACTCAAGGCTTTGCGCTTCTTCCTTTTTCCAGGAAGCAGCCCTTCTTGGGCTTCTTACCTCCAGCTGTTCTGCCAAGAAGTAAAATCAGTATTTAGGCTGTGTGCAGTGGCTCACACCTGTAATTCTAGCACTTTGGGAGGCCGAGGCGGTTGCATCACTTGAGCCCAGGAGTTCGAGACCAGCCTGCACTGCATGGCAAGACCCCGTCTCTTCAAAAAAAATACCAATATTAGCCAGGTGTGGTGATGTGTGCCTGTAGTCCCAGCTACTCATGAGGCTGAGGTGGGAAAACGAGGATATAGTGAGCTGTGATTGTGCCACTGCACTTCAGCCTGGGCAACAGAGCAAAATCTTGTCTCAATAATAGTAATAATTAATAAATAAAAAGGAAATAAGTATTTGGAAGTAAAATAAGCTGGAAGGAGAGCCCTTTATTGAGCCCAGGGTGCTCCCAGAGGGAGTTTGGGTGCAGAATTGGGGGGCCCTCCCTTTACTTCCTGGCTGTGGCGGGTGGAGGGTGAGTCCTGCTGCATTCAGCCTACTTGCTGTGAAGTTTGGTGGGTGAAGGATCCTTAGCCATGGGTTGGAGTGCCAAGCAGGTAAAGTCTCTCCTCGTCAACACCCAACTCCTCTCCTCCTGCAGAATGGCAGGGCCCAAGGGTAGGTGGATGAAACTGGCAGAGAGAGGAAGGCTGCCCATGTGCTCCATCCCTCCTGCCTTGTCTCCTGGAGCCCCTTCCAGGCCCTGCCTTGTGCGTCTGGAGTCTCCACATTGAACCCAAGGTGGTGGCCCTAAGGCTGCCACTGCAGTTGGGGAAGAGCCCTGTCTTGTGAGTAGAAGAAGGACACTCTGAGATGAACATGGTACAGGAAGTTCTTCTCACAAAAGTTAAGGTCTGGGCATTTATTCTTGGCAGAGGAGGCAGAGGCAGCTACTGAAGCTGTCTTGTCCCATCCAGTGTGCCAAGGAGTGACACAGATGGGATCAGTGCTGTTTGCCACATGTAGGGTCCCTGCCTTTCAAGCCCTGCCACAAGCTCCTCTTCTTAATGCTCGGCAAAAGCAGAGTTACCAAGGGAGGTGACATGGAGGAAGGAACAGCAGCACACAGCCTAGGCTCAGAACTGCTAGGGAACTGACTGCGAGCTGAGGGCTGCCAGTTTGCTGTCTTGGTCAGGCCCTCAGCAGACTGAGCATTCAGGGCTGACCTTGGCAAAAAGGGAGCAGTACCCAGAGATGGAAGAGAGGTCATGGGACAGCCACATTGGTGACTAATCTTGGGAAAGGAACTCGAGTGATTAATGTCATTAATATGGCTAGTCCATGTCATAAATGGTCCTCAAATACACGAAGGATTGGCTGGGTGCACTGGCTCATGCCTGTAATCCCAGCACTTTGGGAGGCCAAGGCAGGAGGATCACTCAAGGCCAGGAGTTCAAGACCAGCCTGGGAAACATAGAAAGACTCCATCTCTACCAAAAAATAAAAATAAAAATTAGCTGGATGTGGTGGTGCACATCTGTAGTCCCAGCTATTAGGGAGGCTGAGATGGGAGGATCACTTGAGCCCGGGAGGTAGAGGCTGCAGTGAGCCATGGTTGTGACACTGCCCTCCAGCCTGGAGGACAGAAGAAGACCCCCATCTTGAAAAAAAAAATACACAAAAGGGTATCATGGGAAGAATGGGAGTCAACTGTCTGTCTCGGCTAAGGTTGATCCAACGGGAAATTTTTTTTTTTTTTGAGATGGAGTCTTGCTCTGTCTCCCAGGCTGGAGTGCAGTGGTGCCATCTTGGCTCACGGCAACCTCCACCTCCCAGGTTCAAGCAATTCTCCTGCCTCAGCCTCCCAAGTAACTGGGATTACAGGAGTGCACCACAATGTCCGGCTAATTTTTGCCTATTTGTAGAGACAGTTTCTCCATGTTGCCCAGGCTGGTCTCGAACTCCTGGCCTCAAGTGATCTGCCTGCCTCAGCCTCCCAAAGTGCTAGGATTACAGGTGTGAGCCACTGTGCCCAGCGGGGAAATGAAATTTTCAAACTTTGTAAAATGTATGGGTTTGACAAAGGGAAGACTTCCCAGGTAGTGGGAGTCACTAAGCCCGAGGGAACGCAGAGGGAATTGGGGCCTTCTTGACACAGCCTCAAGGCTGGTCCTGGTTTGAGTGTGGGCTGTTGAAGGGAGGAGCTTCTCCCTAGCCTGGGGGAGGGGAGTGTCTGTGGTCTGAGTTAACCAAGAAATGGGTTCAGGGAACAGAAGAACGTGGAGACCAACAGGCAGCTGCGAAATGAGAGTTCTGGTGTGTGAGGTGGCAAAATGAGTTTCAACACTGACACTGTCAATCAAGAGAGAAGTGAGAGATACTTCTCTTGCCATGCTACTGTGATTATAAACTATTCATGCCTTGGCAAATGACTTTTACTGGTGACACTTAAGCAGAACTCTTGTTGAGCATCCCCACCGCCTTTTTATAGCAAAAATAAAATAAAATAAAAGAGGCTCAGAGGTACCATGACAGAGGTTTGGAGGTACCTGAGCAAATACCAGCTCAGGCCTCAGTCAGGAAGTTCTTACACTGGCAGAACTTCCATTGACATCGGATGACGTCCACTCGGGTGAAGCTACAGAATCAGGTCTTGGGAGGGTTTATTTATCTAGAAAACTGAATCAGAGTTGGACTGAAAAGCAGAAGACTGTGACGTATCTACATGGGAGCGGGGAAAAAATATCTTTCCAGTTTTCAGAACCTTATTGGGGCATCTCCTCATGTAGTTTATTTAGAATGGTGATGTTTAAAGTGCTTGGACTTTGCAGAAACCTACTGTATTTTATGGCCTTTGATCACTGATCTTTCGTAAATCTGTACCACAGCCAGCCTGCTCCTTTCTCCTTCCGCTCTGAGGCCTCCTGTAACAGAGGGTGTGTACCTGAAGAAGCTTTGGCTTTGCAGAGCTCCAGGAGTTCAGTGAGACCTTCTCCCTGGTTGAGGCAGGATTAAAAGGTCAGGAATATTCAAAATATAGACTAGGGTGAGCTATGCTGGACATCTAGATTCTAAGCATGGCTTCAGCTGTATTTCACTTTTTTTTTTTTTTTTAGAGTTAGTATCTTGCTCTATCACCCAGGCTGAAGCACAGCGGTGCAATAATAGCTCACTGCAGCCTCAAACTCCTGGGCTCAAGTGAGCCTCCCCACTCAGCCTCCCGAGTAGCTAAGACTACAGGCACACCTGGCTAATTTTTTTTTTTTTTTTTTTTGATACGGAGTCTTGCTCTGTCGCCCAGGTTGGCGTGCAGTGGCGCGATCTTGGCTCACTGCAAGCTCCACCTCCTGGGTTCATGCCATTCTCCTGCCTCAGCCTCCCGAGTAGCTGGGACTACAGGAACCCGCCACCATGCCCGGCTAATTTTTTGTATTTTTTACTAAAAATAAGCACTGTCTCTACTGAGACAGTGTTTCACCATGTTAGCCAGGATGGTCTCGATCTTCTGACCTCCTGATCCGCCCGCCTGGGCCTCCCAGAGTGCTGGGATTACAGGAGTGAGCCACAGCGCCCGGCCACACTTGGCTAATTTTTTTTTTTTTTCTTATTTTTTGTAGAGGCAGTATCTCACTGTGTTGCCCAGACTAGTCTTGGAACTCCTGGCTTCAAGCAATCCTCCGACCTCAACCTCCCAAATTGCTGGGATTACAGACATGAAACACTCTGCCTGGCTTATTTTGATTATCATTTAGTTGGAAATCTTTTCTAATTTCTCTGATAATTTTTTCTTTTGACCCATAGATTTTTCAGAAGTGTGTTTTTTGGTTTTTTGTTTGTTTGTTTGTTTGTTTTGTTTTGTTTTGCTTTTGAGATGGAGTCAAGCTCTTGTTGCCCAGGCTGGAGTGCAATGGTGTGATCTCAGCTCACCACAACCTCCAGCTCCCGGGTTCAAATGATTCTCCTGCCTCAGCCTCCCGAGTAGCTGGGATTACAGGCATGCGCAACCATGTCCGGCTAATTTTGTATTTAGTAGAGATAGGGTTTCTCCATGTTGGTCAGGCTGGTCTTGAACTCCCGACCTCAGGTGATCCACCCACCTTGGCCTCCCAAAGTGCTGGGATTGCAGGCGTGAGCCACCGCACCCAACCTGTGTTTAATTTTCAAATATTTGAGGCTTTCCTAATTATTTTACTGTTTTTAATTTCTGATTTAATTCCATTATAGTCAGAGAATATACTTTGCATAATTTCAATATTTTAAAATTTATTGAGGCTTTTTTTATAACCCAGCATATATATATATAGTCCATCCTGGTAAGTATCATATATACTTGAAAATAATCTGTATTCTGTTCTTGTTAGATATAGTGTTCTAGGAAGGTAGTCAATGGTGTTCAGAACTTCTAAGTATTATTTATTTCTTTATAAAGATGGGATCTTGCTAAGTTGCCCAGGATGGTTTCAAACTGCTGGCCTCAAGCAATCCTCCTGTGTAGCTGGGATTACAGGCATGAGCCACCATGCGTGGTTTTTCTGTGTATTTTCTATTCTTTACCTAGTTGTTCTGTTAATTGCTGAGAGATATTAAAACCTCTATAATTGTGAAAATGCCTCTCTTCTCTTTAATTATATCGATATTTGCTTCATGTGTTTCAAACACCTATTATTAGATATACATATACAAACATATACAAACCATATACAAACATATGGTTATGTCTTCCTGATGAATGGACAATTTTAAAATTTAGTTTATTTTTTAAATTGGCAAATAATAATTGCACATACCTATGGGGTACATAGTGATATTTTGATATATACAATTTATAGTGATCAGATCAGGGCAATTAGCATATCCATCTTCACAAACATTTATCATTCCATTGTGATGGGAACATTCAATATTTTCCATCTAGCTATTTGAAACTATGTAATATTAATATATTATTGTTAACTCTAGTCATCCTGTAGTGCTATAGAACACTAGAATTTATTCCTCCTTCTTAGTGTAATTTTGTATCCTTTAACAAATCTCCCTATCCCTCTCTTTCCCCTATCCTTCCCAGTTTCTAGTAGGCTCTGTTCTACTTTTTACTTCTATGTGATCAACTTTTATTAGCTTCTACCTATGAGTGAGAACATGCAGTGTTTAACTTTCTGTTCCTGGGTTATTTCACTTAACATAGTGTCTTCTAGTTCTTTCGAGGCTGCCTCAAATGACAAAATTTAATTTTTTTATGGCTGAATTGTATTCCATGGTGTATAAATACCACAGTTTCTTTATCCATTTATCTGGTGTTGGACACTTAGGTTGATTCCGTATCTTGACTATTGTGAATAGTACTGCAGTAAATATGGGATACAGGTGTCTCTTCGATATAATGATTTCCTTGTCTTTGGATAAATTTCCAGTAGTAGGATTGCTGGATCATATGGTAGTTCCATTTGTAGCTACAAATGGAAGGCCCTTTTTGAAGGACCTTCATACCACTCACCATAGTAGCTGTACTAGTTTGCTTTCCCACCAACAATGTGTAAGAATTCCCTTTTCTCTACACCCTCGCCAGCATTTGTTACTTTTTGTCATTTTAATAATAGTCCTCCTAACTGGAGTGAGATGATATCTCATGGTGGTTTTGATTTACATTTCCCTGATAGTGATGCTGAGCATTTTTTTCATATCTTTGTTGACCATTTGTATGTCTTCTTTTAAGAAATGTCTGTTCAGATAATTTGCCCATTTTTTAATCAGATTTTTTTTTTTTGAGGTGGTATCTCACTCTGTCACCGAGCCTGGAAAACAATGGTGCAATCTTGGCTCACTGCAAGCTCCGCTCCTGGGTTCAAGTGATTCTCCTGCCTCAGCCTCCCGAGTAGCTGGGATTACAGGCATGCGCCGCCATACCCAGCTAACTTTGTATTTTTAGTAGAGATGGGGTTTCACCAAGTTGCCCAGGCTGGTCTCAAACTCCTGATCTCAGGTGAGGCACCCGCCTCAGCCTTCCAAAGTGCTGGGATTACAGGCGTGAGCCACCGCTCCTGACCTCAGATTATTTTTTGCTGTTGAGATGTTAGAATTCCTTGTATATTCTGGATATTAATCACCTGTTGGATAAATCATTTGCAAATATTTTTCCCATTCTGTAGGCTGTTTTTTCACTCTGTTAATTGCTTCCCTTGCTGTGCAGAAGCTTTCTAGTTTGATATATCCCATTTGTTTATTTTTGTTTTTGTTGCCTGTGTTTTTGGAGGTCTTATTCATAAAATGTATTCCTGACCAGTGTCCTGGAGGATTTTCCCTATGCTTTCTTCTAGTATTTTTATTGTTTCAGATCTTATACTTAGGTCTCTGATCCATTATTTTTATTTTTATTTTTTTATGCTCCCCTCCCACCAGCTTTGATCCATTTTGAGTTGAATTTTATATAGGGTGAGAGGTGGTGGTCTGGTTTTATTCTTCTGCATATTAATATTCAGTTTTCTCAGCACCATTAATTGAACAGACTGTCCTTTCCCCAATGAGTGTTCTTCGCACTTTTGCCAAAAATTAGTTGCCTGTAGATATGCAGATTAATTTCTGAGTTCTCTATTTTGTTATATTGGTCTAAGTGTCTGTTTTTATGCTCATGCCATGCTGTTTGGGTTACTACAGCTTTGTAGTATATTTTGAGGTCTGGCAGTGTTCTGACTCCAGCTTCGTTCTTTTTGCTAGGATTGCTTCAGGGTCTTTTGTGGTTCCACACAAATAATAGGATTTTTTCTTCCTATTTCTGTGAAGAATGTCATTGGTATTTTGATAGAGATTGCATTAAATCTGTAAATTGCTTTAGGTAGTATTGTCATTTTAACAATATTAATTATTTCCATCCATGAGCATGGGGTGTTTTTCCATTTGTTTGTATCCTCGGCAATTTCTCTCACCAGTGTTTTGTAGTATTCCTTGTAGGGGTGTTTCACCTCCTTGGTTAAATTTATTCCTAGATACTTTCCTGTAGCTATTGGAAATAGAATTGCCTTCTTGATTTTCTCCTTCAGCTAGTTCATTGTTTGTGCATAGAAATGCCACTGATTTGCCGGGCGCAGTGGCTCACGCCTGTAATCCCAGCACTTTGGGAGGCCGAGGCGGGCCGATCACGAGGTCAGGAGATCGAGACCATCCTGGCTAACACGGTGAAACCCCGTCTCTCCTAAACATACAAAAAAATAGCCGGGCATGGCAATGGGCCCCTGTAGTCCCAGCTGCTGGGGAGGCTGAGGCATAAGAATGGCGTGAACCCAGGAAGCGGACGTTGCAGTGAGCCGAGATCGCACCACTGCACTCCAGCCTGGGCTACAGAGCGAGACTCCGTCTCAAAAAAAAAAAAAAAAAAAAAAAAAAGAAAAGAGTAAGTTTTGGTAGAATGTGGTGTCTCATGCCTATATGCCTATTATCCCAGTACTTTGGGAGGCTGAGGCAGGCGGATCACTTGAGGTCAGGAGTTGCAGACCAGCCTGGCCAACGTGGTGAAACCCCATCTCTACCAAAAATACAAAAATTAGCTGGGTGTGGTGGCATGTGCTTGTGGTCCCAGCTACTCGGGTGGCTGAGGCATGAGAATCGCTTGAACCGGGAGGCAGAGGTTGCAGTGAGCTGAAATGACGCCACTGCACTCCAGCCTGGGCAACAGAGTGAGACATTGTCTAAAAAAAAAAAAAGGCCTGGCACGGTGGCTCATCCCTGTAATCCCAGCACTTTGGGAGGCCAAGGCGCGAGGACCACGAGGTCAGGAGATAGAGACCATCCTGGCTAACACAGTGAAACCCCGTCTCTACTAAAAATACAAAAAATCAGCCGGGCGTGATGGCATGTGCCTGTAATCCCAGCTACTCGGGAGGCTGAGGCAGGAGAATCGCTTGAACCCGGGAGGCAGAGCTTGCAGTGAGCCGATATCGCGCCACTGCACTCCAGCCTGGGCAACAGAGTGAGACTCCCTTTCGGGGGAAAAAAAAAAAAGAGAGAAGTTTTTCTTCATCTTCCAAGAATGAATTTTCACTCCCTCAGGATGCTGTCTGCCCCGTTGAGAATGCATGCTTTCTCTGAGCATAATTCTACCACAGGGCGTTTACACTTACTGTACCCTCTGTGCAGAAAACTTCCTCCTTATAGCTGGACAACCCGCTCTCTTACTTCCTTGCGGTCTCACTAAAATGGTCACTTTATCAGAGAGGCACCACCTGGTCACTCTGTTTTAACTCACTCGGGACCCCCCATCCTCTTTCCTAGCACTATTCTCTATTGGACCTATTACCATCTGTAACCTCTATATGTTACTTGTCCATTGTGTGTCTCCCTCTGTGACAATGTAAGTTCCAGGAGATATTTGTATTCACGGATGTATCCTAGCATCTAGTCCAGGTCCTGGCACATGGTTCATGCACTATTTTTTTTTTTTTTTTTTTGAGACAGAGTTTCGCTCTTGTTGCCCAGGCTGGAGTGCAATGGTGTGATCTCAGCTCACTGCAACATCTGCCCCCTGGCTTCAAGCAATTCTCTTGCCTCAGCCTCCCAAGTAGCTGGGATTACAGATGTGCGCCACCACGTCCAGCTAATTTTTTTGGTATTTTTAGTAGAGATGGGGTTTCTCCATGTTGATCAGGCTGGTCTCCAACTCCCAACCTCAAGTGATCCACCCACCTCAGCCTCTGAAAATGCTGGGATTACAGGCGTGAGCCACCGCACCCAGCCAGTTCATGCACTATTAATATTTGTTGAGTGCATGCATGCCACTCTCACTTGTTCTTTCCTGCCTTCACTCTCTCTCTTTTTAAATCTCCTGTTCTTGCTTTAAGGTCCAAGTCAAGTACCAGCTTCTCCCTGGTCCCTTTCCTGGTTTTATGTGTTCAAGAATATTGTAAAGTTCAGGCTGAGCGCAGTGGCTCACACCTGTAATCCCAGCACTTTGGGAGGCAGAGGCAGGTGGGTCACTTGAGGTCAGGAGTTCAAGACCAGCCTGGCCAACATGGTGAAACCCTGTCTACTAAAAATACAAAAATTAGCTGGGTCTGGTGGCACATGCCTGTAATCCCAGCTACTCGGGAAGCTGAGGCAGGAGAATTGCTTGAAACTGGGAGGCGGAGGTTTCAGTGAGACAAGATTGCTCCACTGCACTCCAGCCTGGGCAACAAGAGCAAAACTCCATCTCAAAAAAATAAAAATAAAAATTGTAAAGTTCGTATGCTCTATACTCCTGGCAGGAGTTATGAAATTAATATTAATCATTGAAGAATAAACCTTGTTTCTCCTTGGCCTGATCTGCCTCAAAACTATTCAGAAACTTCCTTATGCACTCACTATTAACACCACCTTTTAGCTTGCAGACACTCTTGGTTAGTCCTGAAACTGCGTATGTTGATATGCCATTGCAAAACCAAGGGGCTTCTGAATTGAATGTGTGGGCACCAGAAAGGAGAGAAAATCATTTAGCATGCAGGCTTGTTAACACTGTTTAGGTATGCTTTGGGTAGATTCAACTGGCCTTGTGCTACTGGAAATAAAGAATAAATATATATTTTTGCTAGTTTTTATTGCATTAGATCATGTTGTTTTAACCCAAGAACCTCAGGAAGTGCAGAGTAAATTGAAACACTCAATCAAATAAAATAAGTATGCTTAAACTGAGTTATAGTTGGTTGTGCCGCAAGCGCTAAAGTTCAAGTTGACATTTCAGCCTGAGCTCATAAAGTTATTAGTGGGGAACCCATAGCAGGGAGAGGAACAGAGAGTGTATCAGACTTCAACATGTATGTTGTGACTCTTGTTACTT
This sequence comes from Homo sapiens, assembly GCF_000001405.40. Classification (NCBI taxonomy): domain Eukaryota; kingdom Metazoa; phylum Chordata; class Mammalia; order Primates; family Hominidae; genus Homo; species Homo sapiens. Next base: position 28,652,420 of record NC_000010.11, read on the forward strand.
TAGAAGAAAATGAACCTCACTATGTAATAACCTAACTCTGTTGTGTTTATTCATTTTCTTTCTTTTTTTATTTTTATGTGTTTATTCATTTTCTTCTAAGTTCAAAGGTCATTTCTGGGTAGGAGAGCAAATGTCCTTATATTTTTTCCAAATAGACCATTTGCTTGGTGGGCCTCACCCCGGTGGAATGGAAGTACATTGGCAGCAACCACCATCCTTTACTTGGGGCTGCGTTACTATCCAATGAGCACACAGCGAGGGTGGAACTGCAAGCGTCTACACAACACACCTGCGTCAACTACAGCTTTGCTTTATCTTCGTGCAATTTTTGAAAAAAAGAAAAAAAGAAAAAACCAAAAGCAGTGCATTAGGGGCAATTCCTCCCCCTGCCTCCTCTCTCCAGTGCTGATGGGCTGAGTGTGGGGAAAGGCGGCTCCCTAGTATGGGCGGGCGCCCTGTAGCCTAGTGGCCTCTCATCCCAAGTGCTGGTAGCATCTGAGATTATCTGTAGGCTGTTTGTCTGTAACCTAGGGAACATGAGCAGGGAGTCCAAAACATTTCAGTTTAGAGTAAGTCATACTGAAATGCTGCCTATAGAACACACCAAACACCAGCAATAGAACTTTATTTGAGGAGCTGCATATTCCAAGGACAGCTATGGTAGCCTTTAGGCACAACTGTGAGCAGGAGAAGTCTGTGTTCAGCATCTTCCCGTTGTTCTTCTTTTGAGCTCATTCTCCCGTTCATGGTCCCTTCTAGGATACCCGTTCCATGGAATACCAGTAATGGATCTTTACAGCTTACCAAATGGTTTTTGTTTTGTTTTTGAGACAGTCTTGCTCTGTCACCCAGGCTGGAGTGCAGTGGTGGGATCTCTGCTCACTGTAACCTCTGCCTCCCAGGTTCAAGCGATTCTCCTGTCTAAGCCTCCCGAGTAGCTGGGACTACAGGTGCCAGCCACCATGCCCGGCTAATTTTTTGTATTTTTAGTAGAGACGGGGTTTCACCATGTTGACCAGGCTGGTCTCGAACTCCTGACCTCAGGTGATCTGCCCACCTCAGACTCCCAAAGTGCTGAGATTACAGGTGTGAGCCACTGCGCCCAGACTCCAAATGGTTTTTTTAATCAATTAAATTAATTAATTAATTTTTAGAGACAGCACCTCCCTCTGTCACCCAGGCTGGAGGGCAATGCTGCAATCATAGCTCACTGTGTCCTTGAATTCCTGCACTCAAGTGATCCTCCCACTTCAGCCTCCCAAGTAGCTGGGACCACAGGTGCATGTCATCATATTTGGCTAATTTTTTAATTTTTTTTTGTAGAGATGAGATCTCACCATGCTGCCCAGGCTGGTCTCGAACTCCTGGCCTCAAGCAATTCTCCTGCCTCAGCCTCCCAAAGCGCTGGAGATTATAGGTGTGATGTGAGCCACCATGCTCAGCCACAAATATGTAAATATTAACCTTGTCTTTGGAGTTTAAGGTAGTGGATATTGTAGCCCATCTGAATTTTCCTGACTCTTATTTCCGTAATTCTGAAATTTCTTCAGAATGTGGTGCGTTTTATTGTGCTACTATGTAAGATGAATAATTAGGTATTAAAATTATTTTTTCACTGAAGGAGAGGCCTGACTTTCACCAAAGCTATGCAACCAAATTTAGGTGAGAAGGTAGTTGATTGAGTGCATAAAATCCAAGAATGGGGCCACAGAATGTTGGCTCATGCCAGTAATCCCAGCACTTTGGGAGGCCGAGGTGGGCGGATCACCTGAGGTCAGGAGTTCAAGACCAGCCTGACCAACATGGTGAAACCCCATCTCTATACTAAAAACACAAAAAATTAGCCGGTCATGGTGGTGAGCGCCTGTAATCTCAGCTACTCAGGAGGCTGAAGCAGGAGAGTCACTTGAACCCAGGAGGTGGAGGTTGCAGTGAGCTGAGATCGCACCACTGTACTCTAGCCTGGGTGACACAGTGAGACCCCATCTCAAAAAAAAAAAAAAAACCAAACGAGCAAACGAGGAAGATCTCAAGGCAGAATCATCCTGTTCTGGATGACTCTCAACCAGTTTGCTAAAAAATGCATTCTGTCAACTCATTGAGGACTTTGGGAAAGTTTGGTTCCTGCCCCTGGCCCTGGTGCTCCTGTCCATGCCCTCGTCATGCATCAGGGCGGCGTTTTCCCTACTTCTCCCTACCTCTGCTCGGCCACTACTGCCCTTCTGGGCTCATCTCTGTCTAACTGCTGCTCAAGACCAACTATCCAACCTTCACATTGTCCAGAGGGCTTGAGGCCACAGCATTTCCCCTTTCCTCTCTCCTTAGAGTCTGGTCTTAGGGAAATAGGCTTTCGAAGATGGGGTTTTGACTGTAAGACCAGAAAGCCCAATTCTCTCCATCCCTTGTGGCTTGGGAGACTTCCACTGGTCAGAACTGACACCCTATGCCCCACTCATCTCTCAGCATCACTGATGAGGAATGCAGGAGGACCCTGTGATGGGGGGAGAATCTCAGGATGAATGAACATGGTTTTTAATCTCTCATTCAAAAGGCCTATGTTGGCCAGGCATAGAGGCTCACGCCTGTAATCCCAACACTTTGGGAGGCTGAGGCAGGTGGATCACCTGAGTCAGGAGTTCAAGACCAGCCTGGCCAACATGGTGAAACCCCGTCTCTACTAAAAAACCCCGTCTCCCTCTGCCCGGCCACCACCCCGTCTTGGAGGTGTACCCAACAGCTCATTGAGAATGGGCCTTGATGACGATGGCGGTTTTGTGGAATAGAAAAGGGGGAAAGGTGGGGAAAAGTTGGAGAAATCAGATTGTTGCTGTGTCTGTGTAGAAAGAAGTAGACATGGGAGACTTCATTTTGTTCTATACTAAGAAAAATTCTTCTGCCTTGGGATGCTGTTGATCTATGACCTTACCCCCAACCATGTGCTCTCTGAAACATGTGCTGTGTCTACTCAGGGTTAAATGGATTAAGGGCGGTGCAAGATGTGCTTTGTTAAACAGATGCTTGAAGGCAGCATGCTCGTTAAGAGTCATCACCACTCCCTAATCTCAAGTACCCAGGGACACAAACACTGCGGAAGGCCGGAAGGCCGCAGGGTCCTCTGCCTAGGAAAACCAGAGACCTTTGTTCACTTGTTTATCTGCTGCCCTTCCCTCCACTATTGTCCTATGACCCTGCCAAATCCCCCTCTGCGAGAAACACCCAAGAATGATCAATTAATAAATAAATAAATTAATTAATTAAAAAAAAAAAAACCCCGTCTCTACTAAAAATACCAAAAATTAGCTGGGTGATTAGCCAGGTGTGGTGGTGGGTGCCTGTAATCCCAGCTACTCAGGAGGCTGAGGCAGCAGAATTGCTTGAACCCAGGAGGCGGAGGTTGCAGTGAGCCAAGACTGTGCTACTGCACTCCAGCCTGGGCGACAGAGCAAGACTCCGTCTCCAAAAGAAAAACAAACAAACAAACAAACAAAAACCTATGTCAAGAGTCAATGTTTCACCATAGGACAAGCATAGTTAAGTCATTGTAAGATGGTCCATTTGTCCTAAAGTAGAAACATTTAAGGTGATAGGTGATTGTGAGTGTGTGTGTGTGTGTGTGTGTGTCCATCCTAGTAAACTGGGCTGAATTCCCTTTAACTACACTGGGTCATTCATCATGAAAGACAGCAACAGCATCCTCTCCACAGCTGGCATTCCCTGAAGGACTGATCAAGAATGAGGCTGACACATCACTTAAGTAACATTATTTAGGAAGTTCCTAATAGTCAATGCAGAAGAGTTACCTACAGAGGAGAATGAGCTTATTCTGTTTGCAGTCATCACTTTATGTTAACTGTCTGCCAAATACTTCTAAGAACTTGCTGTTCATTATGTTCTGTGTGGACAGAAAGGAATTAAGAAAGTGATCAGAGCCAGATGCAGTGACTTATGCCTGTAATCCCAGCACTTTAGGAGGCCAAAGTAGGTTGATCGCTTGAGCCCAGGAGTTCAAGACCAGTCTGGGCAACATGGCGAGACCCCATCTTTAAAAAAATAAAAAGAAGCCTGTAATCCCAGCACTTTGGGAGGCTGAGGCAGGCGGATCACCTGAGGTCGGGAGTTCAAGGCCAGCCTGACCAACATGGATAAACCCCATCTCAACCCAAAATACAAAATTAGCCAGGTATGGTGGCACATGCCTATAATCCCAGCTACTAGGGAGGCTGAGGCAGGAGAATCGCTTGAAGCTGGGATGTGGAGGTCACCGTGAGCTGAGATCATGCCATCGCACTCCAGCCTGGGCAACAAGAGCGAAACTCTGTCTCAAAAAATAAAAAAAAGAAAGTGATCAGGGATTTGAAAAATCAAAACTGAGAACTAAGTATCAAAATGTATCTTTGGACAATCCTATCTAGAGAGTTGTTCTCCAGCACATTGGACGGTACAGAAAAACTGACACCACTGAGGACAATGACTGAAACACAATGAAAATTAATTCACTATTTCACCAGACTATTTCCATGCCATGTTCTAATGCAGGAGCAAGGGCTTCCAGGTCAGGTTTCTACTGGGATTTGCAATGGAACCAGGGAAAAATGGCCATCTGAATAACACAGTTTTGCGTGTGTTAAAATGATCCCTAATTAGCACCTCAATAAGTAGTTTTCTGGTCAGAAACAGTGCCCCAGGGCTGGGCGCGGTGGCTCACACCTGTAATCTCAGCACTTTGGGAGGCAGAAGTGGGTGGGTCACCTGAGGTCAGGAGTTTGAGACCAGCCTGGCCAACATGGTGAAACCCCATCTCTACTAAAAATACAAAAATTAGCTGGACGTGGTGGCGCATGCCTGTAGTCCCAGCTACTCAGGAGGCTGAGGCAGGAGAATCGCTTGAACCCAGGAGGTGGAGGTTGCAGTGAGCTGAGATCACACCATTGCACTCCAGCCTGGGCAACAAGAGAGAAACTCTGTCTCAAAAAAAAAAAAAAAAAAAAAAAAAAAAGAAGAAGAAAAGAAAAGAAAAGAAAAAGAAAAGAAAGAAAGAAAGAAAAGAAAAGAAAAGAAACAGTGCCCCAGCCTGGGCATGGTGGTTCACATCTGTAATCCCAGCACTTTGGGAGGCTGAGGCGGGCAGATCACTTAAGGTCAGGAGTTCGCGACCAGCCTGGCCAACATGGTAAAACCCCGTCTCTACTAAAAATACAAAAAAATTAGCCAGGGGTGGTGGCACCCAACTGTAATCCCAGCTACTCAGGAGGCTGAGGCAGGAGAATCACTTGAACCTGGAGGTGGAGGTTGCAGTGAGCTGAGATGGTGACACTGCACTCCAGCCTGGGTGAAAGAGCAAGACTCCATCTCAAAAAACAACAACAACAAAAAAAACCCCAGTGCTCCAGTAAACCAGAAGAGTAGATTGAAGTGCAGCTTGGTAAAGTACAGAGATCACGGATGACTCAAAAGACCTGGGTGAGTCCTGGGTCCCCACTCCACCTCTTTGTAGCTGCATGACACTCGTCCAAGTCTTGACCATGACACTCATCAAAGACTTGACTTGACTTTTTTTTCTCCAAAAATGAAGATACGGTATCCATATCACAGAATTGTGAGGAGAAACAAATGAAGTAAAGTGCAGCTCTCTGAAAACTATAATGCACCGTGTGAATATTAGTTATCATTGAACAGTCTCCATGAGACTGACCTTAGGAAACAGGTTGTGTCGGAATCTGTCGTCAGGTATAGGGTTAGGTGTCTGCCTGTAGGAGCCTTCTTATTGCTGGCAGAGTAGGGTTCCAGTCTCTTGGCATGTCTTGTAAGAACTGGAGAATACCTGGTGCCTCTAGCTCTAGGCCAAAGGTTCTCAAAGGGTGGTCCCCAGTTGGCAGCATCAGCATCACCTGGGAACTTACAAGACCTGCAGGAGATGCACCAGAGACTGGACAGGTGACTGGATGGGTGACTGTTCTATTTTTTCTTTTTCTTTTTTTTTTTGGAGATGGAGCCTTGCTTTGTCACCAGGCTGTAGTGCAGTGGCACCATCTTGGCTTACTGCAACCTCTGCCTCCTGGGTTTGAGCAATTTTCCTGCCTCAGCCTTCTGGGTAGCTGGGACTACAGGCATGTGCCACCATGCCCAGCTAGTTTTTGTATTTTTAGTAGAGACAGGATTTCACCATGTTGGCCAGGCTGGTCTCGAACTCCTGACCTCAGGTAATCCACCCACCTCAGCCTCCCAAAGTGCTGGGATTACAGGCATGAGCCACTGTGCTCGGCACTTTTTTTTTTTTTTTTGAGACGGAGTCTTGCTCTGTCACCCAGGCTGGAATGCAGTGGCCCGATCTCGGCTCACTGCAACCTCCGCCTCCCAGGTTCAAGTGAGTCTCTTGCCTCAGCCTCCCAAGTAGCTGGGATTACAGGTATGTGTCACCACGCCTGGCTAATTTTTGTATTTTCAGTAGAGACAGGGTTTCACCATGTTGGCCGGGCTGGTCTCAAACTCCTGACCTCAGGTGATCCGCCCGCTTCAGCCTCCCAAAGTGCTGGGATTACAGGAGTGAGTCACCGTGCCCGGCTGACCCTTCTATTAATATTATTTAAAGACGTAAAAAATGTGGGGAACTTGAGAAAGAAAGCCATGGAAGGTGTCATTGATGGCTCACTGATACATCCTGCAGTGATTGTCAATCCATTTGAGATATTTGCAGCCACAAAGAAAGCAGTTTGCCTCTACAAACTGGGAGAAATGAAGACAAGAGCTCTATCTACTGAAATTATTTTCAACCTTTCCCCAAATAACAATATTTCAGAGGCATTGAAAAAATGTGGTATCTCAGCAAATGACACTTAAATTCCAATTGTTTATACTAACGAGGGAGAAAAACAAATAAATCAAGGATATCTAATATCTCAAATAGAAGGTCAGCAGGTTTCTCTGAAAAATCTTCCTGAAATAATAAATATTACAAAAGTCAAAAAGAAATATACACTCCCTCCACAAGAAGAAAGCATTGGGAACATTATTGGATGGTATTTGTAGAATGTCAACAAAGAATGTTTTGTGAAAAGGATGTTTTGTGAAAAGAATTATTTGCAGAAATTTTCGGCATTAAAGAAAACACTGGGCCTGTAATCCCAGCACTTTGGGAGACCAAGGTGGGCAGATCACATGAGCTCAGGCATTCAAGACCAGCCCGAGCAACATGGTGAAACCCCATCTCTATAAAAATACAAAAAATTAACTGGGCATAGTGGTGGCGCATCTGTAATCACAGCTACTTGGGAGAATTGCTTGAACCTGGGAGGAGGAGGTTGCAGTGAGCCCAGATCGTGCCACTGCATTCCAGCCTGGGCGACAGAGTGAGCCTCCGTCTCAAAAACGAAACAAAACAAAACAAAACAAATGTATTTTCCTTTGCTGATTAAAATGTTATTTTATTTTATTTTTTGTAGTGATGGCATCTCGCTATGTTGCCCAGAGTGGTCTCAAACTCCTAACCTCAAGCGATCCTCCCACCTCAGCCTCCTAAAGCACTAGGATTATAGGCATGAGCCACCATGCCTTGGTCCCACCTCTTTTATTGTTTTAAAAGATAACCAGTTACTATTATTTGTTAGTGCCTTCTAGTCTTCTACTTCTATTCAAATATATTTTATTTTTATGTAATTGGAATAAAAATTGCAAACACTTTTAAAAAAGAAGAAATGCAAATTCTCAGGCCCTACCTCAACCTTACTAAATTGTACACTGTGGAATGGGGCCCATGAATCTGTTTTTCCAAGCACTCCAGATGATTCTAAAGCATGCTGAAGTTGGAGAATCACTGACCTAGGTCTTTGGAGCCTCTGCAAGAACCAAGAACGAGGACTCCACTTTAACAGCCTTTTCATTATCTATCTTGCATAGTGTGAGCAAGCCGCACAAAAGAGGCTTCAACTCCTAGAGCCAGGAGGGACTTGAGAAGCCATTTCTCAGGTCAGTTTGTTTTGTAGCTGAGGACTTTGCAACCCAAGGGGCTAAGTGAAGTCTGACCCAGAGCCAGGCCAACAGCTGATGTCAAGGCGACTCTCAGCCCAGGGCCCTTCCTGTGTGTCCTCTCCCTGTCTTGTAGTCAGAGCAAAAGCACCATGCAGTTGTGACCTGAAGGCAGTAGAGCTTGAAGGAGCAAGGTCAGGTGGAGAAGCTGGGTTTAGGTAGACCCACTTCGTTCTAGCCCAGAGGGTGGGGCCCCAGGGGAAGTTACAGCTACCTTCCTTGTTCTTGGTCTTGTAAATTGCCTGATGGGTTCTTCCTGCCTGCTACAGACAAAACCAGTTCGCTGAGACTGTGGTATTGCAGTAAAGAAAGAGTTTAAGCTGTGTGTGGTGGCTCACACCTGTAATCCCAGCACTTTGGGAGGCCGAGGTGGGCAGATCAATTGAGGTCAGGAGTTTGAGACCAGCCTGGCCAACATGGCAAAACTCTGTCTCTACTAAAAATACAAAAATTAGCCAGGCATGGTGGCTTGCACCTGTAATCCCAGTTACTAGACAGGCTGAGGAAGGAGAATTGCTTGAACCCAGGAGGCGGAGGTTGCAGTGAGCCAAAATCACGCCACTGTACTCCAGCCTTGGCGACAGAGCAAAAGCAAGAGTTTAACTGACTTGAGGCTGGCCGTGTGAAAGAACTGGAATTGTCACTCAAATCAGTCTCCCAGAAAACTGGGGTTAGGGTTTTTCAAGGATAGTATGGTGGGCTGGAGACTAGGGAATGGATGCTGCTAACTGGTTGGTGATGAAATCACAGGGTGTGGAAAAATGCTTCTTGTTCACTGAGTCTGCCTCTGGTTGATGGCCACAGGACTGGTTGAGTCATGAGTCACGATCCTGGGTGGGGCCAGTCGGTTGCCAGAATGCAAATATCTGAAAAACATCTCAAAAGACCAATCTGAGCTTCTACACCAATGGTGGTATCTATAGGAGCAACTGGGGAAGTCACAAATCTTGTGGCTTCTGGCCACAGAACTCCTGAGCAGTAAGGGATTATAGAAACTATTCCTACATTTTAGCAGAGTTCAGGACCCTCCCATAATTTTAATCTCATCGCCTTTCATTAGTTTTTGGTCCCTGAGCAAGGAAGGGGTTACTTTGAGGGAGGGACCATTATCATTCTTGCTTCCAACTTAAACTATAAACTAAATTCCTCCCATGGTTAACTTGGCCTATGCCCAGGTGTGAGCAAAGACAGCCAGCCTGTGAGGCTAGAGCAAGATGGAGTCAGCCATGCTACACCTCCCTCACTATCGTCATCTTTCAAAGGCAGTTTCAGCCTGGAAGATAAAATCATCTCCAGGTCCTTAGCGATTGGTGGGTCTCCCATTTATGGTCCTTGAAATGGAACCAGGTATGGACCCCAGGGGCCCTGGGGTGTCCCTTCCATGGAAGCCATTTCCCTGACTGGTGTGAGGGTCAGGAATTTCCCATAGAGCATTTTTCCATAGGAGAAGGCCAAGCTCTGTGCAGAAGGACCTTGCAAATAAAATGAAGCATTGGAGAAAGCAGCTACTGACAGCTCCCTAGACAGGTTGCTTCCTGTAACTGAAAGCTGAAATCCAAGAATGACCTAAAACTCATTCCCAGAATTCCTTACTTTAGGCTCATAGAAACTGAGACAAGTTTGGGAGTGGTAGTTATTTAATCAACTCAAAAACAGCCCATATTTTCAGCTATAAAGTCTCTCCCCTTCCTCTCCTTCCCTTCTCCTCCCTCTCTTAACAATTTCTTGCCACATCCTGTTCAAGGAGAAACAAACCACTATTTGCCAGTGATGATCCCTTCATAGCTTCCCAGCCTTTGAGATGGAGGGTGGTGTCCTGAACTCAGAGCTTCGGTGCAGTTGGTGTGACCTTGAGGAAGCCATTTAACCTAGTCTTGGTCCCCTCAACTGTAAAATCAGAGACAGATGTGATCTTTCTTTTTTTTGAGATGGAGTCTCACTCTGTCACCCAGGCTGGAGTGCAATGGCACAATCTCTGCTCACTGCAACCTCTGCCTCCTGGGTTCAAGCAATTCTTCTGCCTCAGTCTCCCGAGTAACTGGGATTACAGGCTTCCGCCACCACGCCTGGCTCATTTTTTGTATTTTTAGTAGAGACAGAGTTCACCATGTTGGCCAGGCTGGTCTCGAACATCTGACCTCAGGTGATCTACCCGCCTCAGCCTCCCAAAGTGCTGGGATCACAGGCGTGAACCACCGTGCCCAGCCTCATTTTTATTAATTAATTAATTAATTTTTGTTTGTTTTTTGAGAGAGGATCTCGCTCTGTTGCCCAGTCTGGAGTATAGTGGCATGATTATGGCTCACTGCAGCCTCAATCTCCATGGCTCAAGCGATCTTCCCACCACAGCCTCTGAGGAATTTGGGACTACAGGCACATGCCACCATTTCTGGCTAATTTTTGTATTTTTTGTAGAGACAGTGTTTCACTGTGTTGCCCAGGGTGATCTCAAACTCCTGGGCTCAAGTAATCCACATGCCTCGGCCTTCCAAAGTGCTAAGATAACAGGCGTGAGCCACCGCATCCAGCCCCCATCATTTAATTTAAAGAGTGGCTGATGTGGTCTCACATAGCTCTTAGCATCCGCATGAACTATATGATTAATATGATCAGTATAGACTGGGGATTAATGTAGAGTTAGAGGCTGATTTTTCCTGTTAGTCTCTTGGCTTTGGTCTCCAACTGGATAAGAGTTCCTGTTAATACAATGCTGTCAGTTTCAGTTAGGGACAAAAATTCAGTCGCCCATCATTTGGTGTTATATAGATCAGGAAAGGAGGGGATCATTTCTTAATTCATCTGTTTGGGGGCTTCCTGTTTGTTTGCTTTTTAAAGTCAGAGTCAGTCAAAAAGTTTGTATTCAAGACCAGCCTGGCCAACATGGTGAAATCCCATCTCTACTAAAAATACAAAAATTAACCAGGCATGGTGGCTAATTCCAGCTACTTGGGAGGCTGTAATCCCAGCTACTTGTGAGGCTAAGGCAGGACAATCACTTGAACCCAGGAGGTGGAGGTTGCAGTGAGCCAAGATCACACCACTGCACTGCACTCCAGCCTGGGCAACAAGAGTGAAACTCCATCTCAAAAACAAACAAACAAACAAACAAAAAGTTTCTAAATTTGTAGGGGAAAAAAAGGCCAGGTTTAGATCATAGAGATTAGGAATGATGCCTTGTACTGTTCAGTTAGCACATTTCCATTCAAAAATATTAAGACCCAGAAATGAACTCGGATGGCCCAGAATAGAAACTCTCCCTTCTGGTGGGTGGCACACACTCTTAGGCAAGGGTGATTTATTTAGAACAATGGCCACTGTTGCACTTCATGGCATATATGCACCTGCTGGAGGTAACACCACCTCTTCTCTGTCTTATGCACAAAGGGAATTTGGCTCATTATTGTCTGAAGCCTTAAAAAGACTCTGGGAACAGGGGTCACAGTCCTCTTTTACTGAGATCATTGCATGACATGGAGACAGAGTCATTAAAATATCGAGTCTAAATATTTCCTAGAACGACCTTGCTTCTTGTATCAACAGCAAACAGCAGCTGCTGTCTTCCCAGCTGAGCGCTGCTTCCCTCTCACCACAAGAGGGCGAGAAAGACCTGCGACAGGACCTCTCCCTCCCTGCGGGAGGATGGAAGAGAAAGCTCTGGGCTCCGTTAAGAGGGCATTTTATTCTCTGGAAAATAAAAGTAATAAGAGATGCCAAAGTTCCAGTGTTGGCTGAAGAAACAGTGGTTACCCTGGTGGGTTTTTTGTTTGTTTGCTTGCTTCCCCTCGCCTCAGTCTTTTAGAGCTTGGAACATAATTATTCTCTAGAGAATGAACACAGCATTATTATTTATTATTATTATTATTTAGAGACAGGGCCTCACTGTGTTGCCCAGGCTGGAAGGCAGTGGTTTGAGCAGAACTCATTGCAGCCTCGGACTCCTGGGCTCAAACAATCTTCCTGCCTCAGCCTCCCGACTAAGGGGCTACAGGAATGCACCACCATGCCTGGCTAATTTTCATATTTTTTGTAGAGAAGGTTCTTACTATGTTGCCCAATCTGGTCTTTAACTCCTGGCCTCAAGCAATTCCCCAGTCTGGCCTCCTAAAGCTCTGGGAATACAGGCATGAATCACCAGGCCTGGCCTGAACACATTATTTTAAGTAACTTGAATGATGTACGTGTAAGAATCCAAACATTTGATAAAAGAGGGTTTGAGGCTGGGCACGATGGCTCACACTGGTAATCCCAGCATTCTGGGGGACCAAGGCAGGTGGATCACGAGGTCAGGAGTTCGAGACCAGCCTGGTCAACATGGTGAAACCCCATCTCTACTAAAAATAAATACAAAAGAAATTAGCCGGGCATGGTGGTGCGTGCCGGTAGTCCCACCTACTGGGGAGGCTGAGGCAGGAGAATCGCTTGAACCTGGGAGGCGGAGGTTGCAGTGAACCGAGATTGTGCCACTGCATTCCAGCTTGGGCAACAGAGTGAGACTATGTCTCAAAAAAGAAAAAAAATAAAGAGGGTTTGATGGTTTGGAGCATAAGCTGCTTCTCTTGCTACCAGGCTATGTGATGTGCAGAAAACTTGGGAGGGGACTGGGGAGGACAGTGTTTTCAAGAGAAGAAAAGCCAAGAGGCTGGGATATGGTGATCTATTCCTGGTACTGGAAGGTCCAGTACACCTCCAGTAGGTACACCTCAAGAGGTACTTACCAAGGAAAAGTGTTAGCAAAAGCAGGGAAAATAAACTATGACTGCTCCTTAAAGAAAGATATCAGATCTACTTGGGTTTTCCCTCCTCTCTCTCCCACCTCCTTCCTCTGCCTTTTTTGTCTGGAATTATGATACGGTATGAAATGATTTTTTTTTTAGACAAAGTTTCACTCTTGTTGCCCAGGCTGGAGAGCAGTGGCACAATCTCAGCTCACTGCAACCTCCGCCTCCCGTGTTCAAGCGATTCTCCTGCCTCAGTCTCTCGAGTAGCTGGGATTACAGGTGCCCACCACCAGGTCCGGCTAATTTTTGTATTTTTAGTAGAGACAGGGTTTCACCATGTTGGCCAGGCTGGTCTTGAACTCCTGACCTCAGGTGATCCACCCGCCTCGGCCTCCCAAAGTGCTGGGATTACAGGTGTGAGCCACTGTGCCCGGCCATGATATGAAATAACTTATAAGGAAGATTGGTAGAGCCTGCCAGACAGAATTTACCTTTAATCCATCGAAAGTTAAATCTGTCCAGTTGTTGACCAAAACAAAATGGACATGAGGCATTGTTTAGAGACTGGTCAGAAAAGGGAGAGAGAAAGTGCCTTTCAGTCATACAGAATACACGTTTGGGAGACTCCCATTGGTTTAAAATGGATCCTAAACGTGAATCAAGATCCTGCTTATGGGCTGGGCACGGTGGCTCACGCCTGTAATCCCAACACTTTGGGAGCCTGAGGCGGGCAGATCATGAGGTCAGGAGATCAAGACCATCTTGGTGAACATGGTGAAACCCCGTCTCTACCAAAAATACAAAAATTAGCTGGGCATAATGGCGCGTGCCTGTAATCCCAGCTACTTAGGAGGCTGAGGCAGGAGAATCGCTTGAACCAGGGAGTCAGAGGTTGCAGTGAGCTGAGATCGCACCACTGCATTCCAGCCTGGGCAACAAGAGCGAAACTCTGTCTCAAAAAAAAAAAAAAAAAAAAAAAAAAAAAAGATCCTACTTACAGCTGTCTTCTGTGGGCCCTCTGCCCTCTGCAGCCCTTCCCGTAATTATTCACTTGTGAGCAGGCCTGCTAGGTTAGGGAGGGCTGGGTCATAGGAATGTGATGGCCTCATCTCATGCCTTTTTTTGTTCCTCTTAAGCAGTCGCAGCCAGCCCGCCAGCCCTGGTGCTCGGCCTGTTCTGAAGTGAGTTGCGCACCTGCCCTCATTTCTCTCCGCAGTTGGGCATCTTTGGTCTTGAACAGCTCAGGAAAGTCCGAGCTGACACTCAGGTTCTTACTCCTTAGATGAGATCCAGTGTGCAGCGTTCTTCCTAGTTGTGAAAAATCATTGTCATCTCTAATATTAAAGGAAATGATAACTAGAAGATGTCGCTGTTATGACAACATCTTGACATTGAAAGAGATTTTATATGGTCACTTGGTTCAACAATTAGTCCATGTGTCCCTTGCTGGACTTCTCCTGGTGCTTGGGAACCACAGCCTGTGCTGTCTTCAGACAGAATTAATTCCTAGAAGTTCTTCCTTATCTTAAACCTATGTGGTGCCTTTTCCCTGGCACCCACTAGTCCTTGCTGTGACCTCTGCAATTATACAAATGAAGTCTCCTTTCTTATCATGTAAGTCCCTCCTTCACATTCCCTGTGTGAATGTGGTATTAAGTGCTTTTACCAACTTGATCACTCTGCTTCATTACAGAATTTTTAAAGATGCCACACTTTCCACTGGGTTGACCATTCTAGAATGGTGTGATCAGAATGGTCATCGCCTTGGACTGGACTTTTAACATGTATTGGCACCTGCCAAATATTTGTGTTATTAGTCACATCTGTTTTTAAGAGACAGCGCTCCTGAAAGACAGATGGAGTCATAGATCTGCTTTTCCAACGCTTTCTTAAAGCATTTCTAGGAAAGTAGTAATTCCACTTTATTCGACTTGGTGGAGAAGCTCATGCCACTTGTTTTGGAGGCAGAGTTGATTTCTGAGGTTGCCTTTCACAGAGCCGAGAAGGGATCTTAGAGTTCATTTTATTAGTCATATTTTACAGGTGACAAAATGAAGTCTAGAGAGGTTTAACAATGTTTGCCCGAAGCCACACACTGGTAAGTGACTAAGCCCCAAGCTAATGCTGGGCCCCAGGTACAGGAGCCCACCTCGCCACTGCTTCCTTGTGTCTGGTTCTGCCTCGGGAACTGGCCTAGGAACAGACTCCCTGCCACCCGCCGCAGCCACAGACGTTTTCACGATTCTTTTTTGTATTTTCCAAGTCTTCTACAGTGATCCATTACTTTTATAATCAGAAAACAATCAACTGGCACAGACAAGGTGGCTCACACCTGTAATTCCAGCACTTTGGGAGTCCCAGGTGGGCGGATTATTTGAGGTTGGGAGTTTGAGACCAGCCTGGACAACATGTCAAAAACCCATCTCTACTAAAAATACAAAACTTAGCTGGGTGTGGGTGGCGTATGCCTGTAATCCCTTCTTCTCGGGAGGCTGAGGCAGGAGAATCGCTTAACACAGGCAGACGTTGCAGTGAGCTGAGATTGCACTACTGCACTCCAGCCTGGGCGACAGAGTGAGGCATCAACTCAAAAAAAAAAACAAAAAAGAAAAGAAAGCAATCAATTGGCCAGATATGGTGACTCAAGCCTGTAATGCCAGCGCTTTGGGAGGCTGAGGCAGGAGGATCACTTGAAGCCAGGAGTTTGAGACCAGGCGGGGCATAAAAGCGAGACCCTGTCTCTATTAAAGAAAAAAAAAGTGCTTGCTTTGGCAGCACATATGCTAAAATTGGAAGGATACACAGAAGATTAGCATGGCCCCTGCGCAAGAACGACACGCAAATTCATGAAGCGTTCCATATTTTTATCTGCCAGCCATCACCACCCGATTTTGATTGTATCCTTCCTCCCATCCTTTAATCTGTTCACTGCTTTGTCTGGGGGAGCTGGGGTCGTTGGCTCAGACGTTGGCGTTTGTTCTTTGATGGATGAACGAACACTCCAGTTTTCTTTCCCGTGGAGGTTGTTTCAGCCACAAACCACTTCATTTTGCTGTTTCAATTTCAAAATAAAATGAAACATATTGAAAAAAAAGAAAGAAAAGAAATCAATCAATCAAACAAACAAACAAAACCCAGTAGTTTTGAAAAACACACCTCACTCATACCAAGGCCAGCCCCTAAAGTCCCTGGGTCTGTTCTCTGAACCTCTAGGTCAGGGAAACTGCTGTTCCATATCTCCTGACTCCTTAAAATTCAGTGACTCAAAGATCCCATTTTGGTCAGAAGTTGAACAACAATAAAACCTTTTCCTATCCTGTCGGCCACATTCACGAACTCCCGGGCTCCCACGCGGTTTATTTTTAAGACGCTGGTTTAAATTTCTCGAGTTACGGGGGGAAGGGGTTGCGGTGGGAGCGAGACTGAGAACCACAGCGCGAACAGGGGCGCATTGGTACCAGGATCGGTACAGGGATGTCTCCAGTTCCTATAGACTCTAGCCTCGGGGGGAGTCTGTCCAGACTACAAGTGTCTGTGCCCCTGTTTTATTTTGAGACAAGTCGGGGTCGCTCAATGAGTCAGCACAGAGGAGGCAGTGGGGGAGACAGACAGCGGCTGGGACGCGCGGGACTGGGGCGCGCCTTGCGCGCTGGGCACCGGAGCTGCGCACGGGCGGCCCGGGGCGGGGGCCCCAGAGAGCCCGGGAGGGCGTGGACTCGGCCGGGGAGGGGCGGGCTCGGGCGCGTCTGGGTTGGAGCTGGATGATGTAAAACAGCGCGGAGCTCCTTGGCGCCTCGGCACCATTACCTTCAATTATCATAATTGGTGCCTCTCTCCAGCGTTTGCATTTCCCCCGAGGGATCTCTCACTAGTTCCCGTTCCTTCTCCTCGCCCTCTCTCGCTCACTCGCTCTCGGCTCCCGATCGCTCTCCCAGCCTCGCCCTCCCCTCAGTATCGATCTTTTTGGATGTTCTCCCTGCCTAAAACGGATGCTAATATCTCTTCGATTGAACCGAAATGGCGCTGCGGCTGCTACTTTTCCATTGTCAATAGAAACTTAGAGGGACCCGGGGATCAGCATTTATCTTATACTTAAACTAATTTCTCTAAGTACTTTTCTACTTGTAGTCCAAAGAACCGGGAATTAGTAACGATGTGTGGAACCTGGAGTACATTTTCCCGAAACTTCCCGATCTGTCAATAGGAAGGTTAATCTTCCTGGACACCCCCGTCTCCCTCCTCCCACTCTCTTCGCTGGAGTCGTGCTGGCTGATGGGAACGAAAAGATTTCAGATCTGAAAAGGCTTTGATTGTACCTTGAGACATCACCTTGACAAAAATATAAAAACATAGGCTCTTCTCTCTGCACTGTCTGCGTCTTTCAGGGGCTGGACTTCACCTGTCTCCAGAAAAACTGCGGATCTTCAGGTATGACTTGAAGGATTAGGAAAGAGAGAAGTACCAGTGCCCCTTCCCATCATTCCTACAGATCTTTGTTAACATTAGGCAGTCACCTAAAAAAAAAAAAAGGCAGGTGGATTAGAAGCATTTTGAGGGCAGGAGCCGTTTCAGAAATCTCTTGATCACCCCTAAAAAAAAGGACAGCTCATGAGTACAGTTCATGGCAAGTGTATCCATAATTAGTCAGGATTTTCTTGGGAAATGCTTCCGTTTGAAAGTGAATAAGCAACATCAGACTTCTTCGAAAAATGCCATTGGATAGGAGATGGGTTATCTCAAGGTGTCACGTTGCAGGGTGGAAGAGTTGTGTTTTCCAGCAGACTAGAGGCACGAGTTATGGTTCCATGAGAGCAGCTAAGTTTCTTGCGTAATGATAAGTTAGGCGACCAATTTGTCTCAGCTGATTCTTGGACTATCACCAGTCATGGGAGCAAACGTTTGTTGGCAAGATTCCGCGTTTTTAGAGAGATACCACCACCCTGCCCAGGCTGCAGTCTGACTTGGCAGTAACATTATTTGCACTTCAAATCTTCAGCTCCAGGGAGGAGAAAATCCTGAAACCACCTGGGAAGTCCTGAAGCCATCATAAATACATTCAGATATTACAAATTTTTTCCTTAGACCGATTTCTAAGGAAAATTGGTCACCATTTCTATAGAGATTCACAGTTAACAAAACTTACACGAAGACCTCAAGTTGTACTAGTAGCAATCTCTGGAGCAGGCAGGCTACCAAACACTCTTGTTCTCATTTTATGGGCAAGAAAACTGAGTACCAAGGGGCCAATTGATTGGCTCATAAAAACTCATTGAGTATACTGGGCGTGGAGGTTCATGCCTGTGATCCCAGCACTTTGGGAGGCTGAGGCAGGCGAATCACTTGAGGCCAGGAGTTCGAGACCAGCCTGGCCAAAACGGTGAAACCCTGCCTCTATCAAAAATACAAAAGTTATCCAGGCATGGTGGCAAACATCTGTAATCCTAGCCACTCAGGAGGGTGAGGCACGAGAATTGCTTGAACCTGGGAGGTGGAGGCTGCAGTGAGCTCGCTCCACTGCACTTCAGCCTGGGCAATGGAGCAAGACTCTATCTCAAAAATAATAATAATAATAATAATAATAATAAAATAAACAACCAGCTTGGGCAACATGGCGAGACCCTGTCTCTACAAAATATTTAAAAATTAGCAGGGTGCGGTGGCATGCACCTGTAGTCCTAGCTACTGGGGAGTCTGAGGTGAGGGGATCACTTGAGCCATGGTGGTGGAGGCTGCAGTGAGCTGAGATTGTGCCAGTGCACTCCAGCCTGGGTGACAGAGCCAGGCCGTCTCAAAAAACACACAAACAAAACATTGAGTAATGGAGTGTGGATACAAATGCAGGACTTCAGTTTCTTACTTTAGTGTTACTTTTTCCTTGCTCTGTTACCCAGGCTGGAGTGCAGTGGTGCGATCTCGGCTTGCTGCAGCCTCCCCATCTCTGGCTCAAGGGATTCTCCAGCCTCAGCCTCCTGAGTAGCTGGGATTACAGGCATGCACCACCACACCCAGCTAATTTTTGTATTTTTAGTAGAGATGGGGTTTTACCGCGTTGCCTAGGGTGGTCTTGAGCTCCTGGATTCAAGTGATCCACCCTCCTTGGCCTCCCAAAGTGCTGGGATTATAGGTGTGAACCACCTTGCGAGGCCCAGGGAACTCTTTTTATATACTCCTGTCATTTAATGAGGAACAACTAAGTGGTATGGGGTGGAGCCAAGTGGATGGACCTCCAAGGAAACAAGTGACTACTTTGACCCTTTGGCTGTAATATTGATGGATTTTGCTCATGTATTCCATACAGACTGGCAAGCAATGCCATTGCTCATAGACATTGCATCATGGGCATCTTGCCTGCTCTTCCCCCCGCCACTATATGTGGAAAATGCCAGGTTGACTATTCACTCCAAATACTCACCTTTCTCAAGAAACTAATAAAAAGCTCTGCTCGTTGCCATGGCCCCACTAAGAAGACAAGATGTTCAAGATTGTTGTATATTAAAAATAATCCACGAGTTCAAAATGGTCCTGGACTCTGGAAAGTCTTGTACTCTGCAAGGTTCTGAGTCTTCAGTCTGTTTAAAATGGGCTGTCTTCAAATGGCTACATTAAGTTATTTTAGATGATAGCAAACACTCAAGTGATAAAGTCACACAGAAGTAATAATTTGAAGGAATGATTTTTTTTTTTTTTGAGACAGAGTCTCACTCTGTTGTCCAGGCTGGAGTGCAGTGGCGCAATCTTGGCTCACAGTAACCTCCGCCTCCTGGAGATTCTCCTGCTTCAGCCTCCCCAGTAGCTGGGATTACAGGCATGTGCCACGATGCTCGGCTAATTTTTATATTTTTAGTAGAGATGGGGTTTCACCATATTGGCCAGGTTGTTCTCAAACTCCTGACCTCAAGTTATCCATCTGCCTCAGCTTCTCAAAGTGCTGGGATTACAGGCATGAACCACCGTGCCTGGCTTGGAGGAATGATCTTAATTCCACTCACTAATCACTTCTCAGCCTTTTGGCTAAGGTCAAAATTCACTCACTAATATATTTCTTTTCTTTTGAGATGGTCTCTCTCTGTTGCCCAGGCTGAAGTGTGGTGGTGTGATCTTAGTTCACTGCAGCCTGGAACGCCTGGGCTCCAGTAATCCTCCTACTTTAGCCTCCCAAGTAGCTGAGACTACAGGCATCTGCTACCGGGCTTGCTGGTCTCAAACTCCTGAACTCATGTGATCCTCCCACCTCAGCCTCCCAAAGTGCTAGAATTACAGGTGTGAGCCTCTGAGCCTGGCCTACTTTATTTTGCTTTATAGGTGAATTAACTTTATATAATATGACATGCTTTATGGTGCCAGCCTGCCCATATCTCTTTCTGTGTGTTCTTTCTGGCTCACACCCTTGCTGAGAGCAGTACCCAGGTTTTATATTAGCCAGAACCCTATCCAAGCCCAAGAGATCACAGACTGAGTATTTGGGGATGGTGTCTCCGTAAGCTGAACAAATGACTGTGATAGTTTGCAGTAGTGATAGAAGGTGAAACCATCTCTTGGGTAGTATCTCTCTGTATAGGGGACTCATGCTTGGACAAAAAAAAAATAAAAGCAGAAATTATGAGAGTAAAAACTACAAATAAGGAGAGGATGACAGCCCACTGGCAAAGAGGTGAGAAGCAAAGACAACCCTGAGAAAAAGAGGCCCAAGTCTCTGGCTTCTGGCTCCAGGAAGGTTGGCTCCCCGAGCTGATAAGCGGTGCTTGTCAATGACCAGTTAGTAGTAACCATACCATAAGCCTATTTTGTCCATACCACAAACCCCTCCTAAATTAATCTTTAGTGTGTCTCTCTTCCTTTTAATTAAGCAAGTTGACTAACGATGTACTATAAATGTTTTATTTTTATTTATTTATTTATTTATTTGCTATTATGTTCTGGCCACTGTCATTGTTTTTATTTCATAATAATTCCTGAGAAAATAACTAACTATATAGTATTTGTTTTATCATTTACAAAGTATCAAGACACACATTATATTTGATGTGTGAGTTCAAGCCATGAAATAAAATGCCAGCCAAACGTGCATATCTTCAAATATTTAATGCATTTTAACGAGATTTATGGACACAGGTTATGAAGAGAGTACACCCTAAGTGAGGTCATCAATGAACAGAATTCTTGTTCTTATCCTTGGTATTAAGGGAAGAACTTCTGATGCGCTTTTCTCAGATTGTATAATCTTCCTTTGTTCTATCTGGTCACCTAACAAATAAGCTCCTATTCTGCTATGAATCCCTTAAACACAAATAACTCTCTGATAAGATAGTCAAGCTCACACCTGTAATCCCAGCTACTTGGGAGGCTAAGGTGGGAGGGTCACTCGAGGCTAGAAGTTTGGGACCAGCCTGGGCAACATAAGGAGACTCTGTCTCAACAAAAAGTATAGAAATTAGCCCCATGCAGTGGGGAGCACCTTAGCTACTTGGGAGGCTGGGGCCAGTGGTTCGAGGCTACAGTGAGCTATGATTGCAGCGCTGTACTCCAGCCTGAGTAACAGAGGGAGGCCTTCGTCTCTAAAAAAGCAAAAAAAAGCAAGTAACTCTCTACTCTCCCATTCACAATTTAGTGCCATTTAGTTACATGTTTAGCCTATAATTTCAAAGACATCATTTAAAATCTTTAAAACATCTATACGGCCAGCATGGTGGCTCACACCTATAATCCCAGCACTTTTGGAGGCTCAGGCAGGAGGATTGCTTGAGCCCAGGAATTCTGAGACCAGCCTCAGTAACATAGGGAGACCACCATCTCTACAAAAAAATTAAAAAATTAGTCGGGCATGGTGGCTCGCGCCTATATATATACATATATATCTCCCATGGATAAATTATATCTTGAATGCTGTTTGAAGGTAATAAAAAACTATTCTACTGTTTAACGGTTTCAGTTAGGTCTAGAATCAGTTTTCTGTTCTTGGGTATAGAGAGCTTGTTCCTAGGTATTTTCGGAATCCCTTTGTAGATGTAAAAAGAATTTTGGTCGTTGATTTCATTTCTTGCTTTAAACTTCAAAAGGACAGTAGATTGTACTATTTTTTTTCCCTCTACTTATCAACCTACATGTAGGAAAGTAATAACTGAATTATGTGCAAAGCATAAGTAAAATTCTCTAGAGAAGCAATTTTCCTTAAGAATGTTAAATTGAATTAAAATTGTTGCCTATTCTCTCAACTATTGATATGGCCTTATGATTGACACATTATCCCTAAACTGATTTTGATATTCTACATTGATTCAAACACTCTGATTCATTTAGTTGAAAAGTCCATGTCTTCCCCAGAACCATTAGATAAAGTGCGGACTTGTTTCTCTTTAATTTCTGGTCATTTAGAAAGTTTGCCCATTAATAATAAAAACAAAATAGTTGAAATCATTGTCTAAAAAATGGATCCCAAGTTCTTATTCAGAATTGGACTTGGAACAAAAAAATATATACAACCTGGAGTGCTCAAAGTCAACATTAATTCAATAAAATACAAATATCTTAGTTTGGTTTCTTTGGGTTGCAAGGAAAAGAACCTTAAGTAAAAAGGGGACTTTATTAAGGTTACTGAATTAACCTAAGGACAAGAAGTGACGCTGAGTGCCTGGAAATCCATTTGGATTTATGTATTTGCCACTTTGCATATCTTCATTATTTTTCTTCCTCTGCAGACAGGTGGACTACAGCTGCCCCAAAGCAAAATTTTTATGTCTCCCGTGAAATGACCTCAAGGGACTGAGCAGCATGTCTGCTCAAAGACACAGAAGAGAGAATCTAACTGACCTAACCTGGGTCATGTGACTAGCTATGGCCAGAGATTAGGAGATCAGAGTCTCCTAATCAGGTTGCCAACGCCCACTCCGGGAAAAGGGACATTCTCTGACTTGGGCTGGGAGACACTCAGAAAGTGTCTACTAGAATGCAACTTTCACCAACACATTCCCCAGACCTCTTCCATTAAATATTTATCTGTATCAAAGGGAAGTATAGTTCATTTCTGATACGTCTCTGTTCACTTCTTCACATTTTATGCTGCAATCACAAAGACTTGCTTGTCATCCCAACTACCTGTTCGCTGCTTACCACTCCTACTCACCTACACAATCATATTTCATGCCTAAGTCCTGTGGTCCTCTGTGCTTGTAATGGTCTTCTTCCAATCCTTAATGTCATTGCTTCTAGACTTTACCGGCTCTCTTTACCTTCCTAGACTAGTTAACCTCTTTCTTTTAGGCATTGTAACATCATGCACATAAATCTCCATTATTGTCCAGCTCCATTGTTTTGAGATTTACTATCTAGTTTCTGACATCTTTATACCCCCAGACATTGCAAGCCTCGCCTACGGTGGGAGGCCAGGTTGAACTAACATACCCTGAAAGTTTCCTTTTAGCTAATAATTGACTCTAAAAGAGAGTGTAATCATTACATAAAAAGTATTGTCCTCTGGGCGCGGTGGCTCACGCCTGTAAATCCCAGCACTTTGGGAGGCCGAGGCGGGCGGATCACGAGGTCGGAAGTTCGAGAGCAGCCTGACCAACATGGCGAAACCTCGTCTCTATAAAAATACAGAAATTAGCCAGGCGTGGAGACAGGTGCCTGTAATCCCAGCTACTCAGGAGGCTGAGGCAGGAGAATGGCTTGAACCCGGGAGGCGGAAGGTTGCAGTGAGCCGAGATCGCGCCACTGTACTCCAGCCTGGGCGACAGTGCCAGACTCGTCTCAAAAAAAAAAAAAAAAAAAAAAAAAGTCTTGTCTGCATAAAACCCTTACAATTGTTAACTTGTCAAGGTTCTAGTAGCCAGGAAGTTCTAATCAAACTCGGCCCCAGGACTGCCTTGTCAGCACGCCCCTTGAGAAACTTTTCTGAGAAACCTGCTGTTTACCTGGTGCCCTAACCAGTTTAATTTTCTTTTAAAACTTCTACTGGATTTCTCCTTCTCTCCTTTTAGATGCAATTTTGATCTAGAGAAGTAATGGTCTGAGCATCAGTTTATGAAATTATTTTATTTTTCTGCACATAAACATTATTTTTCAAAGACAATTTCATTAACTACATCCTGCAGCTCTGCAGACTTTCAACAACTTTAAAAGGTTAGGCGTTTGAGATATGTTCGCCTTGACTTTCAGTCCTCAAGACATATGTACATTTTTCTTAGTCTCAAAGCTCATGTCTGCACTCTAGTCCTAAAGGATTTGTCTTTATAATTCTCACCTTAGCATGAAATGTGCTTCTCTTTCTTTCCTTCCCCACCCCCCACCCCCTTTTGACATATCCGGTAGGGAAGCTCTGGCAGATTCTCAAGAAGAATTTTGCAAATGGTCGACTTTTGTTCATCTCAGGTTTTGGAGGGAGAGGATAAAAGAACATTCCCTCAGATAATGAGTTTTAACCTTAATTCCTTCCAAAGCGGAGGGGGAAACAAAACTACAGCAAGACCACCTTGAGTACCTTGGGAAGGGCAGCCCCGCGATCCCTAATAAATGAATTAGCATCTCAAGGAGGAGATCACTGCGGGGCTGATATTGATCAGGGTCAGCCGGCGTGTTTGCCAGCCATTGTTTGGGGGGTGGTTAATTGAGTGTCAGTCTCGGCCAGTGTCGTCTCGTTGGCGCCGGGTGCTTTTGGATTTGCTAATTTTCGTTAAGTGTCTCTAGCCCGCTACTCGTCCCGCGTACCCGGGAGAACCTAGCGGCTCCTAACGGATCAACAGTCAGTCTGTCTGGGCTTTATTGATCCCATGGCGGGCAGCTCGAGGCGGACACGCTGAGGGGGTGGGGGGCGAAGGCTGAATGCAGACCCCAGCGCTGGGCCGCCTCCCCCGGGCTCCCACCCGAACCCTCCTCCGCCACCTGCACAGGCCGGGGCATTGTCACTCGCCCCTGGGGGTTCCAGAAAACGCAGTGCGGCCGGGGAGGACGACCACACGGACCCCCTGCGTGTTTCGGGGGGCACCCAAAAGAAGCCCCGCGCTGGGGAACGCTGACCACCCGAGGCTGAGCCGTCAGGGTCTCGGAGGCGGGTTCCCGAGCCGGTCCCGGGGCTGGGCTCCCCCGGCGCCTCGCGAAGGTCACTGACGCGCAGGCCTCCGCAAGGGGGAGCGCGGGAGACGGCAGCGCACCAGCCGGGCGCCCCAGCCGGGCGCCCCAGACGCCGGCGCCGCTCGGAGCCGCCGGGCAGGTCCCCCAGCGCTCGCGTCTGGGCCCGCCCCCCGCTGCGGGGCGGATTGACAGGAGCCCGGCGGCCAATCGGACGCCGTGGGGCGGGGCGAGGCGGGGCGGTGCAGGCCGGCTCCCGGCGCGGGGCGCTATTTACGGCGCGGAGCCGGAGAGACCTGGGCTGGCGCGGGCGGGAGCTGCGGCGGATACCCTTGCGTGCTGTGGAGACCCTACTCTCTTCGCTGAGAACGGCCGCTAGCGGGGACTGAAGGCCGGGAGCCCACTCCCGACCCGGGGCTAGCGTGCGTCCCTAGAGTCGAGCGGGGCAAGGGAGCCAGTGGCCGCCGACGGGGGACCGGGAAACTTTTCTGGGCTCCTGGGCGCGCCCTGTAGCCGCGCTCCATGCTCCGGCAGCGGCCCGAAACCCAGCCCCGCCGCTGACGGCGCCCGCCGCTCCGGGCAGGGCCCATGCCCTGCGCGCTCCGGGGGTCGTAGGCTGCCGCCGAGCCGGGGCTCCGGAAGCCGGCGGGGGCGCCGCGGCCGTGCGGGGCGTCAATGGATCGCCACTCCAGCTACATCTTCATCTGGCTGCAGCTGGAGCTCTGCGCCATGGCCGTGCTGCTCACCAAAGGTGGGTGCCGGGGGCGCACGGGGCCCGGGGTCCCGTCCTCGCCGCGGGGCTTTGGAGCCGGCTGCAGAGGCTTTGTTAGCGGCAGGCGAGGCTCCCTCCTGCGCCGGAGCCGCAGGTCGCGACAAGTTGCTGTGTTCTTAGAAGTCGCGGCGGTGGCCTGGCGCGTGGATGCGGACTCCGATCTAAGGGCAGGCGCTGATCAGAGGGTCCTCCTGGCTCTGCCTGCGGGGAGCGGCGCGTTTGCAGCCCAGCGGGGAGCGGGGCCGGAGTCTCGGCCTCGACGCCGCCGCTTCCGCACCCTGGGGGCTCGGGCGGCCGGGAGGAATCGCAGATCCTGGCCTGTAGCTGCCGCGTGCCCTCAGCGTGTCTGTGTGAGTGCCTCAGGGTGTATTTCTGTGAGTGTGTCTCTGAGTCTCAGTATCCCTAAATGCATTTTTGTGTCTCTGAGTGTCGTTGTGTTTCTGAAAGTGTGTCTGAACCTCTGTATCACTCAGCGTATCTCTGTGTCTCTTTGAATGTATCTCTGAATGCATTTCTGTGTCTCTTTCTGAGTCTTTGTGTCTCTGAATGTGTGAGTCTCTGTATCTCTGATCTTGAGTGTGTCTTTCTGAATGCATTTCTGTGTCTGTCTCTAAGTGTCTTTGTATCTCTGAATGTGCATCTGAGTCTCTGTGTGAGTGTGTCTCTGCGTACATCTCTCTGTGTGCGAGCGAGTGTGTGGGTCTCCCTGAGAGTTTAGGTGTCCGAGGTGTGCAGAAGTGTGTGTTGTGTTGCTTTTCAGCAGCCGGGAGGAGTAGGCTCTGTCAGCGTCTCACTGCCACTCACCTCATATTTTACAAACAGGACCAAAAAAAAAAAAAAGGCAGCGGGTCAGTTTCTTCTTTCCTCTGCAGGCTTTCACCTTTTAGAAAGAAATAACCCGAACTGTCTCCGAATTTCAAGGTTCTCCTCACCTCCCTGCTGTGAAATCTACCTACTGTTCTGTGAACAGATAATTTTTTTAAGTAGGAAGCAGTTTAGTCTTTGCAGCCCCCTACTTCTCTTTAATTGCTATGTAGCAGGCATGAGGTTAAAGCATAAGCTAGCCCAGCGAGGATGATGTGCTACAGTATTTATTTATTTTGGAAGGAAGGGTGTAATTAACCCTAAATAACAGCCCTTGTGGCTTGCAGAGGGGAGCCTCCTGGCCCTATCAAAGGCGGGCAGAACAGGGAGGGACTGAGGCTGACATGAAGTCACAGATACCGAAACTATGTGCCTGATAATGATATAATTAGGGGATCAGAGATTTCTGACGGCTGCGGACTTCAAAAGCTTTAAAAGAAGCCAGCAGTCTCTCCTGTAGCCATCTTGACTAAAGCAGACATTTTTGTTTAATCACTACATACAGTAACGAGAAGGGGACAGAAACAGAAGGGCATTGTTCCACAGTTTCAAAATACCAGTCCCCTTTCTGGCCTTTTGCATGCCACAGGAAGAAACTTTATGAACGACAGAAATATAGTTTTAATACAGTGGTACAAAAGTCCATTCTCCTTGCTTAAAATGTGGCTCCAATTAAAAAAAAAAGGTAGTTAGAACTTTCCCAGTTACCTGTCAAAATTTTATTAGGCTGTTTTTAGGTCATTGAAAATAGGCTCTCATAAACATTTAAGCAGCATTTTACTTGTATTCAGTCTTCCTTTTCTGTACAAGGTCTGAAGCTAATAGGGTCAAAATGGGCTTTTAATCTGTTTTATTTATACTTTAAATCTATATATGGAATTTGTCAAACTAGGGATATGTAGTCATCACCCCAGAAGACTGGTGAGCTTTATGTGGAAAATAAAGTGAGCTTGGAGGGAGGAGGAGAAAGAGCAGAGAAGTGGTTCTGCAAAGCAAGGTTCTTACTTGAAGCAGAGAAGGAACTTGGGCCCAACCAGTGCAGATTTAGGAGCAAGACCCCTAGCTTTGGACTGTTAAGGGTTGCCAAAGATCTGTGTTTAGCGGGCTGGTTTTCCTTAGAACCGAAGCATTAGCAGCGTCCGGTGAAAACTGAGCATACAATACCGTGGTCTGGAATTTGGACAGATAATTAAATGAGACACCTTACTGGGGCGTTCAGAGAGAGGGGGAAGAATAAAGGTAAGGGTGGGAAGAGGTTTGTAAAACAGCAGATCCCGGTGTTTAATTTCAGAGTGGAGGTTTCGGATCTTCAGACGGGAAACTGGAAGAGGCGTGTGCATTAGTTTAGTTTACTCGCTGTGGCATGTGACAGCGACCAGGGTCCACTAGGTGGATATTGTATTAGTGAGAACTTGAAGACCCAGATTATTTCAACGAGAAACTGATATTAAAGCCTCCAATCTTGCCCTGCGACAAAATGTGAACGGAGCCATGCAACTCACAAAATAAGTTTTTATAAAGGAAACTTTTAATCACTTCCTGTAGAAAATTTGAGGTTTCCTTAAGGATTTTTCATTCAACCAGCAGAGGATTTTCAGTTTCAGTGTTTCCCCTTTTAGATCACATGTCGAATTACATGTAAAACTTGTGAGGAGGAGGAGGAGAAGTTAGCCTTGCAGTTTTATACTCCCCCCACCTTTTATGACTTTCCATTTGGGCTGAAAGAAATTGACTTTGGCAAGCAAACCACTAATTGTAAACTGCCTAGTTCCTGTTTTACAATATACTGACTAAAAGCTCCTCTGCATGAAAAGATCTTTATAGGCAAAAAGTTTGCCTTTTCTAGAGAGGTTGCAAATAGCTGCCTAGTTTCATAGTTTTAAAACCTCCTGACCTGGGCAGTTTCTAGATTGTTGTGTTTCTAGTTAATAACTTTATAAGGTGTTAGCTAAAGCTCTTAACTCTTGGTGCAGTCCTGTGGGATAGTAAACAATTCAGTAGTTCCGATCAAATATTTATACTGACAAAATCAAAAAGCCTAACATTTTTATGTTGTATGGTCATGTAGGATTAAAATGAATAAATAATGTGTTATACCTTATGGTAGGAGAAATTATACTCATTACTATTTCCTTCAAAAAGCAAAAGTTTTTTTAAAATGACTCTAAACTCCTCAGAAACCTGCTATTGGGATTACTACATTGCCAAAATGACGTTTAACTGGATTGAAACTTACGCACTGGCTGCAGGAAGGGCTTCTCCAGGCTCTGTAGACTGGAGCCCTCAGCTTGGATGATCTAAAAGTTCATGCCTTTGAATTTGGGATTTAGCAGTTGCCTAAATAGTTGCTTTATCTGGTCTCTGGAGCAGAGTTTGAGGTGGTTTCTCATTGTTTTCAGGTGAAATTCGATGCTACTGTGATGCTGCCCACTGTGTAGCCACTGGTTATATGTGTAAATCTGAGCTCAGCGCCTGCTTCTCTAGACTTCTTGATCCTCAGAACTCAAATTCCCCACTCACCCATGGCTGCCTGGACTCTCTTGCAAGCACGACAGACATCTGCCAAGCCAAACAGGCCCGAAACCACTCTGGCACCACCATACCCACATTGGAATGCTGTCATGAAGACATGTGCAATTACAGAGGGCTGCACGATGTTCTCTCTCCTCCCAGGGGTGAGGCCTCAGGTAGGTGGAAGCCGTTTCTAACCAGAATGCCTGCCTGATCTATAGACTTGTGACAGCCACGACTTTGTATGTCTGCTATTGATTTTGTTGTTAATGTAATTAGAGACACCAGAGGGAGAAGCCTGGCTGGATGCAAAGATGCATCTTGATTGAGTGGCTTTTATGTCTGAGCATTAGATGTCTGTCTACATAATAGGTTTTGCCTGTTTTTTCAACATTTTGAAGACATTAAAAGGCCATTACATCTCAGTAATGACAGTCTGTAAACAAATGCGTTTGTAAGCTTCTTCAGATAGTTTTGCAATGTTTTCTAAATATCGTTGATTTAATTGTAAGCTTCTTTTTAATGGAATTCTTGGTTAAAATGAATTGATGATTATGAATATCCCTAGGAGGAGTTAGCATGGAGTTTGATCATTTTCTTTGTACTCCTTTAGGACAAGGAAACAGGTATCAGCATGATGGTAGCAGAAACCTTATCACCAAGGTGCAGGAGCTGACTTCTTCCAAAGAGTTGTGGTTCCGGGCAGCGGTCATTGCCGTGCCCATTGCTGGAGGGCTGATTTTAGTGTTGCTTATTATGTTGGCCCTGAGGATGCTTCGAAGTGAAAATAAGAGGCTGCAGGATCAGCGGCAACAGATGCTCTCCCGTTTGCACTACAGCTTTCACGGACACCATTCCAAAAAGGGGCAGGTTGCAAAGTTAGACTTGGAATGCATGGTGCCGGTCAGTGGGCACGAGAACTGCTGTCTGACCTGTGATAAAATGAGACAAGCAGACCTCAGCAACGATAAGATCCTCTCGCTTGTTCACTGGGGCATGTACAGTGGGCACGGGAAGCTGGAATTCGTATGACGGAGTCTTATCTGAACTACACTTACTGAACAGCTTGAAGGCCTTTTGAGTTCTGCTGGACAGGAGCACTTTATCTGAAGACAAACTCATTTAATCATCTTTGAGAGACAAAATGACCTCTGCAAACAGAATCTTGGATATTTCTTCTGAAGGATTATTTGCACAGACTTAAATACAGTTAAATGTGTTATTTGCTTTTAAAATTATAAAAAGCAAAGAGAAGACTTTGTACACACTGTCACCAGGGTTATTTGCATCCAAGGGAGCTGGAATTGAGTACCTAAATAAACAAAAATGTGCCCTATGTAAGCTTCTACATCTTGATTTATTGTAAAGATTTAAAAGAAATATATATATTTTGTCTGAAATTTAATAGTGTCTTTCATAAATTTAACTGGGAAACGTGAGACAGTACATGTTAATTATACAAATGGCCATTTGCTGTTAATAATTTGTTCTCAACTCTAGGATGTGGCTTGGTTTTTTTTTTTCTCTTTTCTTTTTTAAACAAGACCAAGATCTTGCTTATTCTTCCATGTGCCTGTGTAATTTTCTTACAGTGTGGAGTTTCTAAATGTATACTGACCATCTTTTAGTGTCTTACCCACATTCTGGCTATAGGATAACTCTGGTTTTAGCTTTCATCTAAGAAGGAGATCTGGAATTTATGTGTACCAGGTCAGATATGATTGATCAATTTCTGGAGTTGACCTAGCAAAGGTCATTTTGATCCAGGTGTTCCGGAATACCTTTTCCAATGTGTATACCTCCACCCAAAAAAGAAAAAAAAACCAACTAAACAACTGTTTTTTTGTTCAAGTCAGTCACTGTCTCCTTTTACTGTTGATTAATTGGCCAGTTTATTTTGTCCTAAGCCAAATTAAGTATTTTGGCTCCCCAATTAGCCAAACCTTACTGTACAACACACTTAATTTTAAACCTTGTGCTTCAACAGTGTGATGCTTTTTTTTTTTTTAATACTTAGAAAGCTTTTCTGTAGTGAACACGATACACCAATTGATTTAAATAACTGCTACTAGGTTTCATCCTCCCAAATGATCCTTTATGTAACCAAATAGAACATTGGCTTTAGCCAGTAACTAATACAGCTAGGAAACAATGTTTCCTCTTATAAGACTTTTTGTCCTGATAACATTGCCCATCCTGAATTTAAACGTATGCTTTATTTGTGTACTTCCCGTGCCCCCAGTGGATCTTTCTTATTTTAAATGTGAGAATATTATGCCATGGAGGGTATCTTCTGAATTCCTTTGTATATGTGAAATTTTTGCTTAAAAGTTAACCCGTAGGCCGGGCGCGGTGGCTCACACCTGTAATCCTAGCACTTTGGGAGGCCGAGGCAGGTGGATCACAAGGTAAGGAGTTCAAGACCAGCCTGGCCAACATAGTGAAACCCTGTCTCTACTAAAAATGCAAAAATTAGCTGGGCGTGGTGGCGTGCATCTGTAGTCCCAGCTACTCGGGAGGCTGAGGCAGGAGAATTGCTTGAACCCAGGAGGCAGAGGTTGTAAGCTGAGATTGTGCCACTGCACTCCAGCCTGGGCAACAGAGGGAGACTCCATCTCAAAAAAAAAAAATTACAGCCTGCATATTCGAGTATGGGGTTTTCTTTTATTAATATTAATAGACCACCTGCCCCAAAAAACTAAGCTGTGGAATAAACACATATTAATAAATGATAGCATTCGTACTGTCCCTTTTAAGATGAGCAGCTCTTGCATGCATGCCTTATATTTTATAAAAGATGTTAAGCTTTATGTATGTCAGTTTTTGAGGAAGCCAAAGAATTGTTGAACCCAACCCTTCAAACCTGTCAAGGGAATTGATCAAAGTTGTCTGTTGGTGAAATTTCCACCCTCACCTCCACCTCTGGCTCTTTGAGTCTCACTCTGTCGCCCGGGCTGGAGTCCGGTGGCGCCATATGTATCACTACAACCTCCACCCCACTCGCCACACACCACACGTGGTGCACACCACCCTGCCCCCTGCCCCGCCGCGGGTTCAAGCGATTCTCCTGCCTCAGCCTCTGAAGCAGCTGGGATTACAGCCACCCACCACCATGCCTGGCTAATTTCTGTATTTTTAGTAGAGACAGGGTTTTCACCATGTTGGCCAGGCTGGTCCCAAACTCCTGACCTCAAGTGATCCTCCTGCCTCAGCCTCCTAAAGTGCTGGGATTAAGGTGTGAGCCACTCTGCCCAACCCCACTCTGGCTCTTGATCACATTATAGTAGATTGTAGTTTAGAGATGAAAGGACTTCTTGCTCCTTGTACATTCTCATTTCATGTACGACATTATGCAAGCTCAGCAATTCTTCAAGTGGCCAGTTTTTATATCTGTTACGTAGTCAGAGTTTCTTTTCTCTGCTTGCCCTGATGAGGGCCGGTTCACCTCATTTTTTCCAAGTACAGGTTAACCAGGAACTCTGCAATTCTTTAGGAAATAAAACAATGAAGGATTTAAAGTCATGTGCTTTGAAACACTTTGAAATCAGTGAACCCCTTCCTCCCAGAGAGGCCTATGTCTGGACTGGTGTTACCACAAACTTCATGGAGGATGCATGCAGCCTCTCCACTTGATCTTGGGCCTTTGTTCTTCCTATTGTATATTCACGAGGCTATTTACAGCTCCCTGTACTGTGGGGAGGTGGCACTGTGCCCATGGCCTCTCAGTTTTCTGGGGCTCCGCTTCTAGCCACATAATAGGCCAGCCCTGCCTCTTTTCCTAAAAAAATCCTCTCTCTTGATATTCATTTAGTTTTTACACGTGTCCTCACCACCAATCTGAAAGTCAGATCCGCCTTCTTATGAAAATACTGCAGGCACCTCAACTTTGGATGTAACTAAGAACTACATATAGATTTTACTTTTGCTTCCCTGTGAGAGTGCAGAAGTTGCCAGGAGCCAGAGATTAAGGACTAAGATAAGGTCCAGGGTCTACCTGATTCAGTGATGTCAGAAGTGGTGGTGACTGGTTTATTTGTTTTTCCGTCTTAGAGATGTTTACTGTTACTCTGAGGTGTCACAAGGCCAGGCTAACCAGGAACAACCCTTGCTTAATATTGTCATAGAACTCCCCCCAAAAGGAATTTTCCTTTCTGAGTGGAAATTTGCCCAAACTAGAGACATGGGACCAAATTTGCCAAGATGATTTTCTATCTACAACTCCTTACATTCTACCACTGTTGAAAAAATTGATCTGTGCATGGTTATGTCTTTTATGTTATTTTTTTTTCCTTTTATTTTGAATGGCTTAGAGGCTTCCTAGAAATTGACTGGTGTGTCTCTAATTTCTGCTGAACTGATTTTATTAAAAACACTACACCGTAGGGGGTTTGACCTTATAAAATACCAAACATGTCTGCTTTAGAAAATCACAAAGCTTTCCTCTGAAGAGCTCATAAATCTGGTTTCAATATGGGTTGATTATAGGCTAAAAGCTTGAAAGCAGTGGCATCTAGTATCATGACTAGGGAACTGGCTCTTTTGGGGCCGGGATAGCTTTTTTTTTCCCTTACAGCCTCTAATTGGTCCTCTTCTCTGCCTCTCAGCTCAAATGTCTTTAAACCTCCACAGCTGTGCGAACTTCGGCAAATTATGTAAGCTCTTTGAATATTCACTTTTGTTGCCTGTGGTTGCCTGTGGAATGGGGGCCGTAGTAACACCTTGTAGGATTATTGTGAAGAGACATTGTAGCTATTTTCATTCATATACACAACATTCTTGCATAAACTGTGCCCACATAATATTCCTTAAAATCTGAGAACTTGTGCCCATTATTTGTACCGTACATTAATATTGCTTTTTAATATTTAAGATCTTTGCATACTTGAGACTTGCCAGTCACCTGCAGACTGGATATGGCATTTTAAATATTCATTTTCAATTTATTATTTTTGGCCTCTCATGCCTATTAAATAGGTTCATTTGTAATTGTTTCCTTCTGGAATAATACAGATGGCTACTGATGAGAATGTTTTAATCATATAAACTTACTTGAGTTTCTAGTATTTGATAGAATGAAGTTCCCTTGGAGTTTCAGCTGCTCCGAATGGTCAAACCATTGAGAAAATCAATGGATTTGATAGGTAGCAGATAATGTGTCCATATTGTTTGCGTGGCTTATGTCTGATTGGTTCATTCTCAACAATTGATTCTCAATGCCACAATCGATTACAGCCTGCCCCACGGGTGCTCCCAACAAAATACAAATACTTCTAGAACTAGTTTTTAGAACTTTGTGAATTTGGAAGTGGAGGAGTGAGTTAAAAATCATTTAATTACCCTGGATGAAATTAATTTAGTTACTCTGTGGGTCACAGTTATAATAGAAAAATTAAATGCTCCAGATACCAACATTTATAATAGAAAAATTAAATGCTCCAGATACCAACATTTATAATAGAAAAATTGACTGCTCCAGATCCCAACTGACTCCCCTTCCCTCTACCCAATTCATCCTGTCAATATGACTCTATCTGCTGCCTCAAAAAAAGCAGATCATTGATTTTTTTGGGGAATTAGAGATCCCATAGAATGACGAAATTCAACTCTCAAATTTTGGCAACTCTTTATTTGGAGTACATTTTACACTCTGAACATGTCCTTGTTAATCTGCTAACACTGCACTGTTTTGCAGCGTGGTGGTGTAATTCATTTGTCTGCCATTCCAGGAATTTGAGGATAGAATCAGGAAGGTGGCAGAGCTGAGATTAACCAGTTGGGGATTTACTTCTTCCAGCAAGGCAGCAATTTTCCAAGGGATGTGCTTTTTTAGAATTTCAGAGTATTTATTGCTAGGGAAGACCTATCAGCCAAACTTCTGCAAACTTTTCCCATTCTTTGAATATGAAAAGGGTAACAGGAAAGGCATTGATAAGCAATCTGGGGAGATAACTTGGGTAAGCAGTGAGATAATATCTCAAGGCATTTGTCATTCCTCAAGACTTTTAGGAAATTCATTCTATCTAGGAGCTAATGGCCCGCTGACCTCTCAGGGGCAATTTCAAATGGTGTTTAGCTCCCTGTATCTTGCAGATTAGATTGATGTTGGACTAAATCTGAATAGAACTCAGGAAAGATCAGCTGAAAACTATGCATGCTGTGTGTGTGTGTGTGTGTGTGTGTGTATGCCATGCTAATTGAATAGACTTCGTAATCCTGGAATAACTTTACATTTAACAATTTTCAAGGCATTGCATAAGTACATTTGGAACTTGCAAGAAGTCAGCAATTTGTTTTTAGACACATGAAGACTAAGTTGTGATGAATTAATAAACTCAGAGGCTGTTGTGTCAATTCACTCTGAAAGATCTCACATTACAAACCTAATGGAACAAAAATTGTTTTAGCAGTTAAAACCAAGAGAAATACAAAAAGCTCTTTATCCCCGGTTTCTTCCCCTTGGAATTTCCCTAGGGAACCGATGAGGACAGTGGAAAAACACCACACTTCTCAAAGCAAGTTTCTTACTTTTTAAGTGTTACAAGTTCACGGTGGAGTGTTTTTTTCCCCCTAAATTTAGTGGATGTGGTTTTGATACCATAGCTTTAATTCACAGTTGCCTTGGTAAATGAGGGCCTTTCTCACCTGGATTTGGGGATTAAACTGTGAACTCCCCGTGGGCAGGAGCTGTGATCAATAACCTTTGTACATTTCCAAAATCCAAAGGAGAGAATTAGATGAAGGACAGATTAAGACCTTTTGTTTTCAGGCACCTGTTTCTGGTTTTTAGTAAATAAATGTTGTCTTTCTCTTTCATTTCTCTATCCTAACTGATTGCTTTACAGATTTATAATTTTTGTCTGGAGAGCCTAAAGGAAAACAAATTGCTAGTGAAGGAAGTTGAGAAAAAATTCCAATGGGCCTGAACATTAACGAAACATTGCTAAGGTCAAATATCTGAGTCTACCTTTTATATTTGGTGCAGGCTCTAAGCTCATTTAAGGACTAATTCTCACCCAGAAGTGTATCACTATTCTCCTTTGAACTAAGAGTTGTACTTTCATTTTAGTATTTAAAGATAATCCAAAATTTCCACCATTGTCTCTCCAAGGAGTTAAGAACAAGCCACTGAGAGTTTTGTTGATCAAAAATGTTGAGAACCTGGAATACGCTACCTGATTTAGTATTTCATCCTCAATGGCTTGACAGGCCCTGCTATACCAGGGCAACTTTGGCAAATTCTCTTTTCTTCTCATGGAAATGAACCTCTGCCCAGAAGCTGTAATAAAAGCAACAAATAGCTCCCTGCCTCTTTCATTCAAGGACACACCAAGTTATAAATTCCCTTCCCTTCACAAACACTTAGCGTCTTCATGAAAAGTTTACCTTTAACTTCAAAATCCAAATAGCTCTTGTGCATCCATTGCAGTTTTATAATTCACACTTTTATATTTTTCTTTTTTTTTTTTTTTTTTTTGAGACGGAGTTTCGCTCTTGTTGCCCATGCTGGAGTGCAATGGTGCGATCTCGGCTCACTGCAACCTCTGCCTCCCAGGTTTGAACGATTATCCTGCCTCAAACTCCTGAGGAGCTGGGATTACAGGCATGTGCCACCATGCCCGGCTAATTTTGTATTTTTAGTAGAGACGGGGTTTCTCCCTGTTGGTCAGGTTGGTCCCGAACTCCTGATCTCAGGTGATTCACCTGCCTTGGCCTCTCAAAGTGCTGAGATTACAGGCATGAGCCCGGCCTATATTTATTTATTTTATCACATTATTATATAGTGTTCTTTTACAAAAATTACTTATTTTCGTAAGCCCAGCCTGTAGGTCAGGCTGGAGTGCAGTGGTGGGATCATAGCTCACTGCAGCCTTGAACTCCTGGACTCAGTGATCCTCCTGCTTCAGCCTCCGAGTAGCTGGGACTACAGGCACATGCCACCACGCCTGGCCTTATCTCATTTTTTTGGTAGAGGGAGTCTCCAGGCTGGTCTCAAACTCCTGGGTTCAAACAATCCTCCCGCCTCAGCCTCCTGAGTAACTGGGACCACAGCTGTGCACCACCATGCCCAGCTAATTAAAAAAAATTTTTTTTGTAGAGGTGAGGCTCTCACTTTGCTGTCCGCACTGGTCTCAAACTCCTGGCCTCAAGTGAACCTCCCTCCAGAGCCTCCCAAAGTGCAAAGATAAATTTTGAAAAAAGAATGTATATGTTGGGCAGGGGTGGCAGGAGCGGAAGAGAAGGGGAGGTCATTCTTGACTTCACAATCCTTATACACTATTTTTTCTAGTGTCCTGTGTTCCTTTTATTTATTTATTTATCTTAAAATATTATACATATCTTTATATTTTCTGAGTCCTGGCTCAAACCAGTATCAACCTGCTTCCTGCTTTTTTCTTTAATGTGTTAGATTTTAAAAAATTGATACACGATCGATATACATAATTTGGGGGCACATGTGATAATTTAATACATTCATGTAATTTGTACAGATCAAAGCAGTATAGCTGGGTATCTATCACTTTAAATATTTGTCTTTGTTGTATACTAGAAACATCTGGATTATTCTCTTCTAGTTATTTTGAAATATGTAATAGATTATTGTAAACTATAGTCACCCCACTGATCTGTCAAACACTAGGTCTTATTTTTTTTTTCTGTCAAACTATCTATTGGTACCTACTAACCAAGCTCTCTTCATCCCCCTCCAGTGGTGCTTACTAAAAATTGAATAAACGTGGAAAAGAGAAAATCTCCCTCTTTAAAAGGAACACTGTTGTGGACATTTTAAAATGCAAACGCCTTGGCTGGAAGTCAGAAATCGTGTTCTCTCTGCTAAACCTGGTGTAGCATTTAACACGCTTGAAGTGGAGGCATCTGGTCACCAATTTCACAGCCTGGACAGAGCAAGAAGGTGCGGCTGGTTTAGGAGGCGGCCTGCCGGGGGGGATCGTCTGTCCATCTGGGCTTGGTAAATGTCAAGGGTCATTTCCCTGTCCTGACATTTGATTGTGAAGCAGGTTGCGAGGTAACTCTTTCAAGGGACTGGACTGTGACAGTCACCATAGTTGGACAATAAAACCCGAACATCCTTCACCATCTTCTTTAACAATGGGAGGTTGTTTGTTGGCTTTGTATGCAAATTGGCGTGAGTAGCTAACAGGTTGCTTTGAAATCCTCAATTTGTTTACCCCAACCTGGGAAGCCTGACCTTTTCTTCAGAGGCAGATTTATGGAGCTATTTTTCATGGCTCTCAGCAATGAATTGGGTTCAGCAGGGTCCCTAGGATTTTCATTAACTCAAGTAGGCTTCAGAAGCAGAAGAGCTCTGCTGGTTCCCTGGACTAACACAGACAGTGGTGACCACGTCCTGCAGTTCCTCTAGGGCTCTGCTGGCTAGTCACAGCAAACTGCTGTGACATGCCATGTTTGCTGGCATGTGACAGCAAACAACTGCTAGGGGGAAAAAGAAAACCCTTTCTTCAGAATATCCATACACAAATACCTCATCTGGAGAAAAATACATTGGCCATTTTTTTTTTTGGTCTTCCCGTTTCTTCTGGGAAGTCACACCTTTGCACCTGGCCTAAAGAAGAACCTGCCCTTTTTTCTGAAGCTTTTTCTGAAAGTGCTTATCCTAATTTTTTTTTCTTTTTTGAGACAGGATCTCCCTCTATCGCCCAGGCTGGAGTGCAGTGATGGGATCTTGACTCACTGCAGCCTCAACCTTCCAGGCTCAAGCAGTCCTCCCACCTCACTCTTATGAGTAGCTGGGAATACAGGTGCACACCACCACACTCAGGTAATTTAAAAAAAATTTTTGTAGAGACGGGGAGTCTCACTATGTTGCCCAGGTTGATCTCGAATTCCTGGGCTCAAGTGATCCTTCCACCTTGGCCTCCCAATGTGCTGGGATTATAGGTGTGTGCCACCACACCCAGCCCACATCCTAATGTTTTTATAAGCCTGCATAGCTGTGATATGGTTTGGCTCTATGTCCCCTCCCAAATCTCATGTCAAATTGTAATCCCCACCTGTCAGCGAGGGACCTGGTAGAAAGTGATTATATCATGGGACTGGATTTCCCCCTTGCTGTTCTCATGATAGTGAGTGAGTTCTCACGAGATCTGGTTATTTAAAAGTGTGTGGCACCTCTCCCTCTCTCTCCCTCCCTCCGCCTCCCTCCCCCTCCCTCCCCCTCCCTCCCTCTCCCTCCCTCTCCCTATCTAAAAGTGTGTGGCACCTCTCTCTCTCTCTCCCTCCCGCCTCTCTCCCTCCCCCTCCCTCTCTCCTTCCCTCCCTCCCTCTCCCTCTTCCCCTCTCTCCTTCTTTCCCTCTCTCTCCCCCCTCCATCCCCCCTCTCCACTCCCTCTCTCCCTCTCTCCCTCCCTCTGTCTCTGTCTTTCTGTCTCTCTATCTCTCTCTCTCTCCTGCCACCATGAGAAGAAAGTGCTTGCTTCCCCTTCACCGTCTGCCATGATCGTAAGTTTCCTGAGGCCTCCCAGCCATGCTTCCTGTTAAGCCTGTGGAACTGAGTCAATTAAACCTCTTTTCTTCATAAATCCCCAGTCTTAAGTAGTTCTTTACAGCAGTGTGAGAATGAACTAAAACAAGCTGCTATGAGTATGTATGGTTCCGGACTCTGAGAGACCTGGGTTCAAGTTCAGACTTAACCTGTTACTAGTGGTATGACCTTGGGCTAATTAACCTCTCAATTTCCTCACTTACATAATGAAGGTAATAATATTATCAGCACTTTATTTTTTAAAGTTTGTATTTACTTATTTTTAGAGACAGGGTCTTGCTCTGTTGCCCAGGCTGGAGTGCAATGGTGCAATCATGGCTCACTACAGCCTCGAACTCCTGGCTCAAGTGATCCTCCCACCACAGCCTCCTGAGTAGCTGGGATTACAGGTTTGTGCCACGACCCTGGGTTTTATTAGCACTCTGGGTTGTTGTGAGGATTAAATGAGATAATACAAATAAAGATTTAGCACAGTTCCTAAAAACACTGTGAAAGTTAGCAATTCCTATTAAGTATCGTTCCTTCATGAGCCCTCACAATGCCTAGGAAACACACACAGATGATAGAGGTCACCACGCTGACTCTACAAATGGAAGAGCTGGATTTCAGGTAGACCCAAAGATCCAGGCCGGGCGCAGTGGCTCACCTGTCATCTCAGCATTTTGGGAGGCCGAGGTGGGTGGATCACCTGAGGTCAGGAGTTCGAGACCAGCCTGGCCAACATGGTGAAACCCCGTCTCTACTAAAAATACAAAAATTAGCTGGGCGTGGTGGCATATGCCTGTAATCCCAGCTACTTGGAAGGCTGAGGCTGGAGAATCACTTGAACTGGGGAGGTGGAGGTTGCAGTGAGCCGAGATCATGCCACTGCACTGCAGCCTGGGCGACAGAGTGAGATTCTGTCTCAAAAAAAAAAAAAAAAAAAAAAAGATCCAGTGATGTTTAAGGTTTTTCATTTGTGGGTGTGAGTGTCTTGAATTCCTTTTAACTTTCCACGATTCTATTTTGCTCAAGACAGTAGGAAAGTACTTAATTTTTATTTAAACATATTGAAACTAACATATCCCTTGTAGGAAAATATTACATATTAGGAACAGTTACGATGTGCAATATCAGCACAATAGTTTAACACTCTTCAGGAAGGGCATGCTATCTGCTCCATGTTACAACAGATACCTGTTTTTGCACATCCTATTAATGAATACACACCTATTGAGTGTGCTTGTTTGCTCTGCTGACGGGGCACCAAGCCACAGTTCTAGGCGACAGCTGTGCCTGGAGCACGGGTGGTATGAGCTCCTGGCACTGTCTTTCTGCTTGGGGGTCCAGGTGAAGGGCTGGCAAAGTTTGTCTCATAGGGAGGAAAGAGGCAAATTAAAATTTTGTCCCAGGCCGGGAGTGGTGGCTCACGCCTGCAATCCCAGGACTTAGGGAGGCTGAGGCAAGAGGATTGCTTGAGCCCAGGAGGTGGAGACCAGCCTGGGCAACATGGTGAAACCCCATCTATACAAAAAAATTTAAAAATTAGCTAGGCATGGTGGTGCATGCCTGTGGTCCCAGCTACTCAGGAGGCTGAGGTAGGAGGATTGCTTGGACCTGAGAGGTTGAGGCTGCAATGAGATACGATGGTGCCACTGCTCTCCCTCCTGGGCAACAGAGCGAGATCTTCTCTTAAATTTGTTGTTGTTGTTCTAGAGCATGTTTCTAATTCATAAACTGAGTGAGGTCTGTTTTCATGAGAATCTGGGCTTCTAAGAAATTTGCTGGACTAGCCGGGCATGGTGGCTCATGCTTGTAATCCTAGCACTTTGGGAGGCTGAGGCAGGTGGATCACCTGAGGTCAGGAGTTCGAGACCAGTCTGGCTAACATGGTGAAATCCCGTCTCTACTAAAAATACAGAAATTAGCTGGGCGTGGTGGCATGTGCCTATAATCCCAGCTACCCGAGAGGCTGAGGCGGGATAACTGCTTGAACCCAGGAGGTGGAGGCTGCAGTGAGCCGAGACCGTGCCACTGCACTCCAGCCTGGGCAACAGAGCAAGATGCTGTCTCCAAAAAAAAAAAAAAAAAAAAAAAAGCTGGACTAAAAACACAATACAGCTTTAATAATTTTAGTATAAATCATAAACCCAACACCTAGTCATTTATTGTTCCTTACTAAGAAATGCTGGAGCTGGGCACAGTGGTTCACACCTGCAATCCCAGCACTTTGGGAGGCCGAGGCAGGAGGATCACTTGAAACTGGGAGTTTAAGATCAGACTGGGCAACATAGTAAGACCCTGTCCCTACAAAAAACAAAAATCAAAAAATTAGGCAGGTGTGGCAGCATGCACCTATAATTTCAGCTACTCAGGAGACTGAGACAGGAGGATTGCTTGAGCCCAGGAGTTTGAGGCTGCAGTGAGCTATGATTGTGCCACTGCACTCCAGCCTGGGTGACAAAGCAAGAACCTCAAAAAAAAAAAAAAAAAAGTTGGGGCATAAATGCTCCTGTGATTTAGTGTTCATATATCAGGCTAATGTGTATGTTACTTAAGATATTGACAAATCGGTGGGGCTTCCCCAAGCCCAGGAATTGATCTGTGTGTTCCACATCTGTCCAGCACCTTTAAGGAGCCACCAGCCCCTTCCGCAGGCACTTGCGGCGTGAGACCCAGAAGGCAGTTCCAGCATGTTTTGCATTAGCAGACCAGCTTGTGAATATTTCCTTCCATCCTGGGTCTTGCTCTTAACCCCCTTCTGCTCCCTTGAAATGACCTTTGTTGCTGATGATGATGTTTTACCGTCAACTCTCCCTATTGACTTGATATTTCCTCCCCATCTGCAAGTTTCCACAGCTCAGGCTGTCTCTGGGGTTCCACCTCTGGCTTACTCTGCCTCCTTTTGTTCTGACTTCATGTCCTTCTTCTCTTTTATTTATTCTTCTTATTATTTTTTGAGACAGAGTCTTGCTCTGTTGCCCAGGCTGAAGTGCAGTGGTACAATCTCAGCTCAGTGTAACCTCCACCTCCCGGGTTCAAGCGATTCTCCTGCCTCACCCTCCCTAGTAGCTGGGATTACAGGCATATGCGGCCACACTCAGCTAATTTTTGTATTTTAGTAGAGATGGGGTTTCACCATGCTGGCCAGGCTGGTCTCGAACTCCTGACCTCAAGTGATCTGCCTGCCTCAGC
This sequence comes from Homo sapiens, assembly GCF_000001405.40. Taxonomy (NCBI): domain Eukaryota; kingdom Metazoa; phylum Chordata; class Mammalia; order Primates; family Hominidae; genus Homo; species Homo sapiens. The sequence continues at coordinate 28,695,066 of NC_000010.11, forward strand.
CTCCCAACATGCTGGGATTATAGGTGTGAGCCACCACACCCATCCTCTTTCTTTTAAAAGGATAAGTTATTATTGTTATTTTTGAAACAGGGTCTCTCTGTCACCCAGGCTGGAGTGCAATGACATGATCACAGCTCACTACAGCCTTGACTTCCCAGGCTCAATCCATCCTCCTGCCTCAGCCTCCTGAGTAGCTGGGACCACAGGCACACACCACCACACCCAGCTAATTTTAAAAAAAAAAGAGCAACTTATTCCAAGATTCTGTACTGAGTAGCGAGATTTAGTGAACCAAGTCATCTTTCAGTTTCATCTTTTTCATTTGTAAAGTGAGAGTTAGAGGATCACAGTGCTTTCCTCCACCCTCAAATGCATGTTATTAAAATTCTACAGTGCCCTGAAGGCCGTTTGATCTCCTTGGGTAAGGCATTATAAAACGGGAATTATTATTAAAATGCTATTTTGAAATAAAGATAAGCCTTTTTTATGTATTTATATATTTTTATTTCTTTCATACTTTTCATTCTCATTCCTTTGTAAATACAGGTTTGAATTGTGTCTGCTTTTTCTCATGTTTATAACCAATAAAGTTTGCTTTAAGAAGATGGAAAATGGCGTATACACAGTTACATTCTTGAGGCCATCTTTCCTTTTTCAACCAATAAAACCACTACCTATTTGCAACATTGTTTGTAATTGAATTTACAATAAACCTCAGACTTAGAGCTAAAGAATGAAGGCAGAGAAAAACAAGTCCAAACATTGTAATTAACAAAAGCAGTAGCAACATTATTGTATAGCTTAAAACAAATGCATTAATTTTTTTGAGTCTCCCAAATAAAGATGAAACAAAACAAAACAAAGTTCAACCAAAAAACCCTGAAAACAAAGAACCTTAGAGACAATCCTGCTTAAAAATAAGTTTAAAAATAACTTTGTGTTTTTCTTCCTACTTGAGATGAATATTATACAGCAATGAAATTGCCCTTTGTTTTTGAAATTTTTCTACAATAAGCTGAAATGTTAAGATGAGTAGACTGTGTGTTGGTTAGAAAGATCACCAAGGACTTGATGTGGTGGCTCATGTCTGTAGTTCCAGCACTTTGGGAGGCCAAGGTGGACGGATGGCTTGAGCCCAGGAGTTCAAGACCAGCCTGGGCAAAATAGTGAGACTCTGTCTCTACAAAAAATAAAAAATTAGCCAGGCATGATGGTGTGTGCCTGTCGTCCCAGCTACTCGGGAGGCTGAGGTGGGAGGATCACTGGAGCCCAGGAATTCAGGGCTGTAATGAGCCATCATGGTGCCACTGCACTCCAGCCTGAATAACAAGGCGAGAACCTGTCTCTGAAAAACAAAAACAAACCCAAAATAAATAAACAAAAGAAACAACAAGAAGGAATATTTATGCTTCTTTTTATTTATTTTTATTATTATTTTAATAGAGATGGGATCTCACCTCGTTGGCCAGGCTGGTTTTTAATCCTGGGCCTCAAGTGATCTTCCTGTCTTGGCCTCACGAAGTGCTGAGATTACAGGTGTCAGCCACTGTGTCTGGCCAAATAATTATGTTTCTTATTGGCCTAAATGTTTAATACTTAAATGGTGCAAAAATATTGCAAATTTGGGTGTTCTCCCTACCTCCTAGTTGGAAAACACTGGCAAAGTGACTCACTCAAGGCCATGCTGTGAGGAGGACTCAGACCTGGGATTTCTTGCTGGGATTAAATCACTGGGACACATTCACCCCAAAGGATACCGAAAACTTGTGAGAACAATAATATTAAATTTTCAAGGTTTTATATCCGAATGGAAACCGTACAATGACACTTTGTCTCATATAGGGTCTTCTCTGCTTTTCAGGAGGCAAAACCATGCTAAACCCCAATCGCACTATTTCTTCTTCTTCATTTTTTTTTTTTTAGACGGAGTTTTGCTCTTGTTCTTAGGCTGGAGTGCAATGGTGTGATCTCAGCTCACTGCAACCTCCGCCTCCGGGATTCAAGAGATTCTCCTGCTTCAGCCTCCTGAGTAGCTGGGATTACAGGCATGTGCCACAACGCCCGGCTAATTTTTTATATCTTTAGTAGAGACGGGGTTTCTCCATGTTGGTCAGGCTAGTCTTGAACTCCCGACCTCAGAAGATCTGCTTGCCTCAGCCCCCAAAGTGCTGGGATTACAGGCGTGAGCTACCGCGCCCTGCCCCAATCGCACTATTTCTGCCAAGACACACCCTATCCTACCTATGGAACTGGGAAGGAATTCTTGGTATAGTTATTTCTGGGATGCAGTTTGGGGGATCAGAAGAAATTTCTCCTCTTCTCTCCAGGTTTGACTCCTTAAGGGAAGATTCCACATGTTATGTGTCATTCTGGAACATTCTGGAATCTATGATAAACAATTTTTTTTTTTTAACGGAGTCTCATTCTGTTGCTTAGGCTGGAGTGCAGTGGCATGATCTCGGCTCACTGCAACCTCTGCCTCCCGGGTTCAGGCGATTCTCCTGCTTCAGCCTCCCGAGTTGCTAGGACTACAGGTGCACACCACCACACCTGGCTAATTTTTGTATTTTCAGTAGAGATGGGGTTTCATCATGTTGGCCAGGCTGGTCTCCAACTTCTGACCTCAAGTGATCCACCCATCTCGGCCTCCCAAAGTGCTGGGATTACAGGTGTGAGCCACTGTGCCCGTCTGAGAAACAAATTTTTATTCTCCTTTTTCATGACCCACTTACTCTAGGGATAAGGAGAGACCACTGTTAACTAACTTTCCCCCACTTTTTTTTTGGCTTTGTAGGGGATGAAAGATGGGGGAAAAACACAATCTCATCCTTTCACTTACTTCTCATTGCCTATTTCCTTACAAACCACCCTTGAGACCAAAAGAAGCAGAAATCAATTGATTCTGATTCTTTTTTGTGGCTTATATTAATGAACCATTCTGAAATGCGTTTTTTTAAAGTGAGTAATTTTTCCCTTGGAAACATATAGAATTACCTGCAGGGAAAAAAATGATGTATTGAATTTACTCTTTCAATAGTCTTGATGTTTAATTCCTCACTAAGAACAGGAGATCCCTGGTGCAATTTCAGTGACTAGCATCAGCATATAGTTTGTAAAGTCGCAAAATGTCAAACTTCATGTAAATTGTATTTCTAAATCCTCAACAGCACTCAGACACTATAATTATATCCTGACAGTGTCTTACTCACAAAACAGACTCAAACAACGTCTTTCAAAACCATGCTTTGACAACTCATTCACTTTATCCATAACAGTATCTTAAAAGAATTTCCTTTCAGAAAACAGTCAATGAGTGCAAGTCAGGGGGAATTTTCTCCTTGATTGAATTCATGGAAGAGCAGAGTTCTATTTCCAAAATAATCAGCCAGCCCAGAGACATTCAGCTTCTCACTGAGCAGTGAATATTTGATATTTCAGAACTAAAGTAAGCAGCTTAATGGAACTTGTCAGGCACTGATAAAATGCTAGAATAAGAAAATTAAGACTTCAGGTTACTTCAGAATAACTAGCGTATCAAAGGTCAACGTTTAACTTTTCCAAATTTTGCTTAAATGAAATGTATGAGAGAGAGCAAGAGGGAGAGAGGGAGGGAAAAATAATTCTGGATTGGTTATTTCAACACATTAAAAAGTGCCCTGGACAAGGTATTGGAAGGAAGTTACTTTTTTTCTTTTTTTTTTGTGGAGACAAGGTCTGGCTCTGTTGCCCAGGCTGGAGTGCAGTGGTGCAATCACAGCTCACTGCAGCCTCAAACCCCTGGGCTCAAGCAATTCTCCCACCTCAGCTTCCTGAGTAGCTGGGACTATACAGACGTACACCCCACCACATTGGCTAATTGTTTTATTTTATTTGTAGAGAAAGGGTCTTATTATGTTGCCCAGGCTGGTCTTGGACTTCTGGCCTCAAGTGATCCTCCTGCCTCAGTCTCCCAAAGTGTTGGAATTACAGGTGTGAGGCACCATGCCTGGCCAGTTTTAGCAATTTTCGAGAAGTCTTTATGTGTACCTGAGTAATCTTGATTTTCTTTTCTTTCTGTCACCCAGGCTGGAGTGCAGTGGCGTGATCCTGGCTCACTGCAACCTCTGCCTCCTGGGCTGAAGCAATTCTCCTGCCTCAGCCTCCAGAGTAGCTGGGATTACAGGTGCCTGCCACCATGCTTAGCTAATTTTATTTTTTTTTTTTGAGATGGAGTCTCGCTTTGTCACCCAGGCTGGAATGCAATGGCGTGATCTCAGCTCACTACAACTTCTGCCTCCAGGGTTCAAGCGATTCTCTTGCCTCAGCCTCCTGGGTAGCTGGTATTACAGGCACCCACCACCACACCCAGCTAATTTTTGTATTTTTTAGAGACAGGGTTTCATCATGTTTGCCAGGCTGGTCTCGAACTCCTGACCTCAAGTGATCCACCCACCTTGGCCTCCCAAAGTGCTGAGATAATAGGTGTGAGCCACCATGCATGGCCATCATCTTGATTTTCTGTATTCTATGGTTGCATGAGAGAGAGAAGAGAGAGAAATCAAAACAAACAAAAAGAATGAGGGAGAAGAAAGAAAACATAAAGGAATATTAGAAGAGTAGGAGGAAATTAAATTTCTTTCTGGGACGTGGAACAGGGAAACAAATGGAACAGGTTACCATTCAGTGGAGTCAGCCGCAGGGTCATGGGTGGTCTCCAAGCAGAAGCTAAATCCGATGCCAGGAGCCTTGAGAACTGAGACCCTGGAGTAGGGAAACAGCAGGGTCACCAGCAAAGGCTCACTCCCGGAGTTTGCAGTGATTTGAGGCAAAGCCATGCCCTGGGCCCGCCTAGACTGTTGGCTCCTCTTTTTTTTTTTTTTTTTTTTTTTTGAGATGAAGGCTCGCTCTGTCGCCCAGGCTGGAGTGCAGTGGTGTAATCTCGGTTCACTGCAAGCTCTGCCTCCCGGGTTGACACCATTCTCCTGCCTCAGCCTCCCGAGTAGCTGGGACTACAGGTGCCCACCACCACGCCCGGCTAATTTTTTGTGATTTTAGTAGAGACGGGGTTTCACCGTGTTAGCCAGGATGGTCTCGATCTCCCGACCTCGTGATCTGGGCTCCTCATCATTTTTAATAGCTCCCCACACCGTCCTTGGCCTTGCTGGCCAAACTGTAGGGTGGGCTGCCTTGAGGTAAGGCCCACAGATTGAGGCTACTGCACAAACTGTTTTGTACTGGTTCTTGATGAGGTAAGCACAAAATGGTTGTTACGTTGGTGCAAAAATTATTGTGAGGTTTGCCATTAAAAGTCATTGCAAAAACTGCAATTACTTTTGCACCTACCTAATAATTTTTTTTTCTTTTTTTGAGACAGGCTGTCACCCAGGCTAGAGTGCAGTGGTGCCATCTTAGCTCACTGCAGCTTACACCTCCTGGGCTCAATTGATCCTGCCTCCCTAGTAGCTGGGACTACAGGTGTGTACCACCACACCCAGCTAATTTTTGTATTTTTAGTAGAGACAGGGTTTCACCATGTTGGCCAGGCTGGTCTCGAACTCCTGACTTCAGGTGATCCACCCACCTCAGCCTCCCAAAGTGCTGGAATTACAGGCGTGAGCCACCGTGCCCGGCTGGAAATCACATTTCAACGTGAGATTTGGAGGGAACAAACATCCAAACCAGGTCTTGTTGTTCCTAGTTCTTATCAAATAGTTCCTGGATGGTCAGGATTTATCACATCTTCAGCTGGTTTGGAGCCCACCGACCTGAGACCTCCATGGTACCACAGAAGAGGGAGGAAATCAGGCCTTTGCGGGGTTGGTCCAAAGGGACATTGGCAGCACACATGTCCCTTGAGTGAGATGACTGGTGGAGAGCTGAGGCCCATGTGGCCTGATCTGACCTGGCATTGCCAAGGGGACAAGGACCTTGAACATAGGCAGGCGGCAGGCAGTGCCTTGGAGCTGAGTGGTCACCCATTCTGACCGAGACTCCATCAGGGCTATATGTGCCAAATTCATTCAGCCCATGGTGAGAGAAGGTTAACAAGTACTACGAAAGGCTTCTGGCTTGGGGTTTGGGTTCAGATTTCCAGTCCTGCAGAGAGAATTGGCAACTAACTTGAATTTGAGGGACACAGCCACTTGGACACGGTTGGCTGATTTAAGGTGTACTTGACTGTAAATGTCCTCTAGGTCACAAGTGCAAAGTGAATTCCAGATTCTAACTGCTGCTGAATGGGGCTACTAAGGGGGACCTTGTTCTGGTCAGGCTGGGTCAGAGACAGCGAGAGGCCAGCAGCCACAGTCCTGGCTGATCCAGGCAGAGCAAGGACTGATAGAATGGAACACAAATGTGCTGTGGATGCAGGTTAGTGTCACACAACATCATGTGTTCCAGAAGAGGGGTTATTTACATTACATTCTGTATTATTACATTATTACATTTAATCTTATTCTTTTTTATTGAATTAGTTTAATGAATTTATCAGCAACTTCTTTTTCTTAGATAAAGGGTCTTGCTCTGTTGCCCAGGCTGAAGTGCAGTGGGACTATCATAGCTCACTGCAGCCTCAAACTCCTGGGCTCAAGTGATCCTCCTACCTCAGCCTCCAATGTAGCTGGGACTACAACAGATGTGTACCACCATACCTGGCTAATTAAAATGTTTATTTTTTAGAAACAAGGTATTGCTATGTTGCCCAGGCTGGTTTTAAACTCCTGGCCTCAAGTGATCCTCCTGCCTTAGCCTCCCAAAGTGTTCAGACTGAAGGTGTGAACCACTGTGCCAGCTATTATCAGTAACTTCTAACTTCTAACATACCAGTCTAGTACGGGTCTATGGTAATTCTTCTCCACGTCATGTTCCACCTTCTTTTTTTATTTTTTTTATTTTTTTTTGAGATGGAGCCTCACTCTGACACCCAGGATGGGGTGCAGTGGTACAATCTCGGCTCACTGCAACCTCCGCCTCCCAGGTTCAAGCGATACTCATGCCTCAGCCTCCCGAGTAGCTGGGATTACAGGTATATGTCACCATGCCCGGCTATTTTTTTTTTGTATTTTTAGTAGAGATGGGGTTTTACCATGTTGGCCAGGCCGGTCTTGAACTCCTGACCTCAAGCTATCCACCCGCCTTGGCCTCCCAGAGTGCTGGGATTACGGACATGAGCCACCGTGCTCGGCCCATGTTCCACCTTCTTGTCCAAGCTTCAAGTCAGCAGTTTCGATGACTGTAGTTTTAGACGTGGGTGATTTTATAGTTCTGACTTGGGTCTTGCTCTTGGATGCTGCATGTCTCTTTCAGAGAAGCCTCATTTATGTGTCCAGCTTTGGAATTCTAGGAACCTGAAGACTCCGGAGATGCTGAGTTTCCCTTTGCTTCTTCTGACTGATGTTCTTCAATCTCTTAACAGAAACTAAACCTGTTCCTGAAAAACTAGAGTTTGCTAAAGGCAGTATCTTTCTTTTTTTTTTTTGAGACGAAGTCTTGCTGTCGCCAGGCTGGAGTGCAGTGGCATGATCTTGGCTCACTACAACCTCTGCCTCCCGGGTTCAAGTGATTCTCCTGCCTCAGCCTCCCGAGTAGCTGGGATTACAGGTTAGTGCCACAACGCCCAGCTAATTTTTGTATTTTTAGTAGAGACGGGGTTTCACCATGTTGGCCAGGATGGTCTCGATCTCTTGACCTTGTGATCCACCCACCGCAGCCTCCCAAAATGCTGGGATTACAAGCGTGAGCCACCGTAACTGGCCACTAAAAGCAGTATCTTATTCAATACTTCAATTTCGGGAATTTTATTAATCGTTGTTTTCTCTCCTCTGAAAATCAGGGGGCTCTGTAGACTGTGCCCTAAGAGGCTGAGCTGGAGATGGCTTTCCTGTAATTGCTAATTTTCCTCATACAGGAAAAGCACCCTGCTTTGGACCGAAGATTCTGTTTGTTGCAGTGTATCCATTCTTCTTGCTTTTTGAGTTGCTCCTGAAGTTTCCTTTTCTCTAGGAGCAGGATATCAGTTTGCGCAGTGATCTGGTTCTGGAATGTCTTCTTCTTTTCTGGTTGTTGTTGCCTTTAAACATATTTTTTTGTCGTTTGTTTTTTCTTAAGACAGGGTCTCACTCTGTTGTCTAGGCTGGAGTGCAGTGGTGTGATCATAGCTCATTGCAGCCTCAAACTCCTGAGCTTAAGCGATCTTCCTGCCTCCACCTCCTGAGCAGCTGGAACTACATGAATGCACCACCATGCCAGGCTAATGTTTTTATTTTGAATTTTTGTAGACACAAGGTCTTGCTGTGTTGCCCAAGCTGGTCCTGAACTCCAGGCTTCAAGTGATCTTCTTGCCGTGGCCTTCTAACGTGCTGGGATTACAAGTGTGAGCCACTGTGCCTGGCCTAAACAGATTTTTGACAAAGCTTCACCCCAAAGAAAGAAGTCAGGATGTGTCTTCCTGGGGGTAAGAGGGCGCTGCAGTGTCATCTTGAAAGTGGCATTTCTGGGTCAGGCACGGTGGCTGACTCCTGTAATCCCAGCACACTGGGAGGCCAAGGTGGGTGGATGCCCAAGGTCAGGAGTTCGAGACCAGACTGGCTAACATGGTGAAACCCTGTCTCTACTAAAAATACAAAAATTAGCTGGGCATGGTGGTGCACGCCTCTAGTCCCAGCTACTGTGGAGGCTGAGGCAGGAGAATTGCTTGAACCCAGGAGGTGGAGGTTGCAGTGAGCCGAGATCGGATCATTGCACTGCAGCCTGGGCAACAAGAGTGAGACTCCGTCTCAGGAAGAAAAAAAAAATGCAGCATTTCTACAGTAGTCAGTCAGGGCCACTAGGCAACAAGAAGGCTTGCCTCACTTGCTTGGAGTGAGTTTCATAGGAACTCCATATTCCCTTCGAGTGGGACCCCTCTGGATCCTCCCACCTAGAGATCCTTCCCTCAGGCAGAAAGACAAAACAAAAACCTGCCAGCCACAAAGGCTGGCACCTGTAATCCCAGCACTTTTGGAAGCTGAGGTGGGAGGATCACTTGAGCCCAGGAGATTGAGACCCGCCTGGGCAATATAGGAAGATGCTGTTACTACAAAAAATAAAAAAAATTAGCTGGGTGTGGTGGTGCATGCCTGTAATCCCAGCTACTTGTGGGGGCTGAAGGGGGAGGATTGCTTGAGCCTGGGAGGATGAGGCTGCAGTGAGCCTTGATTACAGCACTGTGCTCCAGCCTGGGTGAAAGAGCAAGACACTGTCTCAAAAAAAAAAACAAAAAACCAAAAACAACAGAACAAAATGTAACAAAACAAAAACCTGAAAACCAAACCAAAATATAAAAACCCCTACAACCTCCAAAAAGAAGCCATTAAAATACTGTCCAATCTCTCTGCTTTTAGTCCCAAAGTCAGAAAAGAAATGCATTCCGGCATGGGATGGGTTGTCACTGGTGGCCTAAGGCCTCAGGGCAATTTTAAGATATAACTCTTCTAGCAGAAAAGCTGCTGAGAAAAGAGAGGAGAAGAATTGGCAAAAGGGGAAAATAAATCAGACAGCTGACCGTGAGCGTGAAGGGAATGTAGCTATTTTCCTCCTTGTTCCAAGCCTAGGATTGAAAAAACAGTCGTCTCGGGAATAAATAATTTATCACTGGAATTGATGAAGTGGAGGTGGTTTGGGGAGGAGGGAGAGTGCAAAGCCAGATGCCTCCACGCAGATAATAAAATGTTAATAATAAAATGTTCTCCCTTGCTGTTGTCTAAGTGGTGAATGAAAAAGAATCCAGGGATAAGAAAAACCCCTGAAGGGGTTAGGGGAAATTAGTGCTGATACTTCCCATTAAAGTCGCAGTAATAACGATAACAACCGAACATTTATAGAATGTACTTCATGCCTGGGATTCCACTGGGCTTTGAAACAGGAGGATCTGATTCACACCCACTCCCAAGAAAATGAATTAGGTTCCAGCGCTCAGGGGTGGGTGAGGGACTTCCCAAAAGAGCTTAAATTCATTAGATGAGAGAGTTAAGTGTGGTCAGAGGTGATCTAGTCCAGCGTCCTTTTCGGAGGAGTCCAGAGAAGTTGAAGGATTGGCTCCGGATCACATCACTCCTTAATGGAGTTGCTGTGGATAGTACTCAAGTCTATTTCCTTTGGGTCCCAGCTGTCACTTTGCAGCTGTGTGCCTTTGGGAAAGTCACCAAACCTCTCTCAGCCTCAGTTTCCTAATAAAATGTGGACAGTCGTAGCATCTGCGTCAAAGGATTGCTGTAATGATTAAATAGGTTAATGCATGCTTAGAACAGTGCCTGACACATGGTAAGTATTAAATACATGTTATTTATCATTAGCTATTATTTCTTTTAAGAGTAACACCATAAAAAAAAAGGGGGGCTGATTGCCTCTTCTCATTTGCCGTAGTTTTACAACAACCAACTGGGAAGGAAGTGGCAGATAACAGCGGCGGTCTGCACCCCTTTTGGCCCCATATCCCTGGCCAACCAGGCTGCTAGACGACCGTGGGCCTGCAGCAGCCCTGGCTGTGTGGCCCACTCAGGTTGTGGGGCAGTTGGAGACTCTGAGGGAGCATCAGGACTGACTCCTGGTGGCGGGGTGGGGTCTGGGAGGGAGATGAAGCACAGATACTTGGGTTTGCTTCAGGACTGTCTGACCTGATGAGAGGCAAATCACTGGACGGTGCTAGAAAGCACACCCAGGAGCTGTGTTCTTTTTCTTTTTGAGATGGAGGCTTGCTCTGTTGCCCAGACTGGAGTGCAGTGGCACGATCTGGGCTCACTGCAACCTCTGCCTCCTGGGTTCAAGTGATTCTTCTGCCTCAGCCTCCCGAGTAGCTGGGATTACAGGCGCCCACCACCACGGCCGGCTCATTTTTGTATTATTTTTAGTACAGACGGTGTTTCACCATGTTGTCCAGGCTGGTCTCAAACTCCAGACCTCAGGTGATCCGCCTGCCTCGGCCTCCCAAAGCGCTGGGATTACAGGTGTGAGCCACTGTGCCCGGCTGAAGCTGTGTGTTTTCTAATTCCAGAAGCTCTGCTGCTCTCTCGCTGCCATTTCTCCCGACCCATCAGCTAACGTGTGAACTTTTAAAACTATGCCTTTCGATAAGACATTGAATCCCTATTGATAAAAATGGCGTGGCAAGAGTTACATTTTGATCTGTTCTCAGTTATTATACTTTAGTGCATGCAAATAGGTTCTGTTCTTTTTTTTCTGTCGCTTCTTTTAAGAGACGGAATCTTGCTCTGTGTTGCCCAGGCTGGAGTGCAGCGGCACAATCATAGCTCACTGCAGCCTTGAACTCCTGAGCTCAAGTGATCCTTCTGCCTCAGGAGCATCCTGAGTAGCTGGAACTACAGGCATGCACAACCATGACCAGTCAATTCCTCAATTTCTTTTCTTTTCTTTTTCTTTTTCTTTCTTTCTTTTTTTTTTTTTTTTTTTGTAGAGATGAGTGGAGTTCTTGCTATGCTGCCCATGTTGGTCTTGAATTCCTGGCCTCATGTGAGCCTCCCACCTTGGCCTCCCAGAGCACTGGGATTACAGGTGTAAGCCATTGCTCCTGGCCCTATTTTTTCTTGAAAGTGAAGAGTAGAGGATAAAGAAAGGAACTGGGTGGGATAAATATTGGAGATTCAAGCAAGGGGAGAAAAAGGCAGATGTGTTGGAAAATGATAACTTCTTCACCCTTCAGCCTAATATAGGAGCTTCTGGAAACCAAAATACTATACAATCAAGTGACAATGTAACCAGGTTGCAACCAACCTGTAACCAGCTTGGTTTTTTTCTTTTTTGAGATGGAGTCTTGCTCTGTTACCCAGGCTGGAATGCAGTGGCACGACCTCGGCTCACTGCAACCTCCGCCTCCCGGGTTCAAGCTATTCTCACACCTCAGCCTCCTGAGTAGCTGAGATTACAGGCGCCTGCCACCACGCCGGGCTAACTTTTGTATTTTTAGTAGAGATGGGGTTTCACCATGTTGGCCAGGCTGGTCTCAAACTCCTGACCTCAAGTGATCTACCCACCTCAGCCTCCCAAACTGCTGGGATTACAGGCATGAGCCACTGCACCTGGCCTAAATAATTTTATTAGTATTAATTAATTAGTTAGTTTAATTTTTAATTTTTTTTCCCGAAATCTCTTATCTGTCACCCAGGCTGGAGTGCAATGGTGCAATCTCAGCTCACTGCAACCTCCACCTCCCAGGTTCAAGTGATTCTCCTGCCTCAGCCTCCTGAGTAGCTGAGATTATAGATGCACACCACCATGCCCGGCTAACTTTTTGTATTTTTAGTAGAGATGGGGTTTCACCATGTTGGCCAAGCTGGTCTCGAACTCCTGACCTTGTGATCTGCCTACCTCAGCCTCCCAAAGTGCTGGGATTACAGGCATGAGCTGTCACACCTGGCCAATTTTTTAATTTTTAAATTAAATTTAATTAATTAATTTTTTTGAGACAGGGTCTCACTTTGTCATCCAGGCTGGGGTACAGAGGTATGATCACAGCTCACTGCAGCCTCAACCTACCGGGCTCAAGTGATCCTCTGGCCTCAGCGCCCCCAAGTAGCTGGGACTACAGGCATGAGCCACCATGCTAAGCTAATTTTTGTATTTTTTTATAGAGATAGAGTCTCTCTATATTGCCCAGGCTGGTCTTGAACTCCTGGGCTCAAGCAATCCTCTTGCCTTGGCCTCCCAAAGTGCTGGGATTAAGGTCATGAGCCATCGTGCCCAGCCTTAAATAATTTATCTTTCTCCCTCCTCCCTCAGCCTAAGGTAATTATCAAATGAAATAATTCATCAGAAAGAGTTCTGTGACATGTAAAGCCCTGTAATAATGTGTTGGTAATACTATGGTGATAATGGATATTTTTCACAATGGGTATGCATGTGACATGCTGAGTTATGGAGGTATGGACTCAAGGGACAAGGAGTGAAATTGCCACATGTCTCAGGTTGGGGTGGGGGCTTGGGGTGGTAGCTGTGATCAGGGTGCTTGGGGTGGTGGTTGTGGTCAGGGCGAAGGTTGAGGGGAGGGATCTAGACAGCCTGGCCATATTGTTTTTGGAAAGAGCGCTATACAATGTTAATTTCTTCACTGATGAGTCAATGGATGAATGAAAGGATGTCTTCTTTAAACTGCTGCACGTTGGTGGGTAAGTGAATCTGTCCAAGGTAGATGGGAGACTGAAGAGTCAGGGAGGTCAATCTGGTGGGCAGGGGGGCCCATAAGTCAGGCAAGCCTAAGTCTGCTCCTTGAGCAGGTTGCTCAGCCTCTGTGTGGCTCATATCAGCTATCTCAGAGGGTTAAATAAAAAGACATACACAAAGAGGTCGGGCACGGTGGCTCATGCCTGTAATCCCAGCACTTTGGGAGGCCGAGGTGGGCGGATCACCTGAGGTCAGGAGTTCGAGACCAGCCTGGCCAACATGGTGAAACCCCATCTCTACTAAAAATATAAAAAATTAGCCGGGCGAGGTGGCACACGCCTGTAGTCCCAGCTACTCAGGAGGCTGAGGCAGGAGAATTGCTTGAACCCAGGAGGCGGAGGTTGCAGTGAGCCGAGATGGAGCCACTGCACTCCAGCCTGGGCGATGAGAGCAAAACTCTGTCAAAAAAAAAAAAAAAAAAGAAGAAGAAGACATACGCAAAGTGCCTGGCACAATTCTTTGCACAGAGTAGCTACTCAACAAGTGGCTATTACTGTTACCACTGAGGCAGAGTTTACACATCATCTCATCTCAAGCTGCCACAAGCAGACACGATTATCTTCTTGTGAAGAAATCTCAACTTCCCATTTATTTTCCTTTTTTCCCTCCTTTATTGAAACTTGGACTTTTAAGAATTTTGGTGCATGGATAATTTGAGGTCCATTTGACACAAGGAGAAAGTTCTGACAGTCGCTTTGAGTCTTGTTCTGTATGAAGCCACAGTGGTAGCAATGTGCTCCCCTGATAAAAAGCAAGAAACATGGTGCATTCCATTAAAGGAAAGAGGCATTAACTTTCCTCCCAGCCTGGTTACTCGGGACATTAATCAGCCCATAAAAATGGGATTAAGTCAAGTCTCAATTTAGCTCTGCAGTTTACCTTTAAAATGTAGCCGCGCTTTGTGTTTTAATATCGGGTGATCACATTTTAGATGTAATGAAAGAGCAAGGATATTTTCCCACAAATTTTCATGGGGATTCGTGACTGCAGATGGGACCCTCCCTGAAGACATAATGAACAATTATGCAATCTGGGGAATGGCTTTGGAGAAGCAGTTCCAGCTGGGGGTATATAAAGTGAGTTTGCTAAAAGCTGTGTAAATGAGGGGCTCCAAACCTGCCGTCATGTATTTCACCCTTTATGACCTAATGAATATGTTATATTATCATGAGCCTATCAGCTTGAAACTTTGCTTTTGCTCTGAGTCCCCCGAGGCAAACAGATGGATTTTTAAATCCTTCCTCTTAAAGTCTTACTGGATGGCAAAGCCTTTGCTTAAATGTGGAGCCTGAAATTATCCCGAGTTCTAAAGCATCCTTATTGGCTTTGAAGGAGCTGCTTTGACTCTATCCTAAAGGTTTGCTTTTTTTTTTCCCTTTTAAATTTTTCCTTCTCTAGGATATGATGCTAGAAGGGACCTCAGGGATGATTCCAGGCCAGAATGTTGACGGCTCCCAACCAAAGAGAAAAATTCAGATTATAGTGAGTTTTCTTAAGAAACTACATTTATTCATTTAAATGACTGATCTTTACTTTGAAGTTTTGTTTTTCTCCCTTGTTGGTATAAAATATCTTATTTTATTATCATTAATTAATTAATTAATTAATTTTTTTGAGACGGAGTCTTGTCTTATGACCCAGGCTGAAGTGCAGTGGCACCATCTCGGCTCACTGCAACCTCCGCCTCCTGGGTTCAAGCAGTTCTCCTGCCTCAACCTTCCGGGTAGCTGGGATTACAGGTGCCTACCACCATGCCTGGCTAATTTTTGTGTTTTTAGTAGAGATGGGGTTCACCAAGTTGGCCAAGCTGGTCTCGAACTCCTAACCTCAAGTGATCTGCCTGCCTCGGCCTTCCAAAGTGCTTATAGGTGTGAGCCACTGCCCCCAACCCATGTTTTTTTTATTGGACAATATGTCTAAAAGTATTTTTTAAAAGAAAGATAAAGCTAAAACGTTTTTGAAAAGAGCTTTGTTTTAAGCATTTTTGGTACAAAATCCAAGAGCCTGGGAAGCAGTGGTTTAGTGTAATCTCTTCATTTTACAGATGAAGAAGCTGAGGGCGAGGCCACTGTGCTTCCCCAAGGTTGCTGTATGAGTTGGGGTGGAAATGGGCCAGCTCCAGCCTTCTGCCTCCCAGCCTGGCTTCTTGTCCTCCACCAGCTGTCACTCGGAAAGTGAACAGAGAAGCCCTTGCCACTATAGTGGACAAGGGAAACTGTGGATACAGATTCCAGCAGTGAGAAAGGTCATTAGAGTTCTCCAAGGGCACAGCTTTGCAGCATGTCATGTCAAAAGCAGGGTGAGCCTCACATGCAGGCGAGGCTGCAGCTCTGAATTATACTCAAAGGTTCTGGAAATGTGCAGGCTTGCAAATGTTTCCTCTACTAGCCTGCAGTACCCATGATTACAACATTGCCACTCCTCTCCTTTGATTGGGCCTTTCTCTCTCTAATTTTCTTTTTTTTTCTCTCTTCCAAGGACATGTTTTCCCAGGACATGCACTCATAAATCTGTATCAGTCACTAACAATCTCGGGATGAACAAGTTCACTATTGTCGACTTTGGAAACTAGCTAGGAGCTGGAATTCTGATGGGGAAATAAACATCATTTTAGATCCAGGAAGTTCAGAATGAAAA
The DNA here is from genome assembly GCF_000001405.40 of Homo sapiens. Taxonomy (NCBI): domain Eukaryota; kingdom Metazoa; phylum Chordata; class Mammalia; order Primates; family Hominidae; genus Homo; species Homo sapiens. The sequence goes on from NC_000010.11 coordinate 28,710,894, forward strand.
TGAAAAAGCAGATCTAGATGGAATGCTTCTAGAAGGCAAAGGAAGGTGCAGTGGACAGAGGTGGTGTCCAGGCCCTGGCACTGGTAAGAGATGCCTAGAGGCCAGGAGTTCACTGGATGGTGGGTGGATGGACAAAGTGAATGAACTTGGTCATGGTGTCTAGGGCCATTTATCTGGCAGGAAAGACTAAACTGAGAATGTGAAATCTCTGTGAGCAGGAGACTTTCAGAACACTTGACTCTGTCCCCAGAGGGAGTCCCAAGTTCATCAGCTTAGAGCAGGGGGCTTAGGCCCGGCTTTGCCAAGATTGTCAAATGCTCTTTTTATTGAAAGACATCCTTGAAGACAATTGCAACACACCCTGTGAGTAATTCCTTATGGCAGAAGTCAAGGCCAATCTATGCATGTATCTCTGATTCAAATGGCTGTTGTCATTTGGGAATAGAGACAGAAATGAAAGGGAAGGACAGCAACATCTTGTCACTAGGCTTGCTTTAATGCTTGATATGGCATTCAATGCCATTAATAAAGCTTCTGTACAAAAAACGAAGTACCCTCCAACCCCCGTTAAAAGAGCAGTTCTCAACTGGGCTTGGTTGAGAATCCCAGCACTTTGGGAGGCCAAGGTGGGCCCATTACTTGAGGTCAGGAGTTCGAGACCAGTCTGGCCAACATGGTAAAATCCTGTCTTTACTAAAAATACAAAAATTAGCTGGGCATGGTGGCACACACCTGTAATCCCAGCTACTCAGGAGGCTGAGGCAGGAGAATCGCTTGAACCCAGGAAGCGGAGGTTGCAGTGAGCTGAGATTGTGCCACTGCACTCCAGCCTGGGCGATGCGGCGAGACACCGTCTCAAAAAAAAAAAAAAAAAAAAGAATAGTTCTGCTGGAGCAGACCTTTCGGGGGTCTAAAATAAAGATTTTCAAAGGCTACCTACAGGTACTCGGTTTCAGTTTTGTTTTTTTTTTTTTTTTTTCCCACAGACAGGGTCTTGCTTTGTCACCAGGCTGGAATGCCATGGCGTGGTCATAGTTCAGCCTCCTGAGCAGCTAGGACTACAAGCATGCACCACCATGCCTGACTAACTTTTTGTGGAGATTGCATCTCACTATGTTGCCCAGGTTGGTCCTGAACTCCTGGACTCAAGTGATCCTCCCAACTCAGGCCTCACAAAGTTCTAGAATTACAGGTGTGAGCCACTGCACTAGGCCCCAGTTCTCTTTAAGTATCATAGGTCCACTAGGCAGACACTCCATGCTATAGATATTCTTCAGTAGATTCCAAACTTTCTTCTTACTACATGAGCATTTGAGCAAAATTAGAAACTACAGATAAATAAAAAGAATATAAAAACCACTGTAATGTCAACACCCAGAAAACTTAATACCCAGGGACAACCACTGATAACACCTTGGTACTTGTCCATTAGTATCTTTTTATAGACTTGGGGATATGTGGACAAATGTATCTTATAGAACCTAAATCCCTGCTATAATCTGAATGTTTGTGTCCCCCTAATTTTTTTTTAATTTAGATATGGGGTCTCACTCTGTCACCGAGGCTGTCATGGCAGCCTCAAACTCCTGGGCACAAGTGATTTGCCCACCTCAGCCTCCTAAGTAGCTGGGACTACAGGTGCACGCTACTATGCCTGGCTTTTTGTAGAGATGGGGTCTCACTCTGTTGACCAGGCTAGTTTTGAACTCCTGAGCTCAAGCAACCCTCCTGCCTACACATCCCAAAGAGCTGGGATTACAGGTATGAGCCCCTTCACTATTCATGTATTGAAATGGAATCCCCAGTGTGTAATCGTATTGAGAGATGGGGCTTTTGGGGAAGTGATTAGGTCACATGGGCTCCACCCTCATGCATGGGATTAGTGCCCTTATAAAAGAAGCTTAAGAGAGGTGTTGGCCCCTTTCCTCTTCTGCCCTGTGAGGACACGTAGAAGGCACCATCTATGAGGAATGGGCCCTCAAGAGACACCGAATCTGATGGTGCCTTGATTTTGGACTTCTCAGCCTCCAGAACTGTGAACAGTCAATTTCTGTTGTGTACTAATTACCCAGTCTAAGGCACTTTGTTATAGCAACTTGAATGGACTGAGACAATCCCTGGTCTTTTTTCTTTTTTTTGAGATAGGGTCTCACTCTGTCACCCAGGCTACCGTACAGGGCATGAGCATACCTCACTGCAGCCTTGATCTCCTCGGCTCAAGCAATCCTCCCATCTCAGCCTTTCCAGTAGCTGGGACTACAGGTAAGCACCACCACCACACCCAGCTAATTGTTTTATTTTTTGGTAAAAAAAAGGGGTTTCACCATGTTGCCCGTGCTGGTCTTGAACTCCTGGACTCAAGCAATCCTCCTGTCTCAACCTCCTAAAGTGCTGGGATTACAGGCATGAGCCACTATGCTCAGCCCAACAATCCCTGATCTTAACGGATTTTGTTTGCCGACAGTGCAGCCCCTGCAGAATACCATATTGCTGCTCACCTCTGCAGCCACTGCCAGACAGCCTGTACTGGAAGGGTAAGGCCTTTGGTGGTGGAGGATCTAAGCTGGAGTCCCTGTTCCTCCAGTCCCCAGCTCTGTGATCTTGGGGGTTGGTCCCCATCATCAGAGCTACCATTTGTTAAGAACCCATTATGGCCAGGCGCGGTGGCTTACGCATGTAATCCCAGCACTTTGGGAGGCCGAAGTTGGCAGATCATGAGGCCAGGAGTTCGAGACTAGCCTGACCAATGTGGTGAAACCCCGTCTCTACTAAAAATACAAAAGTTAGCCTGACATGGTAAAGAAAGGCTCCCGAGTGAACAGAATTGATGCTGCTTTGCAAGCATGAATTACAATCTTTGACATGATTCAGCAGGACTCAGGCTGCTGAGCTCAGTCACGAGTACTCCTTCCCTTCCTGCTCCTTCCCTCCTTCACCCTTTTCCCTGTGCTGTCCAGCACATCTTTATTCTGGGTTGTGCTGGACACAGGGCAGGCATGCTGATCCCCATCAGAGAGGATTTTCAGAGACCCCACGAAACAGGGAGACGTCCAGGGCAGCAAGTATCCCATGGGGGAAAAGTGCCACTTAGATTTCGTGTTGGCTGAGCAGGCCACTAGATGAAAGGGAAAGGCATCCGATCATTGAGTTCAGACAAGCCCAGGCTGGCTTTTCAGGACAAACTCTAATCTCATTTGATGTGTTCGATTTTTTTTTTTTTTTTTTTTTTGAGACAGGTTCTCGCTCTGTTGCCCAGCTAGAGTGCAGTGGTGCCATCACAGCTCACTGCAGCCTTGACCTCCTGGGCTCAGATGATTCTCTTGTTCAGCCTCCCAAGCAGCTGGGTCTATAGGTGTGCACCATCATGCCTAGTTTTCTTTGTATTTTTTGTAGAGATGGGGTTTTGCCATATTGCCCAGGCTATGTCTTCGATTTTTAATGCAAGATTCTGATGTACCTGGGAAAAGCTCTCTAAAACCCAGTGTCGGTTCTGGAGAGGTAGAGGCAAAAGATAGAAGAGTTGCTACTGTTCAGGCTACATAGTGCATTTCCTTTAAGATACGACCTCTTATTCAGACAGCTAGACCAGTCGTCTATATTAGTGTATTCTAGATAGAGAGCTATTTTTTGTTTTAAAGGAATGCTACTTAGAAAGGTCATCAAAAGGTCATCAAACCTCTTGTTTATTTACTGGTTTTGAAGATCAAGTTTCCTGTTAATAGATGTTGGACTCCAGTAGAGGGCAAGACTCTCAGTCTGGTTCCCAACAAGAGGATTGAAATTGGCAAAACAGGTTGAAAGGAAAGGGTAGTTTCTCCTTTAAGTGGAACGAAGCATACGTGAGCAGAATTTAATTGCTTACAGTTCCCAAGGTCTTTTCCCCCCTTTTTTATAGAGCTGAAATCCCTCAGAAATGGTCCAAGATCCAAATAATGTTCTTATCTGTGGTTTTCTTTGGAGATCGTTCAGCAGTAGACACAGATATCCAGACACGTACCCAGCTCTGTTGTAGGGAGCTCTATATATGGAGGGGGCAGGTGTTGCCAAATGGTAAAACACTGCTCGCTTGCCTCCCCTGTCAGTCTCAAAATGGAAAACTTATTTTATTCACAAATGTGACTTTAAAAATGCCAAGTTCCAAGATGCCAATATAAATTTGATATATTTTGAACAAAGCACACCCAAATTACTCTTTGATCACACTTTATCTTTTCAATGAAGATGGGAACTCCAGCATGGAGTGCCAGAAAATGGACTACAAGACATCGTCTATACTCAGCAGCCAAGATAGTGTTTCATGAAGCCCACTTACCTGAACGGGGTGCATCTAATTGAAGCATTTAGCCTTCGGTATGGGTTTGTACTTAACAGCATCCAAATGGTTGTTCTTTCTAGTTTTATTAAAGGAGCCGGATCCTTCTCATAAGTTTTCCATTAATGGGATTATAAGTTGATATAATTTTAAGTCTAAGAATGCAGAACTGGTATGTGGTAAACATAAACATGTGTTTGGTGTTAGATGTAAACTAGTGTAGCCAAAGTGGGCAAGTGCTGTAAACTTCAAACATAAAACAGATGTAAGGTAATTAGAGGCATGAAAGTGATGACAACGGCAGCGAACTGTAGCAATAAATGGATTGTTAGTTTAGGCAGGCATCACTGTGGCCCTGGTGGATTTATCACGTTTCTAGCTGCTGTGTGAACTTGATGTTACCCTTCTTTTTGAGAACACAAGTGTTGCTTTTTTAAAATTCAAAGGCAGGAAGTACAATTCAGAAGGATGCAAATGATAGGCTTCATTTTCTAAGTATGTCTGAAAAAGTTGATTGGCATTGCCTATTTTAAAATGCATTAACTAGTTGGCGGGCAATTTAAAAATTTTATTTCAACTCATTCTCTAATCTTAGGAGCAAACACTTAGACCACTTCTGGAGAAGTTCAACTGGCTTGTAGACAAAGGGCACAGCCTAGGCTTCCTCCCAGTAATTTCCTTAAAAAAATTTTGTTTTTGAGACAGGATCCCATACTGTCACTCAGGCTGGAGTGTAGTTGTGCAATCCCAGTTCACGGCAGCCTTGACCTCCTGAGCTCAATGTAGTCCTCCCACATCAGCCTCCCAAGTAGCTGGGACTATAGATGCATGCCACCATGCTCAACTAACTTTTTGTATTTTTAATAGAGATGTGGTTTCACTGTGTTGCCCAAGCTGGTCTTGAACTCCTGAGCTCAAGCAATCTGCCCACCTTGGCCTCCCAAAGTGGTGCCATTACTCTGTGTGCAGGTGACAGGGGTATATTTTAAGGAATATTTTTAGCCTTGGAGCAAGTTTTATAGTTGAGTACGACCAATGTGGAAAAAACTCTTTCTGTGCTTTTCTGATACCCAACAAGTAAAAAGCTAGAAGTCTTGGATCTGGTGGGGGATGAGACCTATGGTATTTTCCTCCTAATGTACCAAGTGAGAAGAACAACACTTTTGGCTGAGCTCTTTGTCACTGGAAATCACTATTGTCTTCTGTGGCAAGTTACTTTTAAGTTAGTCGGACCCAGATCAACCCAACTCTGATGCCATTACTGAGTATTAAATTCAAGTTTTAAAAATCATACACCAGCACAATGGATAAAGATCTTAATTCATTTTTGCATCAATTGATATAAAAATGTGCCCTTTGTCCATGTGTCAAGCTTTGAAGGCATTGAAGGAAGATGGCTGTTTAATGATGAAGATGAAGAAGAGCCTGAAAATGCTAAAGAGGAAGAATGATAACAGCTTGTTATTGGCAGGACAAAGGGGCCCAAACAAAGGAAGGCATTGCTATGGTTTGAATGTGTGCCCCAAAGTTCTTGTGCTGGGAACTTGATCCTCAGTGTCGTGGTGCTGACAGGTGAAGCCTAATGAGGGGTGTTTGGTTTATGTGGGTACTGCCCTCATGGACAAATTAATGCTCCTATTGTGGGAGGTGGTTCCTTATAAAAGGGTGAGTTTGTCCCTCACCACCTCTTCTTGGCCTTCTGCCTTCCTCCATGGGGTGACACAGCAAGAATGCCCTCACCAAATGCCAGAGGCTTGACCTTGGACTTCCCAGCCTCCAGAACTGTGAAAACATAAATTTCTGTTCATGATAAATTACCCAGTTTTAGGTATTCTGTTGTAGGATCACCAAATGGACTAACACAGGCATGCAGTTCAAACCACTTTTTATTTTAAAGTGCAGCCCCTTCTGGGAAAATGAAAGCATTGTGTGGTGGTTTTTTTTTTTTTTTCCTTTTGTCTTGTTTTATAGAGATGGGGTCTTGCTATGTTGGCCGGGCTTAACTCAAACTTCTAGCCTCAAGCAATCCTCCCACCTTGGTCTCTCAAAGTGCTGGGATTACAGGTGTGAGCCACTGAGCCCACCCTGAGAGCACTGTTAATGAAGTGGCCCTCTCTTCTTTTATGACACCTAGATTGAAAGGGGACATAACTGTTACATCCAGCCAGAACCTTCAACTCTCAACCTGCAGCCATAATATCATTAAGCCTCATAAAATTATGAATGCTCACCACTCCTTCCACCATTGCCAGTTTCCAATTTTAAAACAAGTAAAATACTCCTTTCAGGAGCAATATTTCCTCCACTTTTCAGGGGTTGGTGTCTATCTTAGACAGAAGGGAGCTGGACTTGGGGTTAAATGACCTGCAAGTACTAATTTTTAGGAAAGTGAAATGCTCCGAGCCTCAGCTTCTATCTTGGTAAAATGGGGATAATAATATTTGTCCTTCCTACCCTCAAGTTGCTGAATGAAATGATGAACATGAACATGCTTTGTTAGTATTATTCTTGCTGTGTGTTCATGTTGTTATCTGTGTGGAAGGCTCTTCTTTCCTGCTCTACCCAGCCAACTGCTATAGTGCCTTCGAGACCCTGTTAATATGTCACTTCTTCTGCTGTTTCTTGACTTCTCTCCAGGGCTTTCAGGACATTCCGTTTCTATGTTTCTAGCTGTTATTGCACCTACCACATTGTGTTGTCATTGTCTATTTACATGTTCACCTCTCCAATTGGACTCTGAGTTCTTTGAGCTCACAGCCAGTGTCTTATTCACTTTTTTCCCTATTTTTCTTTCTTTCCTTCCTTCCTTCCTTCCTTCCTTCCTTCCTTCCTTCCTTCCTTCCTTCCTTCCTTCCTTCCTTCCCTCCTTCCTTCCTCCCTCCCTCCCTTCCTCCCTCCCTCCCTCTCTTCTTTCTTTCTTTTCTTTTTTTGTCAAGGTCACTGTTGCCTAAGCTGATGTGCTGTGGTGCCATCATAGCTCATTGCAGCCTCCGACTCCTAGGGTCAATGGCTCCTCCCACCTCAGCTTCCTGAGTAGCTAGGACTACAGGCACACATTACTGTGCCTAGCTAATTTTTTCCCTTTTGTTTTTTTGACACAGGGGTTTGTTCTGTTGCCCAGCTGGAGTGCAGTGGTGTGATCACAGTTCACCATAACCTCGACCTCCAGGGCTCAATCGATCCTCCCACTTCAGTCTCCCGAGTAGCTGGGACCACAGGTGTGAGCCACCATGGATGGCCTATTTTATTTTATTTTATTTTAATTTAATTTTATTTTATGATGGAGTCTTGCTCTGTCACCCAGGCTGGAGTGCAGTGGTGTGATCTCATCTCACTGCAACCTCTGCCTCTGGGGTTGAAGTGATTCTCATGCCTCAGCCTCCCGAGTAGCTGGGATTACAGGTGCACACCACCACGACTGGCTAACTTTTGTATTTTTTAGTAGAGATGGGGTTTCACCATGTTGGCCAGGCTGGTCTTGAACTCCTGACCTCCAGGGATCCATCCAACTTGGCCTCCCAAAGTGTTGGGATTACAGGTGTGAGCCACCACACCTGGCTGCCAGTCCATTTCTTAAACGTCTTTGTAACACCTTCAATGTAGAAGACATGATAATCAGTACTTATATATTGAATAAATAGGTCCTTACCTTTATCATAATAATTTTCCTCCATTTTTAACCACTATAATAGTCCAGGGCAACATCAAATACGTATTGCTCCCCTTTCTGCATTTATGTTCATATACATCAATTGATTAATAAAATTTCACTTATAAAGTATGGCTGTGGATACCACTTTTGGCAACTATTTGTAGTTGAGAAGTCATGGGACCATTATGGCTCCTGCCCCATGTTAGTCTAAGAAATTATTGACTTGGCACGGTGACTCGCACCTGTAATCCCAGCACTTTGGGAGGCTGAAGAGGGCAGATCACTTGAGCCTAAAAGTTTGGGACCAGCCTGGGAAAGATGGTGAGACCCCATCTCTACAGAAAGCTGAAAAATTAGCTAAGTGTGGTGGTGCATACCTGTGGCCCCAGCTACTTGGGAGGCTGAGGTGGGAGAATTGCTTGAACCGAGGAGACTAAAGCTGCAGTGAGCTGTGTTCATGCCACTGTGCTCCAGTCTGGGTGACAGAGTGAGACCCTATTTCAAAAAAAGAAAGAAATTTCATCATTTAATTCAAACGTTGAAGTTTGTTGTTGTTGTTGTTGTTTTTGAGAGCGTCTGCTATTGGTGCCATGTGGCAAAGATATTGTGAAGTTATCTTTAATTTCTGGCTATGTTAAACTTTTTTTGAATGAAAAGAACATGGTGAATAATGCCTTGTATTGGCACTCAATATGTATTTGTTAATTCATTTTGAACTTAATTAATGCATACTATCTATTGCACTCTTTCTGATGTTAAAGGGCAAACCGTGGGGGGATACAAAGCTGAATAGATATAGTGTGGTTATAGAGGAGCTTAAAGTACAATTTTGGAGATAAGACAACACACTTAAAACATAACTTTCAATAAAACTCTATGTCAATCAAGCACTCTAGCTATAAATTGTGAGATGCGGTAAATCTCTTTGAGGGAAAATAATAATCCTTAGGTTCTAACAACAGGTCGTTTGTATGAAATTATTTAAAGATGTAAAATATTATACATATATTTATATGCACAAGATAAGACAGAGGAAGACGTAGGGAGGGAGAGAAAGAGAGGAATGTTTTGATTAAATAACAGACTGCTGAGTCACGTTTCCTGAGTTTAAATCCCACTTCTGTTACTGGCTGTGTGACCTTGGGCACAGTTTTTTGATCTCTTTAATTCTCAGTTTTTGGTGAAATGTGAACAAGAATAGTCTTCTTCATGGTATTATTGTAAATATGAAATAAGATGTATGTAAAGTACTGGACACACAACTCATATGCACGGAATTTTAAGGTTTTTTTTTTTTTTTTTTTGAGACAGGGTCTTCCTCTGTTGTCCAGGCTGGAGTGCAGTGGTGCAATCATAGCTCCCTGCAGCCTCGAACTCCTGGGCTCAAGTCATCCTCCTGCCTCAGCCTCCTGAGTACCTGGAACTACAAGTGTGCATCACCATGCCTGGCTAATTTAAAAATTTTTAAGAGACAGGGTCTCCTTTGGGAGGGCGAGGCGGGTGGATCATTTGAGGTCAGGAGTTCGAGACCAGCCTGACCAATATGGTGAAACCCAGTCTATACTAAAAATACAAAAAATTAGCAGGGCATGGTGGCAGGCGCTTGTAGTCCCAGCTACTGGGGAGACTGAGACAAGAGAATTGCTTGAACTCGGGAGGTGGAGGTGGCAGTGAGCCGAGATCGTGCCACTGCACTTCAGCCTGGGCAACAGAGCGAGACTCCATCTCAAAAAAAAATTGAAAAATAAAATAAAGAAATAAAAAAAGAGAGTCCCACTATGTTGCTCAGGCTTGAATTTTACGTATTAATATCTAATATTTGCTAAGCACCTGCTGTGTCAGGCAGTGTTCAAAGTTTTATTATCATTATTATTAATTTTATTTCATTTTATTGTTTTATTGAGACAAGGTCTTGCTCTGTTGCCCAGGCTGGAGTGCAGTGGTGTGATCACCGCCCACTGTAGCTTCAATCTTCTGGGCTCAAGTGATCTCCTACCTCAGCCTACCAAGTGGCTGGGACTACGGGCATGCACCACCAGGCCTGGCTAATTTTTTAATTTTTTATAGGGATGAGGATTTTCCATGTTGCCCAGGTTTGTCTTGAACTCCTGGGCTCAAGTGATCTGCCCACCTTGGCCTCCCAAAGTGTTGGGATTACAGGTGTGAGCCACCGCACCCAGTCATTATTATTTATTATCTCATTAAATCCTCTCAGCAATCCTTGAGTCGGTGTTTGTTTCACAGATGAACTAACAAATGTGACTCTTTGCACAATGTTACCCATGTGAGTAGCTTTTGCTCAGTAAATTATTCAATCGTTCATTAATTGAATTGTGCAAATGTCATGAGTGACATATCTAATGTACTGAGCACAAAAATACTGGTATGTTAAACGGAGTGCAGCCCTACTGTTTGTTGTCATGTGTTTGTACATGCCTGGTGCCTTTCCCACTTCGGAAGTGGGGCAGAGAACCCAGGGGAACAGTCTGAGGTAGGCTCTGGATTTGGGGCAAAGGCTGCCATTGTCATCTAATGACAGTGTTCCACAGTTAGAGCTGCAGTTGCTGGAGAGCAGCTTCTCCCTTGTAATTAACCGTTTGGCTGCTGAGCCTAGGGTGGCTTTGAAAGACACCCAGGTGACAGTGGGGTGCCTGTGGTCCCAGACTGTGGAATTACACGGAGTCAAGAGCTAAATAGCCTCTCCCATCTACTCATTTTCTCTTAAATTACATGTGATTAGGAATATAATTACCACTCCTTACTCTTCCCCCTCAAAACACTATTTTCCTTTCTTCGCACAGCGCTTTGATAGGGAAAAAAACAAACCAAGGTTGTGCTCAGCGGTGGGCAAGGCTGAGGATGGGAGCGAGAAGCCAGGCGGTGACAGAGGGGATGGAGCCCACCCTCTGTGGCACTGGCGAGCTTGGAAGTTCAAAAACAAAAAAATCCAAGGGCAAGAGTGGTAATTAGAAAATGTATGCAAAACGCTTTGATTATTGAAATCGTACCTGCCTAGGGGTCCTGGGAGAGCCTGAAATGATATGTGTGCTCACGTTAGAATTACAAAGCTCAGCTGTTGATCTTCTTATTTTGGGAATGTCTATCCCTCTAATTACTTTACAGTCCAAATGATTTAAAAAAAAAAAAAAAAAAGAGCAGGGAGCAACAGACAAGCCCAAATTGCTGTGTTTAAAGGAGCAGGGCTGTCTGTTTGCGTGGGGCTGTCTCCCTGTAATGAGAACCACCGCTGAGAGCTGTTTAGACAAACGGGCTCAGCGCTCCGGAGCCGCGCGGGCCTCCAAATGCAAGGGTTTGTTCTGCTGGGGCAGCGTCTGTCGCGAAAGCAGCGGCGGGGAGGAAGCGCAGAGCTGTGTTTTGAATTAATGGGTTCAGCTTCATGTTGAGCACAAGTGGGAGGCTATTTTAGAGAAACCTTCCCAGGCCAGCCGTCACTGATGTGGCAAACTCAGCCTCTGGGCAGACCGGCTGGAAATAGAAACGTCTCCGCTTCACGATGGCGCACGCCCGGACGTCCCCTTCCGAGAGCGGGTCCCCTTTGTCCCCCGAGGCCCCGCCGCCCTGTGTCACGTCCCCACCTCGCTCTGGGTCCACTGATCTCTTGATGCACGCGTCCCATCAGCAGCAGCCGAAAGAGGGTGCTCGGGCGGGAGTGAAATCCCTGTGAAATGTGATCAAGAACACAAAATGCTGAGGCAGCTCCAGCTAACATCAGCGCTCAGTCTCCCCGCCCAGGTGGGATCCTCCAAGCGCCTCAACGCACCGCCCATCCCGGTGCCAGGTGTAAATGCGCCCCAGCAACACGTGGCTCTAGGAGCCGCAGGGATGGCATCCCCTTGCTGCAGAAGACTCAGCCACGTGAGGTCAATGTTCATTTCCGCAGAGGTGCCTCTCTCTGGGGGGGCCTATATGTGAATCCACCTAGGAGGAGCTCGCTGAAGAATTGGTATTATTAAAGATAGCTTAGCTCGAGCAGATTTTCTCACGTTTCTAAGCGACTCGGAGAGGACTTACACCAAAGGCATTTCGCTTTTGCATTGATTTCTTAATTAAAAAATATCTTTCTTTTTCCTTTGGCCCAGGCTGAAAGACCTTGGAATTTCTTGTGAAAGTCCTGGGGGAGGTGGGGGGTGGCGAGGGGGTTTTCAGAGCATTGAAATCACTTTTCTCAGATAACTGGAAAGAGACCCCCAACTTCTTGATGACTACATGGACAGATGGATTCCTTATTTGCAAAATCTTGAGTGTTTCTAACTTGTTCTGGAGAAGGAAGAGCAGATGAAGTCAATACAACCCAGGCACATAAGTTAATTTTCCAAGTTGATGAACTTGGCCACATTTCTACAACATTAAGTCTCCCCTTTGATGCTTGAAGAATTAATTCCCGCCCCCCCAGCCCACCGTGTAAAACATCTACACATATTATTTTTTACTGTTGTTGCTGTTAAGGGAAATTTTTTGACCTAGTAAATTTAAAATCCAAAGGAGTGATATGATATAGTGTATACATAAGATACAATGAATTCTCTGTGATGCAGTTGTATTAATCCATATTCTCAACTGTGATGAGGAAATACATGAATCCTTCCATTTTTTCCCCCATACAAAATCATGTTTGCTTGTTTGTTTGTTTGTTTGTTTTGAGAGGGAGTTTTGCTCTTGTTGCCCGGACTGGAGTGCAATGGCGTGATCTTGGCTCACCACAACCCTCCGCCTCCCGGGTTCAAGCGATTCTCCTGCCTCAGCCTCCCAAGTAGCTGGGATTACAGGCATGCACCACTCCACCTGGCTAATTTTATATTTTTAGTAGAGACGGGGTTTCTCTATGTTGGTCAGGCTGGTCTTGAACTCCCAACCTCAGGTGATCCACCCGCCTCGGCCTCCCAAAGTGCTGGGATTACAGGTGTGAGCCACTGTGCCCAGCCTAACAAAGTAACTTTTTTGTTTTTGCTTTTTTGCTTTTTTTTTTTTTTTTGAGACAGAGTCTTTGCTCTGTTGTCCAGGCTGGAGTGTAGTGGCACGATCATAGCTCACTGCAGCCTTGACCTCACTGGCCAAGAGAGCCTCCTACCTCAGCCTCCTGAGTATCTGGGACTACAGGCACATGTCACCACACATGGTTAATTTTAAAATTTTATTTTTAGTAGAGACGAGGTTTCATTATCTTGCCCAGTATGGTCTTGAGCTCCTGAGCTCAAGTGGTCATCCCACCTCAGCCTCCCAAAGTGCTGCGATTCTGGGTGTAAGCCACCACATCTGACCTGTAATATTTTTGGTATTTATACAGTATCATGCTTTGCAAAGAGCAATCATATTTAATAATTTAATTTCTTGCCTTCCCGCTTAATCCTCTGGAAAAGTTGGACTGCTTGTGTGGTAAATTCCAGTTTATAGGTGGGCAAGATTGTTGTGTGCTTGTTACCTTCACTTGGGCCAATGGGAAAGAGGTTGGAAACCACCTATTGATCATGTCTAATTTGTGCATATTTCCACTGACCTGTGTTGCCAACCCTGACACAGGCCAGGCTGTGAACCAATTATACCTGAGATCAATAGCAGCTCTTCATATAGTGGGTGTTCTTGCCAGACTGACAGTCTGTTAAAGGCAGATGTAATGGCTAGATGCAGAGTCTAGCCAAGAAAGGATTTTGCAGTGCTGTATGTTGGGTCATTAAATATCTGGCATAAGAGAAAGTTAAACTTATAAGATGGTAGCATCACCTCTTGGGACTAGGCAGAAATTTAGTGGATTTTTGCAGAATACCAGAAAGTGGAAAATTTGAAGTTAAATTTGATTTATATATTGAATTTTAAGACTGATAGAATATAACTTTTTCTCTCTTTCCTCCTATCTTTTCCCAAAACCAAATTAAAATGAATGATGATAACAACTGGGCTTTTAAATTATGGTAAGGTCTATGGCCATACCACTCTGAAAATGAACCCCATCTTTTCTGATAAATGATGGTAAGAAGAAAACAGATTAAGACATTATATTGGGAACTTTGGACTTAGGACATTGGAGAATCCTACAAAATGGACCAAAAGATGCTTCTATCATCTGATCAACTTCAGGCTTGGCCCTATGTAGAGAGGCATGCTCTTTCCATTAACTTTTTCTTTTTTTTTTTTTTTTTTGAATTTTTTAGTAGAGATGGAGTTTCACCGTGTTAGCCAGGATGATCTCAATCTCCTGACCTCGTAATCCGCCCGCCTTGGCCTCCCAATCCATTAACAATTTATGGTGGATTTTTTTTTTTTTTTTGAGATGGAGTCTTGCTCTGTTGCCCAGACTGGAGTGCAGTAGCACGATCTTGGTCCACTGCAACCTCTGCCTCCCAGGTTCAACTGATTTTCCTGCCTCAGCCTCCCAAGTAACTGGGATTACAGATGTGTGCCACCACGCCTGGCTAATTTTTGTATTTTTAGTAGAGAAGGGGTTTCACCATGTGGGACATGATGGTCTTGAACTTCTGACCTTAAATGATCCACCCGCCTCGGCCTCCCAAAGCGCTGGAATTACAGGTGTGAGCCATCGTGCCCAGCCAATTTTGAATTTAAAAAAAAAGTTCTGGGCTGGGCATGGTGACTCATGCTTGTAATTCCAGCTCTTTGGGAAGCTGAGGCAGGGGGATCACTTGAAGCCAGATGTTAGAGACCAGCCTGGACAACACAGAGAGACAACAAAAAATTTAAAGAAATTAGCAGGGCATGGTGGCACGCAACTGTAGTCCCAGCTACTTGGGAGGCTGAAGCAGGAGGATTGCTTGAGTCCCAGAGTTCAGGTTACAGTGAGCTATGATCGCACCATTGCATTCCTGCCTGGGAGATGGGGCCAGACTCTGTCTCTAAGAAAATAACAAACAAACAAAATTTCTAGATGGTTGCATTAGCCCCCATTTTCTGGGAAGTAATTTTATCCTCATTTACATATTTTAGAGGTACAGATCCGACCCTTTCCCAGCCCCTTTCACTCCACCCACCCCACATAAAGGTTTACCTAAACACAGCCATCAATCACAGCCCTCCCTTCAGGAATTTCGAGTCTTTTATTCATAAGAGAACAGAGTATATTGTGGCGAAAATGAACTCAGGTCAATCCACCATAATGTCTGTGTGTATAGCAATTGGGCAATCAAGTAAAGAAAATGCCAGCATGGATGATTAGAAATGTAAGCTCTGTATTCAAAACCAGGCATCAGGGGATAATTGTGACAGGGGCCAATTCAGTAGAAAATGATTTTTCTTGTGCCACATATTGTAGTCAAGGGATAATTTTGTTTTTGTTTTGTTTTTCCCCAGGGCAGCCCCATGAATATGAAGATACTTGGAAAGTCTTTACTACAGAGCATGATTTCAGGAATGATGAAACAATAAACGAGAATCTGGTATTAATAATCTGTGGGTTTTAAATTTTATGCCATTCAAAGATGTGAGGACCAGTCATTTCATGTATCCTACAAAGTGGAACATGCCGTGGGACACACAGATTCATGATTCATGAGGAGGTTGGATGTCCGACAGTAAACATTCACACACACAATTTGAGTCTTTGGTGCTTACTGGCTGTACTTTGATAATACCTCATCAATTCAAACCTCTCAAAGCCAGATCTTGGAATGAAACAGGTTGAAAAGACTGAGAGCTGAAGCTTGCCTTTGCATAGTTGACAGCCTTTGCTCAGCAAACTAAGAGTCGCTCATAGTTGATGACCAAATAAAATGCAGAGGATTTGAGAAGCACAAAATAGGGAGGGAGAAACCATCAAGAGGCTAAATACGATTTATTTAAGTTCCCCATCAGAACAGACTTCCTACAGGCCTCAACACAGCAATGTGTTATTAACCCACAGTATGCTCTAGAAAGGACATATGAGCTGCCTTTCTTGTCAAATATCATCTTCTTCCAGAGCACCCCACCCATTCATCTTTTGTAAAGATCAGACTTGGAATAAAACTGCGTGAAGAGATTTTTGTTTTTGTTTTTTTGAGACAGAGTCTCACTCTGTCGTCCAGGCTGGAGTGCAGTGGCGTGATCTTGGCTCACTGCAACCTCGACTTCCTGAGTTCAAGCAATTCTTATGCCTCAGACTCCCAAGTAGCTGGGATTACAGGCACCCGCCACCATGCCTGATTAATTTTTGTATTTTTAGTAGAGATGGGGTTTCACCATGTTGGCTAGGCTGGTCTTGAACTCCTGGTCTCAGGCCATCCGCCCACCTCAGCCTCCCAAAGTGCTGGGATTACAGGCATGAGCCACTGTACCTGGCCTGCAAAGAGATATTTTAATAAAGACAGACCAGGAAAGTTGCTCCATTATCTCAGTTAAGAAGGAAAGAAGGAAAAGGAACAGTTTTCTTCCCATGGGCACACAAAGTATTTCTGCTAGGAAGACTTCAGACTACATCTCTCCACTTGTCCTAAGTAGAATTTGCAAGGCCTTCTCTCCACAACTACTTACCCTTGCAACTATCTGATTGTAGAGATGGAGTGATGAGCTTCGACTGTCTGTCCCCACCCAAATCTCATCTTGAGTTGTAATCTCCAAGTGTGGAAGCAGGGAAGCGATTGGATCGTGGGCGCAGTTTCCCCCATGCTGTTCTCGTGATAGTGAGTGAGTTCTCACGAGATCTGATGGTTTTATAAGTGTCTGGCATTTCCTCTGCTTGCACTTCTCTCTCCTGCCGCCATGTGAAGAAGATCCTTGCTTCCCCTTCACCTTCCACCACGATTGTAAGTTTCCTAAGGCTTCCCCAGCCATGGGGAATTGTGAGTCAATGAAATCTCTTTCCTTTATAAATGACCCAGTCTTGGGCATGTCTTTATGGCAGTGTGAAAACGGACTAATAATGGAGCATGATGAATGTGGCTGAAACATTCTGCATCTCGTACTTTGATAAATTTACCTGTATATCAGGCAGAATGTTCTCTGGTCAGACCAGTACTTGGAGCAAAAGAGGGAAGAGGAAAGGCCCACCTGGGCCCTGATATCCTGGGACACACAGCTTGGTGGCCTGGTGGCCTGGCTTATACCTGATTCCTCCCCAGAGGTAATTTGTCATTGTGTCTGGTCTCGTTCTCAAGAAATGTAAGTGCTGTAGTGAAAAGCTGCTGTCAAATGCACACCTGTGTGTGTGCTTTCAGGCTGACGCTGGACACACTAAGGGCATGAAGTGCCTTGTGGAATAGAAGAGTGTTCAGTACAGCACCGAGAAGCCAGAGACTTGGTCTCCAACAAGACTTCTGAACATTTGGAACATGGTTCCCTTCCCTCTTATGGCATAAATGGGACTACAAAATGCTTCTCAATGAATACATGCCACTTTTCCTCCTTTGCTTTGTGATGGCAGTATTTCATGGAAAAGAATCCTGTCATATCATATATCTATGTGGATCTTTCCAGTGAATTAATTGTGCAAATTCCTTCTCTGCTAGAGAAATAAATACTTCTGCAAAACATTTACCTTACCTAATAGTCTAATCTTAGGCCAACAGAGCAGCAACATCTGCCAAACAGAAAACCCCTGATAATCCAGGATTAAATAACATTAATATTATTTTTTGTAGGCCAGCAGGATTGTCCAGAGGACCAGTGATAATAAGGATTTATGAGGGAGGAGAGGCCCTGCAGAAGATAACACTACAATAACATTCTGTGTTTATATTGGGCAAAGGGGACAGGACACATTTTCTACAAGCGCAAACTTCAGGATGGAAATGTTAATACCTTGTATTTGTAGAGTGCATTGGAGCTTGTGAGTCACCTTCACACACAAGAACTCATCTATTAGGCTCCTCATCTGTGAAGGTTCCCAGGTGGGTATTATTCTCATGCATGAGACAATGGAGGTTCAGCAAGGTAAAGTGACTCAGCTAGTAGGTAGGAGAACTGGGTTTAAAATCTAGGTGTTTAGGTTGGTCACGGTGGCTCACACTTGTAATCCCAGCACTTTGAGAGGCTGTGGCAGGAGGATCACTTGAGTTCAGAAGTTCAAGACCAGCCCCACCCACATAATGAGACCACCATCTCTACTAAAGATTTTTAAAATACATATTTTGCCAGGTGTGGTGGTGTATACCTGTAGTCCCAGCCACTTGGGAGGTCAAGGGGGGAGGATCGCTTGAACTCAGGGGTTCAAAGCTGCAGTGAGCTATGATTGCACCACTGCATTCCAGCTTAGGTGACAGAGTGAGACCCTGTCTCTAAAAAAATAAATAAATACAAATAAAATAAAATCTAGGCTGGGCACGATGGCCCACGCCTGTAATCCCAGCACTTTGGGAGGCTGAGGTGGGTGGATCACAAGGTCAGGAGTTCGAGATCAGCCTGGCCAATATGATGAAACCCTGTCTCTACTAAAAATACAAAAATTAGCCGGGCGTGGTGGCAGGCACCTGTAGTCCCAGTTACTCAGGAGTCTGAGGCAGGAGAATTGCTTGAACCCCGGAGGTGGAGGTTGCAGTGAGCCGAGATCACGCCTCTGCACTCCAACCTGGGTGACAGAATGAGACAAAACAAAAAACAAAAAAACAAAACAAAACAAAAATCTAGATGCTTTAATTCCTACTTCAATATTATTTTTCCTACATTTCCAACAATAAGGAATATCTAGAATGGATTGGTGATGCTTGATGAGTCTCTGGTTAAGATTTTCAAAATAAAATCTGTAGCATAGAATGAAACATTGAGTTTGTCCACAGGAACACGGCTCCAAGGGGACCTTTTCCTTGAAAGATCTCTGGAATGTTCACTTGCCCTAAGAAGGAACATCTCTGTTGCTTGTACATCAAAGAAAAGAAGGGAAAAGGAAAGAGGAGGCCAGGCATGGGGGCTCACGCCTGTAATCCCAGCACTTTGGGAGGCTGAGGCAGGCAGATCACCTGAGGTCAGGAGTTCAAGACCAGCCTGGCCAACATGGTGAAACCCCGTCTCTACTAAAAATACAAAAATTAGCTGGATGTGGTGGCACAATTACAGCCTGTAATCCCAGCTACTTGGGAGGCTGAGGCACGAGAATCGCTTGAACCCGGGAGGCAGAGGTTGCAGTGAGCCAAGACCGCGCCATTTCACTCCAGTCTAAGCAACAAGAGTGAGACAAAAAAAAAAAAAAAAAAAAAGAGCAAAAAAGTCGTGGCTCAAGGCAAGATCGGGTGGTAAATAAGAGTTGATCTGGATTTAGAGCTAAGGTCCTTTTGAGAATTTTCTCCCTGAGGCCGCAGTTGAAGATTCATTTTGGGGTTGCCCTGTTCAGCAAGGAGGCTCTGAGGAGTGCAAGGGTGTGGGGACTTCTAAGAATGTGTTTTTTGAGTCAAAATAGAAACTTTTCCTTACATTCTGACTCACAGGGGATTAGAAGGTAGTGCATGGATTAGACGAAAATGCCTCAGTTAAGAATTTAATCCTGTTAGGCAACAGTAAGTCACTATTTTTAAAGGGTTTTGTGCCAAAAAGTAGAAAGGAAAAAAAAAAGTGGCATCCACAGTTTGCAGGAGATAATTGTTTCTAAAGAGCTGCTTGCTTGAGGCCTCTTGAATGCTACATTTTCTTCCAGGTTCTTCTAAAGAGAATAATGGGTTTAAATTGGGGGTGTGAGCGCTACCTTGGCTAGGGGTTACCAGTGGGGCTGTTTTGGCTTCAGGTGATGCCCAGGGCTGGAGCTGGAAGAGATGAGAGGAGCCAGGAGTGAGGGATTCTGGCTTCCTATCCTGTTGTCAGAGTTCAGTTATGCAGGGGAATGAGACAGAAAACGAAACCAAATGTTTACACTGATTTTGACTTTGTAGACTTGACAGTCGATTAAAATCCGTCCAGTGCCTTTTTCCTTTCCTTTTCCTTTCCCCTTTCCTTTCCTCATTCCTTCCTTCCTTTTTTTTTTTTTGACAGAATCTCGCTCTGTTGCCCAGGCTGGAGTGCAGTAGCGCAATCTCAGTTCATTGTAACCTCTGCCTCCTGAGTTCAAGTGATTCTCCTGCCTCAGCCTCCGGAGTAGTTGGGATTACAGGCGCATGCCACCACCCAGCAAATTTTTGTATTTTTAGTAGAGATGGGTTTTCGCCATGTTGGACAGGCTGGTCTCGAACTCCTGACCTCAGGTGATCCCTCATCTTGGCCTCCCAAAGTGCTGGGATTACAGGCATGAGCCACCGTGCCCGGCCTGTTTGCTTGCTTGCTTTCTTTTCTTTTCTTTCTTTTCTTTTCTTTTCTTTCTTTTCTTTTCTTTTCTTTCTTTTCTTTCTTTCTTTCTTTTTTCTTTCTTTCTTTCTTTCTTTCTTTCTTTCTTTCTTTCTTTCTTTCTTTCTTCCTTCCTTCCCTCCCTCCTTTCTTTCTTCTTTCTTTTCTTTCTTTTTTTCTTTCTTTTCTTTCTTCTTTCTTCCTCTCTTTCTCTCTCTGTTTCTCTCTCTCTCTCTTTCTCTCTCTGTCTTTTCTTTTCTTTTCCTTTTCTTTCTAGACAGAGTTTCACTCTGTCACCCAGGCTGTAGTGCAGTGGCATAATCTCGGCTCACTGCAACCTCTGCCTCCCAGATTAAAGCAATTCTTGTGTGTCAGCCTCCCGAGTAGCTGGGATTATAGGCCTGCACCACCATGCCTGGTCAATTTCTGTATTTTTTGTAGAGATGGGGTTTCTCTATGTTGGCCAGGCTGGTCTCAAACTCCTGGCCTCAAGGGATCTACCAGCCTTGGCCTCCCAAAGTGCTGGGATAACAGGCGTGAGCCACTGCGCCCAGTCTTCTTGTTTCTATTGTTACAAGACTCATTTTGAAGGGTAAGGACTTTGCTTAAGATCTGTTTTGTTTTTCCCTTTCTGTTGTATTTATTTATTTTGTGACAGAATCTTGCTCTGTCACCCAGGTAGGAGTGCAGTGGCATGGATCTCAGCTCACTGAAACCTCTGCCACCTGGGTTGAAGCGATCCTCCCACCTCTGCCTCCCAAGTAGCTGGGGTTACAGGCACACACCACCACGCCCACTAATTTTTGTATTTTTCTGTTGAGACAGGGATCTCGCCATGTTGCCCAGGCTGATCTCGAACTTCTGAGCTCAAATGATCCTCCTGCCTGGGTCTCCTTAAGTGCTGGAATTACAGGCGTGAGCAACCTTGCTCAGCCTCAGTGGTATTCTTGCTTTCAGCACCACAGATACATTCATTCATTCATTTACTCTCTTAATTTACTAAGTACCTCAAATGTGCCAGAAATGGTTCTAGGCACTGGGGACACAGTGACCAAGACACATCTAATCTCTGCCTCTAGGAAATTATATTCTAATGGAAGGAGCTAAAAAATGAGTGAGCAAATGCAGTAACTGGTAAGTCTATAAGTCCTGCAGAGGGAAATAGGCAGAGAAAGTGTTGACCGGCTGGGCGTGTGTGTAGCCAGGAGAGTGAGGTTGCTATTTTAAGTAGGTGGTCAGGAAAGGCCTCGCTGATAACCTGTGTCTCACCAAGAGCTGAAGGATGTGAGGGAGTTGTGTGATGTCTGGGGTGAAACAGTTCCAGGCGGAAGAAACCCCAAAGGCACAGGCATTTACGTGGGAACATGTGAGGGGGGCCGGTTTTCAGAGCTCAGTAAGTGCTTAGGAGAGGCGTAGGGGACGCAGTTGGTGTGGGATGCTTGTGTGTTGCGAGGTAGATTATCAAAGGCCTTGTAGGCCTCGAAAGGGCTTGGTCATTTACTCTGAAGGAGGTGGGAAGCCTCTGGGGGATTTTGGATAGAGGAATGCCATGACTGACCTGTTATAAAAAGACCACTCTGGCTGCTGTGTTGAGAGAAAAACTGCAAGAGGTGATGGAAAGATTGGTTAGGAGGCTGTTAATAATCCGGGTGAGAGATGAGAAGGCTTAGATCAGCGTGGCTGGGATGGAGGTGTGAGAAGTGTTGGATTCCGATCTATACTTTTTTTTTTTTTTTTTTTTTGGGACAGAGTCTCGCTCTGTCGCCCAGGCTGGAGTGCAGTGGCTTGATCTTGGCTCACTGCAACCTCCGCCTCCTGAGTTCAAGCAATTCTCCTGCCTCAGCTCCCCAAGTAGCTGGGATTACAGGCACCCATCATCACACCCGGCTAATTTTTTGCATTTTTACTAGAGACAGGGTTTTGCCATGTTGGCCAGGCTAGTCTCGAACTCTTGACCTCAGGTGATCCGCCCACCTCGGCCTCCCAAAGTGCTGGGATTACAGGCATGAGCCACTGAGCCTGGCCTGATCTATTACTAAAGTAGAGAAAAAAAGATTTGCTGATAGATTGGATGTGGGCATGAGAGGAAAAAAAAGTGGAGGGAAGTTGGGTGTGCTGTCCCATTAAGTGGGGGACCCAAGAGAGCCATTCTCCTGACAAAATGAGTTTCTGCTGGCGAGCCCAGGGGACAGCAGTATGGTGCCCAGGAATAAGACAGGACCCACCTTTCTTACTACAGACTTCTTTCTAGGGAGCTAAGACAGGGTGGGTCCCCAGCTCTACAACTATTCTATCTATCTGTCTGTCTATCTATCATCTATCTATCTATCTATCTATCTATCTATCTATCTATCTATCTATCTATCTATCTAATCTATCATTTATATCTATTATCTATCTATCTATCTATCTATCTATCTATCTATCTATCATCTCATAAGTTAATTTTTGAGTATGTAATCCATTCACACCCAACAGGTATGGAAAAGAAGGGTATTTTTTCCTATGATTAGCTCTTTGATATACTTACTATTTTTATAATTCTTTCTTTCAAATTTATTTCTGCTTTTATTTGCTGTTTATTCTGCCTGCTTTTTCCTATGATTAGCTCTGTTATATACTTATTAGTTTTATAATTCTTTCTTTCAAATTTATTTCTGCTTTTATTTACTGTTTCTTCTGCCTGCTTTTTCCTGATTTAGATGCTTTATTTATTTCAATTCTTCTTGTATGCATTTAAGGCTACACATTTCCCTCGTAGCACTGCTTTGGATGTCCTTTGTGCATATCATATGGCTTCATTAGCTCTTTAGAATCATTCACAAAGCCTCTTCTCAAGGCATGAGCCTGTCACCAGGCTAAATCAGGACAGATTTAAGTCATGAACCAGGGTCAATGCTCATCTTGTTCCTCAGCCCTTACCTAGGGAGTTACCTGTGTGCTTCTCCTTCTGCCCTCAGGGAGAATTCTCTCTCAGGGACCTCATTGTCCTGTTAAGCCCATCAGATATATTTAAATGATTTTGAATAGCAAGGGGAAAAGATCTCTTTCTCTGCAAGAGTCTTCCTGTTCCTATGTAAATTCCTGGGGCAAATAGGTGAGTGGGCAGAAGAATTCTGTCCAACTCCACTCACAGCACTCATAGTCCAAATCCCAGTAGGTTGGGGTAGTGGCTGTTGAAGAACCCCACCTCACCCCTAGAGCTGCTGCCCATGTATCCTCTTGCACCTACATTATTTCATTTAAGCTTCATGATGATTTTGCAAGGTAGTAATTTCAATCCCCATTTTCACAGACAGATACAGGTGCTTAAGAAGATAAAACAACTTACATGTGTTTACACAGCAAGTGCCAGAAATGGGATTCAAACTCAGGCCTGCTTTCAAATATGGACCTCTTCCACTCTACCAGGATGCCGTCCCAAATTTTTTTTTTTTTTTTTGGTTTTGAGACGGAGTTTCACTCTTGTTGCCCAGGCTGGAGTGGTTTGATCTTGGCTCAGTGCAACCTCTGCCTCTCGGTTTCAAGCGATTCTCCTGCCTTAGCCTCCTGAGTAGCTGGGACTACAGGTGTGCATCACCACCCCTGGCTAATTTTTGTATTTTTAATAGAGACGGGGTTTCACCATGTTGACCAGGCTGGTATTGAACTCCTGACCTCAGGAGATCTGCCTGCCTTGGCCTCCCAAAGTGCTGGGATTACAGGCGTGAGCCACCGCACCCAGCCAACCTTCCCAAAAGTTTTAATACTCATGCTTCAGTTATGCAATTGTGTCAGGAAGTGATGCATCCTTTCTAAATTATGTTTTGAGATAATCAAAGCTTAGCCTTTTAAGCACCAACATTTTGTAAACTTTTGTAGACAAAAATATTCGTAGAATGTGTTACATATTTTTCACTTTCTTAAACAGAGCATGCTGGACAGATTTTAAACTTTGCTTGATGATTCATGTCATGTTTAAGAGCATCAATTATTATGTAATGCCATATTATAGGGAGTTTAAGTATCTTGCCCAAGGCTAGACAGCTGTTAAATGGGGAAACTGTTCAAATGCAGGCAGTCTGGCTACAGAGCCCATGTTCTTAGCAACTATGCTATCATGCCTCACCAAGTGCTCAAAAGAATTAGAGATCGCTGTGGGCTGGAGATGAGTCGTCCCAATAGTATTGGTTGCTCTGGCAAAGAGCAGGGAGGCAGAATCTGAAGCCATCCAGCAAACTTAGCAGGGGTGGAGATCAGGGTCCACTTTGCTGACATTTCAGAATAGAGAAATGCCATGTCATAGCAAAAGTCCAGGAAGAACCAGATCAGAGATAGAGGGGTGAAACAAAAAGTGGATATTGGCCAAGTGTGACTCATGCCTCTAATCCCAGTGCTTTGGGAGGCTGAACTGGGAGGATTGCTTGAAGCCAGGAGTTCGAGACCAGCCTGGGCAACATGATGAGACCCTGTCTCTATAAACAATTTTTACAAAGAAAATATTAGCCAGGCATGCTGGCATGCACCTGTTGTCCCAACTACTCAGGATCCTGAGGCAGGAGGATCGCTTGAGCCCAGGAGTTTGAGGCTGTAGGAAGCCATGATTGTGCCACTGCACTCCAACCTGTGTGACAGAGTGAGACCCTGTCTCTAAAACAAAACAAAACAAAACAAACAGACAAACAAACAAAACCCAAAACATGACTATCAAGGAATCTATGCATAAGAACCTGAGATGAAAATCACATGTTAGAGTTTCTTGTGGGAGGAGGAGTGCTGATAAATGGCACCTGTTTTTCCTGCTCAAGTTCTGAAAAACCTGACAGGTCCAGAGTAGCAGATGGGCCACAGTTCTCCTTTATTTTTGTTCAAGGTTAAATTGGAAGCCATAGCTCACTGCAAGAACCAAATGGACCTGTGAAGTAATTCCAAAATTCAACATACTTACCCCACACTCATGTAGGCACTGGACCAGGTAAAACTTACAGCATGGAGAAACAGAGGACTCTTGGTGCTTGCAGTTAAGTTCACTTCCAAGAGGGAAAAGGGTGTAGCTGATCCAAGAATGCCTATGACCATAAGAAGTACATTGCCCGATGTGCAGCAAGTCAGTATACCAACACTGAGGGTTGCAGCAGAGAAAGAGGTTTAATCGTAAGGCCGCTGAACAAGGAGACAGGAGGAAACCTCAAATCCACCTCCCCAAGGAGTTTGGGGCTAGGAATATACATAAATGCAAGTATAGGACTTGCATTTATATATATTTCTATATTCCTATATTTGCATATATGTATAATATATATATTATATATATAAAAATGGAAGTTAGGACTCTCTCTCTCTCTCTCCGTAGGTCTTGCCTTCCTCCCACCTCAGTCTCCCGAGTAGCTGGGACTACAGGTGTGTACCACCATGTCTGGCTAATTTTTTATTTTTTGTAGAGATAGGGGTCTCACTATGCTGGCGTGGCTGGGGGGCCAGGGATTTTAATGGGTTTAGAGTGGATTGAGCTGTAGGGATTTTTCATGGGTTGAAGAGTGCAGGGTGAAGTCATAGGATGGGGTGATGAAGAAGCTATTTTCATGCGGACTCGGTTCCTCTGTGGGGTCTTCAAACTGGTTTGTGTCAGCCGTTTCACTAGAATGCAGGGTCTGAAAAGCATCTTAAGTAATTCTTAAACAAAAGCTTTATGATTCTATCATCAGAGATCCTATCTACAGGAACAGTGGGGATGCAAAAGGTCTGTATCTGGTGCTATGTGACTTTCAGTTACATGGAAGTGGGCAAAGTGCAGCCTGATGAATGCTTAATTGTAACCTTATTTCTGTCCAGAACCTGCCATGGAATTCTTGTTAACCCTGTGATGATGGTTTCATGCCCAGTATATTCTTCTCAGAAAAGTGTTTCTACCTCCTCTTAGACAGAGTGAATAAGAGACGGTGAGAGGCCAGATGTTATATTAATGTCTTGATGGTCATCCTTTTCATGGAGGAAGCACCAGAAGTTCCCCTTGTGGAGTTCTAATTAGAGAAAAGGAGTTGGGCTGGTGGGACCAAAGGAATGCAAAAAGAAGCAGATAAGCTACAAATCTGCCCTTCTTCATGATCCAAGACACATAACCCTCCTGCACAAGTAACTTACAATCTTCCTGCACTCAGCTATCACCAGACCCTCAGCTGATAGAAAAATGCAAGTTAGCTCGCTGCAACCTTGGCAATATCAGTACTGCATAAAGCCCTCTTCAGCACAAGCACAAACACTATTGTTTAAAATCCCCAGCAAGCCTTTGTCTCCTGACAGTCAGCTCCTTTTTGCTGGCCTGCCTGTTGCTCCCCTGCAACGTATTTTTCTACTTCCTCTAATAAATCTGCCTTTCTTTACCTACAACTGTCTTGGTAAATGCTTTCATCACTGGCACCACTGGTCTAGATAGTCACCACTCATCCATGACACCCCTTACCTTATAGTGAATAGATTTTAGCTGTGTATCCTGTAACTTTTCAACCATACCATGGTTCGCTAGAATTGATAACACTTTTCAACCCTATCCCGATAGTAGTTGTCAGGAAATGCTAGTGAAAGAGTTTGGAATTAAACTAGCATTCTAGCCGAGCATGGTGGCTCACATCTGTAGTCCCAGCTAATAGGAAGGCTGAGGCAGGAGGATCAATTAAATCCAGGAATTCAAGGATGCAGTGAGCTATGATTGTGCCACTGAACTCCAGCATGGGTGACAGAGCAAGATGCCATCCCTAACAAAAAACAAAAGCAAAAGAAAAAACTGAGAGTCCAAAGATGTGTTTGATTTAAATAAGTAGAAAGAGCAAGATCATTATTCTAGACAGAAGGAAACAATTTGAGCCAAGAAATATTCATTCTGTATTTAGGGGACAAATACATGAGCTGACTAATTTGAAGAGTTTCTAAAAAGCTAAGTTTGAGCAAGCCATGCCTGGCGAAGAAGTTGAAGGTTTCCAGCGATCACATGTGGAATCAGATGGTCTGACTACTGAGCTTTCTATCTTTGAAAAAACCCTGTGGATGTATAAATGTTCTACAATTTTATGCCAGTCATTTGCCTGTTTGCTATCAGATTCATTCTCTACCCTTCCCTTGCTCTGGTCTGTATTGTAGGAAAATCATTTTCCAGAATTTCCATAATTGCCTTCTGGCTGGGTTTGGCCAATGGGAGGCACTGGCATGAGATTGGAGGGTAAGTGGTAGGAAGAGATCAAGGCACATTTTGTCCTCTCTTTCTGGCATCTCCAATAGTAATCATGTCTCTTCTAGGTTCCTGATCCCAGAAGATGTCCCTGCGGTGGTTCCACCTTCCACCAGCTTCTGCCAGATCCTGGACTCCAGGAACACTGCCCCCTTCAGGCCAACTTTTTGGACTTCCTCACTGTCTTCTGAGCCCCCAGGTCTTCCAACACTTTTGCAGCCACTTCCCTGTATTAAATGCCCTCTGTTTGAAATATCTAGAATAATTTTCATTTTCATGGTTGGACTGATTCACCACTTTCCCTCCCACTCAAATTCAGTAAGATCTACTATCTTATGACAGATATCTACCCACTCATTGCTTCCCGATGCAGACATAAACTTGGATCCCAGGCCGTGGAAGAGCAGGTCAAGGTTTGCTCCTTAGAATTGTTGCTTTGGTGACATGTGGAGAAGGATGGTGGTTGCTGAGACTAGAGGAGACTTGTTGAGAGACAATTGCAATGATTCAAGAGGGAGAGGACAAAGGTGTAAAGTCAGACTGTTTCACTGCAGAGGTAGAGTGGGGAAAGGGACACGAGAGATGCAGAAGAGGCAGAATCAGGTCCCTGATTGGATGGGGCATTTTGGGAAGATGAAGGAGGCTGGAATGATTCCCAGGTTCCTCCAGAGTGAATGGATGGCACTTGTGTTCTTGACTGAGCTTGAGGACACAAGAAGAGGGGCAGCAGATCTAGATGGCTAGGAAGATCATGAGTTTGTGGCACGTTGAGTTTGGGGGGCATGTTGTACTCAGGAAAGGGCAGGAGAGAGATGGTTTAATGTCACAGCATAGGTGATAAGAGATCTATGGATATATAGGTGAAATCCCCGGGAGATGTGGATAGAAAAGAGTTAAAGGCAGAACATGGAAGAGCCTCAACATGGACAGAGAAGGCAGAGGACTGAGTTGGAACAGCCCGAGAGCTCAGAGGAGAGCCAGGGAAGAGCAACATCATGGAGGCCAAGGGAGAGCATGGTTCAAAAAGGGAATGGTCACTGTGTCAAAGCCTGCTTTTAAAGCAAACTAAATATGGCCTGAGAAGGACTCCATACTTCTATATTTGAGTCCTTGTGGATGAACTGTAACCTAGCTTAATAGGCAGACAAAATTGAAACCCTAACTTCACAGTATGCACCTGTAACAATAGCTAAGTCTTGGCCAATCCCAGCGGCCATACTTCAACCATTCATACACTGCTGAGTGTTCAAACTGTGTTCAAATAAGTCAAATGCCAGCCTGTAACCAATCCAACCACTCTGTACCTCACTTCCAATTTCTGTACGTCATTTCTCTCTTTTTTGTCTATAAATCTTCTTTCACCACGTGGCTGTGCTTGAGTCTCTGTGAATCTGCTGTGATTCTGGGGGCTGCCTGATTCACATATCATTCATTGCTCAATTAAACTGCTTTAAATTTAATTCGACTGCAGTTTTTCTTTTATCACTGCACAATGGCCAAGAAGGATCAGTCACAGGAATTGACTGCTAGGAGGATATGTACAGATGTGGGTAAGTGACAGATGTAGATACTCAAGCTTGAATAAGTTTATGCCTGATGGCTACACACACACACACTCTCTCTCTCTCTCTGTGTCTCACACAAACACACACACACAGACACCTGTTTAGAGTTATATTTTAGGCAAGAAAGATGGTATCTATTATACATCATCTGGTTGCTCTAGTCTAGAGGAAAAGAGTGAGCAGATTTTGGTTGGCTTTTTCATTTTCTTCTCTACACACATGTAACGCAGGGGTCTCATCAAGAGATCAGGAAAATCTCAAGGGGTCAGACCTGTGGCCCCAATCTGCAGAGAAAATGAGGAGCTGTTGGTTAAAGTCCCAGTTGATGGGGCCAGAGCTGTTGGGCTGCAAAACCAACCTTCCTTCCTTTCTTCCTTCCTTCCTTCCTTCCTTCCTTCCTTCCTTCCTTCCTTCCTTCCTTCCTTCCTCTCTCTCTTTCTTCTTTCTTTCTTTTTTCTTTCTTTCTTTCTTTTTCTTCCTTTCTCTCTTCTTTCTTTCTTTTCTTTCTTTCTTCTTTCTTTTTCCTTTTTTTTTTTTTTGACAGAGTCTCGCTCTGTCGTCCAGGCTGGAGTGCAGTGGCATGAGTTCGGCTCACTGCAAGCTCCACCTCCCAGGTTCACGCCATTCTCCTGCCTCAGCCTCCTGAGTAGCTGGGACTACAGGCGCCTGCCACCACGCCTGGCTAATTTTTGTATTTTTAGTAGAGATGAGGTTTCACCATGTTGGACAGGCTGGTCTCGAATTCCTGACCTCAGGTGACCCTCCCACCTTGGCCTCCCAAAGTGCTGGGATTACAGGTGTGAGCCACTGCTCTGGGTGCCACTTTCTCCTGTAAGGTGCTTTGAATAATTTGGTGTCTCTAAGAGTTCTGAGAGTTGTCTGGGCTTTCATTTTTGGTTCACCGAAGCAGGACTGATGAACACAGGGCCATTCAGGTGATGGGCATTTCCTGGTGTCACATGGGAAGATGCTGCTGATACCCAAGCAGACACACGGAGCGGTTGATTAGTGTCACCACTCAGATGGTTTTCAACATCATTTTAC
Organism: Homo sapiens; assembly: GCF_000001405.40. Taxonomy (NCBI): domain Eukaryota; kingdom Metazoa; phylum Chordata; class Mammalia; order Primates; family Hominidae; genus Homo; species Homo sapiens. The sequence goes on from NC_000010.11 coordinate 28,740,857, forward strand.
CACCAAGACTGCAGGCCCAGATTCTCCTAAGCCAAGAGAGGTGAGGTGTAGGGTGGTGGGTATGGAGGAGTTTGTGGGTGGCTAGTAAAGGACAAACAACAAGTAACATCTTCTGGCTTAGAGTCCTCTCAAATTATCTGAAATGATATTGCTTGGAGCCTCCTTACCCTTATATTGCCCCTTAGTCCACTGGGCAGAGCAGAGGTGCCAAGATGTAGAGTGGAGGAGAGTTTGGGGGCGCAAGGGGTTTATGGAGTCATTAACAAGAGCGTTGATCCTTCATAGGTGGAGGTGGCTGTATCCCCAGGAATCCCAGAGAGCCTGTCATAGATGCTTCTTTGTGGCAGTGGTCAGGGTTCTCACCTGGGCTGTAAATTGGACTCCTCTGGGGAGCTTAGACAACACCAGGCCTGACCCCCATACCCGCCCCATCCTCCTCTCTGCCCCTGATTTGTGCTTCTGTTGGTCTGGAACAGGCCTAAGCATCAGAGTTTTTAAAAAGCTGCCCAAGTGTGGCCAGGGTGAAGAATTTTTGAGTTCTAGGTTATTCTTTTGGGCTTTTAAAGGGTATGAAGCTTCCTACACAACAAAGGAAATAATCATTGACGTGAAAAGGCAACGTATGGAATGGGAGAAAATATTTGCAAATTATCCATTTGATAGGAGGTGAATAGCCACAATATATAAGGAACTCATATAATTCAGAAGCCAAAAAACAAATAACCCCGTTAAAAAATGATAAAAACATTTCTCCAAAGAATTCATACAAATGGCCAACGAGCACATGAAATGTACTTAATTAATATCACTAACCATCAGGAAAATGCAAATCAAAACCAGAGTGAGCTATCACCTCACACATGTTAGGGTGACTATCATCAAAAAGACAAAAGATCAGCATTGGCAAGAATGTGTGGAAAAGGGAAACGTGCACAGTCTTGATGGGAATGTCAATTAGTACAGGGAGGTTCCTCAACACACTCAAAATAGAACTCCCATATGATCCAGCAATCTCAAATCTCAGTATATATCCAAAAGAAAGAAAATTACTATCTCAAAGAGATATTTGCACTTCCAAGTTCATTGCAGCATTATTCACAATAGCCATGATAAAAACAACCTACGTGTCCATCAGTGGATGAGTGGATAAAGAAAATGTCATAAACACACACACATTATGAAGTATTACTTAATTAATTATTATTATTACTATTATTATTTTTTGAGACAGAGTCTTACTCTGTCACCCAAGCTGGAGTCAGTGGCATGATCTCAGCTCACCGCAACCTCTGCCTCCCGGCTTCAAGTGATTCTCCTGCCTCCGCCTCCCAAGTAGCTGAGACTACAGGCGCACAACACCACGCCTGGCTAATTTTTGTAATTTTAGTAGAGACAGGGTTTCACCATGTTGGCCAGGCTGGCCTCGAACTCCTGACTTCAAATGATCTGCTGGCTTTGGCCTCCCAAAGTGCTGGAATTACAGGCGTGAACCACCATGCCTGGCCTATTATTTAATCTTTAAAAGAAAGAAATTTTGTCATTTGTGACAACATTGAACCTGGAGGACATTTTGTGAAGTAAAATAAGACAGGCACAGAGAGACAAATGCTGATGTCACTTATATGTGGAATCTAAAAAAGTCAAACTCGTAGAAACAGAAAGTAGGGGGTTGTTACCAGAGGTTGGACCAACGGGAGGGGAGAGGAAATGAGGAGCTATTGGTTAAGGGGTACAAACTTTCTGTTATAAGATGAATAAGTTCTGGAGATCTAAGGTACAGCATGGTGACTATAGGATTAATAATAATGTATTCTAGGTTTGAAATTTGCTAAGAGGTTAGATCTTAAGTTGTCTCACCACACACACACACACACACACACACACACACACACACACACACCCCCCACACTACACAAAGGTAACTGTGAAGCGACGGATATGCTAATTAGCTTAATTGTGATAATCATTTCACAATGCATACATATATCAAAACATTATGTTGTGTATCTTAAGTATATACTTTTTTTGTTGTTTTTTTGGAGACATGGATCCCATTCTGTTGCCCAGGCTGAAGTGCAGTGGTGCCATCATAGCTTACTGCAGCCTTGAGTCCCTGGGCTCAAGTGATCCTTCTCCCCAGGCTCCTAAATGGCTAAGGTGTGCATTGCCAGAGCCAGCTAATTTTTGTATTTTATGTAGAGATGAGGTCTCACTATATTCCTCAGGCTGGTCTCAAACTCTTGACCTCCAGTGATCCTCCCACCTTGGTTCCCCGAAATATTGGGATTACAGATGTGAGCCACTGCATGCGTGCTTATTTGTTAATTATACCTCAAATAACCTGTGGAGGGTAAGAGCATAAGCCTTCTGGGGAGGTTTGGCACTTGGCTGTGATGCAGGCCTTCTGACTTTTTTTTTTCTTTTTAAAATAATTAAAATAGAGATGGGGGTCTCACAAGTCCAGGCTGGTCTCAAACTCCTGGTCTCAAGTGATCCTACCACCTCAGCCTCCCAAAGTGCTGGGATTACAGGTGTGAGCCATGGTGCCCAGCCATGACTTTGTTGCTCAGCTCATCTTTGCCTCACACTGGCTGATGTCAGCTGCTGCGATAGGTGAGGTTTTAAGGGGGGTGGAGAGGGATTGGCAGGGGGCAGTTTTGCCATCAGAGTGGAGGTGAGGGGTCTGTTGTGGTGGCAGTCAGCAGCTGCCTGAGGATCTGGGAGAGACCTAGCAGGCAGTGAGGACAGTGGATGGCAAGGGGCCTCAGAGCTCTGTGACCTCATAATTTTCCTGTGGGACCACAAAGGTGGCTTCCACAGTGCATAGTGGTTATCAGCTGTGCCTCCCTCTTAGAGGTCCTCGGAGTCCAGAGTCCTCGAAGGGAAATCTGACACAAAGAAGCAGGTGTGAGACCGGCCCCTTTCTCCCATGCCTTAGACAGGGCTCCAGGGACTGCTTCAGGGGAGATGTCAGAGGGCAGCAGGGACCGGGAAGGGAGGAAGAAAGCAGAGTGACAGTGAGAGGTGGGAAAACTACAAGAGGAATTGTTTGTACGCTTGGATCTGGACTTTTAGAACTGGTCAGGACCTGACAGATCCTCCAGCCCAGTTCTCCCGGCTCTCAAACACTGGCATCATTTATAATTCCCTGGAAAATCACCAGCAGGTAAATGAAGGAGAAAAGAAAAGAACAAAATCCACCGGGAACCAGAGACTTCCAGGCTCCAAAGACAGGCAATCTCCACCAGGAAGTAAGTATAAAATCAACTTACAGTACTTCTTTCTTTAGCACTTAAAATGGATTTTATCTCATTAATGTCCAACAGAGACAAGGGCAACTCCTGGAGGAGCTGTTTCCTCACCCCATACGGCAGCTAGTTCCTCATTTGTCCTTCAGAGGCATGTAGAATCGTTCATTCACTGAATATTTATTGAGCATGTACTCTGCGCTGAGCACTGTTCTAGATGCTCAGAGTGGTGAATAAATCAGCTGAGGGAGGATCCTAGCCAGCCAGAGTTTACAGTGTCTTGCATGAGGGGGCTCAGGATATGCCATCCCAAACTGTGACTGTAGGAGATTAGCATATGCCATCCCAAAATATGCCCTTTGGCTTAAAGGATTATGTTGATTTGATTATTTTGAGAAACTGCAGACACAGGAGAAGCCCTGAAAAGTTAGTCTTCTGGAAGAGAAATTTACATCTACAAAGGAAATCTCCATTTGTAAGTGTGTCTTCTTCTGCACTAGGAAGAGAAGGATGACTAAATCAGAGAAGTCTCTTGTCAGAGAAAGCACGGACTTCAGTCTTCAGACTGAAGAGAATATACCTTCGTTTTATGATGATTTTTCTGGCCATCTCATCTTAACTGGGTCTTTCCCTACACTTTCTTTCTTTGTAGTTTAAATTACACCTTTGAGATCTATTCTAGAGATTACTCATCTCTCTGATTTATCTCCCATGGATACAAGAGGAATATATGCTATTAAACTACTGTTTGTTTTTCTCTTGTTAATCTGTCTTTTGTTACAGAGAAGCTCAGCTAAGAACTCAGGAAGGGTGGAGGAGAAAATTATTTTTCCTGCCCTGTATGGATGAGATGGGTGGCAAACAAACACTTAACTGGCAATGCTGAGTGGCATGGAGAACATGAAGTTGAGAGCAGCTCGGGAAGGCTGGTGTGTGCTAGTGGGGTCGTTATTTTCAGTAGGATGATGGGGAAGGACCTCACTAGCAGAGGAATCCTGAGCAGAGACCTGGAAGATCTGGAGAAGCCCATGTATTCACAGGTGGAATAGGGGTGGCACTCAGAGGGAATGGCAAGTATGAAAGCCCTAAATTGGGGTGTCCTGAATGTGTTGGAAGAGCAAGGAGGCTGGTGTGGCTGGAGAGAAGTTGTAACACTGATAAGTTCATTGCCCCATGCACACAGCATGTCTCCAGGTTGCAGCAGAGAAAGGGGTTCAATCCTAGGGTCACTGAACGAGGAGACGGGAGGAAATCTCAAGTCCGTTTCCCCAAGGAGTTTGGAAGTTAGGGTTTTTAAAGGTTTTGGAGTGGGCTGAAGTGTTGAGATTGTTGACTGGTAGAAGAGTGAAGGGTGAAGTCACGAGACAGGGAGAGGAAGAAGCTGTGTTCTCAGGCTGACCCTGTTCCTCTGTGGGGGTCTTCAAACTGGCTGCTAGAATTCGGGGTCTGAAAAACATCTTAAGCAATCCTTAACCAAAAGCATTATGATTCTAATGTTAGATATCCTGTCTATAGGAACAATGAGGATGCAAATGGGCAGGATCTGGTGCCAGCTGACTTTTAGCAACAAGGAAGTGGGCCTGAGTGCAGCCTGATGAATCCTTGATTGTAACTATATTTTTGTCCAGAACCATGGCATGCAATTCTTGTCAACCCTCTGGGATTGGTTTCAAAGTGATAACTTTGAAAAGAGAAAATGGGGGTATGTTGGCCAATGAGGCCACAGCGAGCCTGACCTCACAGGGCCTTGTGTAGTAAAGGGTTAATCTTACCCAAAGAGAGGTCTGGCCTTGGCTCTCTGCTCCTGGGAGGTGATCTCTGTGGCCTTGCAATGTCCTGCCTGGTAAAAGTGTTTTTTTTTACCTTGGGGCCTTGGGGTACACTGGATTGTGAAACAATATGATGGGGGCCTTAGGTCATGTCATATCAGTTTGATTTCTGGAGAAAGTTTTGATTTCTGGAGGAAAACAAAACATCAGCCATGAAGACAGTCGACAATATCTATGTAGTGAGCCTGAAGAAAAGCTCTAGATACCAAGGCTCAGATGACCTTTCCTGGTTGGCCATACTCTGTGTGCAACATCATGCATCGTGGCTGGGAGAAGACAGTGCTATTTGTTGCTCCACTGGGAAAGGACCCCTGGGAGCTCCACGTGTGGAACTCTCTTGCACTTGGCCTCATGCGTCTCTTCTCTTGGTGAATTTAATCTGTATTCTTTCCCTGTAAGAAACCATAACCGTGGGTATAATAGCTGTCAGTGAGCTCTGTGAATATTTTCAACAAGTTATCAAAAATTGAGGGTGGTCTTGGGGACCCCAGAACTTGCAATTGGTGTCAGAAGTGAGAGTTGTCTTGGGACCACCTTCTAACTTTACAGGCTTATAGAATGTCTTATGGACTTTGGCTCTTACTTTATATGAGTTGAGGGCCATTGTTTTGCAGGCTTTGAGCAGAGGAGTGACATTAGCTGACTATACATATATATTATATATATATATAAAATATATATTTTTATTATTATACTTTAAGTTCTGGGATACATGTGCAGAACACACAGGTTTGTTACATATGTATACATGTGCCACGGTGGTTTGCTGCACCCATCAACCCATCATGTACATTAGGTATTTCTACGAATGCTATCCCTCCCCTTACCCCCCATCACCTCGACAGGCCCCAGTGTGTGATGTTACCCTCCCTGTGTTCATGTGTTCTCATTGTCAACTCACACTTATGAGTGAGAACATGCGGTGTTTGGTTTTCTGTTCCTGTGTTAGTTTGCTGAGAATGATGGTTTCCAACTTCATCCATGTTTCTGCAAAGGACATTAAATTATATTTTTTATGGCTGCATAGTATTCCATGGTGTATATGTGCCACATTTTCTTTATTCAGTCTATCATTGATGGGCATTTGGGTTGGTTCCAAGTCTTTGCTATTGTGAATGAATAGTGCTGCAATAAACATACTTGTATATGTGTCTTTTTTTTTTTTTTTTTGAGACAGAGTCTCCCTCTGTCCCCCAGGCTGGAGTGCAGTGGCACGATCTCGGCTCTGTGCAACCTCCAACTCCCTGGTTCAAGCGATTCTCCTGCCTCAGCCTCCTGAGTAGCTGGGATTACAGGCATGTGCCACCATGCCCAGCTAATTTTTGTATTTTTAGTAGAGACGGGGTTTCACCATGTTGGCCAGGATGGTCTCGATCTCTTGACCTCGTGATCCACCCGCCTCAGCCTCCCGAAGTGCTGAGATTACAGGCATGAACCATCAAGCCTGGTGCTGGCATATGTGTCTTTATAGTAGAATGATTTATAATCCTTTAGGTATATACCCAGTAAAGGGATTGCTAGGTCAAATGGTATTTCTGGTTCTAGATCTTTGAGGAATCACCACACTGTCTTCCACAATGGTTGAACTAATTTATACTCCCACCAACAGTGTAAAAGCGTTCCTATTTCTCCACATCCTCTCCAGGATCTGTTGTTTCCTGACTTTTTAATGATCGCCATTCTAACCGGCATGAGATGGTGTCTCATTGTGGTTTTGATTTGCATTTCTCTAATGACCAGTGATGATGAGCTTTTTTTCATATGTTTGTTGGCTGCATAAATGTCTTCTTTTGTGAAGTGTCTGTTCATATCCTTTGCCCACTTTTTGATGGGGTTGTTTGTTTTTCTGTTGTAAATTTGTTTAAGTTCCTTGTAGATTCTGGATATTAGCCCTTTGTCAGATGGATAGATTGCAAAAATTTTCTCCCATGCTATTCACTCTGATGATAGTTTATTTTGCTGTGCAGAAGCTCTTTAGTTTAATTAGATCCCATTTGTCAATTTTGGCTTCTGTTGCAATTGTTTTTGGTGTTTTAGTCATGAAATCTTTGCCCACGTCTATGTCCTGAATGGTATTGCCTAGGTTTTCTTCTAGGGTTTTTATGGTTTCAGGTCTTACATTTAAGTCTTTAATCCATCTTGAGTTAATTTTTGTATAAGGTGTAAGGAAGGGGTACAGTTTCAGTTTTCTGCATATGGCTAGCCAGTTTTCCCAACACCATTTATTAAAAAGGGAATCCTTTGCCCATTGCTTGTTTTTGTCAGGTTTGTCAAAGATCAGATGGTTGCAGATGCACACACCTTATTTCTGAGGCCTCTGTTCTGTTCCATTGTTCTATATCTCTGTTTTTGTACCAGTACCATGCTGTTTTGTTTACTGTAGGCTTGTAGTATAGCTTGAAGTCAGATAGTGTGATGCCTCTAGCTTGGTTCTTTTTGCTTAGGATTGCCTTGGCTATACGGGCTCTTTTTTTGGTTCCATATGAAATTTAAAGTAGTTTTTTCTAATTCTGTGAAGAAAGTTAATGGTAGCTTGATGGGAAGCATTGAATCTGTAAATTACTTTGGGCAGTATGGCCATTTTCACAATATTGATTCTTCCTATCTATGAGCATGGAATGTTTTTCCATTTGTTTGTGTCCTCTCTTATTTCCTTGAGCAGTGGTTTATAGTTCTTATTAAAGAGGTTCTTCACATCCTTTGTAAGTTATATTCCTAGGTATTTTATTCTCTTTGTAGCAACTGTGAATGGGAGTTCACTCATGATTTGGCTCTCTGTCTATTATTGGTCTATAGAAGTGCTTGTGATTTTTGCACATTTATTTTGTATTCTGAGACTTTGCTGAAGTTGCTTATCAGCTTAAGGAGTTTTTGGGCTGAGACGATGGGGTTTTCTAAATACACAATCATGTCATCTGAAAACAGAGACAATTTGACTTCCTCTCTTCCTATTTGAATACCCTTTAATTCTTTCTCTTGCCTGATTGCCTTGGCCAGAACTTCCAATACTATGTTGAATAGGAGTGGTGAGAGAGGGCATCCTTGTCTTGTGCTGATTTTCAAAGGGAATGCTTCCAGCTTTTGCCCATTCAATATGATATTGGCTGTGGGTTTGTCATAAATAGCTATTATTTTGAGATACGTTCCATCAATGCCTAGTTTATTGAGATTTTTTAGCATGAAGGGGTGTTGAATTTTATCGAAGGCCTTTTCTGCATCTATTGAGATAATCATGTGGTTTTTGCCATTGGTTCTGTTTATGTGATGGATTATGTTTATTGATTTGTGTATATTGAACCTGCCTTGCATCCCATGGTTGAACCTGACTTGATCATGGTGGATAAGCTTTTTAATGTGCTGCTTGATTTGGTTTGCCAGTATTTTATTGAGGATTTTCACATCAATGTTCATTAGGGATATTGGCCTGAAATTTTCTTTTTTTGTTGTGTCTCTGCCAGGTTTTGGTATGAGGATGATGCTGGCCTCATAAAATGAGTTAGGGAGGAGGCCCTCTTTTTCTATTGTTTGGAATAGTTTCAGAAGGAATGGTACCACCTCCTCTTTGTACCTCTGGTAGAAGTTGGATATAAATCCGTCTGGTCCTGGGCTTTTTGTTTTGTTTTGTTTTTTTGGTTGATAGCCTATTAATTACTGCCTCAATTTCAGAACTTGTTTTGATCCATTCGAGGATTCAACTTCTTCCTGGTTTAGTCTTGGTAGGGTGTATGTGTCCAGGAATTTACCCATTTCTTCCAGATTTTCTAGCTTATTTGCATAGAGGTGTTTATAGTATTCTCTGATGGTAGCTTATATTTTGGTGGGATCAGTGATGATATCCCCTTTATCATTTTTTATTTTGTCTATTTGATTCTTCTCTCTTTTCTTCTTTATTAGTCTGGCTAGCAGTCTATCTATTTTGTTAATCTTTTTGAAAAAGCAGCTCCTGGATTCATTGATTTTTTGAAGTGTTTTTCATGTCTCTATCTCCTTCAGTTCTGCTCTGATCTTAGTTATTTCTTGTCTTCTGCTAGCTTTTGAGTTTGTTTGCTCTTACTTCTCTAGTTCTTTTAATTGTGATGTTAGGATGTCAATTTTAGATCTTTCCCACTTTCTCATGTGGGCATTTTAGTGCTATCAATTTCCCTCTAAACACTGCTTTAGCTGTGTCCCAGAGATTCTGGCACATTGTGTCTTTGTTCTCATTGGTTTCAAATAACTTATTTATTTCTGCCTTAATTTTGTTATTTACCCAATTCAGGAGCAGGTTGTTCAGTTTCCATGTAGTTGTGTGGTTTTGAGTGAGTTTCTTAGTCCTGAGTTCTAATTTGATTGCACTGTGGTCTAAGAGACTGTTTGTTATGATTTCTGTTCTTTTACATTTGCTGAGGAGTGTTTTATTTCCAATTATGTAGTCAATTTTAGAAAAAGTGTGTTGTGTTGCTGAGAAGAATATATATTCTGTTGATTTGGGGTGGAGAGTTCTGTAGATGTATGTTAGGTCCACTTGATCCAGAGCTGAGTTCAGCTGATATCCTTGTTAATTTTCTGTCTTGTTGATCTGTAATATTGACAGTGGGGTGTTAAAGTCCCCTACTATTATTGTGTGGGAGTCTAAGTCTCTTTGTAGGTCTCTAGGGACTTGCTTTATGAATCTGCGTGCTCCTGTATTGGGCACATATATATTTAGGATAGTTAGCTCTTCTTGTTGCATTGATCCCCTTACCATTATGTAATGCCCTTGTTTGTCTCTTTTGATCTTTGTTGGTTTAAAGTCTGTTTTATCAGAGACTAGGATTGCAACCCCTGCTTTTTTTTGCTTGCCATTTGCTTGGTAAATCTTCCTCCATCCCTTTATTTTGAGCCTATATGTGTCTTTGCACATGAAATGGGTCTCCTGAATACAGCACACAGATAGGTCTTGACTCTTTTTCTGATTTGCCAGTCTCTGTCTTTTAATTGGGGCATTTAGCCCGTTTACTTTTTTTTTTTGAGATGGAGTTTCACTCTTGTTGCCCAGGCTGGAGTGCAATGGCCCGGTCTTGGCTCACTGCAACCTCCACCTCCTGGGTTCAAGTGATTCTCCTGCCTCAGCCTCCCAAGTAGCTGGGATTACAGGTGCCCGCCACCACACCTGGCTAATTTTTGTATTTTTAGTAGAGACGAGGTTTCACCATGTTGGTCATGCTGGTGTTGAACTCCTGACCTCAGGCAATCTGCCTGCCTCGGCCTACCAAAGTGCTGGGATTACAGGCATGAACCACTGCACCCAGCTGTCCATTTACATTTAAGGTTAATACTGTGACATGTGAATTCGATCCTGTCATCATGATGCTAGCTGGTTATTTTGCACATTATTTGATGCAGTTTCTTCATAGTGTCATTGGTCTTTATATTTTGGTATGTTTTTGCAGTGGCTGGTACCGGTTTTTCCTTTCTATATTTAGTGCTTCCTTCAGGAGCTCCTGTAAGGCAGGCCTGGTGGTGACAAAATCCCTCAGCATTTGCTTGTCTGTAAAGGATTTTATTTCTTCTTTGCTTATGAAGCTTAGTTTGGCTGGATATGAAATTCTGGGTTGAAAATTCTTTTCTCTAGGAATGTTGAATATTGGCCCCCACTCTCTTCTGGCTTGTAGGCTTTCTGCAGAGAGATCCACTGTTAGTCTGATGGGCTTCCCTTTGTGGGTAACCTGACCTTTCTCTCTGGCTGCCCTTAACATTTTTTCCTTTGTTTCAACCTTGGTGAATCTGAAGATTATGTGTCTTGGAGTTGCTCCTCTCAAGGAGTATCTTAAAGGTGTTCTCTGTATTTCCTGAATTTGAATGTTGGCCTGTCTTGCTAGTTTGGGGAATTTCTACTGGATAATATCCTGAAGTGTGTTTTCCAACTTGTTTCCATTCTCCCCATCACTTTCAGGTACACCAATCAATTGTAGATTTGGTCTTTTCACATAGTCCCATATTTCTTGGAGGCTTTGTTCATTCCTTTTTATTCTTTTTCTCTAATCTTGCCTTCACGCTTTATTTCATTAAGTTGATTTTCAATCTCTGATATCCTTTCTTCCACTTGATCGATTTGGCTATTGATACTTGTGTATACTTCATGAAGTTCTCGAGCTGTGTTTCCTCAGCTCCATCAGGTCATTTATGTTCTCAATTAGGTAATTTATGTTTTTCTCTAAACTGGTTATTCTAGTTAGCAGTTCCTGTAAGCTTTTATCAAGGTTCTTAGCCTCCTTGCATTGCATTAGAACATGCTCCTTTAGCTCGGAGTAGTTTGTTATTACCCACCTTCTGAAGCCTACTTCTGTCAATTCGTCAAACTCATTCTCCCCCAGTTTTGTTCCCTTGCTGGCGAGGTGTTGTGATCTTCTGGAGGAGAAGAGGCATTCTGGTTTTTGGGATTTTCAGCATTTTTGTGCTGGTTTTTCCTCATCTTCGTGGATTTATCTACCTTTGATCTTTGATGCTGATGACCTTTGGATGACATTTTTGCATGGGTGTCTTTTGTTGATGTTGATGTTATTGCTTTCTGTTTTTTAGTTTTCCTTCTAACTAGGAAGGAAAACCAGGCCCCTCTTCTGCAGGTCTGCTGGAGTTTGCTGGAGGTCCACTGCAGACGCTGTTTGCCTGGGTATCACCAGAGGAGGCTCAGTTGGAAATGCAGAAATCATCCACCTTCTATGTTGGTCTAACTGGGAGATGCAGACCAGAGCTGTTCCCATTCGGCCATCTTGCCCAGTGAATGTGTTTTGTTTTTTAAAGACAGGGTCTTGCTCTGTTGCCCAGGCTGGAGTGCAGTGGTGTGATCATAGCTTACTGCAGCCTCAAACTCCTGGGCTCAAGCAATCCGCCAGTTTCAGCCTCCCAAGTAGCTGAGACTACAGGTGCTGCCACCATGCTTGGCTAATTTTTTATTTTTATTTTATTTTTGTAGAGATGAGTTCTTGCTTTGTTGCCCAGGCTGGTCTCGAACTCTTGGACTGAAGCAATTCTCCTGCCCTGGTCTTCCAAAGTGCTGGGATTACTGGCATGATTCACTGCACCTGGCCTGCCTTTTATTTTAATAAGATTGTAAAGCTGCTATGTTGAGAATGGGCTAAAAGGGAGGTGAAGGTAGAGGCAGTGAGAATATTTAGAAAGTGATTCAAATACAGTTCAGGGGAAGGATGATGGTGGTTTGGACCAGGGTGGTGAGGAGTGTCATATTTAGGTCTCTTTGAATTTACAACTCACAGGACTTGCTAATGGGATGGGCATGATATGTGAGAGAAAGAGAAATTGGGGAGGATTCCAGCTTTGGAGGCTAAACAATTGAAAGAGAGGAGACAGCCTTTACATGACAGGAGACAGGCAAGTAGGGAGTGGGAAGAATTAGTAAATATCATTAGATTTTTTAAATTTTGATTTTTAAAATTTTTAGCTTTTTTTTTTTTTTTTTTTTTTTTAAGAGATGGGTCTTGCTATGTTGTTCAGGGTGGTCTTAAACTCCTGGCTTCAAGCAATCCTCCTGCCTTGGCCCCTCAAAGCACTGGGATTACAGGCAGGAGCCACTGCACCTGGCCTCAATTAGATGCTTTTATAAAACTCCCACTTAAGGCAATTGTTAAATGGCTACAAAGCTGAGTTTAATCCACAGGCACCGCCTTTGCCTCCAGGAAAGTGGTGGGAAAATATATATATATATATATATATATATATATATATATATATATACACATGCATACATACATAAATATATATGTGTGCATATGCATGTCTGGAAAATGTTTCCTATGGCTTAAAAGTCAGAGTTATGATTTCATCTTATTAGCAACTATTTATCCCCATAAGTGTTGAGAGATGAACATGGAATCCTAGAACAGTGGCTGGAAGAGTGACCAGGCCAGTTTTTCCTATGCCTGTCTGGCCTTAGCTGTGGCTAGGTTCCCTGCACACTTCCCAACACACTGAGCAAGTACCTTCGTGTGTGATGCACCACTCTAGATGCGCAGACTCGGTTGATGATCTGAGGCTGTGAGCAGAAAAGAGCAAGAGAAATAAAGTCCTAGTTCAGTTGTGGGTGGAGACAAAATATCCACAGAAAAGGAAAAAGCAACTTCCTCAATTGCCAAATGATGTGTAGGTAATATTCTAATATTCTACTATGATGATAAAAACCATTACAAACATGTATTTTTTGAAAATAAGTTCCAAATGACATCCTGTGTTTTGTTTTTTTTTTTTTTTTTGAGACAGGGTCTCACTCTGTCATCCAGGCTGGAGCACAGTGGTGTGATCATGGTTCACTGCAGCTCCTGTGAACCTGCATACCTTCTGGGCTCATGCAACCCTCAGGCCTTACTTAGCCTCTTGAGTAGTGGGACTATAGGCACATGCCACCATGCCCAGCTGATTTTTAATTTTTTTGTAGAGATGGGGTTTTTCCATGTTTCCTAGGCTGGGACATCCTTTTAAAATAGCAGACTTATTACAGCAAAATAACAGTTGTACAGTTTTTCTCTCTTTTTCTGTAAAGGGGAATTTTTTTTAAGAGATGAGGTCTTGTTATGTTGCTCAGGCTGGCCTTGAACTCTGGGGCTCAAGCAATCCTCCTGCCTCAGCCTCCTGAGTAGCTGAGACTACAGGAGCACAGCACTGCATCTGGCTTGTAAAGGGGATTTGACAGTGCCAGCTGTATACCATGTTCAACAACATCTTGCTGTTGAAGGGAGGTGGAGTAATGGTGTGATGGGAGGCAACCTAACTAGGTACAGTTAATGAATGGAAGTCCTGGCGGCAGAATGAGCACCTTACACGTAGAGTGACAGCAACAGGGAAGCTTGGGTCTGGGGGAGGGGATATAGCTGGTGAAGGGCAGGGAAGGAGGGAGAAGATGGACAGCCTTGAATGTAACCCCAAGGGGACTTTCCAATAAACGTTAATAAAGTAGAAATGGAAAGGGAACAGCTGAGGAGTTGGAATGATGGCAGAAGAAGTTGTAGTTTGTTGTTCAGGCAGATGATGTGATGGAATTGGAGTTTGAGAAGGCTTAGTAGAGTTTATATTTCTATCATATAAAATGTTCAAAGGTTGGGAAATCAATGATTTACTCATCATCACACTGGGACTGCTGATAGACTAGTATCTTAGCCTGGGTTCTCTGGAAAGCTGATACAGCCACATAGTTAAAGCTTGAGGTCATACTTCACATGCTTTATTTTAGCATATGACCTAGGAGCAGGAGTGAAGGATGGGAGTGAAGCAAGGAAGGAAAGAGAGTCGATTACAGAGCTGTTTCGTTGAGCTGGTCACAGCTCCTGTGTCCAATCTCGTGGGGCTGCCTGAGATGTCTTGAAGTCATAAGCCCAGAGAAAGAACAGAGGGGATGCCTTTATCCACTGGATCCATTTTTCCAATGATCAAAGGTTTGTCCTATAGAGTATTAATGATTAAAATATTAAAACCCTATGGAGATTATTAGAAAGATGATAATTTAGTAGTTATCATCATCTGGGAACACCAAGCTGGTTCCCATGTGTCAACTACCCTACCAGGGCTGGCAGTGGGGGCCCTGGTCTGGGTGCTGTTAGGTTGCACCTGTTGATCAGATCCTACACAGTACTAGTCCCAACAGCAATAGATGCAAAGAGAAACAGGTGAGGCTGAGCAGGTGTGGAGTGGTGCCCAAGGGGCATCTTGACCTAGCCAAGGTATCTGGTACAAGTAATAACTTCAGGAAACCTCTTTTCTTGGAAATATTACTGATATTACTGATGGAATATTATCCCCATCAATATTATTATATAATATCATTTTATAAATTCATAAATTATTTTTAATAATAAATTATAAATACAAATTTATATTTATAAATGATAAAATTCGATACAAATTATTTTATAAATTTTATAAATTATATTATATATTTTATAAATTTATACATTTTATATTTTATAAATTTATAAAATATTTTATTACTATATTATTATATCTATATTATTATAATAAATATTATTCCCATTTCTAATAATGTTAGAAATTCCTACATTTCCAATAATGTTAGAAATATTATTGATGGGAATCTGGCCTGTGGGTTTCCCCCAAGTCTGTTGGTAATACTTGTAGTCTACTAGAAAGTATTTCCTGAAATGGAGGGCTATTGTCTGTCATGGGCCATACGTTGAAGTAGACTTTGTCCAGCACGATGAGGGACTTTTTGGTTTGTCACAGGGCTGGAGTGCAGCTGAGGTCTGGCTTTAGCCAAGGAGAGCACCTTGAAACCTGGCAGAGAATTACAGTGAACCAGAAGACTAAGTGAAGCATGAACTGGCATAATGTGAGAATCATCGCAGATTCCTATATCCCTCTTTTAGGTTCTTTGGTTGGGGGGCGCCTGGTTCTTAATAAAAAGTCCCTCTGTTGAACCACATGAGAAAAATGGACCCAGAGAAACAAGAGTTCAACAACGAGAAGGAGTTTTGCTCTTTCACCCAGGCTGGAATGCAGTGGCATGATCTCAGCTCACTGTTACCTCTGCTTTCCGGTTTCAAGCGATTCTCCTGGCTCAGCCTCCTGAGTAGCTGGGATTACAGGTGCCCACCACCACGCCCAGTTAATTTTTGTATTTTTAGTAGAGTTGGGGTTTCACCATATTGGCCAGGCTGGTCTCGAACCCCTGACCTCGTGATCCTCCCACCTCGGCCTCCCAAAGTGCTGGGATTACAGGCATGAGCCACTGTGCCTGGCCCATCCTCAGTATTTTTTATTCATCCTTGCCTCCATGTGCACTGACACAGATCAAACTAGGTTAAAATAAACACTTAGGGGTGGAAAGGAAGATAGCAGACAAGGGCAGAAATGAGTGAGTGCCTTATGATTCATATTTGCAAACCATCTGATTCTGCTACCACCTTCTTCCGTTCTGCCTGCACCTCAGCATTCTTGAGACAATAGATAGAAGCAAATGACTTGTTCCTAGGCAACTTGGAAGTTCTGCCCCAGAGGCTGCAGAAAACCCTCCTGTGTCCCTGAGTTGGCTCTGTCCTTAAATTTTGCAGCAGGAGAATTATTGAGCTGTTCTTGGGATGATTTTTAGCCTATGTATGTCTACACTTAGGAGGCTGACATCTTATAAATGCATATGGTTTTGTTCAAATGAATACGTAGTTGACAAATACTTGGCTAGAAGTTATAATGACAAATTTAATAGCCCTACTATAGCCTGAACTGTCATCTTTATTTGGGTTAAGCTTGCTAAATGTCAACTGGAATTTTGTACTATAATAACCTGCAACTTGGTTCCAAAATCAGCCATGTTTTTGACAAATGTAAGTAAATTCAGCTGTCTAAAGGGGCTCATGTGCTATGGAGTGATTAAGGAGTGGTCTTTCATTATGATTATTTAACCCCACGTCTGATAACAGTGTCCTGCTTTTTTGTTTCTGTAGATGCTTTCCTGGCTGAAAACCATGAATGACCCAGAATAGTTCATATCTTTGGAAGATCCTTATTTTCCTTGTAAATGAAAGTCATGCATTTGGAATAATAACATGAAATGATGTGAATGGTAGGGACTCAAAAACTTTCTCTTCCAAAAATATTCTACAGATTCATGCTCAGGAAAGCCAAATGCTCTACAATAGGATGAAGTGGCTCCAGGAGAGTTCTGTTTACTACTTTAATAAGTGACTAAATATATGGTATTTACGCATATGAAATTGGCTTAACTAGGACATCTCATTTCCTAGCCTTTGCATATAAAAGAGAATTGACAGTAATTCAGGTTAACTCAAAATGTATCATTTAATTGTCTTTGTCCCACATGACTAGTAAGTAGGTCACTAGCCACTTTTTTTTTTTTTGAGACAGAGTCTTGCTGTGTTGCCCAGGCTGGAGTGCAGTGGCATGATCTTGGCTCACTGCAACTTCCAACTCCTAGATTCAAGCGATTCTTCTGCCTCAGCCTCCTGAGTAGCTGGGTTTACAGTCATGCGCCACCATGCCAGGCTAATTTTTTGTATTTTTAGGAGAGACAGGGTTTCGCCATGTTTGGCAGGCTAGTCTCGAACCCCTGACCTCAGAGATCCACCCATCTCAGCCTCCAGAAGTGCTGGGATTACAGGCATGAGCCACCGCGCCCGGCCACCAGCCACTTCTAACCCTACTCTCTCTCGGAAGTTTTGAGTTGTATGCACACTCAGACCTCTTTGCTTTCCCAGTGTATCAGTTTTGACCTAATCCTTTTTCTATGTATTTAACTCTTGCTATAGTTCCTTTGGATCGTATAGTAAGATTGCCAAGTGAAAAACTCCTGATGTGTGTTCAAGTCATAGACTCCATTTCTAAATCTCCAAATTCATATGTTTCATTTCTTATCACCTTCTCCTTCCTCCTTCTGTCTCTACTTCTGTTATTCTGTTCCTGCTTATCCCATTGGTCCTGTCTTAAGTTATCCCTTGGATTAAAAATAATAATAATAAAACTTTTTATTATAGAAAATCTCAAATATGTACCAAAGCCTTTAATCATGTAATGTGCCCTCATGTATTTATCACTTAATTTCTACAATTATTAATTCATGGCCAATCTTATTTCTGCAATACTCCAGCCCTCAAGCAGTACTGGGTATAATGGAAAATACCGATACATTGAACATGAAAATCAAGAACTCCTATTTATCAAAGTATATTAGAAAGGGCACAAAAAGCAAATGACTCATTCTGGAAAATATAAAGGGCTCGTATTTATCACTAAGAAAAAAACCAAACAATCCAGTAGAAGAAAAATGGTAAGGGACTTGAACAGGCACTTCATAAAAGAAGATATCCAAGTAGTTAACATACTTACATAAAGGTGCTCTTCTATTACTTATCCAAGAATTGCTAATAGCCACATCCACTAGAATGGCTAACATTAAAAAGCCTGGCAATGCCAAATTCTGACAAGGATATGAAGGAACTCAAATTCTCATTCATCATTTGTTGTAGTATAAATTGGCATAATCGGCTGGTTGCTGTGGGTCATGCCTGTAATCCCAGCACTTTGGGAGGCTGAGGTGGGAGGATCACTTGAGTTCAGGAGTTTGAATCCATCCTGGACAACATGGCAAAACCTTGTCTCTATGAAAATACAAAAAATTACCTGGGAATGGTGGTGTGTGCCTGGAGTCTCAGCTACTTGGGGGGCTGAGGTGGGAGGATCACTTGTGCTTGGGAGGTTGAGGCTGCAGTGAGTTGAGATCGCACCACTGTGTTCCAGCCTGAGTGATAAAGTGAGACCCTGTCTCAACAAAAAAACAAAACAAACCCATAAATTCAATTCTGGCTATATACAATAATGAATAAATTTTACAATGCTTAGGTTTTTTTTAAAGCAAGGCAACAGCAGCTGGGCGCTGTGGCTCATGCCTGTAATCCAGTACTTTGGGAGGCTGAGGCAGTTGGATCACCTGAGGTCAGGAGTTTGAGATCAGTCTGGCCAACATGGCGAAACCCCATTTCTACTAAAAATACAAAAATTAGTTGGGCGTGGTAGTGGGCCCCTGTAATCCCAGCTAGTCGGGAGGCTGAGGCAGGAGAATCACCGGAACCTGGGAGGTGGAGGTTGCAGTGAGCTGAGATCGCGCCATTGCACTCCAGCCCAGACGACAAGAGCAAAACTCCGTCTCAGAATAAATAAATAAATAAAAATTAATACATTAAAAAAAAGCAAGACAACAAAGCATATATACAAATTACTTCATGGAAAATGGCAGAGCAGGATACTCAAATAATCAATTTCTCATGTCTGTAATCCCAGCACTTTGAGAGGCCGAGGCGGGTGGATCACCTGAGGTCAGGAGTTCATGACCAGCCTGGGCAATATGGTGAAACCTCGTCTCTACCAAAATTACAAAAATTAGCCGGACATGGTGGTGGGCGCCTGTAATCCCAGCTACCTGGGAAGCTGAGGCAAGGGAATCACTTGAACCCAGGAGGCAGAGGTTGCAGTGAGCCGAGATCATGCCACTGCACTCCAGCCTCGGTGCCAGAGCCAGACTCCATCTCAAAAAAAAAAAAGAAAGGGAGAAAAATAGAGTATAGCTTCGAG